>NC_000007.14:105631779-106256779 GCF_000001405.40 Homo sapiens | reverse complement strand
GTTAAGTGGAAAATGCATTTATTATACCTAACCTACTAGACCTCGTAGTTTAGCCTCCCTTACCCTACAGGTGCTCAGAACACTTAGTAGCCTACAGTTGAGCAGTCATCTAACACAAAACCTATTTTATAGTAAAGTGTTGAATATCTCAAGTAATTTATTGATGTTCCACTGAATGCGAATCACTTTTGCACCGTTGTTAAGTTGAACCATTGTATGTTTGTGACCATCTGTACTTGTAATTTCTTTACATTCATTGGTATGAAAAATATGTTCTTAGAAGCAGGAAAAAGAATTCAGTTTTGCTTTGTATACTAAATTAGATGCTGTAATTTTGATAAAATGAAAAATCTGCTTTATTTGCAACAATTGTTTTCTTCCTTGACGTCAGCCTCACTCTTGGACTTTGCTATTCAGCCTGTCACCCCTGTGAATTCCCATGAGGTTGACAGTGTAAACCTGCTCTAAGTTTTCACTTTGCACTGTGTACCAAAATGAAACTGCTTATTTAGGAAAATAAAAATATCTTTTGTGTTGGACAAAATACAGAGCGCCTATCTTCTTTTTCTGTTGTGTTTCAGTTATGGATTCAGTCTTCTTGGGTATCATTGAAACTTCTATTGGAGTGATTTATTAAAATATTAACATAGTATTGCATTATCAGAGTTGGCAAGAGGAAGCTTTCTTTGAAGTCTCACATGTATTAAATGTTTTTCTTCCCAGACTCAAAATTCACTTTAACTCCAAATTGTCTAAATTTTAAAACTTTTGGTAAAGAAACTTGGCCTGAAATACAGTGATATGATATTAGATGATACTGTTCTTTGTTATTTCCTCATTTTGTTTTTGCCTCTGAAGCATATCTAAAATGAGGTGACAGGTCAGAAACTATTTTCTCTATATTTTACCTTACCCTCCATCTACCTGTTTCCCTTTTCTTCCCCTTTTCTGTTCTACTCTTTGCATTTCTTCTGTATTGAAATTCACTTTGTTCACAATTATTTAAAGGAAAACCTGAACTCAGGGGCCTTGGGTACCTTTAGGTTCAGGTACAATAAAGACATGAGACTGGATTTGCGTGCATCCTAAAAGAATCACTTTTAAATAAGTTTTATATGTTTTCATCTTGATTCTTCTAGATTCATCTTGATTCAAATTAGATGGTTGGCATTTAAAAAGAAAGTTGCATTTCTAAATGTAGATTTGTTTAAAAATGAAGTTGCTTGGGATTTGTTGGGTTTTTTCCTTTGCAGTGTTGAAAACAAAGAAAGTCAATTCGAGACTATTAAAAAAGTCAATTTGAGACTATTTGGTGAGAATGTGGTAACTTTGATACACATAAGGCTGTTACACTTATGATTTTCTAATAACTTCTGAAAGTTCTGTTTAAAACAGAGTCAGCCTTTCCAGTTGCTTTCTGTTTGACTATTCTCATGAAATAAATGGTTACCAAACTTCACTTGCCACATTCTATCATCAAAGTGATTGAATATATTAAGGCAGATGCTAGGTAAATAAACTTGACTTTGGTGAAAGAAATACAAATGACATTGGTAATAAACACATCTTTAAAGTTGTATGTCCCTTGAAAGAACTCTTTTAGAACTGTTCATACAGGTCTCTCTAGCTGGTTTATAACTAATCATTCTCCCAAAAATGATACAGTAATCTTAACACCCACAGCACCTGTGCATAATTTTGTTTCTGGCACTGGTATATCAGCCAGAATAAAATGACTCTACCAGTATACCAACTGTTATATAGGAGAAGTATTTTATACTCTTTTGCCACCAATATCTTTGATTCTTACATGTTCCATTACATATGACATGTAATTATACAGTGTATTGTGACTTATTGGTGATGATTACAGTCATTCCTAGAGTCTAGTAAATTGGCTCCCATTGCTTGTGTTGCTGAGATCTGGACAATAACTTAACGAGGTGAATGAGAGAAGTTGACTCAAGTAATCTTAGATATTTATAGCTAGTTTTTTCTCACTTTCTCTCATTTCCTTCACTCCCCGAATCCTACCAGAACCACAGTGACAGCAATGCAGATTCAGGAACTATGCATGAAATCCTCTCCTTCCACACATATCCATCTTTTGGGGGTGGGTGGGTCTTTAAAAACAAAATGCGGGCTATAATTATTTATTGACCGTGTTATAAAACAGTCTTGGATGCTTCATTCATCAATATTGTCCCTTGAAAATAATCTCCATTCTCTTCCAAATTAAGGTTTGGTTTGGTTTTGTTTTGTTTTAATCTTCTAGATTGTAGAAGGCATGAAACAAAAAATGTGGAGTATTGAAAATATTGCCTTCGGTTCTGGTGGAGGTTTGCTACAGAAGTTGACAAGAGATCTCTTGAATTGTTCCTTCAAGTGTAGCTATGTTGTAACTAATGGCCTTGGGGTATGTCACCTTTTAATTACTTCTGTGTTACTACCTTCCTTATGTATCTAGGTAGAATGTGGTTATTGAGTGCATTTGTCAAAGATTGATGTGGCCGTGGACTGTTAATATGTTGTTGGGTACTACTGACCTTAACTCAGAAACAAGGAAAGAAGGGAGATATTAGGTAATAACAGACCTAAGGAGACAGAGATTTGGAAAAAGGAAGAACAATAAGGAAAAAGATTATTTAAGAGAGATAATACAGGTCAGTCATTTCCCACTGCCGTTTTTACCTTTAGATCAAAAAGTAATATTTGAGTAGGAATGTCAGCTTACCTAGCCATCATATATTAAAGACAAGCAAGTATATAATCACTGACCAAACTGTTACAGGAAGGTAGAATATGAGGTTTGGATTGTTATACCACAGTCATGTTCTAGTAGCCATAGAACAGCTAGGCAAGTGAACAACAACCCCCCTTGCTTCTTTGTAACGTCTTGAGAGCTGGAGATTCTATAGAGCAAGGGACAGAGGCAGGAGGATGCTAAGAATTAAGAACACCTGAGTTGATTCCCTGCTTCACTCTTTGATCTTTCTTTGGAAAGTTCTGGGATTGACTCATTTGTTGCTGCTTGTTCCACTGCCACTTGTTTCTGTTTCTTTGCTGCCTACCTTTCTGATGTAGAAACACTCTGCTGTCTTCAGGTTCTCTAAGACTTTTGCTTCTGACAATAACAAGGCAAAAGTAAAAAGTACCAAAAGAGGGATACGTTATGAAATAGGAAAGCCTTTACCTTAGTAATACTCTTGTTCCCTCTCCAAAGATTGTGTGTGTGGTTTTGGCGTAGTTGGTATAGTTGGGCTTTTCTTCAACAGCATGTACATGCTGTGCTTACTGTCAGTTTAAAGGCAGTTTGTAATATAAAGAGATACCTTAAGGGTCACATGTTAGAATGCTCACAGACTTCCTACAAATGGAGTATTAGGTGTTCTTCAGTGGCAAAAAGGATATCCAAGATGTCATACTTTTTCTTTATTACAAACGACTATCCTTCAAAACAGGCTAAAGTGTTATGTTTCTGAAAGCCAGATGTGGATTGGTTCAGTTATACCTATTAAGTGCTTAAAACTTAAATGTAAATTATGTATGTGCTTTTTTGTAAGGGAGTGTTTAGACATTTCTGATGATTAGTCTTCTACTTGTCTAACTTTCTTAATTTGGATTTCAGATTAACGTCTTCAAGGACCCAGTTGCTGATCCCAACAAAAGGTCCAAAAAGGGCCGATTATCTTTACATAGGACGCCAGCAGGGAATTTTGTTACACTGGAGGAAGGAAAAGGAGACCTTGAGGAATATGGTCAGGTATGTATCTATGCTGATTGGTTTTTTTAAGCAATAGTAGGTTGGCTCACCAAATTAATAAGAAAGGAGGTTTTTATGTTATTGTTTTTGTGGAAGACAAAGTATTATATTTTATTATAAAATGTCCAATTGCTGACCTGGCCTACCAAAATAAGATACAAAACAAGTGTCTACGTCATAAACACGGGGCCTGTGTATACATAGGGAGAAATATTACGTAAGTATAGTGATTGACAGCAAGTTTGTATACACTTTATCCAAAAGCAAACTATGTTACTTTAATATAAAATGTGAAAACAAGGTGACTTGATTTGGATTACATAATAAATGGTGAAACCTTGATTTAACCAAGTTTTCTGATTCAAATCAACCAAACTAGAAAAATTTACAGTACACTAAAGTAGTTCATATGATCTAATGGTCTTTAGCATACAAAAGTACATTTATATTTGTGAACTCAAGTTAAAAAATTTTTGGTTTTTAAGCCACTTGATCAAAAAAAACTTTAGACAGAACTATTCATGAATATTCATATTATTAGAAAAAAGTACACTAAACATGAGTGCACTATTACTTCCTATTTTGATTCTTTATACTACATCACAATTACTGCTTATAACATGTTACTTTTACATTTATTAAGGTTTTGAGCCAGAATTGAAATAACTTTGTTACCGTTAATGAAAAAATATGTTTGTAAATCAAACTTTTAGAATTAGATCCCTTTATATAGCCTGTTAGGCAATTATTTGAGTAAGCTTTGTGTAACTCTTGTACCTACTAAGATTTTGGCAGATTTAGTTTATCCTAGATGAGCTAAAGTCACTTCAAACTAAAAGTAAAAATCTAAGTGTGATTTTTAAAAGACACTGATTTAAGAGTATGTGAATGATAGTAGAATAAACTAGAAAATAATTCATAATCATCTAGGCAATTTGATTTAAGAGTAGGAACTAGTATTCCCTTAAATTTAAATTTGTGAAAGAAAATGCTACAGCTAAAGCACTGTGGTTTGAAGCAACACAATGACAGAAATATTAGATAATGTCATATGCACCTCAATCTTCAGACTAGGTGGAAAATTGAGATTACTTCTGTGGATTTTTCAGAGAGAAACCAGAAGCAGGTAACTCCTTAGTGAGACAGGAGTGGCTCTACCAGACCCAAAGGGAATTTAATTTCTTCAATCTGTCTTTGCTACTCTTGTATGGATGAAGTGGATTACCTTTGTCATTGACTTTTGGAGTATAAACAGAATCTTTAACCCAGTCACTGTGTGTTAGTCAAGAATGCAATACTTGTTTTTCTTTGTTTCTGTTTTGGGATTGGCTTTTGGCTTTTTGTGGGTTTTCTAGACCCAAATTTAGCACTAGCAAATTTCTTAAACTTCCATTTGATAAGTTTAATCACTGTTGAGTTTGTTGGCCAGGAACAAGGCAGGGTTTACCAGGCTTTTTTGCTGCACACTCACAATGATTACAGTTCTCCCTAGGCACCCAGGCATCTTCCTTCAGCCTGAGGAAAAAAAAGATTGGTCAGCTAGGTTTCTTGGTTTTCCTTTAAGAAAACTGGTTTAAGAATGTAGTATTAAGGTCATTCCTTTTCATAGAAGTTAAATATTTCTACATACCAGGCAACTCAGTGATTGGCCATTTTAGATAGTACCTTGTTCCACTAGCATTTTTTATGCATCAAATCATCTCACAATTTGAACACCATTGGCATCTCTGTATTTGACTGGTTGGTTAGTCTAATTCATCAAACCAGGATTCAGGTATTTTGCTTAATAATGTAATATAATCATGAAATTTCCATTTATGCAGGATCTTCTCCATACTGTCTTCAAGAATGGCAAGGTGACAAAAAGCTATTCATTTGATGAAATAAGAAAAAATGCACAGCTGAATATTGAACTGGAAGCAGCACATCATTAGGCTTTATGACTGGGTGTGTGTTGTGTGTATGTAATACATAATGTTTATTGTACAGATGTGTGGGGTTTGTGTTTTATGATACATTACAGCCAAATTATTTGTTGGTTTATGGACATACTGCCCTTTCATTTTTTTTCTTTTCCAGTGTTTAGGTGATCTCAAATTAGGAAATGCATTTAACCATGTAAAAGATGAGTGCTAAAGTAAGCTTTTTAGGGCCCTTTGCCAATAGGTAGTCATTCAATCTGGTATTGATCTTTTCACAAATAACAGAACTGAGAAACTTTTATATATAACTGATGATCACATAAAACAGATTTGCATAAAATTACCATGATTGCTTTATGTTTATATTTAACTTGTATTTTTGTACAAACAAGATTGTGTAAGATATATTTGAAGTTTCAGTGATTTAACAGTCTTTCCAACTTTTCATGATTTTTATGAGCACAGACTTTCAAGAAAATACTTGAAAATAAATTACATTGCCTTTTGTCCATTAATCAGCAAATAAAACATGGCCTTAACAAAGTTGTTTGTGTTATTGTACAATTTGAAAATTATGTCGGGACATACCCTATAGAATTACTAACCTTACTGCCCCTTGTAGAATATGTATTAATCATTCTACATTAAAGAAAATAATGGTTCTTACTGGAATGTCTAGGCACTGTACAGTTATTATATATCTTGGTTGTTGTATTGTACCAGTGAAATGCCAAATTTGAAAGGCCTGTACTGCAATTTTATATGTCAGAGATTGCCTGTGGCTCTAATATGCACCTCAAGATTTTAAGGAGATAATGTTTTTAGAGAGAATTTCTGCTTCCACTATAGAATATATACATAAATGTAAAATACTTACAAAAGTGGAAGTAGTGTATTTTAAAGTAATTACACTTCTGAATTTATTTTTCATATTCTATAGTTGGTATGACTTAAATGAATTACTGGAGTGGGTAGTGAGTGTACTTAAATGTTTCAATTCTGTTATATTTTTTATTAAGTTTTTAAAAAATTAAATTGGATATTAAATTGTATGGACATCATTTATTAATTTTAAACTGAATGCCCTCAATAAGTAATACTGAAGCACATTCTTAAATGAAGATAAATTATCTCCAATGAAAAGCATGACATGTGTTTCAATAGAAGAATCTTAAGTTGGCTAAATTCAAAGTGCTTGACATCAAAATGTTCTAGAGTGATTAGCTACTAGATTCTGAATCATACATCACATCTGACTAGAGACCAGTTTCTTTCGAATGATTCTTTTATGTATGTAGATCTGTTCTTCTGAGGCAGCGGTTGGCCAACTATAGCCCAAAGGCCAAATTTGGACTTCTTTTTATAAATGCAGATTGTCTATGGCTGCTTTCCCACTACTCCAGCCTAAGGTAAACAGCTGCAATAGAAGCCAAATGAGAATCGCAAAGCCCAAAATGTTTATTAACCTGCCCTTTACACAAAATTACACAAAAAGTTTCCTGATCTCTGTTCTAAGAAAAGGAGTGTGCCTTGCATTTAAAAGGAAATGTTGGTTTCTAGGGAAGGGAGGAGGCTAAATAATTGATACGGAATTTTCCTCTTTTGTCTTCTTTTTTCTCACTTAAGAATCCGATACTGGAAGACTGATTTAGAAAAGTTTTTAACATGACATTAAATGTGAAATTTTAAAAATTGAAAAGCCATAAATCATCTGTTTTAAATAGTTACATGAGAAAATGATCACTAGAATAACCTAATTAGAAGTGTTATCTTCATTAAATGTTTTTTGTAAGTGGTATTAGAAAGAATATGTTTTTCAGATGGTTCTTTAAACATGTAGTGAGAACAATAAGCATTATTCACTTTTAGTAAGTCTTCTGTAATCCATGATATAAAATAATTTTAAAATGATTTTTTAATGTATTTGAGTAAAGATGAGTAGTATTAAGAAAAACACACATTTCTTCACAAAATGTGCTAAGGGGCGTGTAAAGAATCAAAAGAAACTATTACCAATAATAGTTTTGATAATCACCCATAATTTTGTGTTTAAACATTGAAATTATAGTACAGACAGTATTCTCTGTGTTCTGTGAATTTCAGCAGCTTCAGAATAGAGTTTAATTTAGAAATTTGCAGTGAAAAAAGCTATCTCTTTGTTCACAACCATAAATCAGGAGATGGAGATTAATTCTATTGGCTCTTAGTCACTTGGAACTGATTAATTCTGACTTTCTGTCACTAAGCACTTGGTATTTGGCCATCTCCATTCTGAGCACCAAACGGTTAACACGAATGTCCACTAGAACTCTGCTGTGTGTCACCCTTAAATCAGTCTAAATCTTCCAGACAAAAGCAAATGGCATTTATGGATTTAAGTCATTAGATTTTCAACTGACATTAATTAATCCCTCTTGATTGATTATATCATCAAGTATTTATATCTTAAATAGGAGGTAGGATTTCTGTGTTAAGACTCTTATTTGTACCCTATAATTAAAGTAAAATGTTTTTTATGAGTATCCCTTGTTTTCCCTTCTTAAATTGTTATCAAACAATTTTTATAATGAAATCTATCTTGGAAAATTAGAAAGAAAAATGGCAAGGTATTTATTGTTCTGTTTGCCATAATTTAGAACTCACACTTAAGTATTTTGTAGTTTTACATTCCTTTTTAACCCATTCAGTGGAGAATGTCAGCTTTTCTCCCAAGTTGTATGTTAAGTCTATTCTAATATGTACTCAACATCAAGTTATAAACATGTAATAAACATGGAAATAAAGTTTAGCTCTATTAGTGAAGTGTTAAATTTGTGTGCTTCAAGTAATGCCATTTTCAGGCCTACCTGTTTTAAGTATTCCTCCAGTTCAAAGAATTAGAAGATGAGAGAAGGGCAAGTGTCAGAGTTGACTCCTTTTCTGCTTTGTGCAACTGTATAGATGACAGTGCCTTTTACTAAGGAAGAACACTGGAGGGACATCAGATTTGAGAGGAAAGAGCACGATTCCCGTGTTAAGGCTTGAGACGCCTTTGACATATCTAAATGTAGGTATTAAGTAGGCAGTTGATGATACAGGTTTGTGGACAGAAGGGCCTCAAGGTATGACTGATGTATACCTTGGAAGGTATACATCTTTGGAAGCACACAGTAAAGGATACTCTTCTAGGGATAGTATAGAGCAGGAGTTGGCAAACCCCACGCCATGAGCCAAATCCAGCCCACCATCTGTTTTTGTAAATAACTGTATTGGAACATAGCCACACCCATTTATTTAGTTACTGCCTTTGGCTGTTTTCTTGCCACAGTGGCAACACTGATTAGTTGCAACAGAGAAATTATGGCTGTAAAAACTAAAATAGTTTACTGTGAGGCCCTTCACAGGAAAAGTGTGCTGATCTCTGCTAGAGTATAAAGAGAATCTAGGGCTAAACCATGAGTAACTCTTGAAGGTTAAGTGGCAGAACATGAGCAGACCAAATGACAAGCATAGCTAAAGAGATGAAAGTTCCAACCAGAAGGAGTGAAGTCACAAAAGCCAGAGGAAACATTTTTCAGCCCAGCTGTTGAATGCTGCTGAGAGATCAAATAGGATGAAGAATTTAAAACAGCTACTGGATTTAGCCACCTGGAAATAATTGGTGCCTTAGACACATTCCTTTCCAGGTAGTAGAAGAGGCTTATTTCTGAAAGAAGCTCCCTTATATACCTCTTTGAATGTGGGTTGCGAAAAGGGAGGAGAGAATGAGGCAATAGTATCTTTGTCCTTCTAGCTGTAGCCTTACATCTGAAAAAGGTCCAGGAAAGAGGGAGGAGTTGAAAATAAAAGCAAAAAGACATCAGTGATGATTTGGGGTTCCAGAGAAGGTGGAGAAAGGTAAGATCCAAAGCACTTGGTAGGGTATTGGCCTTGAATGATAGGGGTCCTTCTAGAAGAAAGGAGAAGATGGAAGCAGGTGTGTACTTTGGTTTTCTACAAAGTCGGAGGCCAGATCCCACTTGTACGTGGTTTATTACTCATTCATTTATGTTCACCCCAGAGAAGCGCCATTTTTCATGGTTAGCAGCAGAATTCAGTTAGAAACACAGTTATCCTGACCTGCTTTATATATTTTTTAAATTCCGTAATTGGCTACTGAGCTGTTATTTCTTTGACATAAACTAGGCAATGCATTATAACAAACTATCTCTCAGACCACAGTGCAATCAAACTAGAACTCAGGATTAAGAATCTCACTCAAAGCCGCTCAACTACATGGAAACTGAACAACCTGCTCCTGAACGACTACTGGGTACATAACGAAATGAAGGCAGAAATAAAGATGTTCTTTGAAACCAACGAGAACAAAGACACAACATACCAGAATCTCTGGGACGCATTCAAAGCAGTGTGTAGAGGGAAAATTATAGCACTAAATGCCCACAAGAGAAAGCAGGAAAGATCCAAAATTGACACCCTAACATCACAATTAAAAGAACTAGAAAAGCAAGAGCAAACACATTCAAAAGCTAGCAGAAGGCAAGAAATAACTAAAATCAGAGCAGAACTGAAGGAAATAGAGACACGAAAAACCCTTCAAAAAATCAATGAATCCAGGAGCTGGTTTTTTGAAAGGATCAACAAAATTGATAGACCGCTAGCAAGACTAATAAAGAAAAAAAGAGAGGAGAATCAAATAGACACAATAAAAAATGATAAAGGGGATATCACCACCGATCCCACAGAAATACAAACTACCATCAGAGAATACTACAAACACCTCTACGCAAATAAACTGGAAAATCTAGAAGAAATGGATACATTCCTCGACACATACACTCTCCCAAGACTAAACCAGGAAGAAGTTGAATCTCTGAATAGACCAATAACAGGAGCTGAAATTGTGGCAATAATCAATAGTTTACCAACCAAAAAGAGTCCAGGACCAGATGGATTCACAACCGAATTCTACCAGAGGTACAAGGAGGAACTGGTACCATTCCTTCTGAAACTATTCCAATCAATAGAAAAAGAGGGAATCCTCCCTAACTCATTTTATGAGGCCAGCATCATTCTGATAGCAAAGCCGGGCAGAGACACAACCAAAAAAGAGAATTTTAGACCAATATCCTTGATGAACATTGATGCAAAAATCCTCAATAAAATACTGGCAAACCGAATCCAGCAGCACATCAAAAAGCTTATCCACCATGATCAAGTGGGCCTCATCCCTGGGATGCAAGGCTGGTTCAATATACGCAAATCAATAAATGTAATCCAGCATATAAACAGAGCCAAAGACAAAAACCACATGATTATCTCAATAGATGCAGAAAAAGCCTTTGACAAAATTCAACAACCCTTCATGCTAAAAACTCTCAATAAATTAGGTATTGATGGGACGTATTTCAAAATAATAAGAGCTATCTATGACAAACCCACAGCCAATATCATACTGAATGGGCAAAAACTGGAAGCATTCCCTTTGAAAACTGGCACAAGACAGGGATGCCCTCTCTCACCACTCCTATTCAACATAGTGTTGGAAGTTCTGGCCAGGGCAATCAGGCAGGAGAAGGAAATAAAGGGTATTCAATTAGGAAAAGAGGAAGTCAAATTGTCCCTGTTTGCAGACGACATGATTGTTTATCTAGAAAACCCCATTGTCTCAGCCCAAAATCTCCTTAAGCTGATAAGCAACTTCAGCAAAGTCTCAGGATACAAAATCAATGTACAAAAATCACAAGCATTCTTATACACCAACAACAGACAAACAGAGAGCCAAATCATGAGTGAACTCCCATTCACAACTGCTTCAAAGAGAATAAAATACCTAGGAATCCAACTTACAAGGGATGTGAAGGACCTCTTCAAGGAGAACTACAAACCACTGCTCAAGGAAATAAAAGAGGATACAAACAAATGGAAGAACATTCCATGCTCATGGGTAGGAAGAATCAATATCGTGAAAATGGCCATACTGCCCAAGGTAATTTACAGATTCAATGCCATCCCCATCAAGCTACCAATGACTTTCTTCACAGAATTGGAAAAAACTACTTTAAAGTTCATATGGAACCAAAAAAGAGCCTGCATCGCCAAGTCAATCCTAAGCCAAAAGAACAAAGCTGGAGGCATCACACTACCTGACTTCAAACTATACTACAAGGCTACAGTAACCAAAACAGCATGGTACTGGTCCCAAAACAGAGATACAGATCAATGGAACAGAACAGAGCCCTCAGAAATAACGCCGCATACCTACAACTATCTGATCTTTGACAAACCTGAGAAAAGCAATGGGGAAAGGATTCCCTATTTAATAAACGGTGCTGGGAAAACTGGCTAGCCATATGTAGAAAGCTGAAACTGGATCCCTTCCTTACACCTTATACAAAAATCAATTCAAGATGGATTAAAGATTTAAACGTTAGACCTAAAACCATAAAAACCCTAGAAGAAAACCTAGGCATTACCATTCAGGACATAGGCATGGGCATTTTGTAATTTTTATAGAGATGGATTAACGATCTCGCTTACAAACTCTCTTGAATTGGCTACACGTTTAATTCTGATTAGGTCTTCCTGACTCGCCAGAGTTGTTCTGCCAGATCTCTGAGCCTCTCGCTTTCCAGCCCTTCCTCTTCAGCTAACAAACATGTTCCTTTTTCTCACACCTTTTTTAAAGAACTCCCTTGATAACACCAGCTCTAGCCTCCCTTCTCCCATTTACATCAGACTTCTCTCCATTTACTGCCTCACCTCCCATTCAGTTATCTTCCATCTGGTTCTCACCTCTTATTGGACAAAGCAGTGACCTTCTAATTGCCAAATGAATAAATTTTGTTATTACATTATCTGAGGGCTCTCCTGCATTTGCCACTACTAAGAATTCATTTCTTTACTACTTTGTTCTATGATCTTTTGGGGTCTTCTAATCCCTGTGGACTGTCCCTTCTCTCTCGGTCTGTTTTTCACACATTTTTAAATGTTGACACATCCCATTTATCTCCATGTTCATCTTGGCTGATGTCAGCCATTCACGTGGTGTCAGCTATGAGCTATCTACTACAGCCTCCACACATTTATGTCTCCAGCCCAGACTTCTAAATCATTCTACCTGTCACTGATACATTTCCACTCAGATGCAACAAATCCAAGCTTACCATATTCCCCCAGAACTTACTATATTTATTTTGATTCTCTCATTTGGCAGCTCAGGCAGCCCCCAACATGAAACTTCCCTCTCCATTACCCTATACATTTAATCGGCCACATAATCCTATTGATTTACCTACTAAATAACATTATAATCTGTGTCTTCTCTCCAACTCTTATTTCAGAATCTCAAATTTCTTCCTGAAGTACAGGCTGAGCATCCCAGATCCAAAATCTGAAATGCTCCAGAACATGGAATAAAGTCTTGTATGCCTACATGACACTCAAAGTAAATGTCCTTAGAAGCATTTTGGATTTCAGATTTTCAAATTAGGGATGCTCAGCCAGTAAGTAAATGCAAATATTCCAAAATCTGAAATCTAAAACACTTCTGGTCCCAAGCATTTCAGAAAGTAATTTCTGTATTACTCAACTTGTAATCAGAAATTATCTAATTAGTTTTCCTAACTCCAATCCAGCCTCCCTCCACTCTGCTACCAGAGTATTCTAACAAAATCAGAGTGTCAGTCCCCTGCTGAAAGCACCTCAGTGTTCCTTTAGCCTGCAGGATGCTGCTCGGAATCCAGCCTGACCCTCCCTGATCTGGCCTGTGCTGCGTTTATAGCCTCATGTCCACTCCTCATTTCCTGTCCAGCATCACTGATTTGCTCTACCTTAGACGCACACATGCACACATGCTGTACACCATTTTCTCCATTTATCTGCCTTTGTGTATTCTAAGTCCTTGGCCAGGAATGCCTTCCCTGTAGGTGGTACTTATTTTAGGTGACAGTGCCTTAAGGTGGACTCAATTTAGTGATAACACCTCCAAGAGGCCTTCAACAACTCACCTGCCATCCCCACCTCACATGCCCTTCCTCTGGCCTCTGTAGGTGTTGAATGTATCTCAGAATTAGCATTTACAGTCCAAAGGTCTGTGTCCTATATGAGACATTCATCTATATTTCATCAGCACATAGTAGACATTGAAATGTCTGCTGAGTAAATGAATGTCATTAAAATAAACACTTTTAAGGTGTTTTGATAACTTCTCTGTAATACTAGTACCCTGAACATGTTAGTGTTTTTAAAAAGTGAAACGACATTTTTTAAGTACTTTTGTAAAAAGGTGGATAATTTTTTTAAAGTATATTCACATATTACTGTCTTTTTTAATTCTTAAATTCATGAAGTATAGGTGTTTCATCAAAACAGATTAGAAAGCTATGGTATAAAGAAATTAAATTATTTGCCTAACGTTACCTTGTATGTAGTTCAGTAGTTCATAACTTTTCTTGGGTCTTAGACTTCTGAGAATTTGATGAGAGCTATGGACTCTCCTCTCAGAAAAATTCTCACTTGTGAATAAACAACAAGTTTGCCTAAAATTTGAGGAGGTTCGTTTCACAGGCGCCACACTGAGAACTCTAAGTTAATTACAGAGCAGAGATTAGATTTCAGGGCTGTTTCTAGCAAATGTTCCTCTGTTTGAACTTCTAGTAGTATTCTTAGTAATGTTAAGGTTTTAATTACCTTAAATTGTTTTTGCAACAAGTCAACATAAAGATAATTTTAATTCCACTCAAAGATTCTACAGACTTCACTAATGCAGATTTCAAAATTAGTGGCTATTTTAAATGCCCTTTTTTATAGGTGGAGAAACAAGCTTAGGAAGTGAAATTAAGAAATCTGGCCATATGATGAAAGAAGATTAAGAATAAAACCCAGGAATCTTCTATACAAACCAGCAACGCCAAGCTTTTGACAAAAACTTTCTCTGTATTTTTATAACTAGGAGGTTCTCTTTCTTATAACTAGAAAATTCTGTTTCCAGAAATATAAACAGGCTAGGTCAAATCCAAGTGAAAATGGGACCCCAAGAGGTAACAAAGCATTGAAGGTGCTTTTGCCCTAGAGTATTTACCAAACCTGGGGACTTTGAGCTTCACTTTTTAGGGCCTGAAAGGACATGATGAACAGAAATCAAAGACCCTCCTGCCATAAAGCAGGTCTCCCAAAAGCCTCCACTACATGATGAGGATGAACCAGTGGTACTCTATCCCCATACCTCTTCTAAGGAACTGCAAGAAAAGTTGCTTAACTTGAGCAAATCAAGAAAAATCTAAGCAACTGACATTGCAAGCTGGCCTTGCAGTCCAAATTCACCTCCCCTACATATTACAGACACCTTAAAACTATAAACTTAAACAGGACTGGCAGAGTCCAGAGTTCCCTAAATGCCTGACAGAAGTAAATGCAAATTCTCCCTGAAGGGATACTTTCATCCTACACCTTAAAGAATTCTCAAAATAATTTTCTAAGGAAAATGAACGGCTCACAAAATAATCACATAGGCAACAAGACACCATGAATGAGAGCAGCAGAAAAATGACTCACCAAGGGTTCAGATACTGAAATTATGAAACATAAAATCATTATGCTTATTTTTTAAAAATGAGACCAGCTGCCGTGGCTCACGTCTGTAATCCCAGCATTCTGGGAGGCTGAGGCAGGATGCTCACTTGCAGTCAGGAGTTTGAGGCCAACATGGCGAGACCCTATCTCTACTAAAAATACAAAAATTAGCTGGATGTGGTAACGCATACCTGTAATCCCAGCTACTGGAAAGGCTGAGGCAGGAGAATCACTTGAACCCGTGAGGCAGAGGTTGCAGTGAGCCAAGATTGCCCCACTACACTCCAGCCTGGGCAACAGAGTGCACTCTGCCTCAAAAAAAAAAAGAAAAAAGAAATGAGGCGTACACTTAAATATCCATCTGCAGCTAATAGGAAAATTTTTGAAAGGCCTTACAAATTTGCTACAGGGATTAATAGAACTTGTGAAAATCAAAAGTTCAGTAATTGAAATTAACAATCAGATTAGACAGCTATAAAGGCACCAATGACTTGGAAGGCAAGTCAGAAGAAATTCAGAATGCAACACAAAGCAAATGGAATGAAAGTTAAGCAACATGAAACACAAGGCCTCACATATGTCTAATCAGAACAATGGAAGAAGAGGAAAGAGAACATGGAGTGGAGGCTATATTTTAAGAGAGAAGGGTTCAGGATTTACCTGAACTGATGAGAAGCAACAATCTAAAGATTAAAGCTCAATGAATCCCAAGCAAGATGATTTAAATCCAGACACATTATGGTGAAACTGCAAATCACAAGTAACAAAGAAAGTATCCTAAAAGCAGCCAGAGGGAAAAAAGATCGTAACCTAAGGAAGGAGACTGACCACTCAACTCTCAACAGCAGCACTGGGAGCCAGAAGACAGCGCAATGTCCCGAAAGGAAATAACTGCCAACAGAGAACCCTGTTCCCCTAAAACTCAGAAAGAGGACGAAATAAAGACTCAGACCACCACAACCTGAAAGTTCAACACTAGCATGCTGTCACTAAAGGGGATTCTAAAGGATGAAAGAATAAAGAGCAGTCAAAGTAGTAAGTATGTATGGGCAAACTAAAACATTGTGAACCAACGTCTTATGGATTCAAGTTAAACGATATTTAAAATATATAAGAATAGCATATATTAGAAGCAGGGTAAATTGAATTAAAAGTGTTCTGAGACATATCAATTGTCAGGAGGAAGTTAAAGTGATTAATTTTACTCCATTGTGCTAGTAGACATAGAAATGAAGTATGTTACTTTCAAACTAACAGGAAAAGGTGGTGGAATGGTTAAAATATTTCAAAATAAAATGACAGGCAAAAAAACAACAGGTGGGACAAATACCAAAACAATAAAGATAATGATACATAAATTCTGTATACCTAATGTGAATGATCCACATATTCCCCCCCACACACACATAAAATCAGTTAAGGCCAGGCACGGTGGCTCATGCCTGTAACCCCAGCACTTGGGGTGGCTGAGGCTGGCGGATCACCTGAGGTCGGGAGTTCGAGACCAGCCTGACCAACATGGAGAAACCCCATTTCTACTAAAAATACAAAATTAGCCAGGCCTGGTGGTGCATGCCTGTAATCCTCACTACTCAGGAGGCTGAGGCAAGAAAATTGCTTGAACCTGGGAGGCAGAGGTTGTGGTGAGCTGAGATCACGCCACTGCACTCCAGTCTGGGCGACAAGAGCGAAACTCTGTCCAAAAAAAAAAAAAAATCAGTTAAAAGAAATTTTAAAATCTATTTGCTACTTACAAGAGACACATCTAAAACAAGATGCAAAAACATCGGAAATATTTTTAAATTTGCAATTTACTGGAAATAATTGCTGCCATTTTCCTTTCAGTCAGATGACTTGTTTGCTCAGGGTTTCTGACCGGGGCTGGCTGAAACAACACATTGTATCACTGGGCTCCAGAACAGTGTGCCAACAACGTGTGGCACTCTAAAAGGATACAGCATTCCAGCACAATGCTGTGGCTTTATTTACCAAGCTTTTGGGATAATATGTGCCTTGGGCAAAGAGCTCTGTCTGCCCTCAGATCACAATGCTGCACAGGATGCCACATTTAGAACTGTCAGAGGACTGTTCAGTGCAGGGAAAGATGCATTCTGAGAAATAGTACCTGCTGTGGAGTGTTCCAGTTTTTATATTTTTCACACCCATTCTCTGTATCTTTTATCAGGGTTTAGGTGCTTTATCTTTTATATCAGTAGGTAGAGGAGGGAGGGAGAGGATCAGAATTACCTGTGGGGCTTTTCCGAACCACATACACGTACTCCTGAAAATTTGATAGATGCCAGGATATATGACCGTGCAAAGGGCCTGTGTAGTTCAGATAAACCACCAAAGAATTTTTAAACACGTATCATCTCCAGTAGAGAACCGCTGCTCTATGTAAACCACTACCCAAATACGGATGCAAGACTTCATCCCTAAGTGCCTTCTAAACCATATGACCTCCATTCTAAACTTCATTAGTAGTGTTCTCCCTTCTGCTTAGCAAGGCACAACGGATGGCAAACAATGGTTCTGTGAAGTTTATACAACTTGTCATCACCCTAGCCTGCCTGGGGAAGGAAAGGTCTCTGTATTTTTCCTACAGGAGCAAAAAGGAGAATGATTTAGCTGTGGGAAAAGGAGACAGCTGTATATCATTTCCAGGCTCTGGAAATTTATTAACCTGTCCAAACACTTTATAATGTGCATGTATTTTATTATCAAGTAACCACAACAAGCATTTTCTACAAACAAAATCACAAATTCTGGTCTTGTAAGTCAGAGAGTGGGGCGTCCACAACTCCTGAGAATGAGGGGGTTTTCTCAATCCTGGAGTGGGCAAGGAGAGCTTTCTGCTATTGAGGACCACTGGCCCATTGAAAAAACAGGGCCACAGAACCAAAAAGCAATTGAATTTAGCGTTTTGTTTGAGAATATGTGTTTCTATATGCATGATTGTGTATGTATGGGTGTATTCATAGGTATGTATGTAGAAGAGAGAAATACCTCATTCTTTCTCAACTAGTTCTTAAACTAGAGGCAGAGAATAAAATGATATATAGCACAAATAGTTTAAAAGCATACTGCAGTCCCATATTATGCCCAGGAACACTTAAAATCTTTTTTTTCGCTCTGTCACCCAGACTGGAGTGCAGTGGTGCCATCTCAGCTCACTGTAGCCTCCACCTCCTGGGTTCCAGTGATTCTCCTGCCTCAGCCTCCTGAGTAGCTGGGATTACAGGCACATGCCACCATGCCTGGCTAATTTTTGTATTTTTAACAGAGATGGTGTTTCACCATGTTGGCCAGGCTGGTCTCAAACTGCTGACCTCAGGTGATCGACTCGCCTTGGTCTCCCAATGTGCTAGGATTACAGGCATGAGCCACCACGCCCAGCCTAAAGTCTTGATAAGCAAAAATTTTAACTCACTGGATAAAACTATTTCTATGGCAGGCCCTTATTGGTTTCTACCACTAAATACTATGAAGGCAGGAAGAATGCCTCACCTATTTAAATGTGTATTCCTAGAGCCTGAGCACAGGCCTGGCCCATGGTAGACACTCAGCAGTTATGTGTTGAGCAAAGGAAGTTTCATAAACCTACAAGTCTCACTTCTACCTTTCGCCACCCCCCCGGTCAAGCTACATGTCATTCTCCACCCGCTTCCACTCCATACCTCCACCTCCTTATTACATCGAGCCAAATACTGGTGCTTTTTACAGCCAAAAGTGATCAGTGGGAACTCCTCAATGAATCAAGCAGCTCTCAGTCATTTGCACCTTGTGAGGAATTCTGGACCAACATTTCCATCTGCTTTACCCAGAAAAGGTCCAAATAGATAATTCCCCGACAGGCCTTCAAAACGGCTACAAGCAGCATGAAACTGTCTTCAGGAATTTACCATTTAGAAAGCCTGGATTTCATGCATTTAGAACTCCCTCAACAAAAGCTTTCATCCTCTAGACCACAATTTTTGTTTGTTTGTTTTTACTTTTTTGACCACAAGCCTCAGTAAGAAACATGGTTCACACTGCAACCCAGGACACACACACACATACACACACGTGTATTAGTGAAACTCTTTGTGCCATGTAGTCTGATATTGCTGGATCTCTTCTGTGCAGTTCTGTTCTACCTATTTTTTTCTTAATGCTGGTTTCAGCTCATAAAATTGATTTCTTGAACCACTAATGGTTATGACCTGCAGTCCAAAAACCCTGACCTAAACTGACCTAGTATAGCATCACCCACCTTGATATAGTCACAAGATCATAGTTCTTCAAGAAGCTCCAAGTCAAGCTGGTGCCTAAGCCAAACTTAGGGGCTCCAGCTACAACCAGATGAGCTTCAGAATGCAGTGAATAAACTGACTTGCACTCTGTGCTATTTCCTATATAAAGAAAGATTAGAAGGAGAAGAAGTTAATTGATATGTGCCAACCTTGTGCTAGGTGGGCATGCAAGGTCTGTATATGAATGGCCTCCTTAATCCCCTCAACAACTACCTATGGTAAGCATCATCCCCACTCTACAGATGAAAAAATGGATGAGTACGGATGTAAAGGAGCATGCCTAAGGCCACCCAGCTAGTAAGGAACAAAGTAGATTTCCAGCAGGGCTGTCCAACTCCATAGAGCCCACCACTCTCATCCTCCTGACTGTTGCAACAGCTACGTGGAAAAGAGTGCTTTCCTCTTTACTCTCCTTGTGTCTGTCCACATTCAGCATTTCACTCCAGATCTGGTTTTCTAGTCACTTCCTCCAGGAAGGTCCCTCCAAGCCATGTTTGTCAACCTCTAGACTTGCAGGTAGCACTGGATTTTCTCCATGGTCATTGTGTATGCAGCATGTGCACAGTATCAAGTGCACGTAAGTATGTGTGTGAATGTCTATTCTATTGCTTTTCTGCTGCCAAAATCACACACCGGCAGTGGGCCAGACATGGGCGCGGTGGCTCATGCCTGTAATCCTAGCACATTGGGAGACCAAGGCGAGTCGATCACCTGAGGTCAGGAGTTTGAGACCAGCCTGGCCAACATGGTGAAACACCATCTCTGTTAAAAATACAAAAATTAGCCCGGCATTGTGGCACATGCCTGTAATCCCAGCCACTCGGGAGGCTGAGGCAGGAGAATCACTGGAACCCAGGAGGTGGAGGCTGCAGTTCTTGGGGCTGTACATCAGGCTCCATGATTCCCTTTTCCGGTGCCCCATCTGACCCAGCCACTAGAGAATGACTAGCTAGAGCATGTTCAGCTATTTTTAGTTCCCTCAATCACTGACCTAGACTGTTCGCCGAGGAGGCAGAAGGAACTGGGAAGGAAGGTCTGTATCAGCCTCATCCACACTGCTTCTCAGGCAGCTGACTGCCTGCAGCTTTGAGGCAAGGGTTGAAAATTAGAAATCATGTAGGCAGAGCTTTCCAGATGGGGAAATAAAGAGCAGATGGCTACCCCCACCAGCAATGGAGCTTGCCACCTTGGTCATCGGAGGCTGCGGGAGAGAAGAGAGCAGAGAACATAAAGAGGGAGGTAGGGGGCACCTGGACAAGTCTGCAGCCAACTCGTAAGAGCAAAACCACTTATAAGGCACAAAAAGAACCAGAGACTGCCTCCCCTCCTTGACCCTCCTATTTGAATTTTGCTCAAAGGTTTTCTGGTGTACGTACATAGTACCATGGGAAACTGGGAGGAACATGCTTAGGCCATGCACTAGAAGTATCCAATACTCACAGCCTGGGAAAGGAGGCAGCCTGATAGACATAAGACAAACTCCTTTAGCTGGAAAGTGTTGGAAGACTCTAAGTCATAACTGCCCAGGTGCCAATTCAGCATTTATCCTGACCCAATCTAACTTTTAAAGATTTTCTTGTATTGATTAACTTAAGGATATATAGAAAAATTGTAGTTATGTAGAGATAAATGGAATATATATGGATATGTGGAGTATCTAGAGAGATGTATGGAGAGATTACTTGACAGTTTCCCTCTGAGAGACTCACAGTAGAGAAAATTTTCTTTCAGTTCCTCTGTTTGTAGGAATTCACAGCTTTGCTTAAAGCAACTCTAGCCAAAAAGAACAAATCGTGAGTTTTCAAACAAACAATATTTTGTCTCAATTTAAGAAGACTAAAAGGAACTAGTTTCTCTGGCTTTCTCTGTTTTTTAGAGTAATATTGTGGCAGGTAGTTAGATGGTCAAGAGTGGGGCAGGAGAGGGCTCTTCCCCACCCACTAGGAATTTTGGGTGATGATTCGGAAGTTATCACATTGTCTCTCTAGAAGTGCTAAATTGGCAGCTAGACCAGAGAAAGGCCATTTCCTGATGGTTCACATCTGTTGCACTAAAATATTAATTGAATGCAGATGCCAGGGAGACGCAACTTCCTGGGCATGTGCCTTAAGAGACAAAATGGCAGAGTATGACCTTCTGGGTACACTCCATCTGAAAAGGGAAGAAAGTCTCAGATGGACAAGCCTCAGATGGACTTCCTAAACACACTGCACATGCTCACCTCCCAAGGGTAAGGAGGGCACTGTGCATGCGGGAAGCCTACCCTAAGGGAAGAATTATGGGAAAGGGGCCAGCCTATAAAGGTTCAAGGTTAAACACTGCACTTGACCCTCACGTGCCCACTTGCATTTCTTCCTCTATTTCCTGTTCTAAAGCCTTTTTAAATAAACTTCCACTCCTGCTCTGAAACTTGCCTTGGTCTCTTTTTCTGCCTTATACCCCTCAGTTTAATTCTTTCTTCTGAGGAGGGAACAATTGGGGTTGCTGCAGACCCATACAGAATTGCTGCCAGTGACTCAGATATCTTCCACTGGCAACATTTGGTACTGTGAGACTCAGATATTTGCCACCCCTAACAAGATGAGGGAAAATTTTTTCCCCTTTCATTGCATCTATTTTGCTGAGTAAACTGTTTCTTTTGTCCTGGAGACCTTCCTGCAATGTAGAGTGTATTGATTGTCTCCCTGTTTTTTAATATGTTCCTTGGACCGCTTATATTTTCTGTAAGTGGTAGTTAAATTTAGGGGCTTGGTCAAATTCAGTTTTAATATTTTTGGTGCTGCTTTTTTGTTGGAGGATTTATGTACTTCCATAAACAGGTGCATGATGTCTGGCTATTTTTGTAATAGTAGCAGACATTTATGATCTTTGCCTAGATCATTAATTCTGTTGGGGTTTTAAAATGGTGGTATTTGAATTCCATTATTCCTCTATCATTTATTATCTGGGATACATCCATAAAAGAATCATTCTTTCGCCAATGATATGATTTCCTCTAGGTACATATCATACAGGAAAAACACAATAAATATCTGACTCTTTGCATTTACTGGTTTTCAGAACAATAAGCTGGTGTGTTTCTTCTTTCTTTCTTTGTTTTAGTATCATCATAATGAACTCAAGGATTTTTAGCAGATGCTGTTGATGTCCAACCCCATATCCCCTGGGTTCACCTCAGATTTCACCTGCATTTGTGCTGGATAGTAACAATGCATACTGACAGCTTCTCTTATCACCCTCCTTTTGCTTCTTTGAGAGCTTTCTCCAAAGCTATAGGAACTTGCTGAGCCCACCTGTGGGCAGCCCAGAAATGACAGAGATTCAATGCCTCAAAAGACAACCTTTAACCATGAGGGGTGGCTTCACCTTCCCTTGGCAGGACAATTTTTAGAGACATGCTACATCATTTAGGAGAGGGCTCTCAAGTCACATGCACATTTTGCTGTTCTTCCTTCCCTGTCTCAGTTTCCTCGCTAATTTGTGTTGTTTCTTGGGATCACCTTTCAAGTAAACCACTGGCATTCAATTCATTGTCTCCTGGTCTTCTTTTGGGATGCACCCAAATTAAGATAAATTTAACTATGTTTGACGACTTTTGATCTATTGCAATTATTACCCTTATCGACTCAAATCATCCCATCTTTGGTCAGTTGGAGTGTATTCAACTGGCTTCTGAGTCCTTTTGACATGACACTGCTTGGTTTTGATAATTTTCTTTTTTCTGGTATTACAAGAAGTTTTGCTCTCATTTTGTACATTTCCTTCCTCAGACCTGCAATCAACCATTTCTCCAGAAAACCCTTTGTTTTTATTTCTGTTTTGAGACAGAGTCTCACTCTGTAGCCCAGACTGGAGTGCAGTGGCACAATCTCAGCTCACTGCAATCTCCACCTCCCAGGTTCAAGTGATTGTCCTGCCTCAGCCTTGTGAGTAGCTGGGACTACAGGCACGCACCACCATGCCTGGCTAATTTTTGTATTTTTAGTAGAGACGGGGTTTCACCATACTGGCCAGGCTGGTCTCGAACTCCTGACCTCATGATCCGCCCTGCCTCAGCCTCCCAAAGTGCTGGGATTACAGGCGTGAGCCACCACACCCGCACTGTTTTTATTTCTTGATGTAGGAAATAGTATTTAGAGACCACAATCTTGGCAGTAGGGATGCTTATTGCTACTGGATTGATCATTGTTTCTATGTCTTTTCAGTAGACAAATTAAGAAAACTTTCTTGTTTCTTTGCATGTCTTATAACTTTTTGTTGATAAAATAGGCATTGTAAAAAATGTAATGTGGCAAATCTGAAAAGCAGATTCCCCATATCAACCATTTTTCTTTTTCTTTTTTTTTTTTTTTTTTTTTTTTTTGAGACGGAGTCTCATTCTGTCACTAGACTGGAGTACAGTGGTGCGATCTGGGATCACTGCAACCTCCGCCTCCGGGGTTCAAGTGATTCTCCTGCCTCAGCCTCCCAAGTATCTGGGACTACAGGAGTGTGCCACCACACCCAGCTAATTTTTTTTTTTTTTTTTGTATTTTTAGTAGAGATGGGGTTTCACTATATTGGCCAGGATGGTCTCAATCTCCTGACCTCGTGATCTGCCTGCCTCAGCCTCCCAAAGTGCTGGAATTACAGGCGTGAGCCACCAAGCCCAGCCCAAGCATTTTTCTTTTATTGCTGTTTATTGTTACTGCTGCTGCTGTGTGCTTATTTAGTGACTTTTCTGGACTAATTCTGTAAAATCTGTATTCTTTGACATGTGTGGCCCCTGAAGTCTCTGCTTGTTTCACTTAGTGGTCAACTAATGACTGGACAGAGATTTATTCATGCCTGAGCCAATTAACCCCTTAGCCTCTGCTGAGAACTCTGTGTGTTTAAACACACCTTCAGTGCTCCAGCGGACATTTTGCAACATTGCATTTCCCTTCATTCCTGCCCGTGCAAAGCCTCGGGGTCACCCAGAGCCTTCTCTTTCTTTCCTGGGCTTATGCACAGCCCTGCACAAGCATGTGGCCTTCTAGATTCCATGGACTATGTTGAAGTTTTTCAAAGCTCTATTCCGTTTTCAAAGCCGCATTCCCTGGTTTTTCCTTTTTTTAGTCAATCTCTTCTTAGTTCCAACCAATAATGCTGCCTTGGGCAGCTGCATTGTTCAACGATTGTTGTTGGTCATTTTTTAACAAATTTCCTGAGGGCAGGGTTGTTCACACAGCATGAGCTCTGTGTCAGGTCACATAAGGAATGCTCCGAGAGTGAATCTGTCCAGAGAGTTTTCAGACAGGTCAAATAGTGGCAATTCTCCAGGAATGAGTTTTTTGAGAGCCCCAAACATGTTGTGCCTCCTCCAGTGCCCACCAAGCTGCTAGTTTTCATAGCTATTATAGTTGTGAGGCTGTTACATGGGAACTGTGTGGTAGGTGTTAGAGGAGTGAGATTATGACAAACCAAAACATAAAGCTTAGGGCCAGGCACAGTGGTTCATGCCTGTAATCCCAACAATTTGGGAGGCTAAGGTGGGAGAATCACTCGAGCTCAGGAGTTCAAGACCAGCCTGAGCAACATAGCAAGACCTCATCTCTACTAAAAATAAAATTAAAATTAAAAATAACTTAACTAGGCATGGTGGCACGTGCCTGTAAGCCCCAGCTACTCTGGAGGCTGAGGTAGGAGGACCACTTGAGCCTGGGAGATTGAAGCTGCAGTAAGCTGTGAACACAACTCTGTCCAGCCTGGGGGACAGAGTGAGACCCTGTCTCAAAAAAAAAAATAAAACAAAGCTTGCTGTTCAGCCATATTTCTTGAATGAAACCCCTCAAATTGTTGCATGCTTTCAATTTCCAGAATTCTGAAAACATTTATTTTTGGCGGTTTTTGCCATTGTTCTCACTGCTTTTGTAGAGGTGAAGAATCTTGAAGGGCCCTACTTCACCGTTCCAGAAATTGGGATTCTGAACATTTTTTAAATGAAAAAATATATCAAATTAATACCTAAAATGTTAGATTTTTTACTTAAGCTCAATTGATAACTACCTCATTGATTCCACTAAATCTCCTTTCTCTCTTTTCAAAAATCCTGTTCTCAGTAATACCATCAAAATTATTATTTTGCGACCAGGCACAGTGGCTCATGCCTGTAATCCCGGCAATTTGGTAGGCCAAGGCGGGAGGATCGCTTAAGCCCAGGAGTTTAAGACCAGCCTGAGCAACACGGTGAGATCCCCTCTCTAAAAAAAGTACAAAAATTAGCCCAGTGTGGTAGTGTGTGCCTGTAGTCCCAGGTACTTGGGAGGCTCAGGTGGGTCACTTGAGCCTGGGAGGCAGAGGCTGTAATGAGCAAAGATGGTGCCACTGCACTCCAATCTGGGCAACAGAGCGAGACCCTGTCTCAAAAAAAAAGTATATATATATATACACACACACACACACACATATATAAATTTTGTTTTATCCTTCCATACATACAAAGCAGACTTAGAATAATAATACCAATATTGCTGCCAATAATATAATCATTGAAAATACAATATTTTACACTTCCTTTTATCCTTAGAGTTTATCTCACTGGGAATATACAGTCAAAGTACTGTGGTTTAGAGTCAGTTTGAAAAGTCTTTCTCAAAATTGAGACATGAAAAACCATTCAAAAGGCCAATGAATCCAGGAGTTGTTTTTTTAAAAAAATTAATAAGATAGGTAGGCCACTAGCTAAACTAACAAAGAAGAAAAGAGAGAAAATCCAAATAAACACAATTAGAAATGAGGATGGGAATGTTATTACTGACCCCACAGAAATAAAACAACCATCAGAAACTACTATGAACAACTCTACGCAGAAGAGATGGATAAATTCCTAAACACATACACCCTCCTAAGACTGAGCCAGGAAGAGATTGATTCCCTAAACAGACCAATAGAGCTCTGAAATTGAATCAGTAATAGCCTACTAACCAAAACAAAGCCCAGGACCTGATGGATTCACAGCTGAATTATACCAGGTGTACAAAGAAGAGCTAGTACCTTTCCTACAGAAACTATCCCCAAAAATTGAGGAGGAGGGACTCCTCCCCAACTCATTCTATGAAGCCAGTGTCATCTTTACACCAAAACCTGGCAGAGATACTACAAAAAAAGAAAACTTCAGGCCAGTATCCTTGAATATCAATTTTAAAATTCTCAACAAAATATTTGCAAACTGAATCCAGCAGCACATCTAAAAGCTAACACACCATGATCAAGTAGGCCCCAGGATGTAAGTTTCGTTCAACATACACAAATCAATAAATGTGATTCATGAGATAAACAGAACTAAAGACAAAAAACAATTATCTCAATAGACACAGAAAAAGCTTTCGATAAAATTCAACACCCCTTTATATTAAAAATTCAAAACCCCTTTATATTATAAACTAGGTATCGAAGGAACATACCTCAAAATAATAAGAAACCATCTATGACAAACCCGCAGCCAGCATTATACTGAATGGGCAAAAGCTGGAAGCATTCCCCTTGAAAACCTGCACAAGACAAGGATGCCCTCTCTCATCACTTTTATTCAACATAGTATTGGAAGTTCTAGCCAGAGCAAACAGGGAGAAGAAAGAAAGAAAGGGCATCCAAATAGGAAGACAGGAAGTCAAACTATCTCTGTTTGCAGATGACATGATTCTATATGAGAAAACCCCAGGCTGGGTGCAGTGGCTCACACCTGTAATCCCAGCACTTTGGGAGGCTGAGGTGAGTGGATCACCTGAGGTCAGAAGTTTGAGAGCAGCCTGGCCAACATGGTGAAACCCCATCTCTACTAAAAATGCCAAAAAAATTAGCCTGGCATGGTGGTGGGCATCTGTAACCCCAACTACTTGGGAGGCTGAGGCAGGAGAATCACTTGAACCCAAGAAGCAGGGATTGCAGTGAGCTGAGACTGCACCATTGCACTGTAGCCTGGGGAACACAGCGAGGCTCTGTCTCAAAAAAGAGAAAAGAAAACCCCATAGTCTTGGCCCAAAAGCTCCTCTAGCTGATAAACAACTTCAGCAAAGTTGCAGGATACAAAATCAATGTACAAAACTCGCTAGCATTTCTATACACCAACAACAGCCAAACCGAGAGCCAAATCAGAAAGGCAATCCCATTCATAATTGCCACAAAAAGTGTAAAATACCTAGGAATACAGCTAACCAGGGAGATGAAAGATTTCTACTATGAGAATTACAAAACACTGCTCCAAGAAACCAGAGAAGACACAAACAAATGGAAAAACATCCCATGCTCATGGATAGGACGAATCAAAATCATTAAAATGGCTATATTGCCCAAAACAATTTACAGATTCAGTGATGTTCCTATCAAACCACCAACAACATTCTTTACAGAACTATTAATAGAAAAAACTATTTTAAAATTCATATGCAATCAAAAAAGAGCCCAAATAGCCAAGGCAATCCTAACCAAAAAGAACGAAGTTGGAGGCATCACATTACCTGACTTCAAACTATACTAGAAGACAACAGTAACCAAAACAGCATGATACTGGTACAAAAACAGGCACAGACACCAATGAAACAGAACAGAGAGCCCAGAAATAAGGCCACGCATCTACAACCATCTGACCTTTGACAAAGCTGACAAAAATAAGCAATGGGGAAAAGACTCCCTATTCAATAAATGGTGCTAGGATAACTGGCTAACCATATACAGAAGATTGGAGCTGGACCCCTTCCTTATATCACACACAAAAATCAACCAAGATAGATTCAAGACTTAAATGTCAAACCTAAAACTATAAAAACCCTGGAAGATGACTTGGCAATAACATCCTGGACATTGAAATGGGCAAAGATTTCATGATAAAGACACCAAAAGCAATCACAGCAAAAGCAAAAATTGACAAGTGAAATCTAATTAAACGTACAAGTTTCTGCACAGCAAAATAAATTATCAAGAGTAAATAGACAACCTACAGAATGGGAGAAAATATTTGCAAACTATGCATCTGACAAAGGTCTAATATCCCACATCCATAAGGAACTTAAATTTACAAGAGAAAAACAACTCCATTAAAAAGCGGGCAAAGGACATGAACAGACACTTCTCAAAAGAAGACATACACAGGCATAAGCTTAATATCACTGATCATTAGAGAAATGCAAATCAAAACCACAATTAGATACCATCTCACACCAGTCAAAATGGATATTGTTAAAAAGTCAAAAAAACAACAGATGCTGGTGAGGTTGTGGAGAAAAGGGAACACTTACACACTGTTGGTGGGAATGTAAATTAATTCGACCATTGTGGGAAGCAGTATGGTAATTCCTCAAAGAGCTACAAGGAAAACTACCATTCAACACAGCAATCCCATTAACTGGGTATATACCCAGAGGAATAGAAATCATCCTACCATAAAGACACATGTACGTGAATGTCCATCACAGCACTATTCACAATAGCAAAGACATGGAATCAGCCTAAATGCCCATCAATGACAAATTGGAAGAAGAAAATGTGGTACATACACACCATTGAATACTATGCAACCATAAAAAAGAACAAGATTATGTCTTTTGCAGGAATGTGGATGAGGCTAGAGGCTATTACTCTTAGCAAACTAATGCAGGAACAGAAAACCAAACACCACATGTTCTCACTTCTAAGTGGGAGTAAATAAGAACTTATGAACACAAAGAAGGAAACAACAGACACTGGAGTCTGCTTGATGGGGGAGGTGGGGGGAGGGAGAGGAGCAGAAAAGATAACTTGGGCACTGGGCTTAATACCTGGGTGATGCAGTAATATGTACAACAAACCCCTATGACATATGTTTACCAATGTAACAAATCTTCACATATACCCCCAAACCTAAAAGTTAATTAAAAAAAAAAAAACAATGAAACTAAAAAAAGAAAAGAAAAAAAATCTTTCTCTATGTGGGTTTGCCTCTATGTAGATAGGCAGTGAGGTTTGTTTAATTTCACTTTTGTTTTTTAGGAATTGATTTTTAAAATTTAATTTTGGTGTTTTGTTTGTCTTGCTCTTCAGCCCAGGCTGAAGTGCAGTGGTGCGATCTCGGCACACCATAGCCTCCCGCCTCCTGGGTTCAAGTGATTCTCCTGCCTTAGCCTCCCAAGTAGCTAGGACTACAGGCACCTGCCACCACGCCTGGCTAACTTTTGTACTTTTAAGTAGAGATGGGGTTTCGCCATGTTGGCTAGGCTCGTCTCAAACTCCTAGTTTCAAGTAATCCACCCACCTCAGCCTCCCAAAGTGCTGGGATTACAGGTGTGAGCCACTGCGCCCAGCCCTACATTTGTTTCATAAATGGATAAAATATATACATAGTTCCAAAGTCAAATCTATAAAACAAGGTATATTCAAATAATTGTAACTACTATCCCTATTCCCTTTACCCATTTCCTCCTCTTCCAAGCATAAACATTTTTTAAGTGTAATTGTTTATTGCTGCATTGCTATGTTGTATGATTAATATAAGCAAATACGTTTATGGGTATATCTTTTGGTATTTAGAAAGGTTTCTATTTGTGTTCTAACCATTACCTTTATTCTAACCATTATTCTTAATACGTTTAGAGCTCTGATTTTTTACTGTTGTCTATTGGTTTCTACCATGAGCATTCCCTAGCATCCAATTTGAAGTAATGTTTTATTCCCAGTTAATATCTATTAGGTAATCAGTGAATTTAATTTGCTGTTCATATACTCACTCTATTCTTCCCCCAGTTTTGGATAGTTGCATTATACTTCCAGAACACACAGCCGTCATGCACCATACTTACACATATACCTTTACAATCTTCACTTAGATTTTGTTCTATAGACTAATAGACACTTAATGCTCACCAATAGTCTTTATGTCAATGTCTCTCCAGTCATTTTGTTGTCTGGAAATTCTTCTTTAAGAGATTCCCAAGGAAAGATTTTTGAAATATTATTTCCTGAATTTTCACATCTTCAGAATAATTTGTCTGAAGCATTTATAATTTAATGTCAGTTTGATTAAAGTGGTTGATTCACATTTTCTCTCTCCTGGCATAAACCATTGCAGTAAAAAAAAAAAAAAAAAGTGTGTTGGTAATTGAGTTTTCTTTCTCTAAGTGTCTGGTTCTTTTGTCTGAATATCCAAAGAATTTTTTTCCTTTAAATTCCAATAATTTTACAAGAAGATGTCTCATTGAATTCTGTTCTGAGTCATTTTCCCCCAGATAAACAATATGTCCTTTCAAGATGTCACTTTGAGGTTTATATTTTAAGATAAGTTTTTTTTTATTATAGTTTTTAGCATCTGCTCTTTTCCATTGATTGGTTTTCTTTTTCAGGACCTCCTATTTTACATATGTTTGAACATCTTTGGATATCTTTTTGAGCTGTTATTTTCTCTCAAATTCTCTCTTCATTTCTTTTGGATTTTTAAATTTTTCCTTCTTTTAATCTCCTTTTTAAAAAAAGAATGTGTTTATTTATTCTAGTATTTCATGTAATTTAATCTTAATTTCTGAAATGATTTTTTAAATTTCTTTTTCTAAAGGTAGTTTTGTTACCTCTATTTTTGAATATTCCTACTTTACAAACACGTCATTTCTAAGTTCTTCTACCTTTGATGTATGTTGTTTTTCCATAGCTTTTATCACTTTCTTGCCTTATTTTAGCTTGTCATAAAATATTTGGTTATGGTTTTCACCTCTTTTGTGAACATGTCTTTCTTACCTGCTTTCATTGTCTAATGGAATGTTATTCTGCACCTTATTATTACTTTTTTTTAAATAAGAACTTTGTATGGACATTGATAATGGTCTTTTTCCTGTAGCTATGTTTAAGTGAAATAAATTTTCCTTTTTTTTTTTTTTTTATTTGGCAGAGGATGGATGGCCAAGGATAGATTTTCCAGCTTCCTCGCTCTACAACTTCTTGTTTTGTTGTTTGTGATGAGAAATGTGCCCTAAAGACTTTCTAAAATACATGCTTCTGCACCCCTACCCCTCGCTCTTCTCTCCTTTTTTCCTTTGTCCCTATTGTCCTTTTCTGCATAATTTTGATTCTGCTCCCAGTACTTGTTCCTCGGTGTAGTACTAAGCAAGCTTTGTAGGAGAAGAAGAATTTGCAGCAGAGATGGTATGTAGCTCATAAAGCCTAAAATATTTACTGTCTGGCCCTTTCCAGAAAAGTTTGCCAACCCCTGTTCCACGGACGACTCTATCTTTTCTCTGAAGAGCGCCTCCCCACTCTGTGTGGTCTAGGTGGTGCTGTCAATCTCTGTGCACCATCAACGCCAGTGAGATGTGACCCTAGAAGGGGTTAATAAATGGAGACTTTCCTGCAGCTGATATACAGATATTAGGAGGGAGATTTTTCTATTGGGGTTGCTTAGCTGTGGGTTGTAAATCTCAGGCTGCTGGTGGCCACTTCTCTTAGCCATAAGGAGGACGTCTATTTGCACTGGGAGAAAAGGGGGCTTAGGTTATGAAGGCAGTGGAGTGATTAATGAAATCTCCGACTCTAGCTAAAGCGGCTGCATCCTTGGACTTTGCAGCTACATGAGCCAATACATTCATTTTCTGCTTCAGCTAGTGTGAGGTGGATTCTGATGCCACAACCCCAAAAAACCCAGACTTACACAGCTGTATACATAAAATCACAAGTGCATGGCCACTGAAATGATTTTTCTCAAATTATTCCCTACTAAGTCTATTTTTTTTTAACTATAAGAGAATTAAAGAGTTAAATAAAAACAAGGGAAGTAGAATAAATTACTTTGCCCATGAGCAAGAGAATACCTTAGCTAAGATTTGGTAAATTAGTCTAAATTTTTAAAAAGCATGCTCTGAATAGTCTAGGCATGGCAGTTCACACCTGCAACCTCAGTACTCTGGGAGGCTGAGACAGGATTATCACTTGAGGCCAGGAGTTCAAGACCAGCCTGGGAAACATAGCAAGACCCTGTTTCTACAAAAAATAAATTAGCTGAATGTGGTGGTGCATCCCTGTAGTCCTAGCTACACAGGAGGCTGAGGCAGGAGGATTCCTTGAGAGCCTGGGAGTCCAATGCTGCAGTGAGCTGTACTTCACTGCACTCCAGCTTGGGTGACAAAGTGAGACTCTGTCTCAAAAAAAAAAAAAAAAAAAAAAAAAAAAAGCATGCATGAAATAAGTTCAGCTTGTAGTTTATAAATAATATTGAAAATAATTTGATTTAATGAGAACAAATAACATCACATTTTGATAGGCCAGGGCTGGCAGAGTTTGAATTAGAAAACATAAATTACTATTGTAGTGGAGTGGAGCCTATCAGAAACATCAGTGGAGCTTTTTCAAAAACCAGAATTGAAAAGGCCACACTGAGGACCTACTGGGATAACTGTGATAAATAGAAAAGCTTGGGAATTACTACTCCAATATGGTTCCTTCACTTTTAAAAAATGTGTATTTTATATTTTGCTTACTTTGGGATATTCTGAGGTAAAGATTCAAAGTCCTTATTTCTGTTATCTCTAAATATATATTCATACCACCACCAGATGGTTTCACCAACGATACAAAACTATTTTTCAGGTGACTACACCTAGTGGTAGCAAGGACCTGGGGAAGTCTTGTAGCTCTATTAGACCAAGGTCAAATCCAAACCAAAAATGAATAATGGCTAGGATATCAGAAAGGCACAGAAGCAAACATTTGAGATTTATTAAGATGTTTTATGAAAATATCAGAGCAACAATCTATTTATCTTGAACAAGAGAGTGAATAAGAAATCTGTCCCAGATAAATAATTTAGGATTGGCTTGAATTAGTTCCTGATGTAATTCTCTGGATACTAAAATCACTCATGTGTAAGCACCGCAGATGCCAGGCCCTCAGGCACCTGAAAGCAACCTCCTTTCTCTCTTCATTAGAATGACTGAAAGGACTTCCAAATGCTCGCTTAGACTAGAGCAGGGCAACAACAGGCCCCGCATGGTGAGAAACTCACTTTGCAAACCACAGGGGTGGAATGGAGGCTGTGGGTCCATCAGTGCTAATAAGTGGGAGCCTTCAGGCCTCAGGTCTACATCCGAGAGGGAGAGCCCATCCCCAGGCTACCAACAATTTCACCTGTAATTTGTACACACGCAGTTCTTTTGTTCTGCTTAATGCTGGAAGGGATGTACGTGAGAAAGAGTAGGCCAGGAGGGAACAAACCCCTAGCACTTTCTTTTCTTGCCATTCATTACACAATAACTCTTTTCTGTCCATTTTTTCTTAAAGTCTCTGATATTGAAGGGGAGCTAATTCTTGCTTTGGATGAGAGGATCCAAATGATGGCTGTCATTCTGTGTTTTGCTTAACTCATTCCAAAACAGTACATGCACTTAGATTTTTTTCTTCTAAGAACTGAACTTGGCCATTTCCCAGGCAGCTCTATAATCCAGCAAAAAAAATCAGAACTTGGGTCACAGATTAGAAAAGTAATTCTTTGAATAACCCCTCTTGGCTTTTCCAGACATCCTGTCCCCAGCCACTTCCTAGAAGCTCAAGGTGACTTACAGCAGAAGTTTCCTTATAGACTTCCTATCTTAACCCAGTCTAGAAAGAGAACCTCCAGCCAGGAGCTAATAGTAGCAGCAGCAGCAATAGTAGTAACAGTAGTAGTGACAAACCGCTTTCAGAGACATTGTCCTATTTGCTCTCACAGCAATCCTACGAAGAATGAACACAAGTCCTGTGGTCTTCATTCTGTGGACGAACAGACTGAGATTCTGAAAAGTTAAGGTAGTAATTGAGAGAGCAGGTACTTGAAATTCAAGTCTTTTACCTATAACTCAAGTCTAAGAGCCTATATCACTCTACTAGTTAGTTACAGATCCTGAAGTTGACTGGCTAAATAACTAGTAGAACCAGAGATGTCTGTCTCTCAAATGTTAATAGGAGCCTGGGGCTAAGTAGCTGGTGTTGCTTCTTGGGGCTGCCTCTTGGAAGATGCAATGGCTTTGCTCTGTCATGCTCCAGGCAGCTCAGAAGTGACAGAATGGGCACCTGGATTTCAACCTAACACAGATCTACCTAATGCTTATAGTCATCAAACGTATACCTCAGAAGTGGTGAGATAATCATGCAGAGATGGCTTAAAAATGCAGCAGACAGCCGGACGTGGTGGCTCACACCTGTAATTTCCAGCACTTTGGGAGGCTGAGGCAAGAGGATCGCTTGAGTCCAGGAGTTTGAGACCAGTCTAGTCAACATAGGGAGACCCCCATCTCTACAAAAAATTTAAAAATTGGCTAGGTGTGGTAGTGCATGCCTGTAGTCCTAGCTACTTGTGAGGCTGAGGTAGGAGGATTGCTTCAGCCTAGGAGGTTAAGGCTGCAGTGAGCTATGATCATGCCACTGCACTCCAGCCTGGGTGACAGAGCAAGACCATATTTTATTTTTATTTTATATTTTATTTATTTTATTTTATTTTATTTTTTGAGACGGAGTCTTGTTCTGTCACCCAGGCTGGAGTGCAGTGGTGTGATCTCCACTCACTGCAACCTCTGCCTCCCAGGTTCAAGCAACTCTCCTGCCTCAGGCTCAGGAGTAGCTGGGATTACAGGCGCGTGCCACCATGCCCGGCTAATTTTTGTATTTTTAGTGGAAACAGGGTTTCACCATGTTAGTCGGGCTGGTCTCAAACTCCTGACCTCGTGATCCACCCACCCTAGCCTCCCAAAGTTCTGGGATGGTAGGCATGAGCCACTGCACCTGGCCAAGACCATATCTTTGGGAAAAAAAAGGTGGCAGGCTGTTGGCTGTTGTACAAGAGACCCAAGTCAGTTAGGGGCTTAGAAAACATCTCAGGTCTCATCCAGCCCCAAGATTTCTCAGTTCCTGGAAAGGTGGAGAGGAAGAAAGGGGGCTTTGAAAGCAGAAGTAATGATTCAATAAGGATGTTGGCTGCATTTTTCTTCTAGAAGGTGAACCAGAGAATAAAGAACAGATTTGTCTTTATTTTGCAAAACCCAGGTAGGGAGAGTGGAGGGGAATGGAGTAAGAATTAATGCATTGAAGTTAGAAACAAAAAGAATGGAGGGAACAAGCAAGTAAAAAGGAAAAGAAAGAAAGGAGCATGTTATGTTTCCTTTCAGAGAATCATTTGTTGGAACACTACATCTCAAACCTGATAACAGCTGGTAAATACAGCTTCAAGTATTGCATAAAAATATCACCTGATTTTAAAAAATAAAAACTTATTTTTAGTTCACTTTTTCCACTTCTTCCATGCAGAGATATTTAGCCAAGACTTACAACTGGTATTATAGGTTGAATTGTTTCCTCCAGAAAAGATAAGTTGAGGTCGTAACTGCTAGTACCTCAGAATGTAACATTATTCAGAAATACAGTATTTACAGAGGTAATAAAGTTGAAGTGAGATCATTAGGATGGACCCTAATCCAATGTGACTGGTGTCATGGACAGGGAAATTTGGACACAGAGACGGACACACACACAGGGAGGATGCCACATGAAGATGGAGGCAGACACCAGGTGATGCAGCTACAAGCCAAGGAACACCAAAGACTGCCCAAAAACCATCAGAAGCTAGGGGAGGGGCCTGGGACAGGTTCTCCCTTGCAGCCCTAAGGAGGAACCAACCCTACTAACACCTTGATCATGAACTTCCAGCCTCCAGGACTGTGAGACAATGTGTTTCTGTTGTTTAAGCCGCCCAGCACGGGGTACTTTGCTACAGCAGCCTAAGTAGACCAATCCAACTGGCTATTCGAGTTTCACATTTCCTGGCTCCATGCTTTCCAGGTAAAGGCCTAGAGTGCTTCTGGAACTGTGATGCTCAAAAGGCAAGCAGAACCCAGCAAGTTGGAGCAGGAAGTATCCCAGAGATCATCAATCTTAACTTATTTTATAGATATGAAAATTGAAGTTCAGGAGGAGTGAGTGACTTGCCCAAGTTTTCACCATGCAGAGCCATGACTCAAACCCAGGTTGTCAGACCTCCAGCCCACAGCTCTTTCTACCAGGGCCTGATCTTACCCAAACTGCACACACAGCCCTTCTTGTCATTACTTACCTGTTGGTTGCATGCCTCTTAAGTGTAAAACTTTGGGCTGGAGTTACTTGGAACCTGCTGCCATGGCAACTGGTGGGGGCAGGAGCAGGTCCTTTCTAGGGAATCTAGGGCTGCATCAGGGAGGCAACAGCTTACAAGACTAGATACTCCTGCTGTCTGCAGACACATCATATTTCTGGTCCTTTCCTCACCTTCCTCCTCTATTACCTTGCCCTCATGGTCAATCTAAATCACAGAACTAGGAGGGCTAGAGAGGAAAATGTTCCATGTTAGCTCAAATGCCAAGAAGGAGCCAGTGACTGCAACATATATTTGGAGAAGATCTTATGGAATTAAGCTCAGAATAAACTTTCTGAACCCCAGGTAAATTATCAAAGAATGGGGCTTTATTTGTTCTGCGCCTCTGCATCTATATGAAAAGATAGTCCTGGGCTACTTTCTCCAATCATACAGATTGGACCTAAGCTTGTAAGTGGCTCCCAAGTCAGAAGGTATTTGGATTTGTCTCCTCTCCAAAAGTCCTCAAGCAGACCCTTGATTTTTGTCCCACCCAGTAAACATGCCAAGTGCAAGGTAACTACACAGTTAAAGGAGTAGCAATTAAGTGAAATCTTGGGGAGGAAGGCATGGTTTTTCTACCATGGGAAGGACAGCAGGGACTCCTTCCTCCTAATCTTCCTCCTACTGTCTTCCTGGGAACTGGACTTCTCCTGATTTTGTCTCTCAGCAGGAAGAATGAGGCGGGGCCACATCTAAAGTGGTCATAGCCCCCAGGAGCTGATAGGCAAGGAAGGATCTTGGGTCGACCTGTACAAAAGGGCCCAGAGGAAATCCTTTGTTCTGATGTTGAGACACAGCTGTGTGGAAGGAAACCAGGCACAGCCTGTGCACTGATAGACTGGGGAGGTGAAACACTTCAACCATCCCTTTGTTCTCTAGTGCTGTTGCTCTATCTTCCTTTCTATACCTTCCCCCATCCTACCCCAACAAGAACCAGATAGCGCCTTCCTGAACTGATCAGTTTCTCACCTTGCCTTTTTTAAAAAACCGCCATTGGTACAAACAGATGTGGTAGTGAAGGTGAGTGTGATTTTCCTTCAAGATACAGGATCAGAGACACCTCTGCTTATAGCCTGTCCTACCTGCTCATCACTTTACTATTTGTTTTTGGTTTGGTGTGAACCAGGGTCTGCTCAATCCAACTCTTCTGCTCTCTAACCTTCACACAGTTTCCCCACACAACCTTCCCACATTTTACTAGTAGCTGCCCATTCCTCTCCATCCACAAAGTTACTGAGGGAGAAGCCATGTTTGGGCAGGGTGACCTGACCCCACACACCACCGCATCTCCTTAGCCCAATGGGCCAAGCCCATGTCCTACTCCTGGGGAGCTTGGAATTCATGCAGGAGAGACAGCTCAGAAGCTGTTGACAGTAGCTGGTTTTTGCCAAGTGGATTAGTAAGCAGAGAAAGCTGCTCTGCAGCCAGATGGATGGATGGATGGACTTGCATACAAGCAGGAAAAAGAGAGTGAGGGAAGCCTTAACTGTCCACGGTGCTTTCATTCCTAGTTCCAGAACATCCCTAAGGCCCAGCTGCCTCTTGACTTTGGCTTCGTTGATAATCCTCTAGCTTGAGCTAGTTTATGTGGACTTCTGTTGCTTACCTGAAACCAAAAGAACCCCCATTTATCAGAAATCACCTCTGAATCCATTAGCTGGAGAATGGCCAGAGCTGGAGCACCGTAAGATCTCCCCCCAAAAAACACTCCTGTGAGGCCTGGAAAATCCTCCTACTGTATCATTTGAGCCACATTTTACCATCTCACCCACAAGGGTGAAATGCAAGTTTGGAGAATGACTCCATGACATCCAGACACCTTCTCACTCCCCATTTAACTTTGAGCTGGCACATTAACCACAACTGCCAGCTCACATTCATTTTAGCTGCCATGTTTTAGGAAGGACAGTAATGGTTCACAGTCCTTTATCCAAATTCTTGAAGCCCAGTGTTTTGGAATTCAAAATTTTTCAGATTTTAAGAAGTATGGCCCATTATAAATTACATTATAAATTATATAACTCCCCTGGAAGGGTCTATGACTGTCTCCTAATCAAACAAAATGCACTAATATTTAAAAAATGGAATAAATAATGATTATAAGTAGTTTCATGTCAAGTTTTCCTTCCAAACAGTTTCAGATTAACTCAGGACAGGTGTTGCCTCAAGTGAGTTACTAAAAATCTTAGTTTCAAAGCTTTCAATATTGCAGTCATGAACGATTATGGTTGCCCATTTCACAGATAAGTAAATTGATGACCAAGAAGGCTAGGTACCTTACTCGGGCAGTCTGGCTCTAAAGGCCACAGCCTTCACTACCATCCCATCCTGCCACTCCACTGTTACACTGCCTCTTCAAACTTAACCCTAACCAAGAGTGGCAGGCTGATGCCAGATCTGCTAAACCCTATGGAAAAAATCAGAATGGGAGCTGTTGAACAGAATAGACAAAGCCAAAAAGGAGATGTGGTCATCTTCTTCAGATAGCCATCTTTTCCGCAAATTCTTTCCCTAAGGCCATTTTTAACCAGGGGACACTGGGCTACCAAGGACACTAAGAACAATCTTGCAAGGAGAAAGAGGTGTTGAGGTTCTGAGCGAGAGGTATGCAAAGGATGAGTAGAGGTTAATCCTAATCTTTGCCAAGTAAAGCAAAGGAAAGCTATGAGTGTCAACAGCCTCAGGTCTTTATCTTTTAGTTTGTTCATTCATCACTCATTGGGTGCCTACTTTGTGTACAATGCAATCAGTGCTGGAAAATGCCAGAGAACAAACTGTCCCTGGCTAGCAAAGCCCTCTACAAGCCTGCTCCCAGCTGCCTTTCTGATCTCTTCTCTCCCCTTATAACCTTCTCCCTCTCCCACTAAATCCAGCCACACCAGCCCTTCCGTGTCACAAACCCTCCAAGATCTTCCCGGCATCGGGACCTTTGCCCTTGCAGCTTCCCGTGCAGGCACTTTCTGCTTCCCGCTCTTCCAATGCCTGGCTGACTTCCCTAACCACCCAAAGGGAGGAGCCACCCAGTCGCTCATTTCCCCATTGCCTTAATTTTCATCTTTGCTCTTACTGGTATCTACTGTTGTTTCTGTTTTTCATTTGTTTACCTTCTCTCCCTATTGAATACAGCTTTCTGGGATCGGGAAGCTGATCTGTTTTGCAGTCTGCTGAATCTGCAATGTTTCAAATAGTGCCTAGTGCATAGTAAGTAGTCTATAAATATTTATTGAATAACAAGAAAGAAATTGGGCTTATATTTTGGAGTTTATGTTAGCTTTGTTGTTTTGTTTGTTTTTTGAAAGCCTGAAGTTTTAGACTAGAGAAAACATAACACAGGTATGTGGCTGAGATGGCTACCTGTCCAGCAACATCCATATTCCCTGTCTTTAATAAGAGCACTCCTGTGTTTTAGCTGAGAATTTCTCTGGCCAGTTCAAGTGTACTTTTCTTGGCATCTTTACAGCATGGATTTGGTCATGCTGGGTGAGAATGAGCTGTGTCATTTCTGAGTCATGTCCTTAAAAGAAATTTACATCCTCCCTTCCCCTGGCCTTTATCCCCCTTCCCGCTACCTAGATGATATCAGGATCCAAAGCAACCCCGTTGGAGCCAAAGATGGAAATCCTGTGTTGAGAAAGACGAGCCGCCTTGTCAGCTGTGAACAGTTTACTTCTGGGTTATTACATGGAGAAAAATAAACTCCCATCTTTTTAAACCATTATATGTGGGGCTTTCTTAGTTACAACAGCTAGGCCAGTACCCTATGCCTAACAGAAGTTTTTAAGTCTTTTTCAGCAACTTAGAGTGTTTTAGCTCTATCTGGTCTGCCTCTGCCAGAAACTACTACACAAATATTACCTTTTTTTTTGTTTTATTTTATCCTTACCATTTGTCAAGTTAGTTCCTGTGTCCCACAACACACCGCATTTGTGTGTTGCAGAAAGAGAAGGAAAACACATTTAATGAATGTCTACTAGGTACCAGGGACTATATTAAATGCCTTGCCTGTAATACTTTGATTCTCCTAATAGACATATGAGTCTGATGTCATTTTCTCTTTTTTTTCCTTTTTTTTTTTACTATTATTAAACTTTAAGTTCTAGGGTACATGACCACAACGTGCAGGTTTGTTACATAGGTATACATGTGCCATGTTGGTGTGCTGTACGCATTAACTTGTCATTTACATTAGGTGTATCTCCTAATGTTATCCCGTCGCCCTCCCCCCACCCCATGACAGGCCCCGGTGTGTGAGGTTCCTCTTCCTGTGTCCATGTGTTCTCATTGTTCAATTCTCACCTGTGAGTGAGAACATGTGGTGCTTGGTATTTTGTCCCTGGGATAGTTTGCTGAGAATGATGGTTGCCAGCTTCATCCATGTCCCTACAAAGGACATGAACTCATCCATTTTTATGGCTGTACAGTATTCCATGGTGTATATGTGCCACATCTTTTTAATCCAGTCTATCATTGATGGACATGTGGGTTGGTTCCAAGTCTTTGCTATTGTGAATAGTGCCGCAATAAACACACATGTGCATGTGTCTTTATAGCAGCATGATTTATAATCCTTTGGGTATATACCCAGTAATGGGCTTGCTAGGTCAAATGGTATTTCTAGTTCTAGATCCTTGAGGAATCGCCACACTGTCTTCCACAATGGTTGAACCAGTTTACAGTCCCACCAACAGTGTAAAAGTGTTCCTATTTCTCCACATCCTCTCCAGCATCTGTTGTTTCCTGACTTTTTAATGACTGCCATTCTAACTGGTGTGAGATGGTATCTCATTGTGGTTTTGATTTGCATTTCTCTGATGGCCAGTGATGATGAACATTTTTTCATGTGTCTGTTGGCTGCATAAATGTCTTCTTTTGAGACATGTCTGTTCATATCCTTTGCCCACTTGTTGATGGGGTTGTTTTTTTCTTGTAAATCTGTTTGGGTTCTTTGAAGATTCTGGATATTAGCCCGTTGTCAGATGAATAGATTGCAAAATTTTTCTCCCATTCTGTAGGTTGCCTGTTCACTCTGGTGGTAGTTTCTTTTGCTGTGCAGAAGCTCTTTAGTTTAATTAGATCCCATTTGTCTATTTTGGCTTTTGTTGCCATTGCTTTTGGTGTTTTAGACATGAAGTCCTTGCCCATGCCTATGTCCTGAACGGTATTGCCTAGGTTTTCTTCTAGGGTTTTTATGGTTTTAGGTCTAACATTTAAGTCTTTAATCCACCTTGAATTAATTTTTGTATAAGGTATAAGGAAGGGATCCAGTTTCAGCTTTCTACATATGGCTAGCCAGTTTTCCCAGCGCCATTTATTAAATAGGGAATCCTTTCCCCGTTGCTTGTTTTTGTCAGGTTTGTCAAAGATCAGATGGTTGTAGATGTGTGGTATTATTTCTGAGGGCTCTGGTCTGTTCCATTGATCTATATCTCTGTTTTGGTTACTGTAGCCTTGTTGTACAGTTTGAAGTTAGGTAGCATGATGCCTCCAGCTTTGTTCTTTTGGCTTAGGATTGTCTTGGCAATGTGGGCTCTTTTTTGGTTCCATATGAACTTTAAAGTAGTTTTTTCCAATTCTGTGAAGAAAGTCATTGGTAGCTTGATGGGGATGGCACTGAATCTGTAAATTACCTGGGCAATATGGCCATTCTCACAATATTGATTCTTCCTATCCATGAGCATGGAATGTTCTTCCATTTGTTTGTGTCCTCTTTTATTTCATTGAGCAGTGGTTTGTAGTTCTCCTTGAAGAGGTCCTTCACATCCCTTGTAAGTTGGATTCCTAGGTATTTTATTCTCTTTGAAGCAATTGTGAATGGGAGTTCACTCATGATTTGGCTCTCTGCTTGTCTGTTATTGGTGTATAAGAATGCTTGTGATTTTTGCACACTGATTTTGTATCCTGAGACTTTGCTGAAGTTGCCTATCAGTTTAAGGAGATTTTGGGCTGAGACGATGGGGTTTTCTAAATATACAATCATGTCATCTGCAAACAGGGACAATTTGACTTCCTCTTTTCCTAATTGAATACACTTATTTCTTTCTCCTATCTGATTGCCCAGGCCAGAACTTCCAACACTATGTTGAATAGGAGTGGTGAGAGAGGGCATCCCTGTCTTGTGCCAGTTTTCAAAGAATGTTTTTGCCCATTCAGTATGATATTGGCTGTGGGTTTGTCATAAATAGCTCTTATTTTGAGATATGTCCCATCAATACCTAATTTATTGAGAGTTTAACATGAAGGGCTGTTGAATTTTGTCAAAGGCCTTTTCTGCATCTATTGAGATAATCATGTGGTTTTTGTCTTTGGTTCTATTTATATGCTGGATTATGTTCATTGATTTGCGTATGTTGAACCAGCCTTGCATCCCAGGGATGAAGCCCACTTGATAATGGTAGATAAGCTTTTTGATGTGCTGCTAGATTCAGTTTGCCAGTATTTTATTGAGGATTTTTGCATCAATGTTCATCAGGGATATTTGTCTAACATTCTCTTTTTTTTGTTGTGTCTCTGCCAGGCTTTGGTATCAGGATGATGCTGGCCTCATAAAATGACTTAGGGAGGATTCCCTCTTTTTCTATTGATTGGAATAGTTTCAGAAGGAATGGTACCAGCTCCTCCTTGTACCTCTTGTAGAATTCAGCTGTGAATCTGTCTGGTCCTGGACTTTTTTTGGTGGGTAGGCTATTAATTATTGCCTCAATTTCAGAGCCTGTTATTGGTTATTCAGGGATTCGACTTCTTCCTGGTTTAGTCTTGGGAGGGTGTATGTGTCCAGGAATTTATCCATTTCTTCTAGATTTTCTAGTTTATTTGCATAGAAGTGTTTATAGTATTCTCTGATGGTAGTTTGTATTTCTGTGGGATCGGTGGTGATATCCCCTTTATCATTTTTTATTGTGTCTATTTGATTCTTCTCTCTTTTCTTCTTTATTAGTCTTGCTAGTGGTCTATCAATTTTGTTGATCTTTCAAAAAACCAGCTCCTGGATTCATTGATTTTTTGAAGGGTTTTTTGTGTCTCTATTTCCTTCAGTTCTGCTCTGATCTTAGTTATTTTTTGCCTTCTGCTAGCTTTTGAATGTGTTTGCTCTTGCTTCTCTATTTCTTTCAATTGTGATGTTAGGGTGTCAATTTTAGATCTTTCCTGCTTTCTCCTGTGGGCATTTAGTGCTAATAAATTTCCCTCTACACACTGCTTTAAATGTGTCCCAGAGATTCTGGTATGTTGTGTCTTTGTTCTCATTGGTTTCAAAGAACATCTTTATTTCTGCCTTCATTTTGTTATGTACCCAGTAGTCATTCAGGAGCAGGTTGTTCAGTTTCCATGTAGTTGAGCAGTTTTGAGTGAGTTTCTTAATCCTGAGTTCTAGTTTGATTGCACTGTGGTCTGAGAGACAGTTTGTTATGATTTCTGTTCTTTTCCATTTGCTGAGGAGTGCTTTACTTCCAACTATGTGGTCAATTTTGGAATAAGTGTGATGTGGTGCTGAGAAGAATGTATATTCTGTTGATTTGGGGTGGAGAGTTCTGTAGATGTCTGTTAGGTCCACTTGGTGCAGAGCTGAGTTCAATTCCTGGATATCCTTGTTAACTTTCTGTGTGGTTGGTCTGTCTAGTGTTGACAGTGGGGTGTGAAAGTCTCCCATTATTATTGCGTGGGAGTCCAAATCTCTTTGTAGGTCTCTAAGGACTTGCTTCATGAATCTGGGTGCTCCTGTATTGGGTGTATATATATATTTAGGATAGTTAGCTCTTCTTGTTGAATTGATCCTCTTACCATTATGTAATGGCCTTCTTTGTCTCTTTTTATCTTTGTTGGTTTAAAGTCTGTTTTATCAGAGACTAGGATTGCAAGCCCTGCCTTTTTTTCTTTTCCATTTACTTGGTAGATCTTCCTCCATCCCTTTATTTTGAGCCTATGTGTGTCTCGGCACATCAGATGGGTCTCCTGAATACAGCACACTGATGGGTCTTGACTCTTTATCCAATTTGCCAGTCTGTGTCTTTTAATTGGAGCATTTAGCTCATTTACATTTAAGGTTAATATTGTTATGTGTGAATTTGATCCTGTCATTATGATGTTAGCTGGTTATTTTGCTCGTTATTTGATGCAGTTTCTTCCTAGCATCAATGTTCTTTACAATTTGGCATGTTTTTGCAGTGGCTGGTACCAGTTGTTCCTTTCCATGTTTAGTGCTTCAGGAGCTCTTGTAGGGCAGGCCTGGTGGTGACAAAAATCTCTCAGCATTTGTTTGTCTGTAAAGGATTTTATTTCTCCTTCACTTATGAAGCTTAGTTTGGCTGGATATGAAATTCTGGGTTGAAAATTCTTTGCTTTAAGAATGTTGATATCTTTTGCCCACTTTTTGATGGGGTTGTTTTTTTCTTGGAAATTTATTTGAGTTCATTGTAGATTCTGGGTATTAGCCCTTTGTCAGATGAGTAGGTTGTGAAAATCTTCTCCCATTTTGTAGGTTGCCTGTTCACTCTGATGGTAGTTTCCTTTGCTGTGCAGAAGCTCTTTAGTTTAATTAGATCCCATTTGTCAATTTTGGCTTTTGTTGCCATTGCTTTTGGTGTTTTAGACATGAAGTCCTTGCCCATGCCTATGTCCTGAATGGTAATGCCTAGCTTTTCTTCTAGGGTTTTTATGGTTTTAGGTCTAACGTTTAAGTCTTTAATCCATCTTGAATTAATTACTTCTCAAAAGAAGACATTTATGCAGCCAAAAGACACATGAAAAAATGCTCATCATCACTGGCCATCAGAGAAATGTAAATCAAAACCACAATGAGATACCATCTCACACCAGTTAGAATGGCGATCATTAAAAAGTCAGGAAACAACAGGTGCTGGAGAGGATGTGGAGAAATAGGAACACTTTTACACTGTTGGTGGGACTGTCAACTAGTTCAACCATTGTGGAAGTCAGTGTGGCGATTCCTCAGGGATCTAGAACTAGAAATGCCATTTGACCCAGCCATCCCATTACTGGGTATATACCCAAAGGACTATAAATCATGCTGCTATAAAGACACATGCACACGTATGTTTATTGCGGCACTATTCACAATAGCAAAGACTTGGAACCAACCCAAATGTCCAACAATGATAGTCTGGATTAAGAAAATGTGGCACATATACACCATGGAATACTATGCAGCCATAAAAAATGATGAGTTCATGTCCTTTGTAGGGACATGGATGAAATTGGAAATCATCATTCTCAGTAAACTATCGCAAGGACAGAAAACCAAACACCGCATGTTCTCACTCACAGATGGGAATTGAACAATGAGAACACATGGACACAGGAAGGGGAACATCACACAATGAGAACACATGGACACAGGAAGGGGAACATCACACTCTGGGGACTGTTGTGGGGTGGGGGGAGGGGGGAGGGATAGCATTAGGAGATATACCTAATGCTAAATGACGAGTTAATGGGTGCAGCACACCAGCATGGCACATGTATACATATGTAACTAACCTGCACATTTTGCACATGTACCCTAAAACTTAAAGTCTAATAATAATAAAAAAAAGGAAAAAAAAGTTAAACATTAAAAAAAAAAAAAAAGAATGCTGAATATTGGCCCCCACTCTCTTCTGGCTTGTAGAGTTTCTGCCGTGAGATCCGCTGTTAGTCTGATGGGCTTCCCTTTGTGGGCAACCTGAGCTTTCTCTCTGGCTGTCTTTAACATTTTTTCCTTCATTTCAACTTTGGTGAATCTGACAATTATGTGTCTTAGAGTTGCTCTTCTCAAGGAGTATCTTTGTGGCATTCTCTGTATTTCCTGAATTTGAATGTTGGCCTGCATTGCTAGGTTGGGGAAGTTCTCCTGGATAATATCCTGCAGAGTGTTTTCCAGCGTGGTTCCATTCTCCCCGTCATTTTCAGGTACACCAATCAGATGTAGATTTGGTCTTTTCACATAGTCGCATATTTCTTGGAGGCTTTGTTCGTTTCTTTTTACTTTTTTTCTCTAAACTTCTCTTCCCGCTTCATTTCATTCATTTGATCTTCAATCACTGATACCCTTTCTTCCAGTTGATCGATTCGGCTATTGAAGCTTGTGCATGAGTCACGTAGTTCTCGTGCCACAGTTTTCAGCTCCATCAGGACATTTAAAGACTTCTCTACACTGGTTATTCTAGTTAGCCATTCGTCTAATCTTTTTTCAAGGTTTTCAGCTTCTTTGCAATGGGTTCGAACTTCCTCCTTTAGCTCGGAGAAGTTTGATCATCTGAAGCCTTCTCTCAACTCGTCAAAGTCATTCTCCATCCAGCTTTGTTCCATTGCTGGTGAGGAGCTGTGTTCCTTTGGAGGAGGGAGAGGCGCTTTGATTTTTAAAATTTTCAGCTTTTCTGCTCTGTTTTTTCCTCATCTTTGTGGTTTTATCTACCTTTGGTCTTTGATGATGGTGACGTACAGATGGGGTTTTGGTGTGGATGTCCTTTCTGTTTGTTAGTTTTCCTTCTAACAGTCAGGAACCTCAGCTGCAGGTCTGTTGGAGTTTGCTGGAGGTCCACTCCAGACCCTGTTTGCCTGGGTATCAGCAGCAGAGGCTGCAGAACAGTGGATATTGCTGAACAGCAAATGTTGCTGCCTGATCGTTCCTCTGGAAGCTTCGTCTCAGAGGGATACCCGGCCATGTGAGGTGTCAGTCTGCCCCTGTTGGGGGGGTGCCTCCCAGTTAGGTTACTCAGGGGTCAGGGACCCACCTGAGGAGTCAGTCTGTCAGTTCTCAGATCTCAGACTCTCTGCTGGGAGAACCACTACTCTCTTCAAAGCTGTCAGACAGGGACATTTAAGTCTGCAGAGCTTTCTGCTGCCTTTTGTTCGGCTATGCTTTGTCCCCAGAGGTGGAGTCTACAGAGGCAGGCAGGCCTCCTTGAACTGTGGTGGGTTCCACCCAGTTCGAGCTTCCCAGCTGCTTTGTTTACCTACTCAAGCCTCAGCAATGGTGGGTGCCCCTCCCCCAACCTTGCTGCCACCTTGCAGTTCAATCTCAGACTGCTGTGCTAGCAATGAGCCAGGCTCCGTGGGCGTGGGACCCTCCGAGCCAGGCACGGGATATAATCTCCTGGTGTGCCGTTTTCTAAGACCATTGGAAAAGCACAGTATTAGGGTGGGAGTGACCCCATTTTCCAGGTGCCATCTGTCACAGCTTCCCTTGGCTAGGAAAGGGAATTCCCTGACCCCCTTGCACTTCCCAGGTGAGGCGATGCCTCGCCCTGCTTCGGCTCACGCTCGGTGCACTGCACCCACTGTCCTGCACCCACTGTCCAACAAGCCCCAGTGAAATGAACCCGGTACCTCAGTTGGAAATGCAGAAATCACCCGCCTTCTGCGTCACTCATGCTGGGAGCTGTAGACTGGAGCTGTTCCTATTCGGCCATCTTGGACTAAATCGATGTCATTTTCATTTTATACACATGGAAACAGGCTCAGAGAGGTTAGGTGTCTTGTCCAAGTTCACACAGCTATTAAGTGTCAGAGTTGGGCTTTGAACCCAGAGGACATCGAGCCTGCTCATTCTAATACTCTGAACTTACATCATGGTATATGAAATGACTGAGGGCTTGCATAGGGGTTTCAAGATTTGCTTTTCTTTTGGCTATAATTGACATCATTAATATAATTGTGTGACTTTCACTTCATAGCTTGCTGCTCTTTATGATGTCTTTATGTAGCCTTTTATCTCTCACGGTCATGTTTATTTGTTTATAAAAATTGTGGTAAAATATAACAAAATTTACCATTTTGGCCATTTTTAACTGTACAGTTCAGTGACATTAAGTACATTCACATTGTTGTTCAGCCCTCATCACTATCCATCTCCAGAATCTTTTTAACCAGCCCCTGAAAACAATATGAAACACTTCATGAATTTTTGTGTCCTCTTTGCACAGGGGCCATGCTAATCTCTCAGTCTCATTCCAATTTTGGTATATGTGCTGCAAAGCAAGGGGGCCTTGTGTTTAAGTCACTGGTTTTCTAACTCTTGGCTCCCCTCCCCATTCTCTAGCTTTCCTTCTGTGATCTGCTGCCTTCAGCTCAGTAATGAATTGGAGTGTCCCAGTCATACCTGTGCCTGCTCAGGATCGTGAGGGAGAGGAAGGAGAAAAAGGCATGATTCTTTATCAAGTGGCCTGGCTTGGATCTTATCTCTGCTTTCTGCCCCCACCAACAACCCAGGAATCAGAGCAAGGAGACAGGAGAAGGTTCACAAACTCCCTAATTGAAATCTGAATCATTTCGGAGTTTCTTAGCCCTTCAAAGGGTGAGTTAGGAACTGTGATTTGCTCCACACTGGAGCCATCAAGATGAGATGGCTGAGCATGGTGGCTCACACTCGTAATCTCAGCACTTTAGGAGGCAAAGGTGGGAGGATCACTTGAGGTCAGGAGTTTGAGACTAGCCTGGCCAACATAGTGAAACCCCAACTCTACTAAAAAAGTACAAAAATTAGCTAAGCGTGGTGGTGCACCCCTGTAGTCCCAGCTACTCAAGAGGCTGAGGCAGAGAATCGCTTGAACCCAGGAGGCAGAGGCTGCAGTGAGCCTAGATCACACCACTGCACTCCAGCCTGGGCAACAGAGACTCAGTCTCAGAAAAACAAAGCAAAAGAAAAGATGAGACTTAGAGAGCTCCCGCGTGCCAGGGCCAGGAGGAGAGATGGGAGTCACCAAGTCTTTCCTCGTCCCCTGGGTTCACAGGGGAGGCCACCAAGGGTCCAGTCAGTGTTGTAGCTTGAGCCCTGGTAGGAGCTAGATAACCAGGTAGGATTCCTGACTCTCATCCAGGTCCCTCTACCTTAACATCTACTGACAAATCTCACCCTGCCCAATATCGTCCTATTTCCTCTTACATATACTTAAAAGCCTTTCTCTCCCTAACTAATGCCTCAAGCACTGTCAGCACTTCCCAACAGAGCCCGTTGATCCCATGGGTCTTTCAGATCCAGTGCTAGGGGATTAATAAAAACCTTTAAAAAAGTAGGCAGCTGTTGTGGTTGCTCTGCTTTGCCACCCAGCTCCCCAGCAGGACAGCAGGTCCTGTCCCGCAAGCTGCTGGGAATGTTGGCTAACAGCCCTCAACTGCCAGCCCGTTCTGGAATTGCCCTCACCTGCAGAGAGCCACCCTGCCTGGGGTTATGCCCCCTTCCCAGGACAGCCTGATCTCATGACAGGAAGGGCCATCCTAGCTCCAAGCTCTCTATGGAGCTGCAGAGGCCAGTCATGAATGCACTGTGGCCCAGCTCCTCCCTCTGAACAATTTGGCTTACTTTCCTTCCCCACAGGTGCTAACCCTAGTAGCTCCCCTAATAAATCTCTGGCACATTAATCTCTCCATCAGAAACTGCTCTTTAGGAAGCCAACCTACAACAGCTCCAAAATAAAAAAGAACAATTAAGAGGCTCTAATGAATAAATGTTTAATGCAATGTTTACAGATGCCACATTATGTGAACTCCATTAATTGTTAAATTTAGTATTCATCAACATTTAAAATATCATTACCTCTAATCACCATCTGCAGGTCAGAATTTCTCAGTTCATGTAAATTCCAGCCCATATGTAATAGATGCTGACAAATAATAGCGAATTGTAAATTAAATGCAGCACTTACAGTTAAATAATTTCAAAAGTAAAGTTACTAGGGCTGGGTGCAGGGGCTCATACCTGTAATCCCAAAACTTTGGGAGGCCAGTAAGCAGAAGGACTGCTTGAAGCCAGTTCAAAACAAGGCTGGGCAAAAAAGCAAGACCTCAGCCCCCACCCTCCACAAAACATTTTTAAAAATTAGCTGGATGTGGTAGCACATGCCTATAGTCCTAGCTACTTGGGAGGCTGAGGTGGGAGGATTGCTTGAGCCCAGGGGGCCGAGACTGCAGTGAGCCGGGATAGCACTATTGCACCCCAGCCTGGGTGACAGAGACCCTACCTCAAAAAAAAAGTCATTAGATTGAAATTATGAAACTGCTAATATCTGACCATTTTTGACCTTTATAAATGGCAATTTCACATGGTTCAACATAGTATCTCATCAAATATTTACTTATATTTAATTGGGGATGTAGGTGTACTCTAATGTGTTTGCCTTCCAACATTAAGCATGCTAAGGCCTGTAAAGATGTCAGAAACAGCCTTCCCTCTTTGGAATAAAGATACTACAAGCAGAATAGAGACAAAAATCAAGATAATGGCAAGATTTGGGAGCAAAGAAAGGAAACTGAAGCCCAGACCTAATTTCACTCTGCATGACTCATTGCACGGTTGAAGCATTTCTTGCCTCTCGAGGTTTCACCCTCATCTCAAGCTCCTAGGGCCCCATTTCCTGCTTTCCCACTTTCTGTACTCATTCTCCCTTTCGGAGGTTTCCTCCTCTGTGGGAAAGCATGGATGTAAGAAGGATCTGAGTTTCATGGGGGAGGAATCAAATTATAAACAGCTCCCCTTTCAATGAAAGGCTTTTTTTCTGATAATATCAGCATTTGAAAGGTTCCTATGTGTGTTATCCTTTCGGTCCCTTGTGACAATGTCCCAAACCTCTACCAATAAATTATTTTCTCTGCTCTCCAAAAATGGCTTTGTTCCCACAAATACTGTTCATGGGAAGAGACTGCGAGGTTAGTCTATTCCCTGCCATTTGATCATTTTATTTATTACACTGATCCAACACGTAAGTAAGCATTCAAGCCTTTCATTTATACTGGATGCAACTTCAAAATTCTAAGAGCTGGTTTAGAGAACTTTAAGCTCCTGCAGTGTGGGTTCTCATCACCATACTTCCCCAAGCCTGAACCTGCTACTCACTCCTCTCCCTCACCCACTGCAGGGCACCTATGAGAGCGTGCCGGGAACAAGGGCCTCTGCATTTGCTCAGGACTCCCTCCTGGGAGGGGAAGCTGGAGGCTGGGCGGAGTTGGACCAGAAGAATGGAAATGATGTAGAGACCCAGGCCCTGTCTTAAAGAAACTAAAAATCTTGTAGACAGGAGCACCCAACATGGAAAACTATGCATGCTATCCCTGAAAAGGAGAGTTCTTTTAAAAAAATGAGTTTGCAAACATGAGGGGAACGATTAGTGGAAGGTGAGGGCATTAAAAAGGACTTTCTCTCTTTTCCTTTTTAAATTGTGTGGTCCTTTATCCAATTATGAAAGCAATACACATTCTTGGTAGAAAAATGAGAAAATCATAAACAGTGGACCCTTGAACAACATGGGTTTCAACTGCATGGCTCCACTTTTAGACCCAATTTTTTTTCAATAAATATGTCAGAAAAATGTTAGAGGTTTGTGACAATTTGAAAAAACTTGCAGATGAACTGCATCCACAAGTAGGGTTTATAAACAGAACTGCCCTTATCTATAAAGCTGCTAACCCTGAAGCTTGGAGGGAAAAGAGAAACACCAGCTGCCAGCCTTTTGGAGGTACAACAAGGCAGCCTGGACAAGAACCCTTTTTCTGGACTGTTTTCATCAACGCTTTGTCCCTGAAGTCAGGAAGTACCCTACCTGTAAGGGACTGCTTTTTAAAGTTCTTTTGATATTGGACAATGCCGCTGACCACCCAGAACCCCATGAGTTCATCATCAAGGGCATTGAAGTAGTCCATTTGTGACTAAACACAACATCTCTAATTCAGCCTCTAGACCCAGAATCATAAGGATCCTTAAAGCTCATTACACACAGTACCCTATGGAAAAGATTTGTCAATGCTATGGAAGAAAACCCCAGTAGAGAGAACATCACAAAGTCTACAAGGATTACACCGTTGAAGATACCACTGTTGTCATAGAAAAAGCCATCAAGCCTGAAACAATAAATTCCTGAAACAATAAATTCCTGCTGGAAAATAAACTGTGTCCAGATATTGTGCATGACTTCACAAGATTGACAAGAGCACCAATCAAGGAAATCATGAAAGAGATTGTGGATATGGCCAAAGGAAAAAAAAATAGGTGGAGGGTGAACGGTTTCAAGATATGGATCCTGGAGAAATTTAAGAGCTAACAGATGCCACAGGAATTAACAGAAGACAACACGATGGAGATGAGTGTTTCTGAACCAGCACCAGACAATGAGGAAAACAGTGTAGAAGAAGCAGTGCCAGGAAACAAACTGACATTAGACAATACAGCAGAAGCATTCCAATTATTCAAAACTGCTTTAACTGCTTTTATAACATGGACCCTTCTATGATAGGGGCACTGAAACTAAAGCAAACAGTGGAAGAAGGATCAGCACTATACAGAAACACTTTTAGAGAAATGAGAAAGCAAAAAAGTCGACAGAAATTATCATGTATTTCCATAAAATTACACCAAGTGTGCTTGCCTCTCCTGCCTCCCCTCCCACCTTCTCCACCTCTTACACTTCTACTGACCCTAAGAAAGCAAGACCAACCCCTTCCTCCCCAACCTACTCAAAGAGAAGATGACAAGGATCAAGACCTTTATGATGATCCACTTCCCCTTAATGAATAGTGAATCTATTTCCTCTTCCTTATGATTTCTTAATATTTTCTTTTCTTTAGCTTACTTTATCATAAGAATATAGTATGTAATACATATAACACACAAAATATGTGTTAACTGTTTATGTAAGTCTTCCAGTTCATAGTAGGCTATTAGTAGCTACATTTTTGCAGAGTCAAAAGTTAAACACAGATTTTTGGCTGTGCAGGGGATCAGCAACCCTAGCCCCTGCATTGTTCAAGGGCCAACTGCATGTGTGATACACACACACACAAATATATTCAAATCATTCCAATTCTACTACCCAGAGACAGCATCTGTAACTACTCTTTTATAAATTATTCTACTTAATTTGACTTGGATTTGAAGGGGAAAAAAATGACAGTTAAGAAATTGCTGAATTTTATAAATATATTTCTTCAAAATAAGAGCTCTTCATTATTAAGAAACTTTTCAAGTCGATTACAAAAATATGAGGCTTTGAGACTGGAGTATTTTTTGGTTTATGCTTCTTAATATCCATAAGTTTAAGTTTCCGAAACTAATCCTTAGATGATCATGTAATCAAAATCAGAAGCCACAATATATGTTTTAAAGAGTTCTTTTTTTTACTTTTTCTTTGAGAGAAAAAGAGAATGAAAATGAGAGCAAAACTTTACACCTAAGTTTACTCTCAGGTTAATTCTTCAAAATAAATAATTAGGGAAAAGCTGATATATAAAGAAAAATATGCTATAAAAATGGCAAGCCACTTTCACAACCAAAAAAAACCACCTTTGTCTTCTGCAGTTTTGAACAGATACTGGGTGTACAATAGTGTTTGATGAATAACAGAATACATGAAAGAAAAATGGCTATTATCAATCTATATGAAAAATATAAATGGCAGCATAAGATTACAAAACAGGAAAATGAGAGAAAATGTATTTTCAATATATGTAATATCCTTAACTCATGAAGAGCTGTTACAAATCAGTAATACTTAAAATAGCAATATTTATAAAATCCCATAGACAAAGACTACGAAGAGCCCTGGCCTGTTCAGATGTAGAAGAGAATCTGAAAATGGCCAACAAGCTATGCATTGATGCTTAATCTCATTAGATCCCAGGAAAAGGCAAATTTAAAATAAGGAGAAATCATTTATGCCCATGATATTAGCCAAAATTGAGATGATTTTTAATTTCCTGGTAAGGTTGGTAAGGTTTGAGGAAGATAGCTACACTTGCTCACTAATAATAAGACTCTAAATTGTTGCAAACTTTTTTGATAATAATCTGGCACCATATATTAAAGTGTATAGCACACATTCTGCTGGGCCCAGAAGTGCTACTTCAGGGCATCCACAGAGAAGAAATAAAACTACAAGTATATTAAGACACATTTCACAATAATATCAGTAACAAACATTTACTGAGCACACACTATGTGCCCAGTGCTGTGCTAAATGCCTTACAAAGGATATCTGAATTATCATAACAGCTTTATGAGGTAGTTGCCATTATCTCACAGATGAATACTAAAATTTAGCAAAGTTAAATATGTTGTCCAAGGTTTTAAAAAATACACTAGTAAATGTTAGAGTTGAAACTTGAAACTGCTCAGTGTGATGGCAGCCACTGTAACATGCTGCCAAATCAGAGACAAATAACCAAAAAAGAAAACTTAGCCAAATGCCCTTGGAAGAGGAGTGGTGACAATGACCTCAACCACTAGAAACAAAATGCCTGGTCTCACTTTGGTTTCAGAATTAAAATCCACTTTGACGAGGGGTAGGAATGTTGGAACAAATGTTTTCCATAGAAGCAGAGAGAAAAAGTTGCAACGAGGAAGAAAGAGATTAATATGAAAATTTTTGCCAGATGGGTGGTTTGGGAAGAGATTTCTCTCCAAGGCAACCTCGACTTCTCCTTATGAATGACTCTTAAGAAATGGAGGCAGAGTCTCTAACCAGACCACGGGCAAGGTGCAGCTTCCACAAGACTTCCCATAAGCAGCAGCTCTGCTGCCCTCACCCCAGCTGGCCCTCCCAAGAAAAATGGTTGAGGGCATGAGCAACATTTTTAAATGGCAGAGAGATGATTCTGAGGATTTTCAGGGCACTGGAAACGTTGCCTCAGTTTTCCTGGAAAATTCCACTTATTTGTTTTATCTCCTTGGTATTTGGAGAGTATGTCATAAATACTATGTCCTCACCAAGCCCATAGCTGACTCTGCCCTGAAACCTTAACCCCTGGTGGAAAGGAGAGAGACTTCATGTCTGTGGCAGGGCCATTTGCCACCATGTTCTGGGTTGCAGGGCTGACTACAGCCATTCCTCCTAGAGTTTATGTCTGGAATGTGGGTCAATATTCCACAGACAAACCACGTGCCAGTGCTGTATCTCTGGGTCCAGAGTACCCAGAAGCATATATTATCATCGGTTATCAACTATGCTTTAAAATAGGGTTTAAAACAATAATCACTATAAACAAGTTGCAAAGACCAACGTAGACAATATATTACAAGCCAAGGGTTATGATCAATCCAATTCTGTGAACCTGAATTCAATAATAATATAAAATAAATAAGTAGCAAGTGGCAGCCTGATAATCTGGTTTAAGAGACTGTGATAATCGGTCCCAGAGATTTTTTTTCTTTTTGTCAACTGTTATTAATAGCTACTTAACCTAACCTTGTTCTTTCTTTTTTTTTTTTTTTTTTTTTTTTTTTTGAGACGGAGTTTCGCTCTGTCGCCCAGGCTGGAGTGCAGTGGCGCGATCTCGACTCACTGCAAGCTCCGCCTCCCGGGTTCACGCCATTCTCCTGCCTCAGCCTCCTGTGTAGCTGGGACTACAGGCACGCGCCACCATGCCCGGCTAATTTTTGTATTTTTAGTAGAGACGGGGTTTCACCGTGTTAGCCAGGATGGTCTCGATCTCCTGACCTCGTGATCCGCCCGTCTCGGCCTCCCAAAGTGCTGGGGTTCTTTCTTTAGACTCATAGAAGTAAACTTCTAACTTGTCCAACTCCTGTCTTAGAGTGAAAATCTTTGAAGCCTATTTACAGCTCAGTCTCAACGATTTCCAGACAGACTCTCCATAACAAAGTCCTTGTAGAAAGCTCCTATTAAATTCTTCCTTTCCATGTAGGAAAAGTTTGCTTATTACCAGCTTATCCAAGAAGGCATGACGATGCTGACATGCCCAAGGAGCCCTAAGCATAATGAACAATCCCACACCTTCCAAGACTTTGACCACAGCAGAGAAAGAGAAGACTGTTTTGTGGCATTGGATACACAAGAAACGCCCAGATCCTGAGAGAACCATTATTTGGGTTCAGATCCCAGCTCTGCTACTTACTCGTCATGTGAACTTGGGCATGATACTTCACCCCTCTGTGCCTCAGTTGTACCATCTGTAAAATGGGATCAATTCATTATTCCTCCTTTATAGATTTGTTGTAAGGAGTGAATGAGAAATTACACGTAAAACATATAGCACTATATCTACGTAGAGGAAGCACTTAATAAATATTATTTTTAGTTGCTGTTGTTCCATCATGTAAAAAAAACAACCTTTGATGAACTTTCCTTGACGATCACAAGAGTGGCTAATCCCTTAGCTCTGGCATCTAACTGACTTGGATTCACAGTTCTGCTGTTTACTAGCTGTGCGACCTCTGACATTTTCTTAACTTTCATAAGCCCTTTCCTTATCTAGAAAAACGGAAGTGACCACAGTGCCATACCTCCTAAGGTTGTCAGGAGAATTAGAGATTATAAACCTTTTAAATTCCTAGTCCTACTAACACACAGTAAGTGTTCAATAATTAGCTGCTGTTTTATTTGAATGTGTACTTTTTACTTTAACTTCTGCTTGAATCAGGTAGTTAGATATTAGAACACAACTGATTTCCCTACTAAGATTTGCAGGTTTACTGCAGTTTAATAGTCAGTACTTTTTATGGTGCAAATCCTGGTCTAGGAGTTCGTATATAAAGATACCGGACACAACTCTGCTGAGTGCTAGCCAAGAGACTTCAGGAAAATATCAGAAGCTCGAGTTTCTTCACTGTGAATTGGGATAAAAATATCCTTTCTCACAGCACAGTAACATTTCCACGGAGTTATGGATGATAAGCACTTTGTAAATTATAAAGCAATACAAAAATGTAAGACTTCATTATTTTCCCTGAAGAAAAAGGAGGACTTCATATAAGAAATATAAATAGAGAATAACATAGACCTACAAAGTAATTTCTCCACTGACTAGAGTGGATTTTTATTTTAGAATAAGTTTAAGATAAGAATCTTTAAGAATCTCTCAGATTGAGGCTGGATATAGAAGCACAGAATCCCATCACAATCATCAGTTAATTTGTGTACATGCTACGGGAACATGATGTCCAGAGAACAGGGTCATAGACTAGGCTTCAGCATAGGGACAAATAGGCCAAACTTTACCTCTAAGCACCAGACAAGTCTTCTGGGCCATGGAGTATGCTTTGGCATTTAATGGGTATTTGCTTCTGGCTAATTTTAGTTCTGTGTCTCAAGGGATTCTCTACTGCAGACAAGTAGCTAAACATCTGAAGATCTTTCTCTCCTCCATCTCTCCCTTTCTCCTCTTTCTCTCTCCATTTTTTCTCTCTCTCACTTTTCCTCTCTGAAAATAAACCCATAAACATATCAACAGAATGTGGTAGGCAAGTACTCACGCTTCTACTAAAGATTGTAGTTAAGTTAAACAAAAAAAAAATCCTAATTATTTCCATTACTCAAAATTTTTGGTGGATTTTTTTTTGTTTTTTTCTCATGGTTTTTTAGAGATCATATATTTTTTCTATTTGAATGTAAGAATTGATTTATGGCTGAGAAAATTAAAAGAGATCCAGGATGCAGGCAAATCCATCTGTTGTTATCTCCTTTGCCCTCTATGCAAGCAGTAACATTGGTAACCCAAACATCTGGTCACTTCAACCTATGTGAATCCACTCCCACAATGTCCCATACCAAATGCATTTGTTCTGAAAAGGAATATTCTCAGAGCAGTCAAATATTTTGATAAAATCCAGGAAAGAGGGTCTGGGTGCAGTGGCTCACACCTATAATCTCAGCACTTTGGAGGCCGAGGCTGGGCCCAGAAGTTCAAGACCAGCCTGAGCAACATAGCAAGACCCCATCTCTACAAAAATTTTTAAAATTAGCCAGGTATAGTGGCACACACCTATAGTCCCGGACACTTGAGAGGCTGAGATGGGAGGATCACTTGAGCCCAGCAGGTTGAGGCTACAGTGAGCTATGATAGTGCCACTGTACTCCAGCCTGGGTGACAGAGCGAGACCCTGTCTCAAAAAAAAAATTTTTTTTTAATCCAGGAAAAAGAAAGAGGAGGAAATTTTCCATCTTACAAGGAGCAAATTAATGTGCAAAGTAACTGAAGAGAATGCTGCCCACAATTACCTGCCTATCTGCAGTCCGTGTGAGAGCAGATCTCCTGATGTCTGAATCTATCCCCAATTGCTCTTAAAAGAAATCTCCATTAAAAAAATAAAATTACAGAAATAAACTGGGAGGGGGTAAACACACATTTATTCACTATGTATGTACTAAGTATCTACTCTAAGCAAAGCAGTGCAGGGCACAGGAAAGTATGTAAGAAATGGTCTACTCTAGGCAGAGGTTTCCCTCCAGTGAAGGGGATTAAATGACACAGTGGGCCATGAGTCCTGCCCACCCCTCACCCTATTGCAGAACCATAATCTCAAGTAAGTCAAGAATCTACCTCCTTCAAAACCCTCCCACAAGGATTATAGATTCCTCACCTCTTTATCCCCAGCTCTGCACAATTGGAATCTCATCATTTCATTCCCACCCTTTACTCTCAGCACTCCCCACCCAACAGCAAGTTCAAGTAGAGTCCCCCTCAAACACACCATGTTACTGCACTTTGCCTGTCGCTGGGGCCCTCTTTGCTGCTAGAATGACCTTTCCTTTCCCCACTTCCCAAGCCCTGCACTGCCTGAAGCCTACCTGGACTTCACCTCCTCCTGTCAATCTATCCCCTTTCCCCTCACTCTGGGCAAACTCATCCCACTTCCTGCTGCAGCCAGCTTTGATCCTATGCCATGGAGATGCTATCTCTGGTCCTTCATGGCTATACAGCATTTTCTGTCATTTTCCCTAGCTCCACTGAGAGCCCAGGTAGGCAAGACCATGCATTTATCATTTTATGTCCTCAGAGCCTAGCAGCTTAGCTTCTTGAGATGCTCAAGAAATCTGTTGACTTGAATGAAACAGGATAGTACTATAACACAGACTGTGCTGAATATGTCTTCAGAGGGACCCCTAAAGAGTTCTAAAAGTCCACTGGAAGGAGAAAGGGAGTCTCTGAAGTTACAGATTCCTTCCACCAACGTTAAGAACTTGTAAAGCCAGCAAAGCAGCAGATTCTAAAAATCTCAGAAATGCACAGGGCCGGGCATGGTGGCTCACACCTGTAATCCCAGTACTTTGAGAGGCCAAGGCGGGCAGATCGCTTGAGCTCAGGAGTTCAAGACCAGCCTTGGGAACATGGTAAAATCCCATCTGTACAAAAAAATACAAAAAATTAGCCAGGTATGGTGGCATGCATCTGTAGTCCCAGCTCCTTGGGAGGCTGAGTTGGGAGGATCACTTGAGCCTGGTTGCACTGAGCTGTGTTCACACCACTGCATCCCAGCCTGGGTGACAGAGCCAGATCCTGTCTCAAAAACAACAAAAAAAAGTACACAGAGGTGAGAGCACATGTTCCTACAAGTGTCACAGAAACTCAGCTAAATAAACAATGAAGCAATATTAGCATAATCAAAATAAACATTTTTAAGCACAAAGTGTATGAGCCACAGCTTCAAGCTTGTAAACTTTGATTTTTAAAGGGACCAATAGAGGTTAAGTAAACAGACACTTAAACAGAAGTATCACTAGGAAGGGCCACACTCTGAAGCAGCAGTCTACTCAGACTTTGGACTCACAGCATTAGGTCACATTCTGAGTCTGACACTTAGCTGTGCAACCCTGGACAAGTTCCTTAACCTCTCTGGGCCTCAACTCTCCCATTTGTAAAATAAGAACAGTAGACTCCCATGATAGGGTTGGTTGTTGGAATGATTTAAAGAGATAATGCTGGTGAAAATGTTTAGCGTCGTTTCTAGCACACAGTAAACACTGAATTAAAGTTTATTGCTCACTCTTCCGAAGTGATTTGTATCTTTCTGTGGATGATCTAAACTCACAGGCCTCTTTTGATCTGGATATGGAAAATTCTCTATAAGGAATCATTTCATAAAAACATGTGCTTCCTCTCATTCCACTCTATGCAATTCAGTCACTCATTTAGCAAACATTTACTGAATATCTTCCATATGCCAGGCACTGTTCCAGACCCTGGGGTCTAGCAGTGAATAAAACAAAAATCCCTGTCCATTTAGAGCTCACCTTCTGTTGGGGAGAGGTAAGAAATAAACATAATAAGTAAGTTATATAGCATATTAGAATACGCTGTGCTATGCAGAAAAAATCAAGACAGGTAAAGGGAATTCAGAACAGGAAGGGTTGCAGTTTAAATAGGGGAGGTCATAGCAGGCCTCACGGAGAAGGTAACACTTAAGCAAAGGAGGTGAGGGAAAGAGTTACCCAGAGATCCGAGGGAAGAGGGGTCCAGGCAGAAAGGGCAGCCAGTGCAAAGGTCCTGGGGCAAGGCCATGCTTCACGTACTCCAGGATAGCAGGGAGGCGAGCATGGCTAGAGCAGAAGAAATGAGGGAATAGAAGATGAGGTCAGGGCATAGTTGGGGTCCTAACTAAGCCACTGTAAGGACTTTGGTTTCTACTTGAAGAGAAGTAGGGGGCCATTGAGTGGTTTTCAGCCAAGGGTCAAGGTGGGGGCAGGGCGAATTGCAAAGACTGAGGCAGGCAGACCTGTCAGGAGGCTCTTGTCGAAAGTCAAATGAGTGATTATGGCAATCAGAACAGGAAGGGAGCAATGGAGGTGGAGAGAAGTGTTAAGAAGATTCTGGCTATATTGTGAAACTGAGCTAACTGGATGCTATGAAGTGTGAGGGGTGGCGTAGGGTGGGGGCAGATGAGCCTGGTCTGAGCAAATGGGAAAGGACACAGCTGTCAATACTGTAATGGGGAAGGCTGGTGGAGAAGCATCTTAGCAAGGACCAGGTCAGTGATTAGGTGTTTGGCTATGTACACACTGAGTTTGGGATATCAAGGACATAGCTGGAAGTTGGAGGCAGTTGGTTTCTACAGTTCAGGAGAGAAGATATAGAAAGACCTCAATTATGTGTTAGAAACTAAACTGCCCTAGCTATGATCTTTATGTCCTTTGTCCTACTACAATTAGCTTTGAACCCGTGGTTCTCCAATGTTAGTGTTCACAAGAATCACCAGAAACACTGGTAAAATTACTGATTCCTGGGTCTCATCCCCGGAAGTTCTAAATCAGTTGATCTTGTGTGAGGGGACATGGGTCAGGGAAAACAGGAAATTAATATTTTTAAGTTTTTGGGATTCTTTTCCAAGTGGCTCATGGATCGCCATCTGAAAAATCTTGGGATCGTTTCCTCCCCCAACCCCACTTCCTCACTCAAATATTCCAGCCACCTAGGCAATATTCATTTAATTTCTCAAACCACTCAGAAAAATACACCCTCCCTCAAAATATTCCAGATTTAGAAAAAAGTGGCGCTGGACAGACACTTCATTTGAAGGACATTTCACCTGCTATGCACTACAGAGTCTGAATGCTGGTTTGGCTCCACTTCCAGCAGGCGGGCTGTGGCATAATTGGAAAGAGTGTCCAGTGTGGCCCTCAGTCCTTCAGATCTGTGCCCTTTTCCTTAATTCCATATGCCCTCGTGTTGTCCCAGAACCCTTCCATCCGTCATAGAATTAAAGAATTTGGATAATGTGTTTATCTGCAAGTGTTACTGATTCAATCTGTTACTTCTTTCAGAATTGAGCCAGAAGGGAGGGCAACAATTAAACAAAAGTCTTGCTCCCTTATGGTGCAAGAAAGAGAAGAGGAAGGAGATATGTTAGCATATACGGATGCATGACCTCTGGTTTCCCCCGAATACAAGCTTTGTTGCAGCTACCTGTGCTGTCCACGCATGACACTACCTGTGGCAGCCATAAAAATAGACCTTTCAGATCAATGATTGCAGGGAGAATAACTGCCTGACAGCTGAGCTGAGGTGCTCAGAATCCACCACTGTGTTTGTCTGCACAGAGGCCATGCTTCATGCAGGCTGGGGCACAAAGGCAGGTCTATGCCTGTGAAACCAGGACTCTTCCAATGAGGACTTTCGCTTGAGGCCTCCCCATCAGCCTGGCTGAACCTTTCCTAGACCTGCACCACAACCTAAGACTTTCTACCCAACCTTTCCTCCTTCCCTCTCTCCTCCCCAGGGGCAGACTTGTATCACAGTCTGACAGCTCTCCCAGCCTCCTCCAGCTCCCTCCTCCTATTCCTCAAGGCATATCCCCCAAAACAGTCCTTGCACATCTATTCCCACCTTAACATCTGCTTCTTGGAGGAGCTGAACTATCACAGCCACCTAATCCCTAACTCCTACAAACCTGATGTAGCAAATGCCTCTGGTGTCTACATCACATCCCTCAGCCCACCTCTGATTTCTGCCACAGCTGTGTGAGCCCAGACCCACTTGTGCTGACAGGATCCTCCCTCCAGCAAGAGCCAACAGTTCTACTTTTTGGCTGAGTCTTCTCCAATCCCATGGGGTCCCTCAGCCTGAGCACAAGCACAGATCCTAAGTGCAAGGGAAGCTAATCCCCCTGGGGAAGCCCTCAGTCAGTGGAAGGAGGGAGTCGGTGGATAAATGCCCTGGCCTCCCATCTTTCAAGTAGATAATGCTGGGAGGCATTCAGTCCCCTTCTTAGGAGGTCCCAGAGGAATCAAGTCCAAAGTAGCTATAGCAGCAGCCTCCATGACATACCTTTATATTGGCTTTCCCTTCTTCCCTGCTCACTGTCCCCACTCCCATCCTCCTGCTTCCTGGGACCATTTCCCAAATAAACTCCTAGTACCCAAGTCATTGTCTCAGGCTCTGCTTTCAGGAGAACCCAATCCAAACCATGTGATATGTGATTTACAGCAATGGAGTCATGTTAACAGAACTCTCCTTCAGGAAAACAATGCTGAGTATCTACATGGACTGCATGATTTCTAAATATTCTGTAATTAGCTGGGCATGGTGGTGCACACCTGTAGTCCCACCTACTTGGGAGGCTCAGGTGGGAGGATCAATTGAGCCCAGGAGGTGAAGGCTGCAGTGAGCACCACTGCACTCCAGCCTGAGCCACAGAGTGAGATCCTGTCTCAAAATAAATAAAATAAATAAAATATTCTGTATTTAAGTTTCCTATACCTAGTATCAGTAACACAATAGGACATAGTGCCTTTTTGAAGGGTGTAGTAGCCAGTCTCCAAGATGACCCCCACTGATAGCATCATGCCCTTGTGTAGCCCCGTCTCACATTAAATAAGAGTGGAATAAAGGTGAAGCGACCGTGTATGATTTCCAAAGATAGGTCATAAAAGGCATTGCACTTCCACATCAGTCTCTTAGGTCTCTCACTCCAGGGGGAAGGTGGCTGCCATGTTGTAAGGACACTCAAACAATCCTATGCAGAGGCACATGTGAAGGTGAACTGAGGCCTCCTGACAACAGCCAGCACCAACTTGCCTGCCACATGAGTGAGCCACCTTGGAAGTGGATCTTCCAGCCCCGGTTATGCCTTCAGATGACCTCAGCTCCAACAGACATCCGACTGCAACTTGAGAAATCACAACAGAATCACCCAGCTAAGCTGCTCCTGAACTCCATACCGCCAGAAAATATGAAAGATAATAAATGATGATTCTTGTTTCAAGTTACTAAGTGTTAGAGTGATTTGTTACATAGTAACAAATAAAAAGAGATACCCTGTCTTTTTATCTGCAAAGCACTTAAAACACATAGACTGTATGTGTTGCATTGACACTCATACCAGTCCATGAAATAAGCATTATTTAACATCTGCATTTTAAAAAAAAAAAAAAAAAAGCAAAACAAGATAGTGAGAAGTACACAGCCAGGGTCATTCACTTAACAAGTAGAAGAACAGGGATAGAAACAAGATGGTCTGGCTCCAACATTTGTGCTCTTAGCCACTATAATGCCCCACCTTGAGTGTGGGAGTTACTTTGAGAAGAAAGTACTTGTATTTCTTAACTTATTCTGAATAATACTTTGTACCCTAAAAAACTTACTCTCTGTTTTGGCTTTTAAGCGTATGACTTTTTAGAAGTTGAATCCAGTTCAGGACATGACTTTTGACTTGGAGTAAACATGACCTTCTTCCAGAAAACACATTTATAATGTTATAAAATATCACTGGGAGAAAGTATTCCATGATCAAAAGTTCACTTCACTGCTGAGCTATTTGGAAGCACATACATTCTTCAAGCAAGACCACCTCTTTCAACCCATTGGTGATGTTTATTCATCCTCAATGTGTGGATGAGAGTCTATGGAGGAAATACATAAACAGCTAGCAGCGAATCTTCCTTGAATTCCCAAAACCCTACTTCATCTGCATCCTTCAGCATTGGCGATACTATCTTATATTTTTGGCCTGTTCTGTTAACCATCTCCTGAGATCAACGTTCAGATTTATGAGTGAAAGACTAATGGCTCACAACTTTTCTATCCTCTGTAGTGCCTTGCACATAGTAGGCTCCCAAATGTTTGATTATTTAACATATCCCAAACTTTCAAAACTAAAAAACATTCTATTTGTTCTCTGAACTGCTCCAAATTCCACCAGTTTCTCTTGCTTCTAGAGTCCGTCATTTCTATGCTGACAGTTGGTTAATCCTCCCTATGAGGTTGTAAACAAAGGAGCAGAATGACAATGTCCCAAGGGTTCCAGATGTGCTCATTGGAACCAACCCAAAATCCACCTTAGGATTACTATACCCTGTTTTGAACCCCATGCATTAGGAGCAACACACATTGGCAAACTGGAGCTGCCCAGAGAAGGATGACCAGAGAAAGAAAGGTCTGAAAACCCGACCATGAAGAAGACTGAAAGATGCAAGGATGCTTAGTTTGGAGAAGATTGTATTCATAGCGCACACACAACCATTTGAAAAGCTGGCCTGAGAAAGGAGAACCAGGCTCCTTATAACTGTGAGACAGCCCAGCCTTACCTCCCCAGCCATTTCCAGTGGAGCATTAGTATGTGGCATTCAGGCAAAGAGTTGTGTGGGTAAATAAATTTGGAAAATGTCACAAAGGTAAGCCCCTCTGAAGTTCACAAAGAACATTAGCGTACAGAAGAGTCTGAGAAAATCCTCTAATAAAGAAACCTTTGTTCAAGATTATTTACCAAACTTACTGAACCACAATCTCGTCTTTTATTTCCCCATGTAATGCTTATTAACGTCGTACGTAGAACATTAGGAAAAGCCGTTCTAAAAAGCAGAATTAGGCAAAGCATTGCCTTGTACACTATAAATACAAACAATTGCTATTTGTCAATTATAACTCTGTAAAGCCGGGGAAAAAGAGAAACATAACTAGGGCAGGTTTTCAGAAATTATCAGGAGATGAATTCTGGTACAATATACAGTAAAATATATCCCAACATTCAAGCTAGCCAAAGACAGAATGGGCTGCCTGTGAGGTCAGAAATGCTTTGCTACTGAAGTTGTTCACTACAGGTCAAATGCTGTGAAGAGTCACATCACAGGGCTTGAGATTCTGTGATAAGAAGCAGGAAAAAGAACGGATTTCCATGTCGGGGTTTTCCATTTCCTGTTGGTCATCCATCTGGGATCAGCTTCCTTAGAAATAATTAGTCTCATACTCTTGTTCCACTTACACTGATATCCCGATATTATAATGATTTGTAAACATGTATGCCTTCTGAACAATGACTCAGTCTGGAAAACACAGTCCACCTGCCCCTCAGCTGTGTAACAGAGATGATAATAGTATGTGAATTACAGGGTTATTGTAAAGATTAAATGAGCCACTTCATGTAAATCACTTGGAACAGTATCTGACATTAGACAAGAGATTTAACAAATATTTTTGTAATGATATATGTTGGGGCAGGAAGAACATTGAGACTCTTGCACTAGGCATTGAATTCCTTGAGAATACAGTCTTTCTTATCGATTTTTGTCTTCGTTGCTAATTATTATCCTAGATACATAGGAAGCATTTAATAAATCCTTATAAGGTGGATGGATGGGTGAATGAGTGAATGCAACGGTCTTGACCCCATTTGGGCAGCTCTCAAGGCCTTCTGCATGGGCTTGGCCCATCAACATCTCCCTCCAAGCCCACTAGACAGTTGCAGGTCTTCCATAAGGGGCTCCCTCTTTCTTTCCCCTTTTTAGGGGCACTGTAGTTTTAGAGCAAGTTTTCTCAGTTTTCCCCACTGAAGTATCCCTGTCCATGCAGGGGAATGACCAGAACCTCCTCTGCCCTCTGGAGTCTGAGGGCATGGTCTAAGGTCACCCAAGGCTCAGTATTTCTTCTAAGTCTAATCATTTTATCTTAACATTTGGTAAAATTTTTCTTTTATATCATAATACATCTGTTTGCTTTTAAACTGTGTTTTAAATGTTTACCAATGTGTAAAATTGATGTCCCAAAACAGGTTGTGCTCATCCTGTGGCTTCCAGCCCCCCGCACCGACATTCTGCTGCACATCTTCAATCTTCCTGTTCCAGAAACCTAACAAACCTGAGTTCCATCACCCAAATCCACTTGCTCTCTTTTGTTTGTTATGTGTGCAGACTTACACTCTGGAATTGGATGCTTCAAACCCAGTTTTGCTCCTGTCAACAGTAAACCTCTAGTAACATTCTAGAAGGCCAGGGATTCATCACATTTATTGATGAGTTTCTCTTGAGGAAGTGGGAAAAGACACAGACCTAGAGTCAAAGGATTCTCTGTCTGACAAAAAAAAAAAAAGTGACCATTTATATAACTTCTAAAGTAACCGTTCTCAAGTCGAATACCACTACCTTTGAAGACCAATGAGCAGAAAATGGTCTTTGGAGGCTTTTAAGGGCTCTGTTATACAAGAGACAAATGTGTGAGATTGAATTGGCTTTTCAAAAAGGTTTTTTTACACAGTCTTACAAAGGTGTGTGATAATTTTTTAAATACAGATGGCCTTTCCTTCTAATAGTTTTGTTTTCAAGTTTAGCTAAAAAGTCTCCTCCACCTGCCTTCCCTGTTCAGCATGCCATCCCTCTGATTCCGCATCACCTAAGCCTCAGTCCCTTCAGATTTCCTGATGTACTGGACCTCCTACTTGACAGGATTTCACTTGTCAGAACAGAATAAAAAGGCCAGAGCCAGCCGGGTGCAGTAGCTCATGCCTATAATCCCAGCACTCTGAGAGGCCAAGTCAGGAGGATTGCCTGACCTCAGGAGTTCAAGACCAACCTGGGCAACATGGCAAAAACCCATCTCCACTAAAAATACAAAACTTAGCCAGGCGTGGTGAAGCGTGCCTATAGTCCTAGCTACTCAGGAGGCTGAAGCAGAAGAATCACTTGAACCTGGAAAGTGGAGGTTGCAGTGAGCCGTGATCGCATCACTGCATTCCAGCCTGGGCAATCGGAGAATATAGGAAAACGTGTTTTAAAGAAAAGATCTGTGTCTATACTCTCTGACTCTCTCTTATCTAAGATAAGGGCAGCACTTTTACTTTTTCACCCTCACAGAAAGAGTTGGGCTTTCCAATCCCACATCCTAGGCATAGCTCCCAAGAACCCTGTCTGAGCCACAGCCCTCAGGTCTCCCATTCAGCCAGAAAGGAGGATGTCAAGAAGAAGAGCCTCCCTCTGAGAGTGAATGTAGGGAGTAACCTTCTGCAGGATTTCTTCCATTGAGGCTTTGACTAAAGGCAGAATCTGGGAACTTCTGCTTCCAAGGAAGATGGAGGAACAAGGACTATATTTGCCCTCACTCCTAAAACCACTTTTAAAAACATACACAGAGAGGAAAAAAACATGAAACTATGATTTTTAAGGCACTGAACACCATACAACAAAGAAAAGTGATCCCTTAAAGAAATAAACAAGAAATGAACCTGGGGAGCTTGACAGATTCTTTGAGTTAAAAAGCTGAAAAGCCAAGAAGACAAAGGCAGCTAGAGTTCACATGGCTGGCATGTAGGCTAGGGTACCATAAAGGAGAGAACTGCAGAGAAAGAGAAGCGAGAGAAAGAGTGCGAGAGAGAGAGAGAGAGAGCACGCTCCAGACATCTGCAGAGGGTTTTTCTCGAGTATTCAGCAAATACTGATCAGAGCACATATGAGAAGAACTATCTGAAAGAGTTAAGTGAAATAGAACATAGAACACACGCCAGCCCAGAAATGGTCCCTTTTTTCTGCCATCCAAATTAGAAAACATTATGATTCAGAGGTTATGTGGTAGATACTCCAAAGCGTCTTACCTCAATAGTGAGAAGCAACTAAACCTCAAGACAGTTCTGGCCCCACATAACAACCTTAAAAATAACCTCTGAAAGAATCAAATTGTTCCAAAATATTAACTGCATCCCAAAACAAAACTCAAGAATATTTATAAAAACATAAAAATACAGTAGTCCCTTCTTATTCACAGTTTCACCTTCTGCAGTTTCAGTTACCCATGGTCAACTGTGGCCTAAAAATATTAAACGGAAAATTCACAAGTTTTAAATTGCGCACCTTTCTGAGTAGCAAGATTAACATCTCACACTCTCCTGCTCTGTCCTGCCCGGGACATGAATCATCCCTTTGTCCAGCGTATCCACACTGTTGTATACCCTATCCTCCCATTAGTCAGTAGCCATCTGGGTTAGCAGATTGAATGCGGCAGTATTGCAGTGCTTATGTTCAAGCAACCCTTATTTTACTTAATAATGCCTACAAAGCATGAGAGTAGTAATGCTGGCAATTCAGATATGCCAAAGAGAAGCCAATAAGTGCTTCCTTTAAGTGAAAAGGTGAACATTTTCCTTGGATAGGTAAAATACATATATATGCTGAAGTTGCTAAGACCTACGGTAAGAACAAATCTTCAATCTGTGGAATTGTGAACAAGGAAAAAGAAATTTGTGCATAATATTTCTAGGGTTCTGTATTATCCTTGGTTTCATGTATCCACTAGGGGTCTTGGAAGATACTCCACGTGGATATTCTGGTACCAACAAGATAAACATAATATCTGGCAGCCAATCAAATTTCACAAGACACACAAAGAAGCGGAAAACTACAATCCATTATAAGGAGAAAAAAAATCAATCAACTGAAGCCAACCCAGACTGAACACAGATGCTAGACTTAGAAGAAAAGGACATTAAAACTTACAACTATATTCTATGTATTCAGAAAGCTAGAGGAAATAGTGAATGTGTCATGTAGAAACATGGGAGATATTTTGTAAAGACCCAAATTGAACTTCCAGAGATGAAAATTACAATATTTGAGATTTAAAACACACTAGGGAAGTAAAAGCAGATTAGACAGTACAGAAAAAAAGGTTAGCAGATTTAAAGACATAGGTATAGAAGCTATCTAAAATAAAACACGGAGAAAAAAACACTCAAATATAAAATAACATACCGTTATTTGTCTGTAGGAAACATCAGGTGTTTCCTAATACATGTGCCATTAGAGTCTCCAGAGGAGCAAAGAAAGAGAAAGGAACAGAAAAAATAAGTGAATATATCTGAGATGTTTCAAAATTTAACTAAAATTATAAACAGATCTAAGAAGTTCAACAAACCCCAAGCACAAGAAACATAAAACAACTATACCAAGGCACATGACAATCAAATTTTTCAAAAGAAGTATTAAGTTAAAGTCTTGCCAGGCATGGTGGCTCACACCTATAATCCCAGCACTTTGGGAGGCTGAGACGGGAGGATCACTTGAGCCCAGGAGTTTGAGACCAGCCTGGGCAACATGGCAAAGGCCTGTCTCTACAAAAAACACCAAAATTAGCCAGGTCTGGTGGCAGACGCCTGTAGTCCCAGCTACTCAGGAGGCTGAGACAGGAAAATTGCTTGAGGACCTGAGGCAGAGGCTGCAATGAGCCGAGATCATATCACTGCACTCCAGCGTGGATGACAGAGTGAGACCCTGTCTTTAAAAAAAAAAAAAAAAGTCTTAAAACCAGCCAGAGAAAAAAGATACTTTACATACAGAGGAACCAAGATAAGCATTTGGGCAGACTTTGTTAGAAGCAGTGCAAGTGAGACAACAATGAAGCAAAATCTTTGAAGGACTGAGAGAAAAAAAAAATCTACACCCAGTAAGAATATCTTTCAAAAATGAGGTGAATTAAGTACATTTTGAGACATATAAAATTGAAAGAATTTATCACCAGCAGATTCACATTACAAAAAGTGATAAAGTCTTTCAGAAAGGTAAGAGGGAGAGAGAAAGGGAAGGAGTGGGAAAGGGAAGGCAAGTAAAAGGATGCCAAATGTTAAGTGTGGACTGAAGACTGAAGACCACTGGAAATGATCACTACAGTTGTAAACACACAAGATTTTTTTCTTATTATTATACTTTAAAAGACAACTGTTTAACTGACTGATGTTATCTGACCAAGACAACATGATTTTTTCTTATACTTTAAAAGACAACTGTTTAACTGACACATTATCTGACCAAGATAACATGACGTATTATCCCATTTAAGCTGTCAGTCATGACCAAGAGGAGTTTAATCTCAAGAATGCAAGAGTTGTTTAATATTCAAAAATAGGCCAGGCGCAGTGGCTCATGCCTGTAATCCCAACACCTTGGGAGGCCAAGGTGGGCAGATCACTTGAGGTCAGGAGTTCGAGACCAGCCTGAGCAACATGGTGAAACTCCATCTCTACTAAAAACACAAAAATTAGCCAGGCATGGTAGCAGGTGCCTATAATCCCAGCTACTGGGGAGCTGAGGCATGAGAATCACTTGAACTCAGGAGACGGAGGTTGCAGTGAGCTGAGATTGTGCCACTTCACTACAGCCTGGGCGACAGAGTGAGACCCCAACTCAAAAATAAATAAACAAAGCAATATTTTTTCAATATAATTCACCATATGAACAAACTAAAATGAAAAAACACATAATCATTTCAATGGATTCAGAAAAAGCATTTGACAATATCCCACATCCAATTCCAGATAAAAACTCTCAACAAATCCAAATAGAAGAGAACTTTCCCAGTCAGCTAAAGAGCATCTATGAAAAACCCATAGCCTTAGCTGGGTGCGGCGGCTCACGCCTGTAATCCCAGCACTTTGGGAGGCCAAGGCGGGCGGATTGCCTGAGATCAGGAGTTTGAGACCAGCCTGGCCAACATGGTGAAACCCCATCTCTACTAAAAAAAAAAATACAAAAAAAGCTGGGTGTGGTGGCATGAGCCTGTAATCCCAGCTATTCAGGAGGCTGAGGCAGGGGAATTGCTTGAACCAGGGAGGTGGAGGTCGCTGTGAGCCAAGATCACGCCACTGCCCTCCAGCCTGGGCAACAGAGCGACACTCAGTCTCAAGCAAAAAAAAAAAAGGAAAAACCCATAGCTAATATCATACGTAGTGGTGAAAGACTGAATTTATATGGAAACGCAAAAGACAGAGAATAGACAACTTTGAAAAGAATGAAACTGAAGGACTAACACCATCTGATTTCAGTGTTTATTATAAATCTACAAATATCAAGACAGTATGGTTATTAGTATAAACATAGACAAATAGATCAATGGAACAGCATAGTCTAGAAATAGACCCACATATGAATGGACAATTGATTTTTTATAAAGGTGCAAAAGAAATTCAGAGGAGAAAGAATGTTCTTCCTAATGAATGACGCTGACACAATTATATATCCATATGCAAAAAAAAGTGCTTTGATCCACATGTCATATTCAAGAATTAACTCAAAATTGATCATAGACTCAAGTGTAAAACCTAAAACTACAAAACTTCTAGAAGGAAATCTAGGAAAATATCTTTGTGACCTTATACTAGGTGAAGGTTTCACAGCTATAGTATTCAACGCACAATCCATAAATGGAAAATTTGACAATTTGACTTCATTGAAGACAAAAATTTCTGCTCTTTGAAAGATACTGTTAAGAATGAAAGGCCAGAAATCGGGAGAAAATATTTACAAATTATATGTCTGATAAAGGACTCTTATCCAAAATATATAATGAACTCTCAAACCCAGTAATACGAGACAAACAATAAAATAAGATACAAACAACCATTAAAAATAGTCAGATTTGAAAACACATTTCACCAAATAAGATACACAGATGGCAAATAAACCTTTAAAACTTTCTCAACATCATTACATTAGAGAAATGCAAATTCAAACCACAATCAGATACCATCATACGTCTGCAAAAGTTGTCAGAATCAAAATGGAGTCACTTGTGTCAAAACCCTGACAAACAGAGCTAAGGAAGGCCATGAAGGAAGGACTTTCATGCACGTATGCCTGATAACAGGAACTATCACAAAAGACTCTGCAAAAACCACAACCTTGCACAAAGGCTGCCACTACCTTACAAAAAACTACTTCTACAAGGACATCTGCCTAGCAATTGAATCGATGCCACCCTTGCTATTGGTCCTAGTAGCCAAGGATTGGCTGAAAACAACTTAATCTTCTTCATTTTACCTTTAAAAACTTTTGCCTTATCTTCCTGAATACGCCCACACATATTCCCATTTCAATGCCCATTCCTGAATAAATCTTTCTTTCAGAGTCTCCTTCTCTGTTATTTAGGTTTGACACACCTATTAGAGTGCTTAAATTAAAAAGACTAAACATACTAAGGTTGGAGACGGGTGAATAAACTGAATTATCATACACTGATAGTGGGTCATTTTACAGACCCACTATATGTGGAACGCTGACTTTAAAAATAGTATGAGGCTGGGCGCAGTGGCTCATGCCTGTAATCCCAGCACTTTGGGAGGCTGAGGCGGGTGGATCATGAGTTCAGGAGTTCAAGACCAGCCTGGCCAAGATGGTGAAACCCATCTCTACTAAAAATACAAAAATTAGCCAGGCAAGGTAGCAGGCGCCTGTAGGCCCAGCTACTCAGGAGGCTGAAGTAGGGGAATTGCTTGACCCCGAGGGGCAGAAGTTACAGTGAGCTGAGATCACACCACTGCACTCCAGCCTGGGCAACAGAGACTCCTTCTCAAAAAAATAAAAAATTAAAATTAAAAAAATAAAAACAATATGAACATTTCATAATATGTTAAACGTACTCCTACTATTTGATCCAGACATTCCAACTGTAGGTATTTAGCCAAGATAAATGAAAATGTACATGCACACAAAGATCTACACATCAGTGTTCATAGCAGCATTATTTGTAATAGCACAAAACTGGAAACCACTTAAATGTTCATCAACAGGTAAATGAACGCCAACTATGGAATATCCATACCATGGATCTAACAGGTGAATGTCAACTATGGCATATCCATACAGTGGAATACTACTCAGCAATAAAAACAAAGAAGCTACTGGCACACAATTTATAATCTCAAAAACAAAAGAATGCTGACTGAAAGAAGCCAAACAAAAACATACACATACTGTATGATTTCATTTATATAAAATTCTTTAAAGTACAAACTGTAACAGAAAGTTGATGGGAGGAAGAAACTACAAAAGGGCACTAGGAAACTTTTAAGGATGATAAATATGTTCATCACCTGAATTTTGGTGACTGTTTTAGGACCTGTACATATGTCAAGACTTATCAACTTGCATAATCTAAAATGTGCAGTTTATTGTATATGTCAATTATACCTCAATGAAGCTGCTAAAAATTAACAACGGGGGAAAAGGGAATAAATGGTAACTTAACCAAACCATAAGAAAAGGAATAAAGAGGAACCAGCAAAATAAAACGAACAACAGGCTAGGCGCGGTGGCTCACGCCTGTAATCCCAACACTTTGGGAGGCCGAGGCGGGTAGATCACCTGAGGTCAGGAGGAGTTTGAGACCAGCCTGGCCAACACAGTGAAACCCCGTCTCTAATAAAAATACAAAAATTAGCCAGGCATGGTGGCATTCACCTTTAATTCCAGCTACTCAGGAGGCTGAAGCAGGAGAATCGCTCGAACCCAGGAGGCGGAGGTTGCAGTGAGCCAAGATCGGGCCACTGCACTCCAGTCTGGGTGACAGAGCAAGACTCCATCTCAAAGAAAATAAAAAATAAAAAAATAAAACAAACAGTGAACATACTTAAGTTGGCAGAAGGAAAGTGAGTATAGTTATCCTTTGTTACACTTGGGGGTTTGGTTTCAGGACCCCCACAGATGCCCAAATCTGCTCATTCCCAAGTCCCAAAGTCAGCCCTGTGGAACCTGCCTATGTGAAAAGTCAGCCCTCTGTTAAAGTGGGTTTCACATCCAGGGAGTACTGTATTTTCAATCTGAGTTTGGTTGAAAAAAATCTGCGTATTAGTAGAGTCTCCCAGATCATACCCGTGTTGTTCAAGGGTCAACTGTATTATCAGTTGTCACTAAATATAAACAAACTGAATTAACCCATTAAAAAACAGACTGTCAGGTTGGCTTAAAAACAAATCCAGCTATGTACTACATGCAAAAAAGAAATGTAAAACAAAGTGATTTTAAGAAGTTGAAAATAAAGGAGTGGCTTCTGATACTATGCAACCACAAAGAAAGGGAAAGTAGAAGCCTGTTAATTAAAGCAACCAAAAAAGATGATCTAAGTGTCAACTTCTGATTCAGAAAAATTAAAATTTCATAAATCAATCGTCTTGAATAGATAGGAGTTAAAACTTAAGATACTTACTAACATGATTTTACATAAATGGTGATCCAAAAGAGGGCCTATGTTGGTTTTTAAATTAGCCTACCTAAATTAACTTTTTCACAAGCGTTAGTCCTACTGGGAGGTTCTTTAAACACCACTTCTTGCTTTGAGGACATAGTTTAGTAATAAATTGTGTTGGTTTTAATCATTAATTTCCAAGGCTAATTGTTGTTTCTAAGTAATTATGTGTATTGAGAGTCTTTGGGAACAGATCATGATTTGTAATTTAACCCATCAGTTATTAGCATATTACAACTTGAAAAAGATTGAAAAGTATTAATGTCTTATTTTGCTGATCTTTGGAGGCCCACAGATGTGACAAATCTTGGATAAAAATGTATCTTCTGTTCCCTTTTCCTGTAGATGTAGGATTTGGGCCAATGCAATGATTGGCTCCATGTACTTTGTTGCTCTTTAAGGTTCTCATACTTGGTCCAGAGTTTCCATCAGGGTGAGGAAGAGGGAGACAAGGGTTGTATTCAGTCTGCAACATGCCTTGAATGCCACCTTCTACAAAATATGTGAACTCAATAAATACTCTTTGACGTCTTCAATCAGTCCTGCCAATGGGGTAGTCTAGAACTGTGGTTCTCAAACTTTGGCTTGCATCAGAATCATCTCGAGGGCTTGTTAAGATACAGATTCCTGGGCCCCTTCCCCAGAGTTCCTGACCGAATCTGATGTGGGGCTGAGAATGTGTATTTCTAACAAATTCCCAGGAGGTGCTGCTGCTAACTGGTGATTCTGGCACTCAGAACCATTGTTTCTCCTGTTGTTGCTGCTTCTCAGCATGGCTTCAGCCCGGGGCTGTTTCTCTCGCCGTCACCATGACATCCACTGCCAGACACAATCACCTGGAAGTCACCGCAACATCCACTGCCAGATACACTCACCTAGAAGATGACAAGAGAAACAGCCATGGGCTGAAGAAACAGCCATAGCTGTTTCTTGTCGTCTTCCAGGTGAATGTGTCTGACAGATGTTGTGGTACCTCCCCAGATCCTTCTTTAAGACTTAGCACCTCATTCCCCAACAATGGGGAGCATTGCTTATTAATTTATTAGAGACAGGGTCTCACTCTGCTGCCCAGGCTATAGTGTAGTGGGGTGATCACAGCTCATTGCAGCCTCAAATTCCTGGGTTCAAGCAATCCTCCCTCCTTGACCTCCCAAAGTGCTGGGATTACAGGCATGAGCCACCATGCTGGCCCAAGTGTTGCTTGCTGATGGCTCACAAATCCTCCTTTCTAGGAAGCCTGCTTCTAATTAAGGAGCTGCTTGCCCAAGGTCTGCTCCCATCCCTGAGGCAGCCACTATGTCCCCATAACTGGTGGATGAAGAGGGTGTAAAGCTCAGCCCCACTGCCTCAATTCAGGACCTCTGAAGAGCCACCCTGACTCCCCACGGGGCTTCCCCAGTCCACATGCAATACAGCTGCATGCAAATCTCTGACTCTCAGTATGTTTCCCAGGTCCCAGTGCAAGCCCCATCTACTCGGCACCCCTCACCCCACCCCAACCTTACCCCTACCCACATTGGGTCCCTTCCCCTGCATTAGCCTCAGAAAACTGGATACTCAGAGACCTTTGTGGGTCTGAGCCTCAAGAACACAGCGGCTGAGGCACAAAAGAGGGAGCCCTCACTGTCTCTGGCCCCACACAGAGGTGACGCTGCTGCCACAGTCACAGCAGTCAGCCGGACACTCCACATGCTCCGCGTGCTCCTCAGTCTGCAGGACAGTTGCCAAAACAATCAACCCAGGTGTTTGCTCTGAAGAAGAAAATATGCAGCGCTCCCGCTTCATAGTCACACAGGCGGAGCGAGAAGCCAGGAGGGTCCCACCCAGGGAAGGGCTGCTTTCTTACCCAGCTGGGTTCTGCCCAGAGGCCAAAATGTCCCACCCTATACTCAGGAAGCTCTCAGAGACATTGGTTCCAAGAAATGCAGGGTAAGGAACAATGGTTTAACTGATGCTTTTCTTCTTCCATTCATTCAACCAACATTCGCTTGAGCTTCCACTGTGTTGGGCTCTGGCGTAATCTGGGGGACCCAAGGGGGACTAAAACAGAATCCTTTTCATCAAGAGGTTTACAATCTGGTGCAGGAGATGGACATGAAATAGGCAGTCCCAGGAAGTCCTGCGAGAGGCAGTATGCACAGTAGTGAAGAACTTGGGCTCTGGAGCCAGAACACCCAGCTTCAATTCCTGCAGGACCTTGGGCAAGTCACTTACCTCTCTGAGTCTCAGCGTCCTCATCTGTGAAATGGGGATGATAGCAGTGCCTACCTCACACAAGGTCTAAATGAGTTAATACCTGAGAAGTGTTTACAATAGTGCCTGGTGGGCCCAACACAGTGGCTCACACCTATAATTTCAGCACTTTGGGAGGTCAAGGCAGGGATCGCTTGCACCCAGGAGTTGGAGCCCACCCTGGCAACATAGTGGGACCTCGTATCTACAAAAAATGGAAAATTAGCCAGGCATGGTGGCATGTGCCTCTAGTCCCAGCTACCCAGAAGGCTGAAGCAGGAGGATCGATTGAGCCCAGGGAAGTTGAGGCTGAAGTGAGCTGTGATCATGCCACCACACTCCAGCCTGGGTGACAGAGCGAGGCCCTGTCTCAAACAAATAAAATGAAATAGTGCCTGGTACAGAATCCTGATTGTTAGGTATTGTGAATATTGGCGTGAAAGAGAGAAGGGTGCTGAGGACTCATATCAGGAGGTCAGGGTTCCAGCCATGAAACTTACAACCTCTGAGGGCTACAGCTTGCCTGTCTGTAACATGAGCAGATCCAAACAAAGGATCCCTACAGCCCTTCTAGTGTTGGAGCTGTGGGCTAGAGGTGCCACCCACTGGGCACCTACTAAAGTAGTAGTCAGGGGAACATCTCCTGCCTTGGACATGTAGGATTTAGGGAGAAAGGGAGGACTTTGCTTCACTTGGCTTCACAGGAGGTTTGATGATGGCTGACAGCCTGTTGCCAAGGACATCAGCTGAGGATAGGCAGGATGGTTCATGCCCAGGCAGGCACCTCCTCCATCCCAGGGCCCCAGGACCTAGGGGCTACAACCCCCCTCCACATGCATCTCCTCTCCTCTCCTCCCCTCAAGGCCGCCTGCCCCATCTCTGGACCCACATTCCTCTTCTCTTTGTAAATGCCACTGACAGCCTGCAGTTTTGCACACGCATCTGCTTGCTTGGCCAGAGGGACTATCGACTCCACAGCACACATCAGCAGGGAACTTTCAGAGGTCATGGGCCAAGGCTTTGGGGAACATAGTCCTGTTGGTGAATGCCCATGTCAGGAAAGGACACTGAATGACAGACACATGAACGCTGGAGCTCAGAGCAAGGCTGGTGGCTCCCCAAAACAGTGGCTTGGGAGAGAACAGGCCAGCTGGCAGCACTTCACTGTGTGATGCAGACTGTACCCTCTGCTAGGCCACCAACCAGAGGGGCATTCCTGGCTGTGGAGAAGGGAGGAATGATGGAGCAAATTCAGAGGGATCCCAGGATCTATTTTGTGTTGTCTTATTCTCTGCCAGTTCTTGCCTTCTCTCTCTTCTCCTCATCTTCAGTTAAGAAAAATGGAAGCACAGTGTGGGGGGTAGCCAAGACCTTGGACCAACCTGGATGCTAATTTCAATCCACAACACTGGACGTAAGCCCTGGCCAGCAGTCCTCAGCTACTTTCAGCTCAGCCACCCGAGGCTCCTAGGGCTGAAAATACCCGAGCATCTGATGAAGCAGCTGCAGGTTAAATTTAGCCCTGGCGAACCTGGGACTGATCTGGGTGCTAGAAGCAGCAGAGCAGACTGACTGACGCACCCAACACAGGTGTGAGGGCCAATGATGGCACCTGGGAGGGAAGCACCTGGGAGGGAAGTGGAGCAAGGGAAAGAGACAGAGCAGGGCCCAAAGCCAGTTCTCATCTTGCAGGAGTGTGACAGGACCCGTCAGCCCGGCACTGCTGTTAGCGGATGCCAGGCAGGTAGCATCAACGAGCAAAGCAGAAAGATGTACAGAAAGGGGAAGGGTGGGATTGTGATAAACTGCAAAGCAGATGTCCCACCTAAAACCACTGGAATAGCCTGGGCGACAGAAGGAGACTCTGTCTCTAAATAAACAACAAAACCACTGGAATTTAGGTTTTTAAATAACATCATGTTAGCCAAATAAAATCCTGCATTTGATCTGCAGACTCTTAGTGTGATACCCTGGCCTAGTTGAATGGAGAAGCCAACCCCATGGCCACTATTTCACCATCAGCTATTTCATTCTTTGTTTCTTCAGAGTCTCCTGTTAAAATCCAAACAGACCTCGGGCTTTGAGCTTTCTTAGCTAACTCGGTTATTCTTACTGATCTCTTTAAAGAAGGAAGAAAGGGGAAACAATCAGCGTGCATGAATAAATTAACTGGTAAATTAGCACCTAATATGTTCAGAATCAACTATTTGTTACCTGTATTGAGCAGCAGTTACTGAATGCAAAGAATTCCACTCAACTGGGGTTGGAGTCAGACAGGCTTTGGTCTCAATCCTGGCTCTGCCATCACTGGGAAACTAATTAACTTCCCCAAACTGCAGCTTCCTCTGCGTAGGGTGGAAATCATATGCCTTTCTTGGATTGTTATGAAGATTAAATGAAATAACCCAGGACAGTGTTCGACATGAGATAATTCATGCTCAGTAAATGGTGGATGAACTTTAATCATCTGAAAGCCAGGTTCTGTGGGACAGGGACTAAGAGTGGAAGGGGAAGAAGGCAGTGGGAGAGCCCTTCACCAGCTCACAGCTTTCCTGGAGCCGGCATTCCAGCCCGGGTCAGGCCTCATGCAGAATCAGAGGGCTTCGGAGCCACGTGGGGCCACACTGCCCCCCTGTGCCCATTTGCCACACTGCGGCTGCATTCATGCAAAGCTGCCATTTGAGATGCAGAATCCGGCCAGAAGACCACGACTTCACCATTGTCTCTACTCCGCTGGAACCCCTCCCTGCTGTCTTGTGCTGAGCTGGGTGGTTGTGGAAGCCAATTATCTAAGACTGCAATAACCTGTGTTGTCCAGTCACCCAAGCAAGCTACCCCCACACTGGGGAGCACATGTCCAACTTCCCTGAGCCAGCACTCACCCACAGATGGCCAGGTACTGCAATCACCTGGATAGATTTGGAAATAAATACCCACTGACACCCATCCAGACCTACAGAATCAAAACCTCTGAGGATGGGTCTGGGGGATCCATATAAAAAGAAAAACCTTCCCAAAGGAACTTACATTCAGCCGATTTTGAAAACATACTGCTTTAACCCCTTACTGGGCTGCTCTGCAATACCTCTTCGGTCTGACTTGGTTTTGTAAGTGACACAAGCAGAAAAACACTGTGCTCTCTGCACTGAAAATGAGTATTCCCATGGAGCTGGAGAAGCAAGGAGGTAAGGAGTAGATGAAAGGAAGCAGACAGAGCAGGAGGTAGAAAAAAGGAGATCCTGAGGAAGACACAGAAAGGAAGGAAAACAGGCACAGAGAGAGAAAGAAATGGGAAAGAAGAGGAAAGGGAGGAGAACAGAGGGAGGGAAGGGGGAGAGAGATATAAAGAAATACATGAGAAAGATGCAGCACACTCCTAAACTCATGATAGCATTTGCTAGGGCAGTGATAACCTACGCCAAAACAATAGACATATAGTAGATTAAGAAAAAAAGTATTTCAATGTAGGCATAGGATTCATACCTACAATATGCAAAAAAAGGTTCTACATATTGACAAGGATATAAAAAACGCAATGGAGAAATGAGCAAAGACATGGAGAGAAGATCCAAGTAGCCAAGACATGAAAAAGTGTTCAGCTCACTAGCAGTTTGGGAAATGCAGATCATTATTGTATACCTATACTTACTGGCAAAAATCAGAAAGCCACTTACTTATAGCTGAGTGGGATGTAGGGGAAAGGATTTCTTTAAATCTTGATGGCAAAAAATATAAATTGTTACTGAACTTTGAAAAGCTATCTGACGTCATCTAACAAAATTTACCACTCAATCAATCCACCTGCTCCATTCTGGGGACTTGATGCTCTCAAGATAAAAGCACCAGGACACATCAATATTTGCACAAGAATGCTAATTGCAGCATTGTTCCCAGTAGCAAAAACACCAGTACAAAGAAAAAGGCCATTAATAGGGTACTGTTGAATAAACACTGATAGATCTAGCCCATTCAATATGGCTTTATACAGCAATTAAATGGAATGAATAGAGCCATATTGGAGTTGAAATTTAAGGAATGAGGTACTGTGTGGAAAACAATCATTAAAAATATAGGGTAAAAGTGTTCATAATATTGCTCCATTTTTGTAAAACAACATAATGATAGAAATTTCTGTTGTGTATATGTGTACGTGTGTGTGCAGGGCTGGCATTCAGCCAGTGTACACTGATAAAACCATATTGGACATTTTAGCAAGCGTTCACTGTGTTTGGTTGGTGCTGTGCATACTGCAGCCAGTACGTATTTGCTACATATTTTGAATGTCATTCCTGCAATATATGCATTCATATTATTGTATATAAGTATATAATAAATATGGAGAAAATATAGATGGCTGCATTGTAGGCTGTTAACATGGATTACTTGGAAAGGAAAGGAGACTTCTTTAGGTAGGATAAGGGAAAATAAAAGAGGGGATAACCGATCTAATAAGGAAAAGACAAAGACAGCAGGAAAACCTGTGTAACACAATCATAAATATGCTATGCACTTCTGTAAAAATATATATATGTTTCCAAGTATATAGCATTTTGAAAATATAAATGTGAGAAGCTTGTATTAGTCAGCAATTGTTGCAATCATGCCATGTAACAACCCAAACCCAAAAATCTCGGCAAGTACAATAAAAGCATGTATTTCTCACTCACGGATCAGTGGGTTGGCTGGTGTGACTGCTTTAGGCTGTGGGTCAGGCTCCCTGTGTCTCTCATTCTGAACCAGAACCACCTGGGGCATGCTCTTCTCATGGAAAATGGCAGTGGCACAGGAGGGAAGCTAAGCCATACAAGCACACGTAAAGCCTCTGCTCATGCCTCATTCACTTGCACTCTGATGTCTGAAGGAAGTCACATGGCCAACCCAACATCAGTGGGATAATATGTTCTTCCCATAAAGGGGTGGCGGGGGTATGGGAGAGGGAGAGCAAATGCTTGCTAAATGAAAATACAGTCTCCCCCAGAATCCTGTGGAAAGCTGGGCAAGAGAGGATGATTGTACCATGGAGAGAGCTCTCTTGGGGAAAAAAAAAAAAGAGAGAGAGACAAGTGAAGACAATGCCAAGGGCATGTTGTACAAATGGCCTAGTCAGTTGAAGAACACAGATAGCCCTGTCCTGACACATCGTCACAACAGATGAGATACCTGTTGGGGAAAGGGTGTAAATTGGTGCAACATTTTTGGAAAGCTGTTTAATAATATCGCTTAAAATATAAAATGCACAAACTTTAAAAACAATCTACAATTTCCTCCTGGAATGGAACCTTATCTGTGGATATACTAGCCAAATGATATCAAGTAAGGCAATGTTTATAGTAGGAAACAAAAACTAGGAAAAAAACTAAATATCAGAAGAATATGGTTAAATAAATCATACTATATCCATAAAATGTAACATTCTGCAGTTGTTAAAAACAAAATACTAGCACTCTATATGTGCACATATCTAGAAATATCAAGATATATTAAGTTTAAAATGAAAATTCAAAAAAATGAGCAAAGAATATAAACAGGCAAGTCATCAAAGAAAACTCAAATTGTCAATGAATATAAAACATGCTCTTCTTCACTAGTGAGTAGGAATTTCTAATTACAAAAACAGTAAGATAGCATTCCACCCTCAGAAAAATTCATTTAAAAAATCTGATCATACCAAGTACTGGCAAAAATGTGGAAAAGCAGAAACTCTTCCGTGGTAGCAATAGCATCATTCGCAAGTAGTAAAGGAAACTGCGTCTTGAAACTTCTGCTCAACAAAGGGACAGCTAATGATATAGAAGGACCTTTTGTTTTCTTTTTTCTTTTGGAGACAGAGTTTCCCTCTGTCGCCCGGGCTGGAGTGCAATGGAGTGATCTCAGCTCACTGCAACCTCCACCTCCTGAGTTCAACTGATTCTCCTGCCTCAGCCTCCCAAGTAGCTGGGATTACAGGCATGCACCACCATGCCCAGCTAATTCTTGTATTTTTAGTAGAGATGGGGTTTCACTATGTTGGCCAGACTGGTCCTGAACTCCTGACCTCAAACGATCTGCCCTCCTTGGCCTCCCAAAATGCAAGTATTACAGATGTGAGCCACTGCTTCCAGCCTGTTTTCTTTTTATGATAATTATAATAATGTAGATATAGGCTGTGAATTTTAAAAAAGCATTTAGAAAAGGCTTTCATGGCATCCAGGTGGGGAATATAGAGCTATGTGGGTTGAAGATTAGAACGATTAGGAGCATCCATAGCTGGCTAAAAAAAGGAAGTACAGATTGATTATCCAGCAAGTGTGAGCCAAAAGGGGTCTCTACTGGTGTGCCAAGGGTCTCTAGACTAGACTCTTGCAATGTCTCAACTGACAAGATGGATGGCCTGGTCATCAAATGGTCAAATTATTCATCCAGCATAGTGCACATCCAACCAATCTACTGGGCAAAGGCAAAAAAAATTCAAAAAGACCGGGCAGATAAAATGAATATGTCCACAAACAACAAAACGAGTGTCAAAGGCATCAATGTGAAGCCAAGTGTTTGAGTACAAATATTCACTGGGACAAGTGCAGAGTCAGAGATATGAGGTTTGTCAACAGTCCATGTAAAAAAGAACTGGGAGGGTTTTTCACTCATTAAAAGATCAATTTAAGTCAACAATATATGTGTCTACCAAAAGTAAAAATAAAAATCTATACAGACTAAGCTATGTCATTAGAAGAGTTCAGAAGTTGTTGAAGTAATTACATCATTACATGAGGTGTCTGTTCAGATTTGGTTTCTGCCTTTTTTTTTTTTTGGAGACGGTCACCATGCTGGAGTGCAGTGGCGCGATCTTGGCTCACTGCAACCTCTGCCTCCCGGATTCAAGCAATTCTCCTGCCTCAGCCTCCTGAGTAGCTGGGACTACAGCGCGTGACACCACACCCAGCTAATTTTCGTATTTTTAGTAGAGACAGGGTTTCACCATGTTGGCCAGGCTGGTCTTGATCTCTTGCCCTTGTGATCTGCCTGCCTCGGCCTCCCAAAGTGCTGGGATTACAGGCGTGAGCCACTGTGCCCAGCCGGTTTCTGCATTTTAAGAGGGACATTAAAACATTATTTCTATGGACAATGTATAAAACATTTAGTTTGCTCCAGGAATAAGTAAATATAAACAACAGCATAAGTTTTGTGTCATTTAATAGTTACAACAGCTCTATGAGGCAGGCACTAAAATCCTCGTTTTACATAAAAAGGGACTACAGCTCAGAAAGGCCAAGGCAACACTCTAACCAGGACTCAAACCCAGGTCCCTAAATCTATAGCCCTGGCCTTTACATGTGATGTTCCTCCACTCCCAGCTAGAAGTGGGAAGGCAAAACTCAGGATGAATGCTGCAGCCGTGATCCCCATTGGGAACAGAGCTCAGCAGCAGCCATTCAACGCTTGGTACATGTTTATATAACTATATGGTATAATTTCAGCAGTTGAGCCAATCACTGGGCCCAGGAGGCTTATAGAAACTAATCAATGCTTGGTCATAAAGATAGAAAATAAAAATTAAAACTGAACACTTTAGTAGTCACTAGTAACTATTAACAGTCAATAAATAAATTGACGATAGCACTCTTTAGCGGCAGAGGCACCTACCACTGCCTCATCTGTCTGTACCTTCTCTGTCCCATCACCTTGATTTTTGTCGAGCTTCACCAATGGGGGGAAAAAAAAAAAGGAGAAGAAACTCCAGTGTCACTTTTGGCCTAGGCTAGAACTCAGGGAGGCTGAAAGCAGGGAGGCCACAAAGACTGACATGGAACTTTCCTGTTACAATCTTTCACATTTCCAAACTGACAGAGGGAACAGCACAAAGAAAAATCAATGCTAAGGGCTCCAGCAGAAAGCAACCCAAGTCAGTTTCATGAGACTCGATCCCAGGAATTTTTCCTTATCTACTGCAAAGGAGAAAGCCACTATTGGAGGGAGCTAGGCCATGAGTCTGGAGTTCCCGGCCACTGTTTTGCCATCTCTGCCTGGTCATGAAGGCCACATAGAGGAAAGCTCTGGGGAAGATGGAGAGAAGACGACGTGTAGATGGCATCGGTACTGGTTACCGAGCGTGACTGATGAATTACCCCCAAAAAGAAGCCACTTAAAGCAACACGTTTACTATCTCACCTGTGCTGTGGGTCAGAAATGCAGGAGTAGCTTAGCTGGGCGGTTCTGATTCAAGGTCTCCCCGGAGGCGGCGGTCATCTCAGGGCTCCCTGTGGGAAGAACTGCACTCACCTGGCAGCAGGTTTCAGAGCACACCTGAGTCTGAGCTCACTCACGTGGGTGTTAGCAGGCCTCGGGTTCTTGCTGAGAGCTGGAGACCTCAGTTTCTTGCCACCGGGGCCTCTCCATAGGACTACTCCCAACATGACAATTTGATTCCTGCAAGTGGAGGGCTCTATGAGAAGAGCAAGCAATGGCACGCAAGGCCCAGGTCACAGTCCCTCTGCAAGCTAATCTCAGAAACGACATCCCATCATTTTTATTGTATTCTATTTGTTAGAAGCAGATCTTAGGTCCAACTACACTCAAGGGGAGGGGATTACACAGGGCGTGAGTACCAGGAGGCCAGGATCATTGAGAGCCATTTGAGAGACTGCCTAACACAGTATCATTTGAGCCCCTGGAGGCAGCCATGCCTGAAGCCTGATTCCTCCTAGTCTTCTCAGTTATGAGAGGTGATATATTCTCTCTTTGTAAGAATCAGTTCAAGTTGGGTTTCTGTCATGTCATGTGTAGCCCAAAGACCTCTTCACTAAAACGTTAATACGCATCCTGAAGGTCCACACCAATAAAACCAGAGTGGCAAGAGAGTTCATCAGACAAGCTTTCCCTGGAGTGGATGCAATTCTTTTTTAGGTTTTATTGTTTTGTTTTGTTGTTTTGGCAGCTCTATGCCCAGTGCCTACCAAGCAGAATTCTTAACTGTTCTGTACAATCCTTGATGGTATTTTTGGACTTATTCTGCCTGGTTATAAAAATCTAGCATTCTCAGATTCTTCTCAGCTAATTTAGCATGCCTGTGTGCAGTGTGAGAGCATGCCAAACTCAAAATTTTCCTGCCAAAAATGACAGTAACTAGAATTAGACCATCAGGAGTGCAATTAGTTTAGACATGCTATTAACACCCCAACCATGAACACAGAAGGAAAAGCTGGAAAAAATGGAAAGTTAAAAGAAAAATAAGTTAGCTCAGTTAATGGCAAACAATAAAATAAATTTCTACCCTGAATTCGATGTTGTTGTGGTTTTGGTTGTTTGTAAATGATGCAAAATTTTAACAATCACTTGCATAAATTTAGCAGAAAAACAACCTACCATGTGTCTCTGGCTAATAAACTATACTGTGGAGAATACTGAGATTTGAGAATTTTCCCTTCTACACCCAGCCTTAAAATGTATTCTCTTTAGCACCCAATCACGGTGGATGGTATCACTTATCTCTCAGACACTCAACCATGACATAAAAGCTGTATGAGTTGGTTTGCTTTATGAAAGATATCATCTGTGTGTGTATTGCCTAAATATGTGTGTGTGTGTGTGTGTGTGTGTGTGTGTGTGTATCTAGATATATTTTTAAACACCGGCTCTTACTACATTGCCCAGGCTAGAGTGCAGTGGCTATTCATGGGTGCAATCACAGCACATTGCAGCCACAAACTCCTGGGCTCAAACGATTCTCCTACCTCAGCCTCCTACCTCAGCTGAGGGCACCACTACACTCACCTCATAAAATACATTATTTAAAAAAAAAAATTCAGCCACTCTTTTGAGACAAGGTCTCATTCTGTTGCCCAGGCTCGAGTGCAGTGGCACGATCTCGGCTTGCTGTAGCCTCGACCTCCTAGGCTCAAGCCATTCTCCCACCTCAGTCTCCTGAGTAGCTGGGACCACAGGTGTGCCCCACCATATCCAGCTAATTTTTTTTCTTTTTTGTAGAAACAGGGTCTATGCTGCCCAGGCTGATCTTGCACTCCTGGGCTTAAGTGATCCTCCCACCTTGGCCTCCCAAAGTGTTGAGATTACAGGTATCAGCCACCACGCCTGGCCAGTAATTATATTTTTAATAGGAGATGCTCACATGCACAACAGGGTTCCACTCTCCTCTACCATCAGGGGTTGTCAAACTTGAGTATGCTTCCAAATCATCTGGGGGCTTGTTGAAACAGATGGCTGGACCCCATCCCTGAGTTTCTGATTCAATTGGTCTGGGGTGAGGACCTAGAATCTGCATTTTGAACCAGTTTCCAGCTGATGCTCCTGCCGGTTGAGGACCAGTGCTCCAAAAGCTGAAGGGAACTTGTTCTTCTCACAGCCACTCTTAGGCCCCTGGCTCACTCATGGGGCCTCTAGAACTCTCACCTTTCTCTGGCATTGCTAATTCTCCAACCGCCATCCCTCTCTTTCAAGTCCATTCCTCCTAGCCACCAAGAAAGGCAACCCAATTTTGTGACATTTCTAGCATTCGTTAGCTTAAAAAATTTAATTTCTGATGACATCTTTCTCATTCTAAATAAATGTTCCTTTTTGTATCTAGTTTTTATTCCAAATTTTGTGCTCTCTCGCTTACAGACCACTCACATACACACAATTACGTCAACCTTCAGGCCCCACCAGACTAATAGTCCATTATCGCATTGCTATAAAGAAATACTTGAGACTGGGTAATTTATAAGAAAAGTGGTTTAATTGGCTCATGGTTCTGCAGGCTGTACAGGAAGCATAGAGGTTTCTGCTTCTGGGGAGGCCTCAGGAAGCTTCTGATCATGGCAGAAGGTGAAGGGGGGGCTGGCATTTCTCATGACAGAAGCAGGAGCAAGAGAGAGCAAGGCAGGAGGTGCCACATACCTTTAAACAACCAGATACTACAAGAACTCACTATCATTACGACAGTACCAAGAGGATGGTGCTAAACCATTCATAAGAAACACCCCCATGATCCCATCACCTCCCACCCGGCCCCACCTCTAACACTGAGAATTACAATTGAACATGAGATTTGGGTGGGGACATAGAGCCAAAACATATCAACCACAAAACCTGGACTGGCTTCACTGCATGGAGCTCTTCATGGGAGGGGCCTGAGAGAGGGAGACTACCTAAAGTAGCTGTTCGGTATCTCCAAAAACTCCCCCTACACCCTCTTCCACACAGACAGAGGGAAACTCCTCAAAAGGCACTGACCTTTTAGAAGGAGACTTGTGCTAAGCACTGACTCCTGGAGGGGAGGTCGCATGCCTTCAGCATAGCATGAGGAAGTGACCCCCCGACTAACACCGGTCAGGAGGACATTTCCAATCCCACCAGGGCCCAGGGCCAGGTGAAGCCAGTCAGGGACAATAGACCCTGTGAAGATTTAATAGCTGGTGCAGTACCACAGCAGGTGTTAAATTAAGTCGTGTTTTGAATATTCTCCTTGGAAGCCCAAATATCTAGGGATAGAGCCAGAGAGAACTATGACATTTAGCCCAGTCTGACTTTTAACCCAGGCATTGCTCCTCTGGGCTTACTTACTTACCCGATCACAGGCTCTCTCCCCTACAAGAAGGCAAGCTCCTAAACAGCAGCAGCTTTGGCCATCAGCATTACATGTAAAAATAGAAAGCTATAAACTGCAGGACTTTTTTCAGCCTTAAGATTATACTTGAAATCAGAAGCTACATGTTCCAAAAATGGTCATTAAGAAACTTTAAAAAAATAAAAATACTATCACCACAAATGCTTTGAGAATAGCAAGCCCAGCTAGTCTCAAAGAAACCAAAAAGATGAATTTTAGCCAAGTTGGAGTAAAAGCCCTTTCAAGCCAGATCATAAAACTGGGTGCTTCATTTGCCACAAGAATTCTTGCGAAATTCTATTTTAGCTGCCATGGTTTACTGTTACATAACCTTAACCCAGAGACTATGACACTTGTTTTACTATTTGCTGTAGAAAATTGAATTTGCTCATTGTACATTTGTTATGAAAAATTTGGTTACCATAATTTAACCCATTATTGGTGACTTATCTGATCGTATTACAACTAACCAAGCCAGGACTATAAAAAGTGATGTAGATTCACTGGGGGTTAGAGAAAGCAACATGAACTTTTCCTCTTCAGGTAAGTCATGTAAAGTGAGTGGGCTGGTTGTTAGCTTTTTAAAATGATAATAGCAGAATAGTTTTTGAAAAGCAACGCAAGAGCTTGACACACTTTCTTCCGCCTAGGTCCCAGCATCTAAAAGAGTGTGTGGTACTTGACAGGTGCTCAGTAAATGTTTGTTGACTGACTTATTCACTGGCTTCTCATTAACGCTGAGAGGAAAAGTATCTGTTAGCACGGGGCTCAACTGGAGGTCAAAATGTTAGAGCAGAACTTTCCTGGGATTCTCTGAAATAACTTTTATCAATTTGCCTCAAATCTTTAAATGTCTAAGCTTTCCTCAAACACATAACTTAGTATCATGAAGGAGACTGGATCCAGTGAGAGATGAAATGCTGTTATGAACTATATCCTTTCAAAATGGTCAAAACAGTGGATTAAACACGTCACATACATGAAGCAGTAATTCAGGAGGCCACTAGAGGGCAATAAAGGGCCAGGAATTTATTCCAGAGCCAAGAAAGCCCACTAAGGGCATGGGAATGACCTAACTCCCATTTAGGCCCAGTTTCTTTTTTTCTTTGTTTTTTTTGTTTTTGTTTTTTTTTTTTTAATTATACTTTAAGTTCTAGGGTACGTGTGCACAATGTACAGGTTTGTTACATATGTATACATGTGCCATGTTGGTGTTTCTATGAGCCTGAGGGCAGAGGTGAGAACACCGCTGAAAAAAAGGGAAAAGACAGAGATGGATGATTTTTTAAAATTTAATCCAAATTAGCAAAGCACATTAATAAAGTAGGAAATGCTTAAAAGTCATGGACACAGGGAGCAGAGAACAATCACATTACTAGTAGTGTTAAATACAAGGTTGAAAATATCAAAGACCAGGGAGAATATGCAAAATCAACACCTGAATCACTAGAAATTCTAGAATCTGAAGAGAGAAAGCAAAGGGCGCATGGTCTGGTAAACCTGGACTGACCCTCTCAGCCTGAAGTCAAATACCCTGCAGCAACTAGATACTGCTGAACTGTGTCCTGTGATGAGGAAAAATGATTTTAGGCATTTGGCATTTATCTAACTTCTGGCATTGTCCATCATCCTAGAAGGCAGTACCCATTTACTGACCACATGATCTTAACCTCTCTACGTCTCACTTCCCTCATCTGTTCATTGGAGCTAATAATGATAGTCCAAAGTAGTTGTCCTTTTTATATGACAAATTCAATGTAGACTTCTCATTATACAAAATGCAGTAATTTAAGCTAATCCAGACAAAGAATATCAAACATTTCTGCTGTCAAGCAGGCACCATTTACAACACACTCAGCCAGTCAGCCTTGGTTACAACCAGTCATGTAACCTTGATGTTCCATGATGTTTGACAAGATTTGGTTGGGGGTGGGGGAGCGATGGGAGGAGGTGAGATGTATAATACAAATTTGCCTCATTTCAAACTTTGCACACAAAGCACGATTTTATTAATATCTTTATTGCACTATATCAAATTTCCATTAATTACATTTTAATTAAGTTAGCATGCCCCGTACCTACCCCACGACTGCTGTGAAAATGAAGAGTCCTGGGCACAAAGTAGACCTTGATAAATCTCAGCTGTTTATGTCAGTGAGCTATGGCTGTGTAAAAAAACACCCAGAACTCCATGGCTTAAAATAACAGGAATTTGTTAATTCTCCTTCATCTGCCAGTCAGCTGGGGAGGTGGCTAGTCTAGGCAGGGCTGGGCAGTTCTGCTGGTCTCTGTTGGGCTCATTCATACTTCTGTAAGCAGCTAGGGATTGAATAATCTAGGCTGAATGTAGCTCGGCTCCATCTATCTTTCCATTCCCCGGGGATTAGCAAATTAGTCATAGCAATAACAGAAGTGCAAGAAAGCAAGTGGAAACACACCAGCACTTGAGACTCAGACTCAGGACTAGAGGACCAGCACTTCTGCCCCATGCTATTAGCCACACCAATCACATGGCCAAGGCCAGATTCAAGGATGGGGAAATAGTGTCTGCTAGCTGATACATACTATGCATCTTTTTTTTTTTTTTTTTTTTGAGATGGAGTTTTGCTGTTGCCCAGGCTGGAATGCAATGATGCAGTCTTGGCTCACTGCAGCCTCAGCCTCCTCTCGCTTCAGGGCTCAAGCTATTCTCCCACCTCAGCCTCCCAAATAGCTGGGACTATAGGCACACACCACTATGCCTGGCTAATTTTTGTATTTTTTGTAGAGATGGGGTTTTGTAATGTTACCCAGGTTGATCTCAAACTCCTGGGCTCAAGCAATCCTCCCATCTCAGTCTCCCAAAGTGCTGGGAGTACAGATGTGAGCCACCACCCCCAGCACTTTTTTTTTTTTGTCGTCTCCCACAACTAGAGTGTGAATGCCTTTAAAACAGGGATCCCGTCTTATTCCCATTTCACCATTGAGGAAACAAAGGCAAGGAAAAGCCATATAGCTATGAAGTGACAGAAGCAAGATCAAATTAAAAGAATTTGGATCCAAAGTCTGTGCTATTAATCACTACACTATATTAACTCTCCTAATCAAAGACATGTAAGTAATTGTATGCTGTGAAAGATTCTCAGCCCCAAATTGGGCCTAAATATTCTAACCCTTTTTTCCTGAAGCAAGATTGTCTGGAGGAAGCATCAAATCACTGTTTACTATTGGATCAGATGGTAACACAGAAGGGATGCATTGAGAAAACTGCATTTATTATAAAGACCAGAAGAGTCCGTGAAACAACCCAGAAAGATCATCTGGTCCATCCCTCTGCCTCCAGGCAAGACTGCACGTGAGTCTTATTAGGAGTACTTCAGTCAGCTATAATTTTTAGCCTTCAGAGCCTATTTCCACAACCACCTCTGGAAATGCTTATCAGTGTCTCATAATTCCATCAGCAAATTTTCTTAATGTTAGACCTAAATCATTCAGTTTAATTGCACTATGATTTGGATCAGCTCTCCTTTGTAAGGTTTAGATCAGGGGTTGCATACCGTCAGACTGTGGGCTGAAACCATCCTGCAGACATATTTTGTTTTGCCTGCACTGACAAAAATGTTTAAATAATTGCCAACATTTAAAAATAAGATTCTATTAAAAATCCAGCTCTTCTCAAAATAAGTTCCCTGAAAGGGTTTGCTTATAAGCAGAATTACCTACTCTTTTTAAGTTTGGTGAAAGTCACCTATAAAACCTTCTGAACTTGGTGTCTTCAAGGGATGATATTAACAACTGATCCAATTTGGTTAATATCATAAAACTATTCATTTTTCTACTTATTCTTAATTTAATTTAGTTATATTTTTCTAAGAACATAATAATTTAATCTAAGCCTTCCAATTTATCTGCAAAAAGTTGTTCATAATTTCCTTTTACTATCATAATGTCTGCAGCATCTGTTGTTTTATTTCCCTTTTCATTCCTATCATTGTTATTTACATCTTTTCTCTTTTTTATGGGATAATTTTGCCTGAAGTCTATTTTATTGCTATTTTTCTATGAACCAGTTCTTGGTTTTGTTGATCTTCTCTACTGTGTCTTTCTTTTCTATGTCAATATTGTGCTCTTATTATTTCTAAACTGCTCTTTTTCTTTGGGAATGATACACCAGGTTTATTCTTACATTTTTTAAGTTGGAATCTTAGCTCATTGATGTGGAGCCTTTCTTTTCTGATATAACCACTTAAACTATCCATTTCTGGGTGTCATTTTAGCTGTACCTCACAAGTTTTGATATGTTGTATTTTATTGTTCAATTTTTAAAATATTTACATCAGAATTTTTTCCTTTGACCCATGAGGGGTGATGGATTTGGTAAACTGGCATTTATCCTCTTTCTACAAACCTCTTTATACACTACAGAAGTACTACAGAGTCCAAAAAGTGAAAAACTTCATATGTCAGACTCCCTTGCAGCTACAGTTCTGAATGTGAATTAGGTTCCTCCATTCAACACACCTACACATGATTTGAAAGGAGGAACAGAAGTAAATGCCCTCTTCCTGCTGACAGGCAAGGTCATGGAATGTTTTGTTTTTCTTCCATAGCACTCCTGTGTCTAGTCTCTCTGGGTTTTTTAAGAGTTGGTTTTGATGGTGGCAGCACTGAACTCAGAGTTCTCATGTTCAGGCACTGGCTTTGTGGGTATGTGGCAGCTGTGATGGCAGCAGGGGCTGCTTCCTGATCCCTGGGCTATGACCTGAATGTTCACATCCGAATGTTCATATCCCCTGATATCTATCCTCTAAAGCAAGTGTTAAGAGGTGGGAGTCTTTGGGAGGTGACTATGCCATAAGGACTCCACCCTCACAGATGGGATTAGTGCCCTTAAAAAAGGCTTGCCAGGCGCAGCAGCTCACACCTGTAATCCCAGCACTTTGGGAGGCTGAGGCAGGAGGATTACTTGAGCCCAGGAGTTCGAAACCAGCCTGGGCAACACAGTAAAATCCTGTCTTTACAAAATAGAAAAATTAGCTGGGCGTGGTAGTGTGCTCCTGTAGTCCCAGCTACTTGGGAGGTGGAGGTGGGAAGATAGCTTGAGTCCAGGAGGTTGAGGCTGCAGTGAGCTGTGATCATGCCAGCACACTCCAGCCCAGGCAATAGAGTGAGACCCCCATCTCAAAAAAAAAAAAAGAAAAAGAAGTAAAAAGAAAAGAGGGTTCCACCATATGAGGACACAATGTGAAGGCGCCACTTATGAAACAGGCCCTCACCAGACACACATTCTTCTGGTGCTTTGACCTTGGGTTTCCCAGCCTCCAGAACTGTGAGCAACAAATTTATATTGTTTATAAATTGCCCAATATAATGTACTTTGTGATAGCAGCCCAAACAGACTGAGATGCCTGGATCACGGTCCAGTGGCCTGTTCAACTCAACAGTTCCCAGTGGCACGACAGCTGCCACAGGAAACCTGCACAGTGCCCTGGTTCCCACCCTCCCACCCTGGCAGAGTCCAGGGCAGTGCCCTTGGGATATTGTTCTGGGTACCATCTCCATAAACCCCACCTAAAGTTCAATTATCCATGCCTTCCAACAGTTTTGTAATCACCTGATTCCTAGTATGAAGACCTTTTCTGCTCAAAATAGCTATGGTGATTTTTTGATTTGAGTACTGAATGATACAGAGGATTTTTTTAGTTTTAGATATTTATATCTCACAATTGGATTGTTGTCAGAGAATATGTTCTATATGGTACTGAATTTCCAAAATTTGTAAAAGCTAGATTTGTGATCTAGCATGTGGATAATTTTATCAATATTTCTTATGTACCAGCAAAAGATGCATATTCTCCAACTGTTCCTGTAAGTTCTTTATACAATGCATGCTAATTGCGCTGTTCAAATCTCCTATATCCCATTGATTTTTGTCTGCTTAATCCAAAACTTACTGAGAGCAATGTGTTAAAATTTTGTACTATAATGATGGATTTGTCACTTTCTCCTAGATTTGTCGTTTTGCTTAAAATATTGTGATACTGTGTTATTAGATACATACAAGTTTAGAATTGTTATAACTTTCCAGTAAAGTCTATCTTTAATTATTTTGAAGTTACCAGCTTTTCTATCCTTTGACTTTGCACCTTTTTTGTATCCTTATGTCTCATTTAATGGCATAATTTTATTTAAATTCAATCTGACATTCTTTACCTTGTACCTGAATTGTGGTCCATTTACCTTTGTTGGGATTAAAGGTAAGTTTCAATTTATTTTTACCATCTTAATTTTCTACAGATCCCTATTGTAGATTACTGAGTGTGGGTTTCTACTGATCTACTGATTGTTCTTCTCTTTCTCTATCCTTCCTGTTTTACCCCCAGATGTTTTAAGATGCATATTCTTATAAAGACTAAAGTTAATCAATATCCTTACCTTCCTCCCAAACAATACTAGAAGGATAGAATATGTTTTTGCTAATCATAACACTAATAACTTATATGCTATTTCTGTTCAGTATTTTGGGCCTATTTTGTTTTGCCTCCATAAATACAGACTTATTAATATCATTATTTTATAGGGTTAATGTTAGCTTATCGATATCCACACATTTACCAGTGTCTGTGTTTATCATTCTTTTTTACCTATCTGGAAACTTCTCTTTCTTCCTAAAATTCTTCCTTGAATTTTCTTCTGATAAAGGTCTATTATTAAATGCTCAAATTTGGGTTTTTCTAAAAATCTCTTAATTTTGTCCTAATACTTGAGAAATATTGTGTGAGTATGGAATTATGGTTTGAAAGTTATTTTCTATTATTAAATTTAAGCTATTATGCTACTGTCTTCTGGCTTCCATTTTTGCTATTAAGAACCAGCCTTCTTAAATAGAAAACCAATAACAAGTAAGGAGATTGAATCAGTAATAAAGTCTCCCAACAAAGCAAAGTTCAGGGCCGGATAGCTTTGCTGCCACTCTACCAAACTTATAAAAAATAACTAACACCAATTTTCCTCAAGCTTCCAGAAAACTGAAGAGAAAAGAATTATCCCTAACTCATTCTATGATGCCAACATCACCCTGATACCAAAACCAGACAAGAACACAACAAAAAAAGGAAACTATAGGCCAATATCCCTGATGAACACAGTGACAAAAATCCTCACCAAAATACTAGCCAAGTGAATCCAACAGCATGTCAAAAAAAGATAATACACCATGATCAAGTGGGAAATATCTCAGGGATGCAAGGATGGTTCAACATGGACAAATCAATAATCATGATTTATCAATAGAATCAAGGACAAAAACTACATGATCATCTCAATAGATACAGAAAAAGCATTTGATAAAATTCAACATCTCTTTACAATAAAAACTCAACAAGCTAGACACAGAACATATCTCAACATAACAAAGACACAAACTCATAGCTAACATCATATTTAGTGGGGAAAACCTGAAAGCCTTTCCTCTAAGAACTGCAATAAGACAAGGATGTTCACTCTCACCATTCCTATCAAACATAGTACTGGAAGTCTTAGCTAGAGCAATCAGGTGAGAGAAAGAAATAAAAAGCATCCAAATGCAAAACAGGGAACTCAAATGGTCCCTCATTGCGGATAGCATGATCTTCTATTTAGAAAAACCTAAAGACTCCACCAAAAAAACTCATGGATCTAATAAATTAATTCAGTAAAGTTGCAGGATACAAAAATCAACATACAAAATCAGCTGCATTTCTATACACCAATAATGAGCTAGCTGAAAAATAAAATCAAGAAGGCAATCCCATTTACAACAGCTACCAAAAAAAAAAAAAATACCTAGGAATAAATTTAACCAAGGAGGTGAAAGACCTCCACAAGGAAAACTATAAAACACTAATGAAAGAAATTAAAGAGGACACAAACAAATGGAAAGACATCCAATGCTCATGGATAAGAACTCATATTGTTAAAATGATCATACTACCCAAAGTAATCTATGGATTCAATGTAATCCCTATCAAAATACTGATAACATTTTTCACAGAAATAGAAAAAAAAATCTTAAAATTTATATGGAACCCGAAAAGAGCCCAAATAGCCAAAGCAATCCTGAGGGAAAAGAATAACATTGGAGGCATCACATTACCTAACTCCAAAATATATTACAAGGCTATAATAAACAAAACAGCATGATAGTGATATAAAAATAAACAGAGATCAATGAAACAGAAGAGATAACCCAAAAATAAATTTATGTATTTACAGCCAACTGATTTTTGGCAAAGGCAACACGGATATATACGGGAAAAAGGACAGTCTCTTCAATAAACGGTGCTGGCAAAACTGAATATCCATATGCAGAAGAATAAAACTAAACCCCTCTCACTATATACAAAAATCAACTCAAAAATTGATTAAAGACTTAAATGTAAGACCCAAAACTATAAAACTACTAGAAAAAAAATATAGGGAAACACTAAGACATTCGCCTAGGCAAAGATTTTATGATTAAGATTTCAAAAGCACAGGCAACAAAATGTGTATCCATCATATAGACAAATGAAACTATATTAAACTGAAAAGCTTCTGCACAGCAAAGGAAACAATCAACAGAGGGAAGAAAAAAACTGTTGAATGGGATAAAATATTTGCAGACTATTCATTCAACAAGAGACTAATATCAAAAGCATACAACGAACTCAACAGCAAAAAAGAAAAGAACTAAATTTAAAAATGGGGCAAAGGACATGAACAGATATTTCTCAAAAGAAGACATACAAATGGCCAACAGGTATATTTAAAAATCCTCAACATCACTAATCATCAGGGAAATGCAAACCAAAACTACAATGAGATATAATCTTACCCCAGTTAGAATAGCTATTACCAAAAAGACAGAAAAGATGCTGAGGAGAATGCAGAGAAAAGAGAACTCTTATACGCTATCGGTGGGCACGTAAGTTAGCCATTATGGAAAACAGTATGGATATTTCTCCAAAAAATGAAAAATAGAACTATCATATAATCCAACAATCTCACTAGTGGGTATTTACCCAAAGAAAAAGGAATCAGTATATCAAAGGGATGCCTGCACTAGTCACAATAGCAAAGATATGGAATCAACCCATGGGTCCATCAAAGGATGAATGGTAAAGAAAATTCAGTAATATGTACCCAATGGAATACTGTTTGGCCATAAAAAAACAGAATCCTGTCATTTGCAGCAACATGGATGAAATTAGAAGTTATTATATTAAGTGAAATAAGCCAGGCACAGAAAGACAAATATCACATATACTCACTCATATGTGGGAGCTAAAAAAATTTCATCTTGTGGAGGCAGAGAGTAGAATAATACTTACCAGAGACTGGGAAGTGTGTTGGGGCAAGAAGAATGAAGAGAGGTAGATTTATGGGTATGAACATACAGTTAAGTAGAAGGAATACATTCTAATGTTTGTAGTAGAGTAGGGTGACTAGAGTCAAAAACGTGTTATATATTTCAAAGCCGCTAGAAGAGAGGACTTGAAATACTCCCAACACCTAGAAATGATAAATGCTTGAGGCAGTGGATGTCCTAAATAATGACTTGATCATCACATAGTCTGTGTGTGTAACAAAATATTACACATTCCCAGTAAATATATACAAATATTATGTATCAAAAAAATTAGGGTGGGCATGGTGGCTCACGCCTATAATCCCAGCATTTTGGGAAACCGAGGCGGGTGGATTACTTGAGGTCATGAGTTCGAGACCAGCCTAGCCAACATGGTGAAACCCTGTCTCCACTAAAAATACAAAAATTAGCCGGGCGTGGTGGCACATGCCTGTAATCCCATCTAGTTGGGATGCTGAGGTAGGAGAATTGCCTGAACCCGGGACGCAGAGGTTGCAGTGAGCCAAGATTGAGCCACTGAACTCCAGCCTGTGCAACAGAGCAAGACTCCATCTCAATTAAAAAAAAAAAAATTAAGACAACCTTCTCTAATTGCTGTTTCTTTTTAATATGGCTATTTTTACGATCTCATTTTTGTGGTGGTGTTCCATGGTTTGCTTATGGTGTGTCTTGGTAGATTTCTTTTTTTTTTTTTTTTCTTTGAGATGGAATCTCACTCTGTCGCCCAGGCTGGAGTGCAGTGGCGCGATCTCGGCTCACTGCAAGCTCCGCCTCCCGTTCACGCCATTCTCCTGCCTCAGCCTCCCGAGTAGCTGAGACTACATGCGCCCGCCACCACACCCAGCTAACTCTTTGCATTTTGAGTAGAGATGGGGTTTCACCGTGTTAGCCAGGATGGCCTCAATCTCCTGACTTTGTGATCCACCCGCCTCAGCCTCCCAAAGTGCTGGGATTACAGGCGTGAGCCACCGCACCCGGCCTTATTTCTATCTATACTACTTGATATTTCTTGGGCTTTCTAAATCTGATGAAATCTGCTTTCATCAAATTTGGAAAATTCTCAGCCATTGTCTCTTCAACATTACCTCATTGACATTGTCTCCTTCTGAAACTCTAGCTGGTCATCTATTAAACACTCTTCTCTATCCTCTATGTCTTGTTACCTGTCTTGTTTTTGTGTCTTTGTCCCTCTGATCTATGTTACGGATAACTTTTCGAATTTATTTTCCCATTCACTAGTTCTCTCCTCAGCTTCATCTAAAATCTGATTTATTTAATCTATCCTTGGAGTTTTTATTTTCAATTACTGATTTTTTATTGTTAGAAATTTTATTTCTTTTGCAGATTTGCTTTGTGATGCCTTACAGTCTCTTTTCCAATCATATTTTCAAGTTGCTTTTATTTATTTAGATATATTACATATAACTATTGTATACTTTGCATCTGATGATTTTAATACTCATAGTCTTTAGAGCCTGTTTTGGATATCAGTTTTTCCAACTGGCCTTCAGTCAGGTGCCTCATTTCCCTTTTCTTTTTAAGATTTTTGACCTTGAAATGCTCACTTACTTAAAAGTAAAGAAATTCACCATAGGAAATCTCTGAAGCTGTCGTTCAGATTGCAATCCTCCAGGAAGTTTTTATGTTTGCTTCTGCCATTTTTCTGGGGACACTATCAACCCAGAAGCATTCCCTTTTTTTTTTTTTTTTAATTTGAGATGAAGTCTTGCTCCTTCTCCCAGGCTGGAGTGCAGCGGTGCAATCTCGGCTCACTGCAACCTCCATCTCCTGAGTTCAACCAATTATCCTACCTGTCTCCCAAGTAGCTGGGCTCGCAGGCATGCGCCACCACACCCAGCTAATTTTTGTATTTTTAGTAGAGACAGGGTTTCGCCATGTTAGCCAGGCTGGTCTTGAACTCCTGATCTCAGGTGATCTGCCCACCTCAGCCTCCCAAAGTGCTGGGATTACAGGCATGAGCCACTGCACCCAGTCTCAACCCAGAACCATTCTAAATGTAATTATCTGTTTGAGGTTTTGTTTTTTACCACATAGGTTACGTAAATTTGGACCACAACTCTGAGAGAGCCAGCTTGTCATTACAAATTCTCATGGGAGATATTTTTATTCCCTCTCGTCCGGTGTCAAGGTTGAAACAGGCAATTCTCCTTACTATCCTCTTCAGCGTATTAGGTTTATTTCTTGCTCACTCCTGCCATCAGATTGTAGCCTGTTGGGTTCTCATCCTTAGGCAGAAGAGTCTCCTAACAAAGACTCACTCCTTGGGCAAGCCCTAGCCTCATCGTCTACCCTCTGATCTCCCCTGCAACTATCAAAAAGGAAGCTGAAAGTCTCCTGTCTGTAGCGGAAACCCTCGGTATTACTTCACAGAATTCCTGCTTCCTTCTTGTTTTTTGACCTCTCCAGATTTCTTTCAAAGAAGCTCAGCATTACATGTTTTAAATATGTTGTTTTGTCTAGCATTTTGCTTCCAGTTTTCCAGTGGAAGATAATTTAGAGTGTTTAATCTTCCATATGGACAGAAACAGCTATCCCACCCCATGAGGAGTAGGTCACTGGAAGAGTGGCAGGTGGGGTAGGGGTCCTCTGATTACGTCCACAAGTGGCCAGTGGCCAGTAGTTCTGGGCCACTATTCCTGGGGCCAGTTTGGCCTCTGCAAGATTCTGAGAGAGCCAATTACTAAGGGCTCAGCCTTAGGAGGATGTGACTATCCAAAACTACACAAGATGCTTAGAATTACCTTTTTCTAAAGAACTGCTGCCATGGCAAAGCTTCTCCTTATAGATGTATTCTAACTAACAAATGAAACAACAAAGAGATTATTGTTTCCGAATATCACCGTTTTGCAACGGCCAATGAGTTAGTCCACGTAGACATTGAGAATCGATGGCTGCTAACATCATGCACATAAAAGAGAGATTACGAGATGAAAGAAGCCTCACCACCTAGCATCTTACCAAGGGCTCAAGCCTGAAGGTGAGCCAGCCTCTGGATCCAGCTGCCCATCTGCAGGATCACAAAGGTCAGAGGAACATGAGAGATGACCACGTACACGCAATCTAAGATCCAGATCACAGGTCAAGTGGCCCAGATTCTTAAGCCCATACATTTAAAGGGAAAGGAAAAGATGGAGGGGAACACGTAAATTAAAAATAACTTGAGGACACATGACAATATTCAAAAGGAGGAACAATATTAAACTACAGTGTCTATGGCTACACATTTAGATGACAAACTAGAAAGAAATGCAAATAAGTAATTGCTATAAAAGTCAGAACGGTGGTTACTTACGGGTGTGGGAGGCTGCTGTGTTTGGGTGTCCACGTTGCAATCATTAAGCTATACTTGTCTTTTGTGTGGTTTTCTATAGCTGGTTTTATTTCATAGTAAAAAGGGTTTTGTTAAACAGTCAGAAGGGGGCAGTTATTCCTATCTCAAAATATTATCTCACTGCTCAGTCTTTACTGGTCCAACCCTACCTGAAGTATTCAATAGCTTTTTGAATTAGACTCTAAGGAACCCAAGGCAACCTGACAACACTCTTTCCAAACATATGGGCACAGATACACAGTTCTTTATACACACACACTTACATATACACAGCATTCTTCCCTCCTGCTGAGACCTCATCCCTCTTGTCCTCTCCCCAAAATGTTGCACCTCCTCAGCAGCCTGGCTGCATCGGCTGCTTTTCCACAACCTCCCTGATCTCTAGCTGAATGTGAGCCTATCACTATCTGGTGCTCTCTCATGGGATATATCTGGATCTGTCTCATTTTGTAATGACTTCCCCTCCTTCTGAGTTATATGATTATAAACTCCTGCAAGCAGAGAGTACATAACTTGTTTCATGTGTCCCTTTTAGTATGCGCACAATATTTTGCACAATATGGCCATTGAGAAGCATTTCTTGTTAAGTACAAGAAATTTACGGTCTTTCTTGTCTGGTAATTAAGTTAAAAAGCAACTGATGTCTCTATCATTGCCTTTTTTTTTTTTTTTCTTTTCTGAGACAGAGTCTCGCTCTGTCGCCAAGCTGCAGTGGCACCATCTCAGCTCACTGCAACCTCCCCTCCTGGGTTCAAGCAATTCCCCTGCCTCCGCCTCCAGAGTAGCTGGGACTACAGGAGCGCGCCACCACACCTGGCAATTTTTTTTTTTTTTTAGTAGAGACGGGATTTCACCATGTTGGCCGGGATGGTCTGGATCTTCTGACCTCGTGATCCACCTGCCTTGGCCTCCCAAAGTGCTGGGATTACAGGCGTGAACCACTGCGCCCGACCCTATCATTGCTTTTTTAACAGTCATGTTGCTCATTCTGTGTTAACGGAGCATTGATTTTACTTAGCATTCAGTTCTAAGTCACAAAGGTCTGTAATTTGCTTGTCAGCTTCTCTCTGTTAACAGGCCAAAAAGAAGTACCAGGAATTGGCCAAAGCTTTGAGGATAAGCACTAGTGGTGTTGGCAGCGACATTCCAGCAGAGAGCAGCAGAGGGCTGAGCGCTGGGCAGCTGCCTGCTGCAGGGCTCCTTGCTCCCAGGAATGTATTTGAGAGATGAGGCAAGGCGGGCGGGCGCACCCCAGGAAATCTCCTATTTCAAGGCAGAAAATGTCTAGAATCAGAGAACAAGAAAAGCTAGAATGTACCATGAGCCTCTTTGATCTGAAAGAGATCATAGTTCTGATGGGATCTGTACTTGTTCTAAGTTCAGCCTCTGCTGGGGGTGGGGGTCAGCCTTGTTTTTTTGGTTGGTTGGTTGGTTTTGAAACGGAGTCTCTCTCTGTCGCCCACGCTGGATTGCAGTGGCACGATCTCAGTTTACTGCAACCTCTGCCTCCCGGGTTCAAGCGATTCTCCTGCCTCAGCCTCCCGAGTAGTTGGGATTACAGGCATGCACCACCACACCCAGCTAATTTTTGTATTTTTAGTAGGGACGGGGTTTCACCACGTTGGCCACTCTGGTCTTCAACTCCTGACCTCAAGTGATCCGCCCGCGTTGACCTCCCAAAGTGCTGGGATTACAGGCGTCAGCCAGGGCACCTGGTCTGTTTTTTGTTTTGTTTTAACATAACATCCTGAAGCAACCTTCCTCCTGACTCAGCATCTGCCTCCTGGAAAGCCACCTTCCTTCCTCTGAGGGGCAGCTTCTCCTCTGTTCTCTGAGAGAGGAGCCAGTGCTTTGATGCAGCCTTATGGTTTTTCTTTTGTGGACTGCCCCTAATTGCAGCAGTCAGCAAGTTCTTTGCAGGGAAGGGCTGACTCACCTGCATTTTGGAAGAAGCCATCCTTATTTTCAGGCACAGAGAACATCTATTAGCCCAAAATGTCTTCCAAATTTCAAGGAGTACATGTTTCAAAAGGAATTGTCATCACAGTTTTACTCCAAGCAGTTGGCTTCCAAGAAGCCTGTCTCTGGCCATTGGGGATGTTAAAATAACCTAAATTTGGCCTGAGGAAGCCTTTGCACCCAAGTCCTTACTTAACTAACTGCAGGCAGCCTGGCTTACTAATCTAATTGAAAGCCTAAATTTAGGAGTATGCTTTTGTAAAAAATAGCTGAGTCTCCGCCATCACGGCAACTGAGCTTCCTTCAATCCCTGGCTGCCAACGATCAAATAAGGCAAACGCTGAGCCGGAACCAGTTAAGCCCTATATGTACCTCACTTCTGTTTTCCGTGCATCCATAACACTTGATCACATTGTTGACCATGTTCTTAGAACCCGTTCTGAATCAGAGGGCTGCCTGATTCACATGTCATGTGTTTTTGTTTTCTGAGTTTTTGTTTTTTTCTCACTTAAACTCTGCTAAACTTGTCTAAGGTTTTTCTTTTTAACAGGGTCTCTGGAACTCACTGCTCAAAGATCTTCCCTCTTGTTTATTGAAAGGTGACAGGTCCCCTCTAAAAACTGCAAGGTCAAGTATGTCTGTGACTTTAGCGACTGTCAAAAGAATGCAGGCAGGCCCAACTGAGTGGGGACACAAGGAAATATAGGGGATGACAAACAAGAACCGTCAGCTCTTGTGCCAGCTTCCTACGTACCGTCTGTGTTGGAACAATCACCCAGGTACTGACAGGTGCCAGCCTAGCTGCAGAGCAGGCTAACCCCAACCCCACCAAGCCCTGAGGGTGAACGTGGAGCAAGAACCTGGCTCACCAACTACAGCAAAAGAACCGTCTTGTTGAGCAAACTCTTCCCATGGGACTGTATAATACCTTTGGTTTCCCAACTTTTTACAAATTTACCTTGATCCTGAAATCTCTGCAGCACTTAAAGATTATGGACTTTTCTGTGAGAATCAGAGCTTTTGGACTATGTGACAGTACTTGTTGCCTGCTCAAAGTCTATTCTTCCTCCTTCCTTAGTGAGAGAACTTTGGACAGTATGTTTGTTTAAAAAGAAACAACAACAAAAAACTGCATTCCAAGCCTCTTGCACAGATTAATGTCACTAAATATGCCGGCGAGCCTGGGGATGAGGCCTTTTGGGAGGTGCATCTGCCCCTGTCCCTGTCCGATCCTGACTGAAACAGGGACACGGCCACAGCAGGGATGGTCCAGCAGTCATCTTGTGAGCTCAGTGCTGACAGCCACCCACAGGAGTGGCAGGCATACACAGGAGGGGTTGACACCAGTAACCTTTTGGAGCCACCATACCTGCCTCAACTCCTCCCTCCTTCTGTTACTGGAGAAAATAACTGAAACATTTATTCCCTAATTTTCTTAAGTCACTGACATCAACCCCCACCACTATAAGTGGCAGGAGGTTACCCTGCCCCATGCATTGTAAGCATCCAGTTAACAGTCACAGAGAAAACCCAGATGGAAGAAAGACACCCTCTTGCCTTTCCCTGATCGAGATAGGCAGCATCTGTTTTTGTTTCTCTTCCCCATATTGAAACAGAAATAACATTAGAACCTTAGAGTAAGGGGGCCAGAGGGTCTGGAGAGAGCTTCGCATCTTAGAGGCTGGGCAGTGACCAACCTGTGTAGGGAACAGAGTGAGGCCCTACCATCAACGCCAACTCTAGGAGGAACACCCCAGCTGGCCTCCCTGCCCTGTCCTCCACCCCCACAAGTTACATCTGAAGTTGAGGGAGGTGCAGCCAAATGATGCTCCTTCTCTTTTTATTTAAATTGTAAACATAAACTCATTTAACCAGAAAGTTATGCAGATACATAGTACAAATACAAAAAAAAATAGAGGAACATCAAAAGTGCTAATAATTCCACCCAAAGACAATTTCTTTTTAAAGCTGCAGAAATAACCTTCCAGATCTTTTCGGATATACATATATACAAATACATATTTATCATTAAATGGGATAATACTATAGATAGAATAGTGTGATTGTAAGTGTGCAATTCCAACCCGTCAACAATACATTGCTATTTTAATGTAACTAGAGTTGCCTGCCCTTCTGTCTGGCTCCACTGACATACCAGACTTAGGTCTGCCCTCCCATGCCACCACCAGTCCATCTCCATTTCTAAAAGGGCTTGAGAGGTGGTGGCATCCTTCAGAGGATGGCTTTGAGACCAGAAGCTGAAGCTACTTCTCTGCACCAGTACCAACTGGCTTGGCTTGGGACAATGGTGGGCTGAGCATGCCGATGATTCTGCCCGACACGGACCATCCAATGCAGTTCACCCACCCCAGCCCCCAGCTTTCCCAAGATTGCATCGCCCTTCACCCTCTTCCAGTGCACTGAGGAGACATCTCCCTTTTTAGTTTCTTTCCAGTCTACTAAAGGTGTAAACTCATTGCTCCACTCCACTGGGGTCTTTCATTTTGGCTCCCCAGAAAACCGAATGTAAACGGTTTCTCCCCATATTTGGCCTCTGTAACAACTCCACCTCCAGCGATGAAGGGCCAAGGACCAGGAGAGATGGGAAGAGTGGTGAATGCCCTACCACAGCAGCAAGGTGGTCAAGCACAGAACAGGGCCCGGCCCGTGCCTCTGACTCCTGCCCTCTGTAACTTCTATGACCTCCAAAACGTAAGGTTCAAAGAACTAAAGGAGTCGAGTATATTAGATAACTATTAGCCAGGGGCAGAAAAAAGAGCTTTTATCTGAGGAATGCAAGTCCTTTTAATTATCAGGCCCAGAGAGACATTAAAATGAGACTACAATCATGCCCTACTCCCCACTTTGAGCTACGTATTCATCTCTTGAGACTATTTGCTCTTTCCACATTTAGCTATAAATTAACCTAATAATGCCACACCCCACACTAGAATCCACACCCTATAGCTTAACAATAGATAGCCATTCACTAATCGATATTTCTGTAAACCCATGAGAATTTCTGACAAACAATTTTGTGTCAGCCCATTTCCCATACCCCTTTTCTTGCCTTTAAAAATCCACTTGTGGCCAGGTAAGGTGGCTCACACCTGTAATTCCAGAACTTTGGGAGGCTGAAGCGGGAGGATTGCTTGAGCCCAGGAATTCGAGACCAGCCTGGACAACATAGCAAAATTTTATCTCTACAAAAAATAAGCCAGGCGTGGTAGCGCGCACCTGTAGTCTGAGCTACTCGGGAAGCTGGGGCAGGAGGATTACTTGAGCCCTGGATGTGGAGGCTGCAGTGAGCTGTGATCATCCCACTGCAGGCCAACCTAGGCAACACAGTGAGACCCTGTCTCAAAAAAAAAAAAAAAAAAAAAAAAAAAAAAAAAAAAAACCACTTGTAATCTCAGGAAAAAAAAAATCCGCTTGTAACTGCTGCTAATTGGAATGCATATTCAAGGCAACTTGAATCTGTGCTCCTGGCTGCAATCCTCAAATTTGGCCCAAATAAACTCTATTTGTATCAATTTTGCCTCAGGTCAACAGCCACAAACTAACTGCTTTTCTGAGTGCTGAGGGGCAGGTGGTAATGTTCAGACCATCATCATGGCCTGTGCCGAGTCTCCAACAAGTATAGCCTCTGCACCTCAGAAACACAAGAGGAATAGGTTTTGCTACCTCCTAGGTTAGTCTCAAAGCCCTTGGAGGAAAGATGAATTCTTTTCAACAAAAATAATCATGGCTAAGCTTTACCAAGCACTTATTCTGTGCCAGGCCCTTTTTGTATATAATCGCATTTAATCCTCACAAACACCCATGAGGTAGAGTCTGTTTCTATTCCCATTTTACTGATGAGGAAACTGAGGCCAGGATGGTTAATCAATGTCCCCAAGGTCATAGGGCTAGTAACTGGTGTATCCAGGAATTGAGCCCAAAAACCTGACTCTAGAGTTCATTCTCTCTACAGCGTGCAGCTGCCAAAGGAGAGATCAAAATCACCTCTCAGGCACCCATTTTCAAATTTCAGGGGATTTTCCTTACCACCTATTTCAGATTCAGTTCCTTTATGTCCACCTGTCCCAAAAAGTAGAACATAACAGATACAGGCATTCCGAACACTGGACTTCCATGGTCTCAAATCAAATCTTTATTTAATAAGACACAAGTGAGAAGAGTCCCTGGAAAGGACCAACTGGAAAACTGAGTAAGTTACTTCTGAGATCACAGCCCAGGAAAGAATAGTAACCCCATAATCCTATCTCAAAAAAGGGGCATGAGGTTTGAGCCAAGTCTCCTGTGAAATGTCAAAATCCTAGCCACAGCATCATTAAAGTAATTCAGAGGGAGAGCTTACATAGGTAGGCATCAAGACTTATTATAAACCTATGGCAGCTAAGAAAGTATGCATTGGTATAAAAATTTAGAAAAATAGACCAATGGATAGAATGGAGATCTCCAAAACAGACCCATGCACACAGGGACCCTCAGGTTACAAGGAAGGGAGCACTGCAGAGGGCTAGGGAAAGGACCATGTTCTTAATGTCGTTACGGGAGGAAATGAAACCTGGCGTCCACCTCACACCATGCACAAACAACACTTCCAGGAGGATCTTAGACCCAGTTATGGAAGGCGATCAGGGAGATCATCTATAATCATCTTTGTGACCCCAGGTTAGGGAATATTTTTTCAACAGGTTACAGAAATATTGATGAATTGGACATTAAAATTTAAAACTTCTGCTCACCAAAAGATACCCTTACAAAAATAAAAAGGCAGATCAGGTGTAGTGGCTCACACCTCTAATCCCAGCAGTTTGGGAGGCCAAGGCAGGTGGATCACCTGAGGCCAGGAGTTCAAGACCAGCCTGGTCAATGTGGCAAAACTCCATCTCTACTAAAAATACAAAAATGAGCCAGGTGTGGTGGCACACACCCGTAGTTCCAGCTACTCCAGAGGCTGAGGCAGGAGGATCGCTTGAGCCCAGGAGATGGAGGTTGTAATGAGCTGAGAGCATGCCACTGCACTCCAGCCTGGGTGACAGGAGTGAAATTAAAAAAAAAAAAAAAAAGTAAAAAGGCAAACCACAGAGTGGGACAAGCCATTTTCAACACATGTATAAGATAAAGAACTCCTGCAAATCAACAGGAAAAAGACACATAGCAAACAGAACAATAGGCAAGAGACTTGAGCAGGCACCTCAAGAGAGAAGAATTCCAAATGGCCAGAAAATGCATGAAAAGGTGCTCAATCTCATTACAAATCCAACAGATGGGGCTGGGCGTGGTGGCTCACGCCTGTAATTCTAGCACTCTGGGAGGCCAAGGCAGGTGGATCACGACTTCATGAGTTCAAGTCCAGCCTGGCCAACACAGTGAAACCCCATCTCTACTAAAAATACAAAAATTAGCTGGGCATGGTGGCAGCCACCTGTAATCCCAGCTGCTCAGGAGGCTGAGGCAGGAGAATCACTTGAACCCAGGAGGCAGAGACTGCAGTGAGCTGAGATCACACCATTGCACTCCAACCTGGGCGACAAGAACAAAACTCCATCTCAAAAAAAAAAAAGAAAAAGAAAAAAAACAAATCCAACAGATGCACATTAAAGCCACACTGAGATTTATCTAAAGAAGCCTTTAGACCCAACTCCCAGCTTATAGAGAAGAACGAGTGAGACACCATGAGAAAACATCAGACAAATGCAGAACATCTCTTGAACCCAGGAGGCAGAGGTTGCAGTGAGCCAAGATCGCACCACTGCACTCCAGCCTGGGCGACAGTGCAAGACTCCATCTCAAAAAAACAAACAAACAAAAAATTAGTTGGGCATGGTGGCATGTGCCTTTAGTCTTAGCTATTCAGGAGGCTGAGGTTGGAGGATTGCTTGAGCCCAGTTAAGCTGGTATTGTGCCACTGCACTCCGGCCTGGGCAATAGAGACCATATCTCAAAAAAAAAAAGAAATTTTTAATAAAAATTAGGCTAATGCAATAATGAAAATTAGGTTAGAAAATCTGTCTCTCTCTCACACACACACACACACACACAAACACACACTCACACACACAGATATAGCCGTGCACACCACCCAGAGTAGCTAACTTTACAGAATAGCATTCTCCAGTGTTGACAAAGATGTGGGGCATGGAGACCTCTCATGTACAGTTGCTGGGAGTATAAATCCACAGAATCACTTTGGCATCACCTAGCAAAGCCAACAGAACATACCCCACAACCCAGCAATTCTACTGCAGGGGGACAACCTACTGAAATATGCACAGGGAGGCAGGGACAAGAACACTCAGAGCAGATCTATCATGAAATCCCCAAATTGGTAACAAGTAAGTATGTGCAATGATATGAATTTGTGAAAACCTATTGATGCAATAAAATGCTACATGACAATGACAGAATAAGCTACAGCTATGTGCAAAAACCAGAATGAATCTCATAAACATCATGTTGGTGAATGAAGCCAGATATGAAGAACACATCCTGTATGGACCCATTTCTATAAATTTCAATAGCAGGTATAATCAAATAATAGTGGCCATGGACATATATGTCTGTAGTAAAATTTTAAAGAAAATCAAAGACATCAATGACCATAAAAGTAGAGGCAATGGGGGGCCAGTCACGGTGGCTCACACCTGTAATCCCAGCACTTTGGGAGGCTGAGGCAGGTGGATCACCTGAGGTCAGTAGTTCAAGATCAGCCTGACCAACGTGTTGAAACCCCGCCTCTACTAAAAATACAAAAAATTAGCCAGGCGTGGTGGCGGGTGCCTGTAATCTCAGCTACTCAGGAGGCTGAGGCAGGAGAATCACTTGAACCTGGGAGGCAGAGGTTGCAGTGAGCCGAGATCACACCATTGCACTCCAGCCTGGGTGACAAGAGCAAAACTCCATCCCAAAAAAAAAAAAAAAATCGAGGCAGTGGTTACCATTAAATGAGGGGACTGCAATTGAGAAGGGATAGGCAGGAGGGCTCCAGGGGTCTCACAAACTTCTGTTTCTTGACCTAATAAAGGGTTTACTTTATTTTAAAAAACATTAACTGTTCATTATGTTTAATATATTTTTTCTTTTCTTTTGAGACAGGGTCTCACTCTGTCACCCAGGCTGGAGTGCAGGGGCACAGTCTCAGTTCACTGCAGCCTCAACCTCCCCAGGCTAAGGTGATCCTCCCATCTCAGCCTCCTGAGTAGCTGGGACTACAGGTGCGTGCCACCACACCTGGCTAACGTTTTGATGTTTTGTTGAGATGGGGTCTCACTACGTGAACTCCTGAGCTCAAATGATCATCCTGCCTCAGCCCCCACAAAGTTCTGGGATTACAGGTATGAGCCACTACAACCAGCTAATATATACTTTTCTAAATGTGTTTTATAGCTCACATAAAGAAGATTAAAATAAATGTCCAAAACTGCCTGCAGAAAAAAATCTGGCCCCAAAACCCTCAGTGTTATCAGGCGGGCCTCCTTTCCACCATGTTTGTCTCGGGGAAGGAAGATGGCTTTTGAAATGAGACAGCAGGTTTCTGGGCTCTTCCAGAGAAAGCCTTTCTGTATTCGACCATGTTCACTGAGGAGGGACTGGTTGGTGGTCACTAGACTTTGAAGTTTGGTGGCCATTAAAAACAAGCAAATTATTTCTTTCTTTTTACGAATTTGCCCATGCTGCTGGTGAGGAAATTCTCACTCCCTCAGCCTGCAAGCCCCGTGAGGAAGGGTGGAAATCTCCCATATATTTTAATGCCCTAGAGATCAAGGGGGCCTCAGAGCGCAGTGGTCTTGCCTTGACACCGAGAATTTTAAGAGAAAGTGACTGGCTCTGGGGCACAGGATGAGAGAATGATAAATCTAGACCTCAAACCCAGGCTTAGGCCGGGTACGATGGCCCAAGCCTGTAGTCCCAGCTACTTGGGAGGCTGAAGTGGAGGATTGCTTAAGCCCACGAAGTCAAGGATGCATTAAGCTATGATCACATTACTGCACTCCAGCTGTGGGGACAGAAGACCCTACTCCAAAGTTTAAAAAAAAAAAAAAACCCAGGCCTGCTGTGTAATTTTGTGCATCTGTAAGGAAAGCTGATCTACTTCTTGTTCACTCTGAGCTTTTCCTTAATTTTTTCAGTCATCAGTAAGGAATTTGATGCAGTTGTGTTCAAACCAAAAACAAGGTGGGGTTTTCCTTTCCTCTCATGGGAAGATAAATTTTGAAGTAGGTGAGTACTGGTGTTGGCTCAGTGACTGAAGTGGGAAGAGCCGTGACTTCTGCAATTTTCATGGCCCCAAAGAGCCAGCATTAGGGTGTAATACCTTTGCACCAAGGACAAAAATGATAAAGTACAAATGAAGCACAACATGTCTGTCTCTGTTCCAGATGCACAATTCACTAAAGGACACGTTTCCAATAAAATCAGGGCTTATAGGGGCCAGGTGCGGTGGCTCATGCCTGTAATCCCAGCACTTTGGGAGGCCAAGGTGGGCAGATCACCTGAGGCCAGGAGTTCTAGACCAGCCTGACCAACATAGCAAAACCCTGTCTCTACCAAAAATACAAAAAATTAGCCGGGCATGGTGGCATGCACTTGTAGTCCCAGCTACTTGGGAAGCTGAGGCAGGAGAATCACTTGAACCCAGGAGGTGGAGGTTGCACTCCAGCCTAGGTGGCAGAGACTGTCTCAAAATCAGGGCTTGTAGGGTAGATGGCTGTTAGGTAAGGAACCAGCAGTCTCTGCCATTCTCACCAGTGAGAATCAGGACATCTCAGAGGAACTGTGGAAGTTTGTCACGTGGGACTGAAATCTGAATAAGGCCTAGGACCTGAGTTCTGAATAAAAATGAATACCACTCAAGCCCAAACTAATTGCTAGGAATTAAATATTTGGATTTTCATCTAGCGGCAGTTCCCAAAAGAAGGGTGCATGGATATGCAAAAACGCATGTGTCTACCAGGCTTGCATTAGCTGGAGTTGGGGATAGTCCTAACCAATGTACTCACATGTGCACACAAACATTTCAGCATGCATTCGCCCCGCCCCCTTGGGGATGTGCAGCAGCTGTGCAGCCCTGCAGTGGGGGAGGCCTGTGGCTGCTCTGTCACTTGTGCTGAGTAGCAGGCACATCACCTAGAGGTAGGTAGCAGAGGGGCCAGCTAGCAGAGAGGACACAGCTGACCCACGCCGTGTAAGGCATGGACTTCAGGTGACCAGGACCAGTTTCATCCACACTCACTTCTCTGCATCCTTGTGACCAGTGAATGAGCTTTCTAAGAAAGCTAGCCGGGATTAGGTGCTAATCCCCAGAAGGCAAGGCCAAGCTGAGCCTCATTAACACAAGGAGCTATGCGGCAAACTCTGGCCTAACTCCAGAGCAGAGGCAGCAGACAAGTCTTACCTTTTATTACCAACACACAGGGATCAATACTGCCTGTCTGGAGCAGGGTTCGGGCAACCTTTTGCTGTAAAGGTCGGGTAGTATTTGAGGTTTTGTGGACCATCTGCTCTCCATGGCAATTACTCAGCTCTGCCTTTATAGTGTGAAAAAAGGTATGGACAATACATAACCAAGTGAGTGTGGCTGTGTCTCAAAAACACTTTGTAGAAACAGGGGGCTGGCCAGGTATGGCCAATGGGCTGTAATTTGCCAACTCTTGGCCTAGAAACCACATGTCCACTTGTTGTAATGGAGGGTGAGGATGTCTCCAGGCCCACGGTGTTGAGTCAATTAGCCCTGCCTGCACAGGTTTTGTAAGGGGAGTACCAGGCTCTAGATCAGTGGTCTACAAAGTGGGCTATGCCTACCCCAGGATGTGTACCATGTAATCCATTGGCATACGGGAAAAAGCATTAAATTTCTGTTCATTTTAAAATCTGTTTTCATTTTAGACTATTGATCTTGTCTACCCTATCATGGGTCTGTAGATTTGGCAATGAGTCATGCCTTATATCTAACGTGCTAATGAGAAGTCAGGCTTATAAACCTCTGAAGAGGATCTCACAGCAGTTGTATCCTGGAATAGCAATATGCCCATTGCCACTCCCTGCTTGTCGGGTCTGAGATATGCAGGTATCTCAGGGATTCCCCTAAAAAGAGAGCAGTGGTCCCCGATTCCTCGAAGGCAGCTTCCTCAGGAACTATGGTGGACTTGCCACACTAAAGGAGTTTTGGATTCAAGGTTCTGTCTTGAATCTGATCAGTGGTTCAGCTATTGGTCAGAACACAAAGGGAACTACAACCACCCCCCAGCACACACCATTCATAAGAGCATTAATTAAGTTGTGCTTTCCCGATTTCTGGTGGTCTCTCTCTCCCTCAGTAGTTCAGGCCTGCCATATAAAGTAGACAGATTGTACATTGCACAAGAGTGCTGCGTCTAACGAGGCATCCTTCACACTGTAGACATGGTAGACTTATATGCCCTGTGATAACTTCCTGGTACATAGCAACGCGTCATTCTAACAAACTCAGTACATTATGACCATCTCTGACCAATAGATGTAAAGCACTTTGAGGGAAGTGTGTCTCCTTAATTCCAGAAGAACTATATGGGTTTGTAGTAGCCACAACTAGTAGGTGAAGGATAGAAAAGAAGAAAAATGCACAAAGTCCAACAGATTCAAACTCTTCCGGGGCAGGGATGTCTTGTGAATGCCTTTTACAGTGTTGAAGGACCTCTTCAGAGTGAGGCAGCATTTGAGTGTTCAATCATTAGCACAGACCCCCAAAAGCAAGGACTCAGAGGTAACCATCACCCGTCAGTCACCTCTACTGAGGACTGGAAGTGAAGAGAGAAAGGAAAAAAAATATTTTTCTCCCTCCCAGCTGTTCTTCCTCTTGTATAAAGGAGCTGGAAGAAGTCAAGCAAAGCAGCACAGATGTGTTTTAATGTTTACTCACATGGAAGCAAGTAACAAAATAAGAAAAATAAAACCATCATTCAAGAAGAGCCAGTTGTTTTGTAGCTTCCCACTATTTATTCTCCTTCTCCTGGTAACAGCTCTCCACTTTCCCTTTAGGAAATCAGTTCTGCCCCATGGTTCAAAATCTCTAGAACTGACAAAATACCCTGCCTTCTACCAGCCAAAGGGGTGGGCACACAACTTAAGCTAGGTCAGTTGCATTCTCTCTCTCCTCTCTGATAGTTAATTTTGTGTGTCAACTTGACTGGGTCACAGGGTGCCCACATATTTGGTCAAACATTCTGAGTGTTTCTGCGAGGGTGTTTTTGAAAGAGATTCACATTTTAATCAGTCAAGAAGATTGCCCTCCATAGTGAATGGTCCTCATCCAACTACTTGAAGCCTAAATAGAATTAAAAGACCAACCTTTCCTCTAAGTAAGGATAATTCTCTAGCAGACTGTCTTCATATGCAACATCAATTCTTCCTGTCTGATGGCCTTCAAATAGGAACATGGGTTCTGCTTGGGTCTCCAACCTGCCAGACTGGACTTGCCAGCCTCTGCAATCACACGAGCCAATTCCTTCTTTTACACACATGGGGAGAGGGGGAGGTAGAGGGGGAGAGGGGGAGAAGGGGGAGAGGGGGAGAAGGGGGAGAGGGGGAGAAGGGGGAGAGGGGGAGAAGGGGGAGGTAGAGGGGGAGAGGGGGAGAAGGGGAGAAGGGGAGAAGGGGGAGAGGGGGAGAAGGGGGAGAGGGGGAGAAGGGGGAGAGGGGGAGAAGGGGGAGAAGGGGGAGGTAGAGGGGGAGAGGGGGAGAAGGGGGAGGTAGAGGGGGAGAGGGGGAGAAGGGGAGAGGTGGAGATAGAGGGTTCTGTTTCTCTGGAGAACCCTGATTAATATACACTCACTCTCTCTGTCTGGATTTTGAAGCATGAGTGTAGACACTTAAAAATATAAAAATGTTTGGAAAGCAGTTATTCCAGCAGTGGTGTCCTGATGAGACTGTCAGGGACCTAGTTCCTGCTACCTAAGCCTCTCCAGAGATGCTCTCATTCTTTATCTTTTTCCAAAACTGGTTCACAATCTTCCTAACAATGCTTTGATCCACCCTATAACTTCTTTTAGTCCATGAATATTTACTGAGCGCTATGATCTGAATGTTGGTGTCCCTCTAAAATTTATAGAACTTAATCCCCAGTGTGATTGTATTAAGAGGTGGGACCTTTAGGAGGCCTCTTGAATGGGATTAGTGCCCTATAGAAAAGGTGTGAGGGAGCCTGCTGGCCCCTTCTGCCATGTGAGGACACACAGAAGGCACTAACTATGAGGAACGGGCTCTCATCAGATACCGAATCTGCTGGCAACTTGATCTTGAACATACCAGACTCCAGAACTGGGAGCAATAAATCTGTGTTGTTTATAAATTACCCAGTCTAAGGAATTTTGTTAACAGTCTGAGCGGACTAAGACAATGAGTACCTACTATATTCAAGGTACTGTTCTATTGAGGAAATACCAGTGAACAAGCTAGCCCTTGCTCTCATGGAACTTATTTTCTAAAAAGTCCTTTTCTGCCTAAGTAGATTAACCCTTCTTGAGAGTTTATTTCTGTTGCTTGCCACCAAAGAATCCCAGCAAATACTAACAATCTTCCCGCAGAGACTTCTAGCTCCGCCCCTTCCCTGGATCATCTTAGATAAGCCAGATGTCAGTCTTCAGAAGTCAGAAGATCCCTGGCTCGATGCAATTCTTGAGAGCCACTTCTTTATGATCACCCCATAAAAAACCCTGAGAACCCACCAGTGCACTTGTCTAATGTCCTAATGTTTGGATATAAATGACTCCACAGGAACATCTACATCAGAGGGGTTTCTCAACAGATGCCCTCCATCGAAACCATCTTTTCTCCTCTCCTGCTTAGAACCTGGGAAGATACCTTACAATGAGTATTACCTTGTTTATGCCTCATTATGACTTGTTTCAGGTTTAATCTTCTTCACCAGAGCCTTTTTAACGTCCTCCCCCAAAACCCAAAGGATTTATTCTGGGATTAGACAGGAGACAAGATCAGAGAAGCTGATCCAAACAGCCAGACATGGCTTTCTCATCAGGTAGCACCAGACAGTTATTTAACACAACTGAAACTCTATCTTGAAGCAAGTAAGCATGCTGTTTGGTTCACTGTGGGGGTGTCAGTGACTACGGCTGGGAATTGTCACAGTTTAGTTTAGCACTTCTGGCAAACTTTGGAGCCAGCTTGCATAATGCAGTGTCTAAAGAACATGATTCCAGTTGAACAGAGCATGTCTGTGGTTAAAAATAGAACTCTGTCACATAACAACTCATATATAAACCATGAGGCTGGGGGAGGAACAAAATTAAATAATAGTCACTGGGGGTTCTTGAACACCTGTCCCAGTCCCTCAGAGCATAAACTATCTGGGAATTGCCAGCACACTGAAGCCAACCCTGCCCTGAAATCAAATGGCAAAAATAAACAACCAAACTGACCCAGTTAAATCAGGAAACATGACCGCACCTTTAAGCAGGCCACCATTCAGGTGGCCTCTCCAGCCCAGGCCTCCTCAGGGATTTAGCTCTGAGTTCTGAAAAAATTAACTGCAGTAGATCCCATGACAGCCACTCTGGATTCACAGCAGGATTGAAAGCTGAGACTGCGTTAGGTCTGAATGCCACCCGCACGTTTGCATTTTCACTGCATGCACATGGATTATGCTTTGAACAGAATGCATGAAAAGTGGGCCCTGGCTCCTTCTAAACAGTTGTGGGAGTCTCATGACCCACTGCTCAGACTTGCAAAGAGCTAAGAATTAGAAACGAAATACTTGGGTTTCCCTGCCAGGAAACACTTTACAACAGTGTGTAGGTCTAACTGGAGAGGTTGCCCAATGACAGAGTGGAAATTTCATGGCTGGGTACATATAAAGCTAAGCCGTCAGAACAATTAATACTATAATATGCCACCAGAAAATAAAAAAGGGTATAGGGGACCAAAAAGAAAACGAGGCTACCTCCTTCCCCAACTCTGCCACTGACCCAGGCAAATTGCTCCTCCTCTCGGGGTCCCACTTCTCCTCTTTAAAAATCTATCTACAATGCCTGCTCCCTTCCAAACTCACCGAAATGTTGTAGTTTCACTCTTCACTTGTGTCACTTATTTGTTTCTGGTTCTGAAACGCTCGAGCAGTGATATGCTCTCTGCTTCACAGTCACCTGAAGAGTTTTTAAAAACTTCCCTACCTCAGCTGCACTCCTGGAGATTTCTGGGTGGGTCCCAGGCATGGGTGGATTTAAAAGCCCCCTCAGGTGATTCTAATGTGCCTCCAGGCCTGCGAACCAGAAGGCAGACTGGGAGAAGCACCGCCCCACTGCTTCCCCAGGGAGCGATGGAAGATGAAAGAGATGCAGATTCTCCCACCTGCTCCAATTCTTCCAGGGATTTCCTTTTATGGGGCTGGACAAATCGTCTCATTCCCAGATCTTTTCTCACCAACTTCCCCCCTCACCTCTGCCAGGTTCAATCAGCAAGGAAACTAGCTAAACATCTCTTAAAGGTGGTGAGGAACTGTTTGTTGCTTTTTAAAATTAATTTTAATATTTATTTTAAGTTCCGGGGTACATATGCAAGATGTGCATGTCTCTTACATAGGTAAACGTGTGCCATGGTAGTTTGCTGCACAGGTCAACCTATCACCTAGGTATTAAGCCCAGCATGCTTTAGCTATTCTTCCTGATGCTCTCCTTCCCCCTCTCATCTCCCTCTCCACAGGCCCCAGTGTGTGTTGTTCCCCTCCCTGTGTCCATGTGTTCTCATTGTTCAGCTCCCACTTATAAGTGAGAACATGCAGTCTTTGGTTTTCTGTTCCTGTGTTAGTTTGCTGAGGATAACAGCTTCCAGCTCCATCTATGTCCCTGCAGAGGACATGATCTCATTCCTTTTTATGGCTGCATAGTATTCCATGGTGTATATGTGCCACATTTTCTTTATCCAGTCTATCATTGATGAGCATTTGGGTTGATTCCATGTCTTTGCTATTGTGAATAGTGCTACAATGAACATAAACATGCATGTATGTTTGTAATAGAATGATTTCTATTCCTTTGAGTATATACTCAGTAATGGGATTGCTGGGTTAAGTAACATTTAAGTGTATTACGGCCTTTCCATCAAAGAAGTTTTATCTTTTAGGATTTACTTACTGCAGAAGCATTTGTAGCCAACGAGAGAGTCCTGATACTCTCAGTCTGTGTTCCCTGTCTGGAGCAGGCTGCTGCCTTCATAGGGTGTTTCCAGGAGCTTCCCGTACCCAGTTGGCGACCCTGAGCCCTCCACGTGCCTTATGATAGGTCATTGTTAGTTAGTAAGGGATGCCTTGGTGTTAAGCGCTGCCATCCTGCAATGAAATGCAAATGATTCAGGCCAGAGGATCTGTATGAAGTCCCCGATGCCTGAATGTGGGTGAATCCATCCAGCTTTTTTCCCAGTCCCCCAGTAGGCTCCATGTCCCTTCTGACTAATGCATCTGTTATCGTAGTGACTAAAAATATATTTTCCTCACCCATCCTAGGCTCATGGCTGAGGCCCCTCTAATAAAAGATAGATGAACAAGAGAAAAAAATATATAAATTTATTTAAATGTAAGTTTTATGGGTACGGGAGCCTTCATAAGGAAATGAAGACCTGAAGAAACAGTGAAACCTGTTTTTTATAGTAGGTTTCATGAAGAGTGGACAGTCATGGAGAAATATGAGAGGGAAAAGAGTATGATGTAATGGTAATAAGCCGGGGGAACTTAGGCAGGCCTGTTTGTTCAGATTTTTCTCTGTGTCCTATGTCCTCAGAGGTAAGGATGCTCTTTTCCTCCAGATGTGGGGAGGGCACTTCTCACATGAGCACCTGAAGACCTGCTGCAACGGAAAGTCAGAGAGGCCTTCCAGGTTTTAGGAACTGCCTCAGGAAAGAAGCCTGGACAAAGGTCACAGAGACCTTCCTGCTTATGTGTTTTTTTTCCAATTCCTTCAGCTTACACTGTTCAATATGCCGAGGTACCATATTTTGGGGTAGCATGTCTGCACCCCATCATTACTGTTTGTTTTGTTCCGTCAATCCTCATCTGCAGGTCAGTGGTGCTTCCCACTCTTACAAGTCCTGGAGAACCCATTGTTCATTCTCTATGTCCTCCCCACAGCCTGTAGTTTGATTCTTTGCCCTTGAAAGCGGCCTGTGTGCTTCTGCTGTGTTGAATCAAACATTTAGACTAAGCCAGAAACCTTGGAAGAGAAACCAAAGAGACAGCAAGGTCATAGAGTCGCGTGTTTAAGAGCACGGACACCAAACAGGTCTAGATTTAAATGTTATCTCACCACCTCCTAGCTATGACCCTTGGTCGACATACCCCACCTCTCTGAGACTTACCTACCCTCTCTGAGCCTCAGTTTACTCAACTGTAAAATAAGATCAGTTATTAAGCCTGTATCATACAATTGGTGTGAGGATTAAATGGGATGTAATTGGCATCATGTGAATACCCCTCAAACATTGGCCACTATTACCATTGTTGTTGTTAATAAGAGTGAGAGGAGCATGGTGGACAAATGGCAGCTCCTCAGATTCAATGTGAACTGAGGAGCAACAGGACTTAGGATCAAAACACCTGAGCTGAGAGCCATTCCCTCTCTCCGTGAACTTAGGCAAGTCCTGTCATCTCTTTAAGCTTTGTTTCTGCAGTTGTGAAACTGTGATGATAATAATAATATAATGCCTGTTTTGCAGGCTTATTGGGAGGACTAAATGCAATAATGTATGTAAAGCTGCTTTGCAAACTACAAGGAACTATATAATATCAGTGATTATTGCTCACACTCAGTTCTCAACACTTTCTGGGACTGGTCCTGGTAAATTGAAAAAGAATGAATGGATTATCTAAGAATAGAAATGGGAAAAAATGAGGCTCAATTCTCGTGCCTTTAATCTGGCAGCTAATAAAGTCCAGGCCAAAGGGTGATCCCCACAGAGATTGAGGATTCTGACTAAAAGGGACCACTGGCACTGGGCTAATGGTGTTCCTAAGTGATCCTTTCCTTTGAGTCAGCAACGGCCTACTGTTTACCTACCATATAATCTCATGTTGCCTCAGGAGGCACCCTAACATTAGTTACCATTATTGAATTTCATAAAAGAGGACCTTCATAAAAGATAGACCAGTATCACAGGGCTAAAGAAAAAGAGAGTGCAAGAAAAATCACGGTATGTGTTACTTCCCTTGAGGCACCTTTATTCTTGGCTCTCGAGATTTTTTTTAATGTTACCTTTTTTCAATGTTGCATTTTGGGTAACACTTTTCTGATATTTTATTGTTTATGAGTTCTCCAACTTCTGCTGGCTTTGCTAACTTATCTTCTATTTTCCATTGCTACTCTAAATAAACATTTCTAATTTGAAAGTTAAAGGCTAAGGAACAGCTTACACCTGCAAGGAGGAGGAGGCTTTCAGGTTCAAAATGTTACTAGCTGTAGGCAGGTCCGGGATGGCTCCTACCAAAGTTGAAGTTCTCCCTAAGTCCTGAGCTACCTAACTCCAGGCTCTCCTCACCTCCATTCCAGGGCTGTCCTCACAGCAGCCACTGACACAAGCTGTCTGCCATTCAAATTAAGACACAAATGACTTAGGACAATTAAAATGCAGTCCTGGCCAGCTGCGGTGGCTCACGCCTGTAATCCCAGCACTTTGGGAGGCAGAGGCAGGTGGATTGCTTGACTCCAGGAGTTCAAGACCAGCCTGGGCAAAATGGCAAAACCCCGTCTCTACTAAAAATACAAAAAATTAGCTGGGCGTGGTGGTGCACACCTGTAGACCCAGCTACTCAGGAGGCTGAGGTGGGAGAATCACCTGAGCCCAGGAGGTTGAGGCTACAGTAAGCAGTGATCGTGCCACTGCACTCCAGTCTGGGCAACAGGAGTGAGAACCTGTCTCAAAAAAATAAATAAAATGTGGTCCTCCGGCATACTGATTTTTTAGTAACAATCAAAATTTAGCCAAAGGAAAGTTCTAGCAGTAGAATTCCAGAATTCTAGAATTGGGCTTTGCTCAAAAGGTCTTATGAGAAAGAGGCAGAAGATAATTTGTACAGTACTACTTTGCACAATAGTACAAAACCTTTCAACAACATTCTACGCCTTTGATTCCTGCCCATTAGAAAGAAATTGGGGCCAACTGAATCTGCATTCACAAGAAGTGAGCCAGAATGGGGAGGCCAAATAAAATTCGTGAAAGCATAAGGAGTACCACTCCTCCAGAATTTTCTACATGCTTGTGGAGGCCATAGGATTAACTCAAAGGGAACAGGGGCAATCTAGCGATCAGGAATCTTCTCTGCCCTTGAAACGGCTCTGAGGAGAAGCGTCTTGGAGTTGGGGCATGTATAAAATATGCATTACTGATATGAAGAGCTCCTTTTGAAAATTTCTCCCCTGCCCCCACCTAACTTCATTTTACCCCAAATTAGAAAACAAATTAAGAACCAGAAAGGAAAATTTTAACTTACTCATCTAAACCTACAAAATTAAAAACTTCACTTACACAATAGGACACTTCATCAGCAAAATAGCAGTGTGAATTTATTTTAGTCCCTGGTAAGTATTCAAATGCAAGATCCTATAGTGGTGTTATGAAATACACGAGCACTTAAACGTATAAGACAGGCAAATCAGGAAATGAATATTCTTATGTGACCAAAGAGTAAAAGTAATCCTGAATTAAAGGGAAGCCTAGCAAGAGCTCTGGCTGACCTAGTCACCCTTTGTGGGGCTCTAGACACATGAGAAACAACCAGGTGAACAGGTGGCATGGTAGCATGCCAGAAGACAGCAGACACATCCCTTAAATAAATTGGAAATCTGCCATCAGTGGCCTTGGGTCTCCATGCCCAACCCCTGACATATTGGGGAAAGATGCCTTTGTCCTGCTGGACCAGCTTTGCCCCTAGCCAAAGTAAATATTAGACAAAAAATTGACGAATATTATTTCAAGGGGACAGCAGCTTATATGCCTGCTTGGAGCACCCATCTTTGTTTGCGATCCCTCTTTAAACCCAGTATCTTTTCAAATCAAGGGCACAGAGGGAAGGTGCAGCCTCAGGACTGACGACCTTAGGAAGGGGGTGCAAAGCGTCTTTCTCCCCTTCATCCTGTAACACAGGGCCCAGTGCCCTTGGGCTGCCCAAGGCCAGGAAATGGGCCAGGTGGGACAAGGAGAGAAGGGGAATTAAGCCAGGTCTGCCCACCCTCAACCCCCAATACTGTCTCAGTTGTGCTTCATGGCAGGGGTAGGACGAAGGGGAGTTACATGTTTTGAGCACTTATTAGATGCCAAAGATTCTGCTGGTTGCATTATGTACATTATCCCTTTCTAATATGAGAAACACTTGGAGGTGGTTATCACTACTCCCACATTCTAGATGAGCCTCCAGGGAAGTTAAGAAATCGATCCAAGTTCACACGGAGATTCAAACGTAGGTCTGACTCCCAAGCTCCTGCTCACATGGCATCCCATAGACCCTCGGCTGCCAGCTCTGACTCAGTTGCCTCCATAGCACCAACTTACTCTGCCTGGGGCCAGCCAGCATCTTGCCAGGGAGGGCTGGGACCATACCCTTGCTGCTGCTGGGCAGCTAGGCAGAAAAGCCACAGGCTTGAGATTCTGGCATCTCTCACCACTTCTAGACTTAAATAAAACACAAGATGTGAGATCTAGTTTCCCGGCTGCCACCAAAAGAGGCCAGATAAGCAACCCAGAGGTAGTGCCCCAGAGAAGTTACCTTCCAATTAGAGACCCAATCTGCTCATTTCCTCTCCCTTCTTCCACCCAAGGACTGCTCCAAGGCAGACCTGTCCCACCTGAAGACTCCTATGCGGCTGGACAGGCTCACCTGCTGACTCACCAGCAGAGCTCTTCATGAAGTAAGGCCAAAGCACCCCGGCATTGCTCCCTATCCTTCCTCCTTGCCTCACTTTCCCCTACTATCAATGCTCTGAGATTGCACTTTCCAAATAAAGCATCAGCCTTAGACAGTTTCCTAGGGAACCCAGGCTTTCTAGTCATGTTTGTGCTTAGTTTCTTATTTCATTATTCTTAATGATATAAGTACCTGGAAACCTACCATCCAAAACAAAATCTGGAACCTTGACATAAACTTCATCTAACCATACACTGCCCACATCCCACACCCCTCACCCCGCCACCCCCCCAACCCCCCCCCCCACACACACACACAAGGTCACCATCATCCAGAGAATTCCTTGGCTTTTTGAAATATATAGTTTTATTGCACCTATATGTATTTCTATAAAGCTTATTTTTATATTAATTGTAACTCTAGAAAAATACATCGTGCATCGTTTAACGACAGGAATACATTCCAAAAAATGCATAATTAGGTGATTTCGTCACTGTGTGAACATCACAGAGTGCACTTACACAAACCTAGATGGTGTAGACCGCTACACACCTAGGCTGTATGGCATAACCCATTGCTCCTAAGCTATAAACTTGTACAGCATGTCACTGCACTGAATATTGTAGGCAACTATAACACAATGCTAAGTATTTGGGTATCTAAACATACAAAAGGTAAAGTAACAGACAGTATTAAAGATTTATAAATTACATACCTATATAGGGCAGTTACCATAGGTAAAGCTTGCAGGACTGGAAGTTGCTCTGGGTGAGTCGGTGAGTGAGTGTTGAACAAATGTGAAGACCTAGGACATTACTGTAGAGTACTGTAGAGATTATAAACCCTGGACACTTAGGCAATGGGAAATTTATTTTAAAAATATTTTCCTTCTTCAATAATAAATTAGCTTACTGTAACTTTTTAACTTTATAAACTTTTTTAAACTTTGAAATACACTTAGCTTAAAACAGGAACACATTGTATTTTCTTTCTTTATATCCTTATTCTATCAGCTTTTTTCAAATTTTCCACTTTTAAATTTTTATTTTCTATTTCTTAAACTTTTCTGTTAAAAACTAACACAAAAACATGCACTTTAGCCTAGGCATACACAGCTTCCTGATCATCAATGTCACTGTCTTCCACCTCCTCAACTTGTCCCAGTGGAAGGTCTTCAGGGGCAGTAACATGCATGGAGCTGTCATCTCCTATGATAACAGTGCCTTCTTCTGGAATTCCTCCTGAAGGTCCTGCTTGTGGTTCTTCTTGAGGAGGGTCACTCTTCAGAAATACATGCATGGTGGTTTTCTTGGTTTGTTTTTCCTTTTTTTTTTTGGTCAAAGATTTGCTTATAAGCAGATACTGCACTATGAAAATTCCTCTCTATTAATGAAAACTTTGCATTGGAGTCTATGTTTTTAAACGTTTTAAGGAGCTTGTTGAGGTTTGCAAACCTTCTGCTAAACCCTTCATGAATTTTCTTGGGGATTCTTCTTTTTCTTCTCCTACAATTTCCTTTTCTCTTACCTCTTCTTCAGCCATGCATTCCTGTTCCATTTCCAAAAACTTCTTGTTAGTCAATTCCTCAGGACAACATCGCTAGGTGATAGCAATTCTTCAGCTCCATTATAATCTTATGGGACCACTGTCATATATGGAGTCCATCACTGACTGCAATGTCATTATGTGGCATATGACTATATATCATATCATATACATTTGGGGCATTTATTTTCTTCACTTAATGTTTTATTATTGCTAGGAGTTGTCCACATTGTTGTGAATCAGTGTGGTTCATTTGTTTTTATGGTCCTACAATAGTTATGTAAACACACCGCAATTTATCCATCCACTCTCCTGTTGACAGGCATTTCAATTGTTTCCAAGTTTTTTGCATCAAAAACAGGGCAGCTATGAACATTCTTGTACACATCTTCTGTTTTACATCTGTAAAAGTTTCTATCTTGGTCCTTTTTCTGCAGCTATAACACAATATCACACACTGGGTAGTTTACAAGGAACAGAGATTTATTTGGCTCACAGTTCTGGAGGTTCAAGGGAATTAATCTCCACATCATAACATGGTGGAATGCATCACATGGCAAGAGAGAGTGCTCACACACGAGAAGGGGGCCAAACTCATCCCTCAGGAACCCACCCCTGAGATAACTAACCCAGTCCCACAATAACAGCATTAATCCCTCACCTCTTAAAGGTCCCACCTACCAACACTGTTGCATTGGAGATTCAGTTTCCAGCACATGACATCTGGGGAACACATTCGAACCACAGCAGTTTCCTTTGGTCCCATCCCTAGGAGTGAAATTTTTGGGTCATACACAGATGAATGTTCAGCTTTAGGAAATAATGCCAAACTGTTTTTCAAATTAGTTACACAAATCTATGCCCTTTCTTTCATACAAAGAGTGTTCCTTAAAATCCAATTATGTTTTTGTTTTGTTTTTGTTTTTGAGACGGAGTCTCACTCTGTCACCCAGGCTGGAGTGTAGTGGTGCAATCTTTGCTCACTGCAACCTCCACTTCCCGGGTTCAAGCGATTCTCCTGCCTAGCCTCCCAAGTAGCTGGTATTACAGGCATGCACCACCACATCTGGCTAATTTTTGTAATTGTTTTAGTAGAGAAGGGATTTCACCATGTTGGGCAGGTTGGTCTCAAACTCCTGACCTCAGGTGATCCGCCTGTCTCAGCCTCCCAAAATGCTGGGAATACAGGTGTGAGCCACTGCACATGGCCTAAAATCCAATTATTATAGTTCTCTTTGTTACAGGAAAGGGGTCCCAATCCAGACCCCAAGAGAGGGTTCTTGGATCTCACGCAAGAAATAATTCAGGGTGAATCCATACAGTAAAGTGAAAGAAAGTTTATTAAGAAAGTAAAGGAATAAAAGAATGGCTACTCCATAGACAGAGCAGCCCCAAGGGCTTCTGGTTGCCCATTTTTATGGTTATTTCTTGATAATATGCTAAACAAGGGGTGGATTATTCATGCCTCCCCCTTTTTAGACCTTATAGGGTAACTTCCTGACATTACCATGGCATTTGTAAACTGTCAGGGCGCTGGTGAGAGTGTAGTAGTGAGGATAACCAGAGGTCACTCTTGGTTTTGGTGGGTTTTTGCTGGCTTCTTTCCTGTAACCCGTTTTATCAGCAAGGTCTTTATGACCTGCATTTTGTACTGACCTCCTATCTCATCCCATGACTTAGAATGCCTTAACCATCTGGGAATGCAGCCCAGTAGGTTTCAGCCTTATTTTACCCAGCTCCTATTGAAGATGGAGTTGTTCTGTTTAACACTTCTGACACCTTTGTTCTGATAACTGCCAAAAATGAGAATTGCTGGTCGCTAGTTGAACATGCTATGTCTCTTCTGGGTATTCGTATTTTTTAAGAGGATGCTTGGAAAGGCAGTACTTCAATGCAAAGCCATGAATTTTTCAGGCTAATATTTCAGGGCTTCATTTCTATACGCCTTATCAGACTCACTCATCCAAGCATCACTGAAATGCTTACTGGGTTCTGGGGCTGTGCGAAGCATGAAGATGCAGAAGTGGGAGATACAGGCCCTGCCTCCAAACATCTTAAAGTCGCACACTTGAGTAAGACAACAAAACCATTATGTTGGACTTTGACAGTATCTCAGGTGAATCAGGTAACTCAAGTTAACATCAAGGCAGCAGAGGGCACAAGACGGCTTCCAGGAAAGTGGGTGCATATTCATCAGTCTTGAAGTTACCGAAAGGCAAATAACTTCAAGTAAGTCCCAGACTTGTTATCATCATTCCCCTACCACTGTAAATTTCCTGGGGGAGCTTGGCCCCTCCTCACAAGGACAAGTGGTTCTACAGTGAGTCATACCCCCTCTGCCCCACCAACTGTCCCCTTGCTAATAGGCTAATAGGAATGTATCCTTCTACTGAGCTTCATTCACACAAGGATCTCTTAGCATGGACAAAATGTCTGTTTGGACTCTTTCTTCCCCCATTCCCTATTCTTCCTAGCATTCTTTGCGTCTACTTTGCTTCATCTTCAAGTTAGCCCCCTCTATGTAGCAGCAAGATGGATGGATCCTGGCTGTTCCAGACCTCTAGAGATTTTAGAGCCTATGATCCAAAAAAGGGACATTTTTCTGGAAAGTCTCTGGTAAAACACCCAGAGACTTTCAAATGGTCCGTCATATATTACATACTCCTTCATGAGCCAGTCACTGTGATGAGAGGAATAAAATATACTGATTGGCTGAGCCTACATCACATACTATCCCTGGCCCAAACCACATGACCAGGAATACTTTGGAGTGTTGGAGGAGGAGCATGTTTCCCACAAGGAATGCTGGGCAGACAAAAATGTGTGCCACTAAAAGACCTGAGGAGATAGTTTTATTTGATTGCTCTAATTAATTCTCCTGCCTCTTTCACTAGTAGGTACATGAGAACAAGGCATAGACATATTTTACATAGTTCCTTGGTATTCTATTAATGATAGTACAATTAAACTTTTAATATAAAAATAACATTAAGTTATCTCCCTGTCTTCTTACTTCTAATGGCTTTAGGAATCACATGCTTTGCTAAGTAAGTGTTTAGGACTATGCATGCATAGTACATATTTATAGTACCACCTTAACACTGAGCAACAAGTCCTCAAGGGCTTACTTTGGAGTTTCGTGCATGGGATCCCCATGCTATGCTTTTTTTTTTTTTTTTTTTTTTTTGAGACAGGGTCTTGCTTTGTCACCCAGGTTGGAGTGCAGTGATGCAATCACAGCTCACTACAGTCTTGACCTCCCAGGCTCAAGCAATCCTCCCACCTCAGCCTCCCAAGTAGCTAGGACTACAGGCATGCACCACTGTGCCCAGCTAATGTGTGTGTGTGTGTGTGTGTGTGTGTGTGTGTGTTTAGTGAGATAAGGTCTTGCCATGTTCCCCAAGATGGTCTCAAATTCCTGGGCTCAAGCAATCCTCCCAAAGTGCTGGGATTACAGGCATGAGCCACTGCATGCAGCCCCCACACTATTAAACTTAAAAGGAATTCTGTTCACCACTCTCCCTCTTCTCATTACCTAAGTTACTGATGTTGAAATGGTGCGAATTCACTCTCCTACGTGGAGCATCTTCAGTCAGTTTTCTTGTTAGTTTATTTCCACGGCTCTGGGCATATTCCTCATTCCTCTCTCCTTGTCACCAGCTGCTTCATGACTAATCACATTTCCCTGTTTTCTTCTTCTCAGGCCAGTCTATTAGAATTCTCAAGCCTGGAATTTTGGGATATATAACAGGAGGGTGGGCATCGTATAGTGGGTGGGCATAGCAAACAGAAGGTAGGGTTTAACATTAAACCACACAGGCAGCAGTTAATCACACCTGTTTAATTATTAGAATTGGCTCTGAGGAGCCCCTCAGTGTTTAGAATGTTGAGTCTACAGAATTTCTCTTTTTTTTTCAATGGTGAAAGGAAGTTTTATTATCTTAACTTGACCCAAATTATAATATTATTTATAAAAGTTATATAAATGCAGGTTGATTGTTTTGAAAGAGTCAAAAAGCCAAATAAAAATAAAGCACTAGAAATAAATTCAGTTATAAGCAGTTGACATCATTCTTCTAAATGTTATGTGGAATCATAGGAAGAAACATCATTGCAATCATTTTCAAAGTAATATTAAAGGTATCAGAAGAAATGTTGGGTCTTAAATGTCAATTTGAATGTACAGTGTCTACAATAATAGATCAGAGAGAAAGTAAGTATATCTGTAAAGGAAAAAAGGCCGGGTATGGTGGCTCACGCCTGTAATCCCAGCACTTTGGGAGGCCAAGGCGGGCAGATCATGAGGTCAGGAGTTCGAGACCAGCCTGGCCAACATAATGAAACCCTGTCTCTACTAAAAATACAAAAAAGAAAAAAAAAATTAGCCTGACATGGTGTCAGGTGCCTGCTACTCAGGAGGCTAAGGCAGGAGAATCGCTTGAACCCAGGAGGTGGAGGTTGCAGTGAGCCAAGATCGCACCATTGCACTCAAGCCTGGGCAACAAGAGCGAGACACCATCTCCAAAAACAAAAGGCAGGAAAAAATGGCTGGGTGCAGTGGCTCACACCTGTAATCCCAGCACTTTGGGAGGACGAGGCGGGAGGATAACGAGGTCAGGAGTTCAAGACCAGCCTGACCAACATGGTGAAACCCTGTCTCTACTGAAAACACAAAAATTAGCACTTGTAGTCCCAACTACTCGGGAGGCAGAGGCAGGAGAATTGCTTGAACCTGGGAGACGGAGGTTGCAGTGAGCCGAGATTGCGCCACTGCACTCCAGCTCAGGCGACCGAGCAAGACTCTGTCTAAAAAAAAAAAAAAAAAAAAAAAAAAATCAGGAAAAAATGAGTTAGTTTCTAGTACTGTAAGTACTGTATCCTTCAATGAAAGAAGAACACAGATTAAGGATAAAACGACAGTCTTATCAACTAGGCCACCTTTAAGAATCATTTATCAGGGTAGCTAAAAGGAGCAACAATAAAGCTCTACATACATAACTGAAATGTTTACCATTAATCTAGTCCCAGCACTTTTATTTGTAGAGTTCTCAAATCAAAGTAACAACTAATTATACATCAGGATTGTTAGGAATACCAAATATTATTTTACAACTGCCACTATGTGTTTCTTCTTCTCTGACACAATTGGCACAGATCCAGGCTTGCTGTGTTTAACGTGATTCACTTCCTCTCATCGACAAGCTTCTTTCATGATGCACTGTTCCTGAATTGGGCTGTAGACAGAATTTGGTAGATGTCAATGACGAGCTATCGGTTGTATATGAGGATGACGCTGAAATTTCTCCTTCAGTTTCTGGTTATAATACTTGGCTGCTTTTTCTTGTGATGTAAGCATACCAAATTTTGCAGAAGCATTAGCTTTCCATAGGTAACTGTTCATTTCATCAGATCCATACATAATATACTTGCTGTCAGAAGTCCATTTTACACACATAACATGTTGCTTTCACTTTGTGTGATATACCTCCCTGCTTTGACTTTTATCTACAGGAAAGATTCAAATAGATTTATTGAAACTAGCAGACACAAACTCTTTCCCAGTGGGAGAGTAATCCACATCAAGCACTGCAGATACATGATCCATATGGACCATTACATGAGTGCACGCATATCAAAAGTAAATAAGTTATAATCATCATTTGCTGCCATAAAAATGAAAGCTTCCATAGGGTTTCAACAGACTGTATTTGTTCTCATATCTAAGATAACCTTTTTCAGAGGAGTAGCTTGCCTCATATCATACAGTACTGTAGTCCTGTCGGAAGCACAACTTCCCAAGATAAATGTCTCAATTGCATTAAATTTACCACTACTTATACTGTCAAATCTCCAGGTCATTGAACTTATAGGATTAGTTATTTGTTCATCCCAAATGTCTACTTGCTGTCCACATGTGGCAAAAACAGCTTCTTTCCAGTGATGATCAATCCCAGTATACACTGTCTTTCCTAATATTGTATGTAATGGCCCTTCCTCCTCTCCGTAGCCTGGCCCATCCATTTTCCACTGCTTCACAGTTTTGTCATCACCAACAGTGAAAAAAGAAGTCCCACAAAAGTGAGCACGTATTCCCTGTACAAAACCTTCATGTGCTTGTATTATACGGATACATTTCAGCTGAGTCAGGTTCCAAATTCTAACTGCTCCATCACATCCCCTAGAAAGGAGAGTAGCCAGGATCTTTGGATGCTTTGCCAAGCAACTCACTCCATCTCGTGACCATCCAGCCAAGCCAGGCATGGTTTTGCAAATACTCCTTCCAGTTTGGTAGCATTTAAAACTCTTACACATTCTTGCAGGACCTCAAAAGGATGTAAGGTAGGATCACAGTTTCTTGGAATAATCTGTAAGTCCAACTTGGTTTTGCGGACATAGTTGTCCGGATTCCAGCTCAATGTCTTCACCTTCACCTTCGTTGCTCTTCCTGCCAGACTCCACAAGCTCTTTGCTCTATAGAATTTCAAAGAGTACTGAGAGTGTCACAGGATTATCCCCAGAAATTTCCTCCTACAGGACCTGAGTCAATCATAGTTTTTATGTAGATTATGAAGACTGCAGCCCTTACCAATTTTTCTCTGTTTTGCCATAGATTTTGCAGGGCAATCTAATTGTAAAGCAGAAAACAAAAAAATATATATAAAAAGCACGTTTTGTGTTCTTCACTGCACTTATCACAACTTGAAAATATATATAGTTTTTGTCCTATCTTTCCCTTTATTTTATTTTATTTTATTTTATTTTATTCTATTCTATTGAGACAGGGCCTGGGTCTGTCACGCAGGCTGGAGTGCAGTGGTGTGATCTTGGCTCACTGCAACCTCCACCTCCTGGGCTCAAGCCATCCTCCCACTTCAGCCTCCCAAGTAGCTAGGACTACAAGCTCAGGCCACCACACCCAGCTAATTTTTGTATTTTTTGTAGAGATGGGGTTTCACCATGTTGCCCAGGCTGGACTCAAACTACAGAGCTCAAGCAATCCACCTGCCTTGGCCTTCCAAAGTGTTGGGATTACAGGCATGAGCCACTGCGCCCAGCCCTATCTCTCCCTTTAAAATAAACTCTTTGAGGTCTACTTTGTATGATCAGCACTTAACAAAGTGTCCAGTACATATGAGTGATCAGTAAATGCTAGAAGGAATGTATGAAATGTTCAGGTTTTTCTTCTCAAATGATTGGCAAATAATGAAATGAAAGATACTAAGAGTTCAGTCTTCCCCAAGCTAACTTGTATCATAAATCCAAGTTGCCTTAGCTCTGCTTTGCATTTTCCTTTTTTTCAATACTGAGCAGCTTCTCCATCATACTTCCCAGGCATTCACTATCCCTTTTACAGCTCTTTGGCAGCCTAGAACTTTTCCCTTTAGTTAAGTCTGTCTTCCTGGGATGGTGCCCAGATTCCAAGACTATCTCTTTCTTGCTCTACTCCCATTAAAACTCCCATTATTTTATTTTTTACTGCCAGGAGAAAAATATTCAGATAATTTCTCATTGAAGCATTATGCTGTAATAGACCATTTAATCCAGTAATTCTCCAGGGTATTTGTATTTTAGAACATGAAGCCGTTAGCCTAAGATAGAGAATGTATTATGATGGCATTTCAGGGTCAGTGTGACAGTGGCATGGGGTGTATATATATTTCCGTAGGTGGGTGGTGGGGTGATTGGGACTTTTCTTATTCTCTCAGGCCTCATCAAAAAGGTGGTCACCTGCCTTGATTACAAAGTCAAAGTCAGTAAATTCCTAGTCAAAATCAATAAACTCAGGCTTCTCACCATTGGTCATACTAGGAGAGGAAAAAATCAACAAAGAAAAATAAGAAAGCAGAGGGGTTTAAATACAAACACAGAAACCTTGCTTTTCCCTCAAGGAAAATAGCAACAATAACAAATTGCGTCAGAAAGCAAAGACCAATTTATTGAGCTTGTAAGACAATTAATGACAAATGTTTATCACTTTAAAAAATTCGAATGGGTGGAAAGTATAAAAAAATACAAGCCCATGAAACATAAACAACATTCACAAGCAGGCCGAGTGTGGTGGCTCACGCCTGTAATCCCAACACTTTGGGAGGCTGAGGTGGATGGATCACCTGAGGTCATGAATTCAAGACCAGCCTGACCAACATAGTGAAACCCCATCTCTACTAAAAATACAAAAATTAGCCAGGTGTGGTGGCACACACCTGTAATCCCACCTACTCAGGAGGCTGAGGCAGGAAAATCGCTTGAACCTGGGAGGTGGAGGTTGCAGTGAGCCAAGATCACGCCATTGCACTCCAGTTTGGGCAACAGAGTGAGACTCTCTCTCAAAAAAAAAAAAAAAAAAAAAAGAATGTTCACAAGCAGATTCTCCAAAATATTCCTTTAAATGACCAACTCGTAAAGTGTATTTAAAAGAAAATTCCATTTGAAAAAATTACAGTTAAGTTTCTACCAGCACTTAGGGAGGCTGAGGTGGCTGGATCACCTGAGGTCAGGAGTTCGAGACTGGCCTGGCCAAAATGGCGAAACCCCATCTCTACTAAAAATACAAAAGTTAGTTGGGTGCAGTGGCGCATGCCTGTAGTCCCAGCTACTTGGGAGGCTGAGGCAGGAGAATCGCTTGAACCTGGGAGGCAGAGGTTGCAGTGAGCTGAGATCGTGCCACTGCACTCCAGCCTGGGTGACAGAGTGAGACTCAAAAATAAATAAATAAATAAAAATAGTTAACTTTCTAGAAACCCACCTACTGTGTAAAGTACCTTCCTATGCCTGCTAGAGAAATGATATACAAACTTCCATTGCCATCAATTCATCAGCATTAGAATTTTCCTGGCCAGCCTCCACTCAGGCATTTCTTTCTTTCCCCTCTTTGCATCATGTTAGAAGATCGATTTCTGTTGTTGATAAGATCACAGACATCTTGGGTATGTGACTAGCTAACATTGAAAGTGGTCACCTTCAGTGATCTGTTCCCTCCTAATAAATGCTATGATGCCACTCAGAATCTGATCTTGGTGGTTCTGACACAAATTCTGCAGGGTTAGAATTAGGAGGGAAGGGCTACTGTATATTTCTGGATTTCCCACCCTAGGTACAGGAAGTTCAGATCCTGGAAAAATTCTGTCTAGCACACTTAAAACAAAGCCCCTCGTTCACCCAGTTTATTGTCTCAGAAGATCTATCAACTGTTTTCTTCTTCGTAGGAAGTCAGTTCTCTGTGCAATTGCAAATAGGATAAATAAACCATTCATTCAGAACTAGTGGACATTTTGTTTTGCTTTCCACCTGATTTCAAGAGAGAGTGGTGGCTATAATACAATGTTAAACTTGAAAACTCTGTATAAATCTTTGTGGGCACTCTGCTTCTCAGGGAGACAACAAAACATGCAAGTCCTTTGAATAATTATTTATGAGAGAGGCTGCTCAAAACTGGATCTTAAAACCTCTTATCAACCCTGCTCATATAGCATAGGTAACCTGCTAAGCCCTCCATCCATCCTTGGCTATGATTTTGGGACAAGCCTGTGGCTTCTTCATATCTGTTTTCATTCCCAAGTTCCGATTTGTTTTATCTGAAGTATTTCATCAATGTTAACATATGCAAAGCTGATGCCATATAAATACCCTCATTACACAGATGAGGTAAGCCAAAGGAAATTAAATGGCAAATGCTCCAGGAAAATTTGTAGATCTCACAAATCCAGGACAGGAGCCAGTGGTTTCTGTGTCTAAATGCTGTGCTTTTTTCACAAGCAGTTTATGCTGCTAGTGCCAACCTGGCTGTCTACACTTGCTCATTGTCACCATACCCGGGAACTGAGACCTCATGACCAATAGGTTTAGAAAATATCAGCTAGCTTGAACCTACCACCTAAACACCTTGCCTGTTCAGCTTCTACACTACTGACATAGTGATCTTCCTAAACTGAAATCTGATCATATTACTCTCCTTTGCCTAAAAGCACCTCCCTAGCAGAGAATATAGTCCAAACTCCTAGCCTGATATACAAAGCCCTGACTCTACACTGCTCCCCTAACCCAAAGCATCAGATATATCAAAGTATTTGGTCCCACTATAGAACTCCCCCTCCTCTATCACTATGCCCTACCCTCTGCAGCACCTCTGCTGAAAACTCCCCAGCCCCCATCTACTTGAGGAATCACCTACACATCTCTCAAGCTACAGTGCTGTGTCACTTCCCCTAGGAAGCCTTTTCTGATACACTTTCTTCCCTCTGAACTTCAGTTTCTGCATTAGCAAAATGTGGATTATAATTCCTACACCATACTGTAACTCAAAGATCACATAAAAAAATGACCCTGAAAGTTCTCTGAAAAAGGCAAAGCACTATTCAAAGGCCAAGTTATGTTATTATAAAATAGTTATTACACAATAAGCCTTTTTTTAGAAACTTAATTACAGTACTTGTAATGATTATTATAAAAATAACCTCGGCCAGCACAGTGGCTCATGCCGGTAATCCCAGCACTTTGGGAGGATGAGGCAGGTGGATCACTTGAGGCCAGGAGTTTGAGACTAGCCTGGTCAACATGGTGAAACCCCATCTCTACTAAAAATACAAAAGTTAGTTGGGTGCAGTGGCGCATGCCTGTAATCCCAGCTACTTTTGAGGCTGAGGCACGAGAATCGCTTGAACCCAGGAGGCGGAGGTTGTAGTGAGCCAAGATTGGGCCACTGCACTCCAGCCTGGGTGACAGAGTGAGACTCAGTCTCAAAAATATAAAAATAAAAATAAAATTAACTGCTACAAATTAGAGGACTTTCCCTGTCTATTCACTGCTTAAATGTGAGCTAAGCTTGAAATGGTGATGACACAAATAGACTAAAAGTAGACCCACACAGGGAGGATTAGCATGACCTCTGCCCCACATAGTTTTCAGTAATGAAAAACTGCATTTTATTTGCTTTCAAGAATTATATTCTCATTTCATATTTCTTTCATTTTATCAATGGAACATTCTTCCTTACAACTCTAATTCGCTCTAACCAAAGTCTGATTTCCTTAAATGACTTTTGTTCTAGCACTAAGTCTTAGCTGCTTCCTACCCACCCAATCAGAAGACTGATGCACCCACTCCACTGTTTCTGGAACACAGTGGCAAGAACGGGTAACATTTCCTCAGTTCTTAGTCTGTACCAGGCACTCTTCTAAATGATCTCTTATGATTATAAAATTTAAATCCCACTACAACTCTCATTTCCTGTCTGCAAAATGGGAATGAGAAAATGGAAACTTAGGAAGGTTAAACCTCTTGTCAAAGTGTAGGGTAAATGCCCCTGAGAGGAATAACTTGAACATACCCTTAGAATGGCCCTGTGGGACAGACGCACCTGACTGTGTGTTCCCAGTGAGGGAATACAGGAGTAGCCAAACCAGAGGTTCATTCCTTGTATGAGAGGAACATCTGAGCCCCAGGCCCATCCAGTAGAACAACAGCCATACAGGGGTTTGAGTCCTGAGTTTTGGGTTGGTTGTGTAACCACCCGAGGAGTTTTTCCTGCCTGCTGTACAAAGAAAGAGTACAGCATTACAGTACAGAAAAAGTTTAATAGACATGAGGCCAGCCATGCCACGTGCCTCGTCCAAAGATCGTAGTTTAGGGGTTTTTCAAAGGCAGTTTAGGAGAGGGGTGGGGGTGGCTGGGGTTGCTGCTGATTGTTTGGGGTAGAGATGAAATCATAGGGAGTGGAAGCTGTCCTCCTGCACACTGAATCGCTTTTGGGTGAGGTCACAGGAGTGGGATTGGTGGGTACAGGTAGAGCCATGGGTGTCAGACATTCAAAAAACCTGAAAAGATACCTCAAAAAGCCAACCTACAATAGTGGTGTTATCTACAGGAATGGCTGGCTACGCCTTAGCAGAAATCAGGCTCCTCTCCACCCCCTAGCCTGATGGCCACTCATTAGCTTTAAAAAGGTGTTTGAGTTTGGGGGAAGGGCTATTATCATTAAACTATAACCCAGATGTCTTCTAAAATTAACTCAGCCCAAAAGCCCTGGAATGATTAAGGCAGCTTACAAGCTAAAGGCAAGAGGGGCAGGTGGGCTAGATCGGATCTCTTTCACTATTATAATTTTGTGCACATTTTAAACTGATGGAAAAACTACAACAAAAAAATTCATAGCTCAAATGGTTAACCTGCACTATAGAGTTAAGTAGAGTCTTCTAAAGCTCTCTATCTTCCTCTCTTTTTTTCTGCCTGCTTTAAATCTGCTGTTACTCAGCTGCTAGTGCTGAGATGATACTCATTATTTACGTTCTAACTAGAAGGTAAACATTGGAAACTCATTTAAATTTTTAAAAAAGGTAAAAGAGGTTTTGTTAAACCAAACAACCTAGAATTTTTAAATCTCCCTTAAAGTTAATGGAAATAAATCCAGCACCTCCTTTAAACCTTATTCTTTTTTTTTTTTTTTTTTTTTTTTTTGAGACAGAGACTCACTCTGTCGCCCAGGCTGGAGTGCAGTGGCCTGATCTTGGCTCACTGCAACCTCCACCTCCCAGGTTCAGGTGATTTTCCTGCCTCAGCCTCCCAAGTAGCTGGGACTACAGGTGCGTGTCACCACGCCCAGCTAATTTTTGTAGTTTTTTTAGTAGAGAAGGGGTTTCACCTCATCATTCTCAGCAAACTATCACAAGGATAGAAAACCAAACACCTCATGTTCTCACTCATAGGTGGGAATTGAACAATGAGAACACTTGGACACAGGAAGGGGAACATCACACACCGGGGCCTGTCATGAGGTAGGGGGAGTGGGGAGGGATAGCATTAGGAGATACACCTAATGTAAATGACGAGTTAATGGGTGCAGCACACCATCATGGCACATGTATACATATGTAACAAACCTGCACATTGTGCACATGTACCCTAGAACTTAAAGTATAATAATAAAAAAAAAAAAGAGAGAAGGGGTTTCACCGTTTTGACCAGGCTGGTTTCAAACTCCTGACCTCAGGTGATCTGCCCACTTTGGCCTCCCAAAGTGCTGGGACTCCCAAAGTGAGTCACCGTGACTGGCCCTTAAACGTTATTCTTAAAGCTGACTCTTTTTATTCAATTCTACTGCAAGTTCTCAGTAACTATCCAACTGCCTCTCTTGAGCAGCTTCACCCTGTTGATATTAATGCTTTTATAAGGGAGATAGTACACAATTGCTATTTGCAGGCCGACCTCCAAAACTACAGCCCAGGGGAAATTTCTTTATCTTTGTCCTAGCAATGTTATTTACCCCCATGCCACAACATTGATATGCTGAGGTACTAATTGTTTGGTTTTTTTCATACTCTTTACAGCCTTTCTTCTTTCCTGTCTCCCTAAGTTTACTGTATATTGTCATTTTCCTTAAATATTCTTCTGTGTTTATTCTGTCTGTCATGGCTAACTATTGCTTCCATGGCTACACCAAGCACCCACTATAACCAGTAATATCTCAGGTTGCTAACACAACACACAGCACTAACCGCTGGATATGCTCACGTGGGCAGTCACTCGAGAATGACATTACACTCCTAGCAGTTCCACTATCTATAGAAGAAATTGCTAACACACAAGCCAAATACTCTGGATTCAACTACGCCAGGTACACGCACACCAAAAATACAGGTTTATGAGGTAAACCTAGGCCAATCGATCCCTCATGCCAATCACCCACGGTGACCGAGCAAATAGGGAGGGCACCAGAGATGGCTTATAATGCTAGAAATTCCAAGGAGTCTGGCCCTTTCCCAGGGGCTTTAACACACAAGTCCATTGCAATTACACTGTCAGCTATGATCAAACAAACCAGAATGGAAGCCATGCAATGACTCTTAACAAGTTCACTGTGTACCTCCACAGTTTTTCTCTATGGTGAGGAAACAACAAAGTTCATGCCAGAAAGATTTATAACAATTCCTTTATGCCTATAAATAGTTCAGCAGCCAGGATGGAACATATAGAAATAGCAGTCAAAACTGGACGACTTCTCAACTTCACTAATACATCTACATCTTTTCCTCAATTTTCTCTTATCCCATTAATATTCAAAAATCATATCTGTCAGGCCCCACATTCACATAACACTACAAGTCAAACTTTTACCCCCTTATGCGTGGATAACTACTTTTTGGGTCACTGCCCATCCACATTTAATCCCAGGGGACCATGGGATCCCTCTATTTATGCAAACCATACGGGAATCTAAACTAATCACACCTATGCCTGGTTGTGAGGTTCCTCTTCAGGAGTTTCATTAAAAGGAACTGGGTTCTTCTTTTTATACAGATCTAACATATTTCTAGCCTTGTCTATTAAGTGAAGAGGCACTTACACTACAGTTGCAGCAATATCTGGAGTGCACATATATAACTCCTCAGACTTCGTAACCTCTAGCCAAGCTCCAAATTTAAAATCCTTCTTATGTTGGTCCCTCCAAAGGACATCAGAAGCAGTACTTAGTCTCCCATCATTTAGCATCCTCGCCAATAATAATCCTGTCATAGAGAAAAATGACCTAGGACATTCTGTAGCCAGTGCAATCTTTTGGTTTGCAGATATACCCATGCTTAAGTGCAGTATTCATAATCTCACCATCCTAGTCCAGCAATCTTGGGAAGCTACAATCACGGCCATTGAAGGCCAATGGCAGGCCCTGAACTCGCTGGCAGGGTATGTTTTGCAGAACCAACTCACTTAGGAGGTGCTTCCTGCTGAAGCAGGAGGCACCTGCATGCTGTTAAATAAAACTTGTTGCTTTTACATCAGTAACTCAGGTCAGGTAGAAGAAAGTTTAGAAAAGATAACAGACAACATAAAAATATTAAAGGGCCTTCAAAACAGAGTTCCTCAAGATTCCTTTTCAGCACAACTATTTCAAAGCTTCTCCAGTTAAATTTGGCCATGGGTTGCTCAACTTCTTCTGCCTATAATAAAGCTCATATTAGTTTGTTTATTTGCATACTGTATTGTTAATTCTACATCTGATTTTGTGTTTTCTAGGATACAACAATTTCAAACCAAAACAGTACTACAGCAAAGGTATCAGCTACATAACTTTCCTTTGAATGCAGCAGAACAAAATTTTAGGCTACAAATGCTGTTCTCCCATAGTCTCATAGCAACCCTGACCAATTTAAGTCCCAACTCAGGGATTTAGGTGTACATAACCTCCTGACCGACTAACAATCCTAGGTAGGGCCAACTATACACCCCTGGTCAGCAAGAAGCAGTTGGAAGATGAGACCTTTAACCACATGCCAAAGATTAGTCATTGTTGCTGTCAGGGTGTGAAGAAAGGTAGAGTCCTAATTCAGGAGAAGGAGTCAGGCTGGCAGGACCAGGGGAAAGCAAAACGAGAAAGCAGATAGATAAGCTATAAGTCTGCCTTTCTTCATGGTCCAGGACACATAGCCCTCATGTGTAAATCACTCACAATCTTCCTGTGCCGAGCTACCACCTGACTCTTGGCTGACAGAAAAATGCAAGTTAGCTCACTGCAACCTCGGCATTACCAATACTGCACAAAGTCTTCTTCAAGCGCAGAGCACAAGCACCATCCTATAAAATCCCTAGCAAGCTTTTGACTCTTTGCAGTCAGCTCCTCTTTCGCTGACCTGCCTGTTGCACCCTTGCAATACATTTTCCTACGTTCTCAAATAAATCTGCCTTTCTTTACCTACGACTGTCTTGGTAAATTCTTCTTACTGCCTGTACCACTGGCCCCAGATAGTTTCTGATCACCTGTGACACTCATTACATTAAATGTGGTTTCCTGGATTGGATCCTGGGGGAGTAAAAAAGACATTAGTGGACAACTGATGAAGTTTGAAAAATTCTTTAGTTTAGTCAGTAGTAACACATCAATACTAATTTTTTTTGTTTTGACAAATGTATGATGGTTATAGAAGATGTTAACATTAGGGGAAACTGGGTGAAGTGTATACAGAACTCTTTGTACTTTGCAATTCATAAATCAAAATATGTTTTAAAATGAAAAGTTTAAGAGGCCTCAGATTACTTTGAGATTAATTTACTGAGCCTATTAAATCCATCTATTGTACAATTTAAATAAATTTGGTTATCTTAAAATTTTTCTAAAATGATTATTGAATTCATTAGCGAAAACAAAACACCTATTTGTGTTTATAAGCAAAAGTCAGGTTTTGAATTTGGTATTAAACAATATCTTTTCAGAAAAGGAGATAAATATTGGTTGGGAATGAGTTACAAAGTCTCATCTTGCCAATAAGATGACCAAAACTTTGTATTCCCATTGAGAAAAACAAAAAATATTATAGTTAGCCAATGAGATGTCTAATATAGTTAATATATGGTTGACTAAATATAGTTTCCTTTCTGGCCTTCTGAGCATTCCTAAATCCCAAGTGTCACAGTCTGGCACATGTGTTCAAAGCCACAGAGAGAAAGTAAAACAATGACAAATTATGTAGGTAACTTAGCCATAATTATACCACCACAGATAAAGCTCAATAATACTACCTCAGATAGACAGAACCATTTTATATTACAGGGATTCTTTTCCAAATAGCCCTGGTAGAGTAGACCTGGAACATGTTGTTCCCAGAGCATCTGGCTCTTTCCTCAGATTTGAGGAACAAATCAGAAAATGACCAGTGTTGTAGTCAATGTGATACAGTCATCTGAACATTCTTCCCTGATTTTGAACAGTTGTGCCTTCAATGAGATGCTATTGTTTAAACACTTTTGTTTGAGGAGGATTTAAAAAAAAATCACAATTATCTTGTTGCCCAATCAGATCTCACTGGCTCTGCCAGTCACGGCCAGTTCCTTCTCAGGAAGGTAGGCCCCTGAGCTCAGCTGACTGGCAGAAGCAGTGCTAGGCTGTGACTGAAGGTGAGCAGTGGCGGCTCACTTCTGTTTCCTTCTGCTCAAGAGAGATTCTGCGAATGAGTTCTGATAAGTGACCAGATGTGGTTCTGCTCACCCTCGGTGGTCTCCATCTTTAAAATCGAGTGCCACAGGGCCAAGGAAGGAACCTTCTTAAAGTTCAAGGAGTTACTCTAGCACTGAAGGTTTCCTGAGGAAATGTAACCACCATGCCTTCCACTGGTGGGCTTGAACAAGAAGCAGGAGAGAAAGTGAGGAGAGGCAGACAGAAGCAACAGAAAGTTTAGCGCGGAAGTTGAGAAAGGGCCTGGCCAATTCCAATTTCTAAGGCCTTCAATAAACAAAAAGAAGAAGAGATGCCAATATTGGTTTACTAAGTCATGGTATGTTTTAGATCTTTAATTAATAAAGCTGCATGTGAACATATCTCTAATCTGTCAAGGCATATCTCATTTTGAAATAACATTAAGAGCTGGGCGCGGTGGCTCACGCCTGTAATCCCAGCACTTTGGGAGGCCGAGGTGGCGGATCATGAGGTCAGGAGTTCAAGACCAACCTGGCCAACATGGTGAAACCCCGTCTCTAATAAAGATACAAAAAAATTAGCCGGACGTGGTGGTACGTGCCTGTAATCCCAGCTACTCGGGAGGCTGAGGCAGGAGAATCGCTTGAACCCGGGGGTGCAGAGGTTGCAGTGAGCTGAGATCACGCCATTGCACTCCAGCCTGGGTGACGGGGCAAGACTCTGTCTCAAAAAAAAAAAATAATAATAATAACATTAAGAGTCTAATTTGAATATTCGTGAATATGAAGCTCAAGCTAAATAGTCTTACTATTCACTACTCCGTCCCCAGGTGCCTACCCAGAAGACCGCAACAGAATGAGAGTAAAAGCTTAGAAAAACGGGCTAAAGAGAACAAAAAGAGAAGTACTGAGAGGAAGATACAGAAACAAAGTAGAAAAAAAAGGAGAGAGAGGAAGCTGGAAGACCTGGAGCACCGCTCATCGTGGTCTCAGACGCACCAGGTAGCAGTGTATGGTCACCTTCCACTCACCTAGCCCTAAGGGGTATCTATGATGCTTTGTTGCTTAGTGGGAGAAATCTGCAACCATCCATTAGGAACCCGCTGCAACCCCCCCACCTCCCGGTTCAAGCGATTCTCCTGCCTCAGCCTCCTGAGTAGCTGGGATGACAGGCGCGTGCTACCACGTCAGGCTAATTTTTTTGGTATCTTTATAAGAGACGGGGTTTCACCATGTTAGCCAGGTTGGTCTTGAACTCCTGACCTCACGATCCGCCGGCCTCGGCCTCCCAAAGTGCTGGGATTACAGGCGTGAGCCACCGCGCCCAGTTCTTAATGTTATTTCAAAATGAGATATGCCATTAGGTGCTCATTGAGCACTGACTGTGCTGGGGACTGAGGAACGGGAGCCAAGATAAACATAAAGATTGTCTCTGTCTGCATAGAAAATGAAATGTATTTTTTGCACTCTCTGGACAGCAAACAAGGAGATAGGTCTCGAAAGAGAAAGGGTTCGCTTACTACAAGGACGTTCAATAACAGTTGTCAACCCTGACGGAATAACCTCAGTGGCAAGTAGCCTGCAAATCATATTCGTGCTTGAAATTCAGGTAAGTCCTTGGAAGCTGGTTTTTCATATACACGAATATGACCACATTCCAGCTGTCCAGGAACTTTCCAGGTACTGAAGAAGCCAGGAAGGAGATCACACTACCTTGGGGCTCCCGTAACTGCGTGCCAAGAGGAAAGTATCACCTAAGCCGAATCTTAAAGGGGTCAGCTTCTTGAAGAAAGATACCAACGATGCCTTAAAAAGAGGACTGTCGACCGACAGCGTAGAAGAGGTGAAAGTGTAGGTCACCGAGGGCCTGTCCGGCCACGCCTTTCCTTTTAGGTATAAACTTACTTCATTTTTCAACCATGGCTGCGATGGTAACTTTGAAAATAAACCTAATTTCCATACGAATATTTGGTGATTCACACTTTCGAGGCACCCCACAGCACGGTAGCCAGAAGTCTGTTGTTTTGCAATTTTAATCAAAGGCCCCTAACACATGCCTTGAAACACAACTTCATCTGTGCCAATACATTATAAATTCATAAAAAAGTTGAGATCTGTTAAGGGAAGGAGAGGTCAGCTTCGGTGTAGTGAGCTCAGCTGTGGTGAGCTCGGGGTCAAGTGAGGGTGTCTCTGAGGCCAGCGCCCCCAAGCTGCGCAGGAGCGGGCGTGGGCGCCCCCGGGTCAGGGCTCTTCGCAGTCGCGCGGGTCCGGAAGCGCGGCGCGGGCCCAACGAGCGCACGCGTACACGCGTGCGCAGGGGAAGACCGAGTGCCAGGGGCTGAACCGCAGGGAAGGGGGCGCGGCGCACGCAGTATGGCGCCCAACATCTACTTGGTTCGCCAGCGGATCAGTCGACTCGGCCAGGTGCGGCCTGAGGAGAAGCCTCCCGGTCTCCGCCCCGGCCCGCCCCTCGCCTCCCCAGCCGCCCCACTCCGTTTCCGCCCCAGAGTCTCAGCCAGCAGCTCAACCGCCGCCGCTCCGCCCCGCCCCGCCCCACGGCCGCCCGGGCCCGCCTCCGAGCCCGGCCAGCGCGCCAGCCCCGCCTGCCCTTCCTCGCCACCGGGCTGCTCTGGTCTCGTCGGTCCCCTCCTCCGCCCCGTCGTCCTGACTCTCTCTCCCTCCTTTCCTCAGAGGATGTCCGGCTTCCAGATCAACCTCAACCCGCTCAAGGAGCCACTCGGCTTCATCAAGGTCCTCGAGTGGGTGAGTGCAGCCCGCGCCGGCCAGGCCCGCCTGCCGCTCGGCGCGGCGCCCTAGGCGGGGAGACGGGGACCTGCGAGCCGGGACGCAGCCCTGCCGCGCGGGCTTTGAGGCCGCCGCCCCGGGACTGGGAGTGGACGGCAGGGAGGGCAGGGAGGCCGCGGCCTGGGCCGCGCGGGGCGGAGACGCCGCGGCGGGCGTCGAATCACGAGCTCCTCGGCCGCCTGGCTCCCAGGGGAGCCACCCTCCCACACCGGAGCTCCCCTCTGGGTGTCCCCGTGGAGTGGGAGTTCAAATTTCCCCTTGGCTCCACTGCCTCCCGCAGAGGAAGGGAAAACTTCCTGCTGCGGTCTAACCGAAACCCGGCGGCCGGCGTCGCGCTCTGCGGAGAGGCTCAGCGGTTACGTCCCTGCCGGTGCCCACTCGAGGTCTAGCTCCCTGGGAAGCCGATTTTGTCTTGTAGACGTGATTTGGCGAGCATTCCGTTCTTAATTTGTTTTTAAGATGGGCTCCGAGTTAAAAATAGTAAAAAAATAAACTGTGGGCCAGGGAAACTAAAGAAAGTCCTTTTAACAAAACGCATCGAGTCAGATCGGTTCACTTAATAACACGTTAGGAATGGACATCGAGTTTGTTTGGGGTATTTCCAAACAACATCCTGTTTAGAAAGTCAGCTTTTAGTCCTTTCCTGAGAACACTCACAATCATTAACATCAAAGAACGCTTATTAATTCGACCTTGGCAATGATCAGTTACTTGGAGGAGTTGGTGAATATACCAGGCACTGCGGGCTTCCTTCAAACTTCGCGGCCCACTACATATTTCTGCAGGCAAGTTGTGTTTATAGACAGCAGCATTTACATCCATAGCTTTTTCGCCCTTTTCCTTAGTGATAGAGTGGTGAAGAAGAATAAGAACTTTCAATTTCCTGTTCTAAATAACCTACCGAGGATGTTTTTAAAAGCAGCGTAGAAACTCAGTTTCTCTGATGGGTACCTAATGTGATTTCCTACTTGGACCATTGTAACCGCGCAAGGGGTTAGGCAATTTCACCATTCACTGAACATTTTGTGTGTTTTCTGAAAACTGAAGTAGTGCTGACTTCACACAAATGACTACTTGAAAGACGCATAAATAAATATACTTGATTTTTTTAAACCTAAGTCCAGATTTAAGTATAAAGAAAACCATGATTAAAGCATTTAAAAATTGCAAGAGGAAAATCTCATTAACGAGGCTAATCAAATATGAACGTTAAGAAAGTCTTATATCTAGATTTAGTCTCATTGAGGATTATAATTAAATGTATAACTAATAATTTAGATTTCCACTTAAATGAAGAGGCAGTTGTTTATATCTGTGCTTATATTTTTTGTCAAGTTTTTAAACAACTGTAGACTTAGCTTTTTCCTTAATATTTCAAGCACTAGTGATAAGTTCATTCGTGTTTTGATGTATTTTGAAAAATATCCCTTTTTAAGCATCTTACAGAAATACTTTCAGTTTGAACAGCTTGTTATTACACAGGAGAGCCTTTTATGAAAAGACTACACATTGTTAATGGTGTGGTAAATATTTGACTATTTTATACCAGATCTGTACTAAACACTAGCATACCACATGAATAAAACATGGTCTTTTTCTCATGATCTATTAAGGATGAAGGACATACAAAATACAAAAATGCCATGTAATAAACTGTGATAAAGGTGTATGCAAAGAATAGTAGAAGAAATGAGGGAGAGAGCATTTGCTTGGAGGAACTAGGGAGGACTTCATAGCTGAGAGAACACTTGAAGGATGGGTACTGGTTCACTTGGGGAGTGGCTTTCTAGGCAGAAGGAATCTTATGTTCAGTGGAAGGAAATGTTGAAGCAGCATAACCCTGTATGAGAACTTAAAAGTAATTGGGGGTTAGTTGGAATATATGCTAGGTTGGAGGGTACGGTTTGAGATTGTTCTGAAAAGATTTCAGAGGTCGGCTGCTTCTGGGGTTAATCTTTGGGAATCTGGGCCCTTTCCTTAGGAAAATGCATATGTGCAGGGTATGGAATATTGGAGTGTTTATTCCATTCAAGCCCAGAATCCCTGCCATAGGGGATGGGAACTTAAAGGCTTTAAACAAGTCAATGATACGACTAATTTTAGGCACTCATAATTCCTCAATCAATCGATTTCTCCCTCCAATTCTGACCTTTCCAATCCATCCCTCTAACTGCCGACAAAATGAAAATTTCTAAAAGGATGAATTGGAAAGGCTAGAATTGGAGGAAGGGAAATCTGTTGATTGAGGAATTATGAGGGCCTAAAATTAGTTTCAGTAGGACTGAAGGGGTTTACAAAAGGGGGTTACAAATTAGAATATATATGGAAGGTAACAAAGAGGGAGGACCCTAAGATGACTGCTGTCTTTCTGACTTCGTTGCCATTAGCATATTCAAGGTAATGTCATTAAGAGGAGGAGGAGCAGATTTTATGGGAAGTCAAAGGTTTCAGATGTATTGAGTTTGTGGTCTCTTTAGATCTTTTGGAGGTATCCTATAGGATACAGCTATATATATGGATCTAGAATTTAAAATATGAGTTTGGGCTGCAGATATAGCAGATATCTGCCTGCAAAGGAGAGAAGGAATGGTTAGGAAAATTGAGGGAAATAATGCCTTGGCATCACTATTAGAATTTCAAGAAAAGAGTACCCCAAAACGTAAGGTGCAATAGAATGGTAAAGTAAAATAAGGACTAGTTGATAAAATAAGGACTAGTTAGCAAGAGCAGTTTCAGTAAAATCAAAAAGCCAGATTTTAGTAGGCTGAATGAATGTGTGGTAAGAAAGTGAAGACAGCATAAACCGCTGTTTGACTGTGAAGATGGGAGAAATTTGGTGGTTACAAAAAAAAGCCACTAGTTCAGCTTACAACTCAGTTGCTTAAATGCATTCTCTGGAGACAACCATTGTATTTGGTATGCAACAAAAGTCTTTATTTGCATTTCCCATTTTATCCTACTGACAAGAGAACTCAAGGGTCAAGGTTTAATAAAATTTTTACTGCTTCATCAGACATTCTTAAGTAAAACTGGTGGGGGTTTTTTGTTCTTTTTTGTTTTTGGTTTTTTGTTTTTAACTGCAAGTATGTGGCAGTGAAATAGAGTTTGGTATTCTTCCTGATTCTTATTAAACCCGGCAGTTTTCCCCACCAGTTTATCTGCTTCATCAGTACAAATGTCAGCACAGTGTAAAAGGCAAATAATGTCTTAGTATCGTTAGGAAAATGTTTTACCTTCATGAACTCCTGAAAGAGCCTTGGGAGCTTTCAGGGGTCCACAGACCACGCATTGAGAATTGATGAGGTAAACACCACTGGGGACCAGAAACAGAACAGAAAATACGGCAGGGAGAAAGACTATTCCCAAATTTGGTAATTATTAATAAATCTGAAGAAAGCTCAACCAACTATCTGGATTTACGACTTAAATAGAGCTGAGTACTTAAAAGTGTAGAAATAAAGAGATATATATAGCCTCTCAAGACCTGGACCAATCTACTTGCAGGCTTAAGGTCTGGATTTGTGATAACGTGTATGTTCACTTATGTTGGTGGTTTGGGGGTCCCATCATAAGGTGTGTTTGTGGACCAGGGGACTCAGAAGGCCAAGCAGAAATGACCATGACCATAAAGCCGCTAGACAGGGATAGAAGCAGGAGGGGACAATCAAGTTGAGCCTATATCAAATATCCTAAAACACATGAAGAAAACTAATTTTTACTTAAAAATTCAAATTATGTCAGTGGCAACAAATGCTGTCAGTTTTCCACAGAGTGACAGGCTTACTTCAAGACAGCCAGCCAGATCAACAATCAGGATATTGATTCACTCCAGAAGACATGAAAATAGTAGAGCAATTAGAAAATGATTTCTATTTTTAAAAATATAAATTATATTTTAAATTTTTAAAAATATAGTCTCTGTCTTGTCCAGGCTGGAGTGCAGTAGTGTGGTCTCGGCTCAATGCAACCTCGCCTTCCAGGTTCCAGAGATTCTTCTGCCTTAGTCTCCCGAGTAGCTGGGATTACAGGCGCTCGCCACTACATCCAGCTAAGTTTTGTATTTTTAGTAGAGACGGGGTTTCACCATGCTGGCCAGCCTGGACTCTAACTCCTGACCTCAAGTGATCCACCCGCCTCGGCCTCCCCAAGTGCTGGGATTATAGGCATGAGCCACCGCGCCTGGCTGATAAATGATTTTTAAATAAATATATTTAGGTTCCTCAGAGATTTAAGGTGACATAAATGTGTTTTCAACATACAATGATTAGGAGTTAGCAAAAAACTTCTAGCTGTTTATTTCAGTAGGAACTCTAGAGTTTACTTCTCATAATCCAATTTTTTTTTTTTTTTTTTTTGGAGACGGAGTCTTGCTCTGTCACCCAGGCTGGAGTGCAGTGGCATGATCTCAGCTCACTGCAACCTCCATCTCCCAGGTTCAAGTGATTCTCCTGCCTCACCCTCCCAAGTAGCTGGGACTACAGGCGTGTGCCACCTTGCCCGGCTAATTTTTGTATTTTTAGTAGAGACGGGGTTTCACCTGGTTTCACCAGGCTGGTCTCAAACTCCTGACCTCAGGTAGTCCGTCCGCCCTGGCCTCCCAAAGTGCTGGGATTACAGGCGTGAGCCACTGCAGCCGGCCATAATCCAAATTTTTAAGGATTATGGAATTATCTTGGCAGGCTATTTAGAATTTTCTACTATTGTACATTAGAAGCAAAGGGAGATAGAGTGAAACTGAAGCACTTTGTAACTGACTTTATTTCCCAGTGGGAATAAACTGAAATACCACCATCAAAAACAATACTTTTTTGAAATGAATAACTTTAGTAAACATTTTGGACTTTGACTCATAAAAATCATACCTTGGCTCTAGGCATCTAATCTTTTGATTGTAAAGGCAAACGTGCTATAATATTTCATTTTAAGTGCTGAATGATCATTTGACTTAAAACCAGCATACATTTCTTTTGCATGTAAACACTCATACATAATATACTTTTATATCTATTTTTGAAGATTTCAGTTATCACTTTGATAAACTAAACCTTGGACAGAAAGAAATTTAAATAGATGATTTCAGATTAATGATGAAATTAAATAGCAATGAAGATCCTGCAACTAGAAACGTGTAAACAACACTCATAAACCAGGTGAATACTAGTATTCTCCAGTAGAATCCTCAGAATTAGCATGGTCTAGCAATAGAAGTTAAGGCTCCAAACTCTTTTTAAATTTTATTTATTTATTTTTTGAGACAGGGTCTCACTCTTGTCACCCAGGCTGGAGTGCAGTGGCACGATCACAACTAATTGCAGCCTTGACTTCCCCAGGCTCAAGCTTTTCTCTCACTTCAGTCTACTGGGTAGCTGGGACTGCAGGTACACACCACCACCCCCAGCTACTTCTATAATTTTTTATAGAGACAGAGTCCCACCATGTCACCCAGGCCAGTCTCGAACCCCTGGGCTCAAACGATCACCTGCCTTGGCCTCCCAAAATGCTGAGATGAACCACTGCACCCAGCCTCCAGAGTCTTTTTTTTTTTTGAGACAGAGTCTTACTCTGTCGCCCAGGCTGGAGTGCAGTGGCATGATCTCGGCTCACTGCAACTTCCGCCTCCCAGGTTCAAGCAATTCTCCTGCCTCAGCCTCCCAAGTAGCTGGGATTACAGGTGCCCACCACCACACCCAGCTAATTTTTTTTGATATTTTTAGTAGAGATGGGGTTTCACCATGTTGGCCAGGCTGGTTTCGAACACCTGACCTCAGGTGATCCACCCGGCTCAGCCTCCCAAAGTGCTGGGATTACAGGCATGAGCCACTGTGCCCAGCCTCCAGAGTCTTTTTTGCACTCCTATTAGTGCAAAATTTTATGGACAGAGCCACAATATGCATCTACAACTTAAGATGCATGTTTTACTATGTCAGTTAGTATCTTAAGGTATATTATATACTCAGTGCAAATTTTGTTTATATTTTTAAATCCTTGCTTCAGATACTATTCTGATAATTTTTTATTGTTGTGCCACCGTCTTGTGATCTGATTAAGTAGTCTGTTTTTACCTTGTAATATGGCTGTTGATTGTAATCATAGAGTAGTATGAATGCTTCCATTTTCTCTTTTATACATGAGTGTGTGTGTTACCAATCTATTTCTTTGAAGACATTTTAAAGCCATGGGTCAATTTTGTGAAGGTTGATTTGGTTAAAACTAGACAAATTATTCCATAAATCCAGGCCCACTCACATTGTAATGCATGAACACTAAAAGTGAAAGAATAGATGAGGTTATCACTGTCTGTCCTTCCATGTATGAGATTCCCCTTACCTTCAGGATACCCAGCATGCTGTACTGACATGTGACCTTCTGATGTGCATGCCCAGCATGGGTTTCAGTGGTATATTAATTGCAATAAAGCTTCAATTCCTTATTTAAGTCTGAAAGTAGATCTAAATAGAAGTTTACATATTTTCTTCTGGTACTCCAGTCTACTTTGGAGACTAGTGCTCTGGAAAACCAGGCTGTACTATTCACCCTGAGGTTACAATTCTCTGAATAAGATCTGCCATGGTGGTCATCTAGTATGGGTCTGGTGGGCAGAGAAGTAAGTGGGACTGTTTCTCTGGATACTTGGGGCTGTATGTGAACATGTAACTTTTCTGACTAAACAGAAGCTTGCTGTCACCCCGCCCCTGGATTCTTACTAGTCACTGTGCAGATAGAATTCCATGTCAGTAGTTTCAGTCATTCTTCATGGGGTAGGAGTATATGGGAAAATAAGTTTCAAAAGTGGCCAGAAAATATAAATCAGAACACCAGTACTCCTTCATTTTAGACTAGGGTTGGAAACTGAAATGGTCATAGGAACCACCCTCTAAAGTAAATGAGTGAAGCAAGATGTTTGGAAGAAAAAGAATAGTATGTCATTGATTACTTACTGGCAACTAACACACATCCTGAGGGCTGTTAAGACAATGGAGAAGCGGATAACCTGGAAAGCACATACTCTGCCATAAGTGACATCTGTCACTCAGTTCTCTCTGATTGTTGCTTTATGAGAATGTAGGTCTGATGTTGCCATTCTTCAGCTTTCCCATACACACTCAGGAAAAGCAGGAAATCCAAATTTTTATGTGTAATACCCTGATATTAAAACAATGACAACAAATTCACATTTTTTTGTAATACTGGAAAGGCCACACAAATATATTTGCAGGCCGGGTTTTACCAACAGGCTGCCAGTATATAACTTCCAGTCTAGATCAAAATAGCAGTAGAATATAGGGAGAAGTGAGATAGTTGGATATTTTGCCCTCATAATTTTGTACTTTGTTTAATATAAAATATGTGCTTTTGTCCCTTCTTTCTATAAGATAAAGACCAGAATTGCTGTCATGATATTTATCTATCCTTATAACAAAAAGCTTTAAAATAATAATTATGTAAGATTCAAAATATGGTTTTATTTATAAGTTATTGGAAATTATTTTTTCCTTAATTAAGTAGTTATTTAGTGAGCATCTGCTATGTGCCAGGTTTTCTGCTAGTCACTGAAAATCCTAAACAAAACCAGGTGCAAAGACATGACAGTCTGGCAAAGGAGCAGTAGAAGTGATAGTCTTGAAAGCAACAAGCTGTAGTGCAGTATGCCATTTATTTGCTACTTGTTATATTAGGAAATTCATTTTTCCATTTAATTTTTTTATTTTATTTTATTTTTAAGACAGGGTCTCACTGTGTTGCCCAAGCTGGTATTGAACTTCTGGGCTCAAACAATCCTCCTGCCACGGCCTCCCAAAGTGTTGGAATTACAGGCATAAGCCACTGCACCCGGCCCCATTTTATTTTTTAGAAAGCAAGTTACACAAGAAAAATGCCTATAGTAGAGTTCATATATAATAGAGTTAATGTCTATGATAGCTCAAGAGAAGAATCATGAGTTCTACCACAGGGAATTGGGTAGGGCCTTAAAAGATGAGCTAATCAGAGACAGGGCATTCCCAGAAGAAGAAGCATATACATTTAAGACATAAATACATGGTATGTTTCAGGAACAGTAAGCAGTATAATGTGACAGAATCATACAGTACCTGGCAGTGAATAGACTGCAGATAAATCTATCTAGAAAGATAAAGTTGAGGATCGATCAGCCATGCCTTTTATGCCAAATTAAGAAGTTGGAGCATTTTTTGTTTAATTTAGGTTGAAAAACAATTGAGGAAATTCCTTTAAATGGGAAGGACATGATCAGATTTTTATTTCAGATCAGTTTGGCATCATTCTAAACTAGCTCTGTCCAGTACAAAAAAATACAATGGGAAGCAAAAATGCAAACCACATAGTAATTTTCAGTGTTCTATTAACCACACTAAAATAAGAGGAAACAGGTGAAATTAATTTTAACAATATATTTTACTTAACCCAATCTATCCAGATTATTGTTTGAACAAGTCGTCAATATAAAAATTAATGAAGTATTTCACATCTTTTTCATAGTAAATCTTCAAAATCTAGTGTGTATTTTGCAGTTGGAGTATATATCAATTTAGATTAGTGACATGTAAAGTGTTCAAGACTCACAAGTAGCATTACTGGGTACTGCAGCTATAGTGCCCACATTATAGAAGATGAGTATCAATTGGAATGAAATTGGAAATGTGAGAAAGAGTCTGCTGGGTTAGTCCCAATGAAAAATGGTGAGGGCCTGAACAAAAATAGTGGCAGGTGTAATGTAGGCAGGTAAACAGAGCTTTTTAAAAAATGGTTTTATAGTCTAGGTAGTCATATGCAACATGGTTTTTATTTTGTTTTTGTTTTAACTCAGCATTGGATTTCTATGATTCATCTATGTTGATGTAGGCAGTTGTAATTCTTATATCTTTTTTGCCGTATAACTTCCCAGTGTAAGAATATACTATGGTATTTTATCCATTTCCCTGTTGCTTTTCCCCTCCCCATTTTTCATGAACATTCTTATATGTCTCTTAGTACGTGTGAGCAAGGGTTTCTCTTAGATCTATATACTAGTAAATCCTTTGTGACATTATGTTTATTATAAATATGTTCATCTAATTGGTAGCTTGTTTTACATTCAACAGCTGACTTGATTAAGATTTTTTTTCTGTAGTTGAATTTAACAATCTTTTATGGTTCTTTTTTACAAAAAAAAATCTTAAATTCTCCCTTTTCATGTGGTCACAGGTTTTCTTTTATATTGTCTTCACATTTTTTAAAGACTTTTTACTTTTGTGTGCAGCTCATCTGGACCATTTACTGAACAGCTCTTCCTTGTATTAGTTATCTATTGCTGTATAACAAATTACGCCGAGCTTAGCAGTTTAAAACAAAGGTCTGTTGACTTTTATTAAGTGAGATAATAAACCTCACCCATTCTTCTGTGGGTCAGGAATCTGGGAGCAGCTTAGCTATGTGGTTTGGGCATAGGGTCTCCCATAAGGTTGCAGTCAAGCTGTTGGCTGGGGTTGCTGTTATCTCAAGGCCTCCAGCTTATTCTCATGACTGTTGACAAACCTCAGAGGATCCCCTTCCAAGCTCAGTCATGTGGTTACTGGCAGTCCTCAATTCCACACCATGTGAGTTTATAAAAGTTGCCTGAGTATCCTCCCAACATGGCCACTGGCTTCCCCCGGAGAATGAGAAAGTTCGAGAGAGTGAGAAAGGAAGACAGAAGTTGCAATCTTTGGCCGGGCGTTGTGGTTCAAGCCTGTAATCCCAGCACTTTGGGAGGCCAAGGCGGGTGGATCACCGGAGGTCAGGAGCTCGAGACTGGCCTTACCAACATGGTGAAACCCCGTCTCTACCGAAAATACAAAAATTAGCCGGGCATGGTGGCAGGCACCTGTAATTACCCCTGCTACTCAGGAGGCTGAGGAAGGAGAATTCCTTGAATCTGGGAGGTGGAGGTTGCAGTGAGCCAAGATTGCACCATTGCACTCCAGCCTGGGTGACAGAGCGAGACTGTGTCTCAAAAAAAAAAAAAAGTTGTAATCTTTTTATAACTGAGTCTCAGAAAAGACATCCCATTTCTTCTACAGTACCATATTCTATTCTGTAGAAGCAAGTCACTACATTTAGTTGACACTCAAGGGAAGGGAAATCAGGCTCCATCTCTTGATGGGAGTTGTATCAAAGAGTTTGTGGGCATATCTTTAAAACCACCACATTCCTTTCCTCCGTGATCTACAAATCAACTCTGTTAGATACAATTTGTCTTATACACACTAGTCTATTCCTGGCCTTTTTATTCTGCTCCATTGGTTCAATTTGTGTATCTCATTTCTTTTCTTTTTTTTTTTTTTTAATTTAAACGTGGGTATATGCTCAGGACTCATTTTCTGGCCTTTTCACTCTGTGTATTCATGCATATTTATTCTGAGAGAGTATTGATTCTTCCATCTTTACCTTCTTTTTTAACATAAAACATTATTTAGTACAAATAATGAAAAATGATTTCATGACACATTTTCCAAGGAAAGTTACTTTTACATATTTTGAAATCCTGTAAAAACTGGGGATCACCTCTTAACAGTTAAGACCCCAAACTATGTGCTGGACATTACCTCAGACTCTTCCTATCTGTAACCAGATTCTTTTCATGTATCTTTTTTGTGGGGGGGGGGGGGGGGGGGGGGGGGGGGGCGGATGGGAAAAAACAAACCCTTGACAATTACTATAATGTGGATTATGGCCTACAAGATTCAAGGCCCTGGAATAATCCATGGGAAGCATTATGTCAAGTGTTCCACAGTGAATATTTGATATCAAATCTGCATTGAATATTATCTACTACCAGTTGCTGAGTGTGTGTGACCTTGAACAAAACGAAGCCCCTGACCTCTTCAAGTTTCTATTCTAGGGAAAGACAGACAAATTAAGTACTGTGTCAAGCAGTGGTAATTAGAACAGAGCAGAAATAGAGTAGAGGGAATAGGTAGTGCGGGGTAGGAGTGCTGTTATTTGATATAGTGTGGTGAGGGGAAGGTCTCTCTGAGAAGGTCATACTGGAACAGGAAGCTATGGAAGTGAGGGAGTGAAGCATGTATTCCAGGCAGAGGAAATAGCCAGTGCAAAGGTCCTGAAGGAAGAGTTTATCCCGTGTCATTAAAGGTATCGCATGGAAAGCAGTTTGTGTATACAGATTAGGTAAAGGAAAAAGTAGCAACATGAGGTCAGAAATATAAGGGAAGAAAGGATCTTGCAGGCCTTTATATGAACTTTGGTTTTTATTCATAGAGAGCTCAAAAGCCATTGGAGGGTTTTGAGCAAAGGATAACATTTTCTGCCTTACATTTTTAAAAGATTGTCTTGGCTGTTGTGTTGATAACAGACTGAAGCTGGGGCAAGGGCAGAAGCAGAGAGATCATTTAGAAGGCTGTTAGTGCAAAATTCAGGCAAAAGGTGATGGTAGTTCAGATCAGGAGGCAGTACAAGTGGTCAGATTGCAAATGTATTTTGAAAATAGAGCCATCACCACTTGCTGAAAGATTGAGCTCCTGGACTTTAACAGCGCATCTGGAATTTTTTGCTTACTTGTGTTGTTTTGTAGAAAATTCACAAGTACAAAAATAAAAAGGAATTATTTATCTTCCTTTGAGAGGTGACCAGTGTTAAAATTTTGATGCATAACCTTTCTAGTTTTTGTTGTTTAAATCTACTTTGTATGTAATGAACACTTTCTATGTTGTTAATCTCCAACATTCTATGTTGTTAATTTCCAACAGCTATATAATGTTTCATTGCATGAATGAATGAATGGATGAATTATAGTTTGATTCCCTGTCAACATTTAGGTTGCTTCTAGGTTTTTTGTGTTTTAGATGGTATTTGAGAGAACACCATTCATTTTTTTAAGCATATACATGATTAGGAAAATAAGTTTCCAACAACTTTTTGAGACCTGGAAATACCCACAAGGGAGGTTTAACAGGCTCATGAAATAGTGTCTCTTCTCTGCTGACAACCTCTTGGCTTTACAAATTACTGGTAACTTGTGTTCCAAATAAAAATACCTCCAATTCACCCCTTTTGATTTTATACTAATAAATGAGTCTCCCTCTATATTTCATACTAATACTTAGTGGATACACTAAAGTATGAGCAAATGAATTGTCATATGGGCTGGTACATTTATTTCTATATTATACTCCGGGGAAAATAAAATCACATTTGTCGAGGTTTGCAAATGAATGTTTTAATGTCTTTCACCATCTTAGTTTGTGTTTAAGAATTTCTAGAATGTAGCCAGGCATGGTGGCACACTCCTTAGTCCCAGCTACTTGGGAGGATCACTTGAGAGTTCAGGGCTGCAGTAAGCTATGATTGTGCCACTACACTTGAGTCTATACAACAGAGTGAGACTCATCTCTTTAAAAAAGGGTAGTGGGGGCTGGGCACAGTGACTCACACCTGTAATCCCAGCATTTTGGGAGGCCAAGATGGGAGGATTGCTTGAGTTCAGGAGTTCAAGCCCAATCTGAGCAACATAGCGAGGCCTCATCTCTACTAAAATTCAAAGAAAAATTAGCCAGGTGTGGTGATGCACACCTGTGATCCAGCTGCTTGGGGGACTGAGGTGGGAGGATCACTTGAGCCTGGGAGGCCAAGGCTGCAGTGAGCCCTGATCGTGCCAGTGTACTCCAGTCTGGGCGACAGAAACCCTGTCTCAAAAAAAGAATTTCTAGAATGTTAGCCAATTTTTAATAATCAGTGTGCTTACAGTTTTAGTGACCCTTGTTTTGGTTGTAGTATTGCTTATCTTTTTTTTCTTTTGTCTTTTTTCATCTTACTTTGTGTAGATTGCTTCTATCTTTGCTTTTGCCACCTGTGGAGGTTTTAAGGGCCAAACAGAAATTCAAGTGAATTGTCCTCCTGCAGTTACTGAGAATAAAACTGTTACAGCTACTTTTGGTTATCCATTCAGGTGAGTTATATTTATTTTAATGGTTTCACAACTCTTTTTACTTTCACAGTGAGTCATTAAGATTTCCAGCAATTTATTGATTGTGGGGGGTAGAAAATTTTAGACTGTATGCTCATTTGTAAGTGATCATTACCTCCCAAACTGTGGTACACAGACCCATGCCTGTCTAAAAACATCTCCTGATCTGTGACAAAATAGTACAGAAAGTGAGAGTAAGCATTTAGAAACTTTTATAACAATGTGATGTTGCCTTGATAATTTTATTCTAACAGAGGATTGGAAATGTAAAAATAAAGCAAACTAGAGATTGTTCTATCACCTTAGTATAAGAAGCCCTAATGTAGAAGGAAACATAACTTAGAAAAATCCAGATTCTCAGTGTTTTTTGTAATTGCTGAATATTAATGTCTTTATATAGTTTTAAGACATATGTATATAAAGAGATTCCATATTTCATTCATTAGCATAAAGCCACACTTTCTTAAAGTAAAATGAGTATTTCATCTGTGAAGTCTTGTTTGACATCAGTATCCATTGAAAAGTTTATTGAATATGTCCTGTGTTTAAGCCAGGGTGGGAATCTTCTTTCACTTACTAATTTTACTTACTTCACCCAAGACTCAATTTTTTGGTCCAGTAATTGGAAGTATTATCTTGTAAGGCTGTTTTGATGATTAAATAAAATCCCCATATTAAAGATAAGTCAGATAATAAGTGGTTAATCATCAAAGCCTCTCTATCTTGTATCCTTTCTCCTAGACACTTCTCACATAAGGGACTGTTACAGCATCTTTAGTGACAAGTTTTTTACAATTTATGGTTGGGAAAAATGAAAGGCAATATTTATTGTTAGCAACTATTGATCCAGGGTTAAAAATGTGAATCATTGTTGTGATTGGCTCTCTTGGGGCTAGTCACACATACTCTGCCACACAGAATGAAATATGATGTCTCAAAGTATAAACCATTTGGTATAATCTCTCCTACCTAATTGTTTACTGCAGGAAGATAGTATCTGGGTATGAAAGTATTTAATTCAGTCTATATTCAATGTATCATAAACTAATACCAGGTATAACATATACATTTATTATGAAAATTTCAGTTTACTTAAATATAATATTTGAATTTTACTTTTTTCCCCAAAGGAATGTTTTTAATATATTTGGGGAGTATTTTTTGAAGTGTCACTCATTGTTTTGCTTAAATGTTTCTGTCTCTGTTGGGAAAGTCCAATAATTCATACATTTATTTTAATAGGTTGAATGAGGCATCATTTCAGCCACCTCCAGGTGTAAACATATGTGATGTAAATTGGAAAGATTACGTCCTCATAGGCGATTACTCTTCTTCTGCACAATTCTATGTTACCTTTGCAGTCTTTGTGTTCCTGTACTGCATTGCTGCCCTTCTGCTTTATGTTGGCTACACGAGTCTGTATCTGGATAGTCGTAAACTTCCTATGATAGTAAGTAATCACTTTATTTTTTAAATACAAAAATAATTTGTATAAGCTAAATATAGATTTTCTTATACTGGAAATAAAAATTCTTGGTGTAAGCCAGTTCAGCATATTTTAGCCTGTGTTTGCCACGAGGTTGAGCTTTCTCCCATTAAGTTTAACTCAATTTTTTTTAGCCTATTTGCACTATAAGGAAAGTTTATTTCTTTTTTAAATCTATTTTAACTTGGAAAAAACTCAGATATGTAATAAAGCACATCAGGTTACAAATAGCAAAAAAATTAAGTCGAAATTCTTTTAATTTGAAGAATTACTTATCACAACATAGTCTCATAACTCTTTCTGCTTCTTACTTTTTTTCTTTCTCTAAAGGCCCACTTTATACTTCTACAAAACTTATTGAGTTTAATTATATCATGGGTTCACAAACTATGTCCCAGAGGTCACTGTCTTATTTTTTATTTTTACTTCTTTATTTATATATTTACTTTTTGAGACAAGGTCTCGCTTTGTCGCCCAGGCAGGAGGGCAGTAGCACCATCTTGGCTTGCTGCAGCCTCAACCTCCTGGGCTCAAATGATCCTCCTGAGTAGCTGGGACTACAGTCACAAGCCACCATACTCAGTTACTTTTTGTGTATTTTTGTAAAGACGAAGTTTTACCATGTTGCCCAGGCTGGTCTCAAACTCCTGGGCTCAAGTGATCTGCCTGCCTTGGCCTCCCAAAGTGCTGGGGGTTATAGGTGTGGCCAGGAGCCTGGCCTTGTTTTTTTAAATAAAGGTTTTTTTTGGAACTCAGCCATACACAATCATTTACACATTGCCTATGGCTGCTTTCACACTGCAATGGTAAAGTTGAGTAGTTGTAACAGAGATAAAAAATAGTTGCTATTTGGCCCTTTTCAAAAGAAGTTTGTTGATTCCTGGTCTATGTCCCTAAACTCCTTAATTTAAAATCAGACCCAGGTAATTCTTATACTCAGCATTAGTGGCAACCATGAACTAATTTTGAATCTTTGAGGTATCAACAAAGGACTTAGATTTGAAGTCCTATACTTTTGGCTTCAGAGCCTACTGAGCTAGAAATATTCTCTGAGATTTAGTTAGTAGAATCTGCCCTGGATTATTGGTGGCAAATCCAGAGAGAAATCATGGTTTTAAGCTACACCTCCACTATAAAAGAGTAACTACAAAGTCAGTTATTAGTGACTTAAAGGGAAAACAGAGGTGTTTTTTATGTGTGATACTGGTCATTCATATGTATGAGAAAACACATCTGCTAATTATTTGTGAAGTTACTTTAAAGGGAAGGCTATTTAAATATGAAGGATTATTAAATAACATTACAAGTTTTATTTACATATTTATTTTTAATTTTGCTGCTGGATCATAAGAATGGAAATGGTAAGTAATACAACAGTCTTTTATCATTCATATTTAATTCTGTTTCTTATGTCATAGGAGACACAAGAAAACTAGAGGTTTTCATAAAATACTTCTCGGTTGTTAAAAAGATAAGACGTCAACTGTTTTAATTTGCAGTGCTTATCCAACATACTTGTTAGGAATCTGTGTCTTCTGCAGACTTTTCAAATCTTATTTAAAAGGGAACTGGAATAATCTTATAGATAATTATATTTTGTTAAAATTCTTTATAACTAGAAGCTATTTCTTGCCATTTTGTCATCCCAACAAATTTTTTTACTAAATCTATCAGTGTGCCCTTTATTTCTCATATTTTGTCTAGTAAACTTTTAAAAATACTACCCTTCTTAAAGCAGCATTCCAATCTATTTTTGTAGGTGGTTTTTGTCTGATAAAACTATAAAACTGACCTAGTTGCATCATTCAGAAACGTAAAAAGTAATTTTCCACCTCAGAATGACCAATTAGTGGTCATATAAAGAGATAATCCAAAATTCCTTAAGTAGGTTTTTATTGTTACATAATGGGTGCTTCTTGTCTATAAAAGTCTAGCTTCTAAATTTAATTTTCAGTTCTATTTTTAATGTAACCATAAAAATATTAAAAGATTTTCTTTGAGAGACTGGGTGCAGTGGGTCATGCCTGTAATCCCAGCACTTTGGGAGGCCGAGGTGGGTGGATCACTCCAGGAGGTCAGGAGTTCGAGACCAGCCTGGCCAACATGGTGAAACCCCATCTCTGCTAAAAATACAAAAATTAGCTGGACATGGTGGTGGGCACCTGTAATCCCAGCTACTGGGAGGCTGAGGCAGGAGAATCGCTTGAACCCAGGAGGTGGAGGTTACAGTGAGCCAAGATCACACCACTGTATTCCAGCCTAGGTGACAGAGCAAGACTCCATCTCAGGGGAAAAAAAAAAAAAGGTTTTTTTTGAGATACCCAAAATTTAAGATATAGCCAAATATGACATTAATTTTTAGGTACTATTAATGAGGACAAGCCCTTTTAGCAATATTCTCAATTCTGTGCTAAGGTGTTTCTAGGAGTATTTCAGTTATGAAAATTTAAATCTACTTCAATTCTCTTTTGAAGTAAATATAGCACTTTTTTTTTTGTTAAGTAGCAGGAGTTTAAGGTTTCAAGGCAATGTGGAAAATTGAGAATACCAGAAAATGAATCCAAACAAAATTAGGGTATCCCAAATTCTAAAAATCTATGACTCATATTGTGAATTGTTGGGAGGAGTAGAGCTGCCCTAGGCAGCTGCAGGTTGTGCATTGCAGAGCTCCAGGTGGCACCATTCGCTTAGAGTGCAGTGTGACTAGAGTCCTGAGTAGAGCAAATACTATCTGAAGGGACCAGAATTCCCCCCACGTTCCTTCAACCTAGGTTACTTTGTGCATCATTTTCAGAAAAGTTCCTGCTTTTGAAATATAAGAATGGCCTCAAGCCATCAAAGTGGATTTAAGAGTATAACTACGAAAAAAAAAGACTTTGGAAGGAAGAAAATACCTGAAAATTAGGAGGATTTGACATATATTGATCAAAGTTGTGAACTTTTCCGTAAAGAGAAATTATTTAACATGCGATATAACCTCATGTTACTCATCAGTTTTCCAAAAAACACTGTATTTCTAGCAAGCGTTTAGAAAATGTCTACCTGCAGCAGAATGTATAGCAGATGTACAGCAGTAAAAAGGGGGGAGTACTTCCACAGTGCAGAAAATATAAGCTATATTTCTAGCCTTTTCTCTTTGAGCTACGGTTTTTAAAAGGACAAGTAGCAGCAGAGAGCTCAGATACAAAATGCATGTACTTCCGTGTTCATGTAATTAGTAATTATTTTTGGTTCTCTAATCCTAAGTATTCATTCAGTGTTGTCTTGACCAAGTGGGCAAGCTATATAGCATAGCTTCTATATCTCCTAAGAGATCACTGGTATTTATCCTAAATATTAGGTTGGTACAAAAATAATTGTGGTTTTTATCATTAAAATAAATAGCAAAAACCATAATAACTTTTGCACCAACCTAATAAATGACTAAAAGGTGGCTGGCAAAATAATTAAAAACTAATTGGGTTTATTTAAAAAACAAAATGCTTCTGTGATAAGCTCCAAAATCCATTCTGAGGTTAGAAAGATTTTTGCTGCAGATATGTAAGAGCTCCTATCCTTGAGTGTACGCATATGTTTAGCATATATAGCATCCAAAAGATACAAATTTTATATTATTCCTACCCTGGTCATTAATTTGAAGGAAGATCAAACAAGATTAGACTTATGATCTAAAATATTAAAACCACCCATTAGAACCATTTATTCTAAAATATTAAAACCATCCCATTCTTTGTAATAAATAGCAAAGGATTTAGTACAGAGTTAATAGTGATAAGGTGTCTTGGGAGATTTTTGTTGTTGCCTTTTTCTTAATATAGTGAGCATTCTTAAAATTTGTGGTTAGGAAATTTAAAAGAGATACCATTCTGGTGTGTGCTTTTCACCATTTTATTATCCATCTCATGGAGAATTTGGTTTAACTAAAGTTAGAGTTTTGCAGAAGAAGGATAAGTGAGTTGAGAGTATGTGCAAGAGATGATAATGAAGGCCCTTAGAACAGAAATTGATTAAAATAAGTGAGGACATTAGTGAAGTGGTGATACAGTAAGAAAGCAGTAGGATCAGATTGTAGGTCTTGGTGGGGTCAAAGGAGTTTTAGGATTGGGGTGCCAGAGACAGTGAGCTGGAAAGAGGTGTTATGGGAAAATGGGATGATCAAAACAGAGTATGGAAGGATACAGTTATTGGTGATGACAAGGTCTAAGGTATGGTCCTGGGAGTAAGTGGCTGAGGTGAGGTTATGTTGAAGGCTGTATAAAACTTTGGTTTCTAGTGTGAAAATCTTAGACTTCTGAGGGGATGACTGAGTCTTATTTACTGTTGTAACTCAGGCACTGTGCTTGTAACACTAACAGCAATGTTTACTATGCTGACTGACTTTTTTAATAAAGTATATCATGAAGGCCATTTCTCAGCACCATAAGGTTGAATGTAATCTCAGTTTCTTCATCATGGATTTGAAATTTAGTATTAAAATTAACTGTTCATTATTAACTCTTACTGATTTTTGCTTTAGGACTTTGTTGTTACACTTGTTGCCACTTTTTTGTGGTTGGTGAGCACTTCAGCCTGGGCTAAAGCTCTGACAGATATTAAAATAGCTACTGGTCACAATATTATTGATGAACTTCCGCCTTGTAAGAAGAAAGCAGTACTGTGTTACTTTGGCTCTGTGACCAGTATGGGATCCCTAAATGTATCTGTGGTATGTATGCATTATTTATAATTTTTTTCTTTCATATATTTGTTTAAAGTACTAGTAATTCAGGAAAGCAATAGCTTTCAGTAAATCTCTGGATGGTTTTTATTTTTACTCAGCTACCTGAATTCTAGTAACAATATAGTGTTTAGTGAAGAAAAGTTTGTCTAAAAAAAGTATTACCTGTAACCAAGATCATGATTTTATTCATCTCTGAGACTTTCTTTCATCTAGTCAGATTTATATCTGGGAAGATTAATTTCTTTTTTTTTTTTTTTTTTTGAGATGGAGTTTCGCTATGTCGCTCAGACTGGAGTGCAGTGGCATGATCTCGGCACACTGCAACCTCCGCCTCCTGGGTTCAAGTGATTCTCCTACCTCAGCCTCCCAGGTAGCTGGGATTACAGGCATGTGCCACCACTCCCAGCTAATTCTTTTGTATCTTCAGTAGAGACAGGGTTTCACCATATTGGCCAGGCTGGTCAAACTCCCGACCTCAAGTGATCTGCCTGCTTCAGCCTCTCAAAGTGCTGGGATTACTGGCATGAGCTGCCACACCCAGCCAGGAAGATTAATTTCTTTGAGGTTAACTCATTGGGATGGGAAGTAAAGTTGTGTGACTCCTCTTTTTTTGTGGCTACAACTGTTGGATTGGAGTAGAAGAGATGGTAGGAGGGGGTGATAAGTAAATGGGAAAAGTTACACAAGCAGTTGATAATCATTCTAAATAGGAGAAAAGTGAAAAGTATTTGGAAGAGTAAATCTCTTAGCCATGATTTTATATGTTAGAGATTTAGCCTTATTTCATTGGGAATAAGTCATTATATAACCACATTTTGTACATTGAAGTGTAGTCTTCCTTATTTCTCATTGTGTGTAGTATTAAACTTTAAGTGAAATAATGGCGTACTTCCTAAAAATGTTAAATATTTAAAGAAAAAGTGAGATTTTTAAGTAGGGCATGAATTTTTATAAGTAGGTATTTGATTTTCATATTTCTTTTTCTCTTTCATAGATATTTGGCTTTCTAAATATGATACTCTGGGGAGGAAATGCTTGGTTTGTGTACAAGGAGACCAGCCTACACAGTCCATCAAATACATCTGCCCCTCATAGCCAAGGAGGTATTCCACCTCCTACCGGAATATAATTAAAGGGAGAAATACACTGTATGAAGTATATGTTGATACTATGACATGTTGCCAACACCTTGAGAAGCATTATTTGTTTCTAATAAAAGTAATGGCTTTGTCAATATATTGGTGGGTTTAAAACTTTGCTGCTTTTTTACATAAAGCCTGTGCCTTTCCTAGAAAGTTAAGATGTAAATGTATTCTCACATGTAAATTTGAAAGTTCAGGGGTCTATTATGAAATGATACACATTTTTAAATGAACCATAATTTTTTTCACTAAGCTGTTTGCCTTCCAAAGTGTTTACACCTTAAGCCTTAACATGTATCTTCATTCAGAAAACAGTTATATTGTCATACCATAGTAGGAAGAAAAACCTTTATTTGGAATATACACTACTGTAAGTTTGTACAGATCATATACCTACCACCTGTCTTTGCTTAAAGAGCCTTGATTACATAAATATGTAGGAAAAAACATATTGAGTTCAAAATTTATATCTAACATTGTTTATGTTATGATTTTTTTTTAATTGCAAAGACTAGGTGTATATTTTTTTCTGTTTTTCTAAATGACCCGTGGTACTTAATAGGTGTACTAAAATTGTGTTGGGAGCAGGGATTTGGAAATTTCTGAGAGATGTGTAGTTAATTTAGTAATTCTGTTTCATGAGATATGATCTGTTATGCTAGTGGTTTAATAGGCTTGCTATGTAAGTAGAACGTGGCTCAACTAGATATCTTTATATGTATGGGCATTACTCTTAGTGATATTTGTTTCCTGTCCTTTGTTGCTCATGCTGTTTAAGTGCAGGCTGAGACCCAGCCTCTTTGTAAGTACAGTAAAATAATCCACCGTTTTTTACAGACCCTAGTCAAAGGGTTAAAAAAATTAAGATTGCTTTCCATGTTTGAAATTTACCATTGAGAGTCAATGAAGTTGCTATTTTGAGTTTAGCATTGATATTGTGAAAATAAGTGCAATTTGGATTTCATGTTTCTTAATATTCATTCTTGTTTCACAAATGAATGATTAAGGAATTATGCATCATAAAGGAACCTAAGTGAGGTATATGATGAGTGTATTGTCTTTGCACACACATATAGGTATATTCTGAATACAAGCTTATTCACATTTTGCTTCCTAATCTTTTTGTTGTACAGGGATTCAGGTTTCTTATTCTTACAACATGATTGTTTATATGTGAAGCACATCTTGCTGTTGCCTTATTTTTGATGCTTTTATTCATGACAAGAATTGTCAATATAAGAATGTATATCTTTTTTGCAACCAATTTAATAAAGGAGTTGAAAGAAAGAGTGCACTGATTGTTAATATTACAAAGAAACCTTCATCTTAAAGGCATTGAGCAGTGCAAAACAGAACTGATTTTCAAAGCAGGAAATAGAATCACAGTTTTAATGTTTGGCAAGGAATAAAACAGACAGAAATGCTTTGGAGACTATGGTTCTATCCTTTTTTCTTCCGACCTCATTTAGAAAATACTTATTTGCAACTCTTAGATTGTTTTCCTGATATACCTTTTCTCATTAATTGTCTAATTAACTAGCAAAGATTCCTGCTTAAGAGTGTGTGCTCTGCAACCGAACTGCCTAGATTTGAATCTTGTCTACACCACTTACTAGCTGTTTAACTGTAGGCAAATTGCCCTCTGTGTGCCTCAGTTTGCTTATGTGGAAGTCGGAAATAAAGTAAGTAGTTCCCTCCTGTTTACTGGGGATATGTTTCAAGACCCCCTGGGATGCCTGAAACCAAGTGTAGTACCAAGCCCTATGTGAACTGTCTTTTTTCCTATCCATACATGCACCTATAATAAAGTTTATCAATTGAGCACAGTAAGAGATTAACAAGGACTAATAATGAAGTGGCACAATTAAAACCATACTGTAGTAAAAGTTATGTGAATATGGTCTCTCAGAATATCTTACTGTACTGTACTACGGGGAACTGAAACTAAGAATAGTTAAACCACTTTCCTGATCTCAGTGTGTTTATGATTTAAAAGTGAATTAACAAATGTAAAGCCCTTAGAACAGTGTTCCGCATTTAGTAGGCACTCTATAAATGTTAGCTACGATTACTAACTTTTGATAGCATCTGATATAGAGATTCTTAAACTAGGAATTCATGGGGCTGGAGCCGTTAGGGTGGTGGTTTTGGACAAAGAGAGGATTGGCGTCAGGCTTTCAAGCTTGTCCCTTTACAATCCTTAAAGAGTTCTGGATCTTTTGGTGTGTTTTATTTTTCTGTTGGTTGACATTCATAAGGTTAATGAGATCAAAATTTAAAACTTAAAAGTATTGAGATTAAAGTAGATCTTAAAAGGACTTCTATTGCCTTTTCCCTTTGTGCTTTTGAATCAACATTACAAGGTTAACCCATTTATAGGATAATTTCCAGGAGAGAAGCAATAAAAGCTTTACTTACTAGGTGTTAGGTTGTAGAGAATTATTTATAAAAAAGATGAGCATTACTAATGTTTTAGTGAACAGAGGTCAGTTGAATAGATGTTTAACCTACTGTAAATGTTAAAGGCAATATTGCTTATGTTTCACATTTAAAATTTTTTCATATAGTATTTCAGATTAATAGGTAAGTATACAAAATAATATTTAACAAATGCTTTATTTGCATCAGATGTTTGTTTGTTGAGACAGGGTCTTACTCTGTCACCCAAGCTAGAATGCAGTGGCGCCATCTCAGCTCCCTGTTAACCTCCACCTGCCAGGCTCCAGTGATCCTCCCACCTTGGCCTTCTCAGTATCTGGGACTACAGGCACGTGTCACCATGCTTGGTAATTGAAAACATTTTTTGTAAAGACGAGTTCTCACTATATTACCCAGGCTGGTCTCAAACTCATGGGCGCAAGCAGTCCTCCTGCGTCAGCCTCCCAAGTGCTGGGATTACAGGTGTGAGCCACCTCACCCAGCGTTGCATCAGATTTTTTTTTTTTTTTTTTTTTTTGAGATGGAGTTTCACTCTTGTTGCCCTGGCTGGAGTGCAATGGCGCGATTTCAGCTCACTGCAACCCCCACCTCCCGGGTTCAAGTGATTCTCCTGCCTCAGCCTCCCAAGTAGCTAGGATTACAGGTGCTCGCCACCATGCCGGGCTAATTTTTTTATTTTTAGTGGAGATGGGGTTTCACCATGTAGGCCAGGCTGGTCTCAAACTCTTGACCTCAGGCGCTCCACCCACCTCGGCCTCCCGAAGTGCTGGGATTACAGGCATGAGCCATCGCACCTGGCTTTGCATCAGATTTTTTTTAAAGGAAATAAAACATTACAGATAAAGCCTTTTCCTTACTGAGGTAAAGTTACATTTTTCCTACCTTTCACTATTAAAAATAGCACACAAATATTCTTCTGCAGTGTGTGAAGGCTTCTCTAAGACCTATCACTAGAAATGGGAACTATTGGAATGTGAGATGTTCATGTTTTCCATTGTAACCTAGGTATTCCAAATTGTTCAGCAAAATGTCTGTAACAAGTTAGTCTCCCACCAGCAATAAGTAAGATTTCCTCTTGCTCCATATTGCCAATAACTTGATGTTTTTGGACTATTGCCAATCTGATAAGTTTGAAATTGTGTCTTTGATGCTTTAAAATTTATGTTACTCTGATTGCTATTTAGGTTGGTGGTCCTTTCCTGTATTTATTGGCCATTTGGTTTCCACCACCCTGTACTGCCTATTCATATCCTTTGCAAATTTTTCTGTTTGGTGCTTTTTCCTGCTGAATTGACGTGCTCTTTATGTATTCTTGGTATTAACCTCTTGACATTTATAGAGGTTGCAAATATCTTCTCTCTGTTCCTGGCTTGCATTTTCACTTTGTGATTTTTGTCATATAAAAGTTCTTTATGGCCGGGGTCGGTGGCTCACACCTGTGATCCCAACACTTTGGGAGGCCGAGGCAGGCGGACCACCAGGTCAAGAGATGGAGACCATCCTGGCCAACATGGTGAAACTCCGTCTCTACTAAAAATACAAAAATTAGCTGAGCATGGTGGTGTGTGCCTGTAGTCACAGCTACTTGGGAGGCTGAGGCAGGAGAATCGCTTGAGTCCAGGAGGCAGAGGTTGCAGTGAGCCGAGATCGTGCCACTGCCCTCCAGCCTGGTGGCAGAGCAAGACTCTGTCTCCAAAAAAAATAAAATAAAAAAACAAACTTTATTTTAATATTAATGTAAGTATCTTCTTCACCGTTGGTGCATTTTGCTGTATTAAGAAATCCTCAATGTCATAAAGATATTAACCTTTTTTCTTCTGAATATGGTTTTTCACTTTTTAGTCGTTAAGCAGTTTGGGATTATATTTTTGTACGTTCATGGTGTCTACTTCAATTTTTATAATTTTCAATACTCCTATCCAATTTTCATAGTACCACCTTTATTTAAAAGTTTATCTTGCCATGCACAGTGGCTCTCATCTGTAATCCCAGCACTTTGGGAGGCTGAGACAGGTGGATCACTTGAGGCCAGGGGTTTGATACCAGCCTAACCAACATGGGAAACCCCGTCTCTACTAAAAATACAAAAATTAGCCAGGTGTGGTGGTAGGCACCTGTAATCCCGGCTACTCAGGAGGCTAAGGCAGAAGAATCGCTTGAACCTGGGAGGCGGAGGTTGCAATGAGCTAAGATGGCACCACTGCACTCCAACCTGGGTGACAGAGCTCAAAAAAAAAATTTATTCACCTCTGTCATATGTCAGATTTCCATATTATTTGTAGTTCTTTCTGTATGCTCTTTACCACTACCATATCTAGCCCCACTCTTTATTAAATATAGCTTTACAGTAAGAATTACTCTCTGATAGGATAAGCACCAGAGCACCATCATTATTCAGGTTATTCACAATTGTCTTGGCTATCTTGAAGCCCTATACTCTCATGAATTTTTGGATCAGCTTGTGAAGTTCCTAAAAACCTTCATAGGATTTCATTTGAAAAGAACTGCATTGAGTTTATAAGATCAATTTGAGGAGAATGGTCATATTTGTAATACCAGTAATACCAATAAATACAAAGCCTTTTGTATTTTGTATTTATGAACATGGTATATCTCTCCATTTATATCTTTTATGCCCTTCAGTAAAGTTTTGTAATTGTCAACATAAAGATTTAAGATTCACATCTGTCTTGTAGTTTTTGCGGCTCTTATACAAAGTAACATATATTCTTCCCCCAAGCCCATATAATAAGTTGGAGTAGTGTTTTCCCTTATTCAATACTCTGAAATAATTGGAATTTTTCATTCCTTGAATATTTCATAGAACTCACCAGTAATACTATTGGGGCCTAGAATTCTCTGTGGGAAGATTATTTTTAAATTACTGATTCAGCCAGGTACCATGACTCACACCTGTAATCCCAACATTTTGGGAGGTTGAGGCAAGAGGATCACTTGAGGTTAGGGGTTCAAGATCAGTCTGAGTAACAAAGCAAGACTCCGTCTCTACAAAAAATAAAATAAATTAGTCAGGCATGGTGGCACATGACTCTAGTCCTAGCTACTAAGGAGACTGAGGTGGGAGGATCACTCGAACACAAAAGGTCAAAACTGCAGTGAGCTATGATCTCGGCACTGCACTCCAGCCTGGGTGACAAAGTGAGGCGCTGTCTCAAAAAAAAAAAAGAAATTACTGATTCAGTCTTGCTTTTGATTATAGAACTATTCAAGTTTTTTATTCTCCTTCATTCAGTTGTATTTTACCAGGAATTTTTCCATTTCATCTGAATTTCCAAATTTATTAATATGAAGTTGATCATAGCCTGTTGATTATATGCCTAATGTCTACACCAACTGCATTTACGTTCCTTCTTTCATTCCTATTATTTTTGTGCCTTCCTTTTTTCCATCCATATTGTCAGAGGTTTGTCAGTTTGATCTCTTTTCAAATGATCAAGTCTGTCTTTATTGATCCTTGCTCTTTTATGTTTGTTTTATTTCTCTTAATTTCTACTCTTGTCATCATTAGCTCTTTTCTTCTGCTTTCTTTGGGTCTGTTTTGCTGCTTTTTTTCCTAACTCAAGATGGTACTTAGCTCATTAGTTTTTTCATTGGCTTCAAGCCTCTTTTCCTCTAATACACACATGTGAGATTTTAAATTTTCTACAAACTACTACTTTAGCTTTATCCCACAAGTTTTTGATATGCAGTATTTTGATCATAGTTCTAAATACATTCAAATTTCCCATAATTCTTTGATGTACTAGTTATTTAGTAATATGTTTCCAAACATATGGAATTTTCTTTTTTTTTTATTGACTACTGAGGTAATCACATTGTGGTTTCTGCAATAATCAGACCCTTGAAATTTGCTGAAACTTGCTTTCTGACCTAGTTGATGGTCAAAAGTTTTAACTTTTTCATGTGCTTAAAAATATGTATCTGTTGAGTGTGATGTACTGTTTGCCTTGTATATCAGCTTATTCTATCCTTTAAATTTATATGTTAACCAAAGCACATGTAAAATAAGGAAACAGTATATTGAAAATGAAAAAAAAAAAAAAGATACATTAAGCAAAACAGGTTTACCTGTTTGGGATTTGCTCAGTTCTTGAATCTGTAGGTTTATGTCTTTTGCCAAATTTAAGGAGTTTTCAGCCATTATTTCTTCCAGTACTTTTTTGGCCCCACCCTACCCTATTTCTCCTCTCTCAGACTCAAATGATGTGAAAGTTAGATTTTTTTGTTGTTTTTGTTATAGTAATACAGGTTTAACAGTCCATTTTATCTCTAGAAATTGGGTAATTTATTTTTTCCCCCACAGGCCAAAGCTAAGATTTTTTTTTCTTTTTTTTTTTTTGAAACAGAGTCTCACTCTGTTACCCAAGCTGGAGTGCTGCAGTGCAGTGGTGCAGTCTTGGCTCACTGCAACCTCCACCTCCCAGGTTCAAACAGTTCTTATGTCTCAGCCTCCCAAGTAGCTCTAGGGACTACAGGGACGCACCACCATGCCCAGCTAATTTTTGTATTTTTAGTAGAGAGGGGTTTCGCCGGGTTGGCCAGGCTGGTTTCGAACTCCTGGCCTCAAGTGACCTGCCCACCTCAGCCTCCCAAAGTGTTGGGATTACAGGTGTGAGCCAGCGTGCCTGGCCAGAATTGGATAATTTTTCTTCTCTCTCTTCCAATTTACTGAGCTGTCGTCTGTGTCTTCTGTTCTGCTGTTGAGACTATCCTTTGAATTTTGGGTTTTTGTATTTTTCATTTCTAAAATTTGGTTCTCCTTTTATTTACTGAGACTTTTTATTCGCTGAGACTACTTTTTCGTTTGCTTCAAGCCTGTTTATGATTGCTTGTTGGAGCATTTTTGTTTTGTTTTGTTTTGTTTTGAGATGGAGTCTCACTCTGTCTCCAGGCTGGAGTGCAGTGGCACAATCTTGGCCCACTGCAACCTCCACCTCCCAGGTTCAAGCAATTCTCCTGCCTCAGCCTCCCGAGTAGCTGGGACTACAGGCGCATGCCACCATGCCCAGCTAATTTTTGTATTTTTAGTAGAGACGGGGTTTCACCACGTTGGCCAGGATGGTCTCGATCTCTTGACCTTGTGATCCACCTGCCTCGGCCTCCCAAAGTGCTGGGATTACAGGCGTGAGCCCATTGTTGAAGCACTTTTATATGACTGCTTCAGAAGCTTTATCAGATGATTCTAATATCTCTGTCATCTCAGTGTTGTTATCCACTGTCTTTTTTCCTTTGTTGGAGATCTAACTGGTTCTTGGTATGAAGAGTGATTTTCGATAGGAACCTGAGCATTTCGGGTACTATATTTTGAGACTCTGGGTCTTTCTATGCCTTCTGTTTTGCAGGCTTTTTCTGACATCACTCCAGCAGAGAGAAAGAGGGAGGGCCACCTCATTAGAGCCTCCATGGGTGGAGGTGTTCATTTGGCCTTTGCTGGTGTGGGTGTGGGTGGAACCATAGTTTTTTCCTGTGGTGCTGGGCTAGGGTAGAGTCGTTATTTCCTAAAAGTTTTCTGTCTTGCTAGGTTGCCTTTTTCCTTGTCCTTTAGCTAGGAAGAGCCAACTTTTGTTGGGACTTTATTTTTTTTTTTCTGTCTGCATTATTGCTGTTCACATGTTGCCAGTTTCTTCAGCTCCAAGTCTGGGATTTATAAGGCAAAAGGAAAATCCAGACAACTCACCACTATGTTGTTTCTTGGGTTCCAAGGTCCCTAGCCAGTCTCCCTTCATCTCCGCCTTTCAGAGACATCTTAGGTTTGTTTTCTATTAAGTTTTTACTTGCACTTAATAGGAAAAATAAGGAAAGTGCATCTAATCCAACCTTTGGGAAGCTGAAGTTGAAGCTCCCTTTTATTTTTTCAATTGCCAAACTACATTTTTAGTCAGCCAGGTGGAGGGAAGACTTAGTAGAGAAAATGCACTGTTACCTCAATCTCAGCCATTGTTTTCTTCCTTCTTAGCACAATGGATCCGAAGTGTAGTAGCTGTAGGATCTGAAGTGTAGTAAGTTTGAGAGTGGGAGTAAAATCCACGCTAGTCCCAAAGGAGAAGTACATCTGGACTCTAAATTCAGTTTCCCCCCTCACTGTACCATGTTGCTTCTTATAATAGATGTTTTTTGGTTCGGTTGTTTTTTTTTTTTTTTTTTGAGACAGTCTCACTTTGTTGCCCAAGCTTGAGTGCAGTGGTGCAATCTCAGCTCACTGCAACCTCCACCTCCCGGGTTCAAGCGATTCTCCTGCCTCAGCCTCCTGAGTAGCTGGGATTACAGGCACATGCCATCATGCCCGGCTAATTTTTTGTATTTTTAGTAGAGATGGGGTTTCACCGTGTTAGCCAGGATGGTCTTGATCTCCTGACCTCATGATCTGCCCACCTCAGCCTCCCAAAGTGCTGGGATTTGGTTGGGATTATTAAAACAGGTTCTATAAACTTATAAAGCAGTGAGGAATGCATTTGGTTGCAAATAACAGAAAAATTTGGTTTAAACAGAGGTTTATCTGTATCATACAGCTATTTTAGTGAACTAAATATGGCCTGAGAAGACTCCTATATTTGAGTCCTTGTGGACGAACTGTAACCTAGCTTAATAGGCAGACAAGATCAGAAACCTAACTTAGGAGTATGCGCCTGTAACAGTCACTGAGTCTTGGCCAATCCCGGCGGCCATACTTCAACCACTCACATACTGCTGAGTGTTCAAACTGTGTTCAAATAAAGCAAATGCCAACCTGCAACCAAACCAGCTTTTCTGTACCTCACCTCCCTTTTTTTGTCTATAAATCTTCCACCACGTGGCTGCGCTCGAGTCTCCGTGAATCTGCTGTGATTCTGGGGGCTGCCCGATTCGCAAATCGTTCATTAGTCATTAAACTCCTTTAAATTTAATTCGGCTGAAGTTTTTATTTTATCACAGCCAAATGCTTCACCCCTTCGAAAAAATTAATGAGTAAGCAAACCCCATGTATTTATACTACACACACTGTCAAACACTTCGGAGAGATTAAGTAAGATAAGGAGTGAGAATCAACCATCGCCTTTGACATTGTAGAGGTTATTGTCCTTGACAAGGGCTATTTCAGCGGAATTCTGGGAACAACAGTACTTCATTACAGTAGTCCAACAGAGTAATTTGTAGGTGAGAGAGTGAAAACTAGCAGGTATGGATGATTCTTTTGAGGTGTTCTGCTATAAAGGGGAGCAGAGAATTGGAATAGCTGAAAGAAGATGTGAGATCGAGGGACGCATTTTTGTGTACTTAAGACTTAAGCTATGACAGTGTGTTTTTAACCTGAGAAGATTGATTCATTTTAAAATAGAAAAAAAAAATGCTGATACAAGAAGGAGAGGCAGGGTGATTGCAGAGCCAACTCCTTAAGAAGGTGCCCAAGAGGAAAGGTTGATCTTGGCGAGAGCACACACAATCCATTCATTGTATTGGGAGGGAAACACAAAAGTTTAAAGGAAGATTTGTTTGTAGATTGTATGGTGATTAGACTAAGGAAGTTCTCTCTACACTTGTTTTCTCAGTGAAATAAGCAAGTTCATCACTTAAGAATGAGTAGCGACGCAGTGCAGACATTTGATTGAAGGGGAGGCCATATTCATAGAATGTGTAAAAATGAAATAACATTGTACTGACGATCCTAGCCAACACAACAGAACAAGAAAAAAAGTAAATATTAGAAAGCTAATATTAGAAACTAAACTGTTATCAGCACATACTATGTGTCCAGATAGAAAACCCAAAATAATCTACCACTAACCACTAGAATTAGTTTAGAAAGATACCCGAATAGGCCGGGTGAGGTGGCTCACATCTGTACCCGAATAGGCCGGGTGAGGTGGCTCACATCTGTAATCCCAACACTTTGGGAGGCTGAGTTGGGCAGATGATGAGGTCAGGAGCTCGAGACCAGCCCGGGCAACAAAGTGAAACTCCGTCTCTACTAAAAATACAAAAAAATTAACAGGGCCTGGTGGCGGGTGCCCATAATCCCAGCTACTTGGGAGGCTGAGGCAAGGAGAATCACTTGAACCTGGGAAGTGGAGGTTGCAGTGAGCCGAGATCGCACCACTGCACTCCAGCCTGGGCAACAGTGTCAGACTCTGTGTCAAAAAAAAAAAAAAAAAAAAAAAGGAAAGATTCCTGAATACAAGATCAATATATAAAAACTGTTTTTATACAAGAACAACAGTTATAAAATATAACTTAAAAAATATATATCATCTGAAGTAAAAAAAAAGGATTAGGAAGCTAGAGATAAAAATAAAATGTGCAAAATTATTACTAAGAAAACTGTGAAACTCTCTTGTCTGATCTACAGATTCAATTGAATTCCAATCAAATTTCTACAGTTTTTGGGAAATCTTAATAAGCTGATTCTAAAATTGTTATGGAAGAGCAAAAATAGCTCCCCAAATAGCCAAGGCACTCCTAGAGAAGGTGATAGAGGGATCTGCCTTACTAAATCGTGATACTTACTATGAAGCTATTGTACAATGTTGTGAAGGGGTTCCATGGATTGGGCCTCACATAGTTGCAGGAACTGGGGAGGACGCCCATGGAAGGTGGTTGCCTCTGCATTTGGAGATGGATCTGAAGTCACAGTAGACCAGCAAGACCAGGAGTCAGGAAGCAAAGCTGAACATGAAATGAGAGAACAAACTAGAATCTGTGAGGGCAAGTTGGAACCCATGAGAACAAATAGGAACTCAAAAGGACAAACTGGAATGCACCGTTTTCTACCTTGATCATACAGGGGAGCCACAGAAGCAGCCTGTGCCCTTCACTGCAGAGCTGTGTGTTTCTGGCTCAGGACTCAGACAGGACAAAGGCTATCCGACAGCAGCTGGAGGAGCAGCAGCCATGCCTGGCAGCCCTCGCTGACCTTCACAGCCTACTGGCTGCCTCCCCTCTGCTACTTTCCAAGTCTTTTCTCTGCAGCCCACTGCCAATGGCGGGAGATGGGAATTTTGGGAAATGTAGTTATAGCTTAACTAAGTTACCACACTTTAAAATCACAATGAGGAACAGAAAAGGGGCCAGTGTGGCCAGATTGCAGTGAGTGTGGGGGAAAGTATATAGCAAGGGAGGAGGACTGCAGACGTATATTTTGAAAATACGCTACCTGGGCATTCACTTATTTGATTCCCTGTACAATTTGTCTGGAAACAACCCTACCATGTATGGTGCCTTGGCTTCCTAGGGTGAGGAAATGCCTTCAAATGTATTTGATTGCTGTCTCATGCCTCCCTCATGCCTTCAAAGTTCAAGGAAGTAGGGGTGGTGAGGTAACAAAGAGCACTGGTAATTAAAACTGGCTTAAACTTCAATTTTTCATTTTACCATGAAAATCTTCATGATATGGTTTCTACTCTTCTCTCCCTGACAAGTAGGGAGTCTTAGTTTTGGCACAAACGGAGTTCTGAGATCAGGAAGTAGACAGGGTGGACTGGCTGGCTAAGAAAGTTCCTTTGCAACTTTTTTTTGTAATGTTATTGTTTGTTTTTATAATTACATGAAAAGGCCTAAGACATTTTTATATCTTGCAAGATATCCATATGACACTAGCCTAAATGCCCACCTTGGTTTCTAGGCAACATCCAAAAGATATGGTAGAGTCTGCCTACTCATTACCAAGTAAATAGCCATTCTTCCCTTCTATATCAAATTAACAGAACTCCATTTGCCCACCCAGCTAAAGCACCACATTTCCCAGCCTCCCTTGCAGCTTTGTATAGCTGTGTGGCTAAGTTCTGGCCAATGGAATTAAAGCAATGTTGTGCGGGACTTTGAGTCTTCTTTAGATCCAATCTTAAATAAAACGCCTACAACAAAAATCATACTCAGTAGGAAAACATGGAAAGTTTTTCTTTGGAAATCAGGACCAAAGTAAAGAGGCCTGCCCTCATTTTTCAAGTCAGCGTTTTAGGGAGATGTTTTGCAGCACCATAAGGAAAATAAACACATAAGAATTGAAATAAAGGAAATAAAACTATCATTTTTTGTGGATGATATGATTGTCTACAGTACTGTTGACCAAAAGAGTCAAACTCTGTAAAATATTTGAAGAGGTTTATTCTGAGCCAAATATGAGTGACCATGGACCGTGACACAGCCCTCAGGAGGTCCTGAGAACATGTGCCCAAGGTGGTCGGGGCACAGCTTTGTTTTATATGTTTTAGGGAGGCATGAGACATCAGTCAAATACATTTAGGAAATACATTGGTTTGGTTCAGAAAGGCAGGACAACTCGAAGCAGGGGGAGCTTCCAGGCAATAGGTAAATTTAAACATTTACTGGTTGACAGTAGTTTGAGTTTATCTGAAGACCTGGGATCAACAGAAGGGAAATGTTCAGGTTAATATAAAGGATTGTGGAGACCAAGTTTTATTGTGCAGAGTAAGCTCTAGATAGCAGACTTCAGAGACAGCAGGTTGTAAAATGTTTCTTATAGGACCTAAAAGGGTGCCTGGCTCTTAGTTGATTATCTCCTGGATCTGGAAAGGAAGGAAGGAAAAAAAAAGGAGGGGAAAGGGATTCTCTATAGAATGTGGATTTTTTCCCACAAGGGACAGCTTTGCAGGGCCATTTCAAGATACGGCAGAGAAACATGTTTTGAGGTAAAATATTTTGCTTTTCTTCCTTGTTATGCCAGAGTCAGATTGGAAAGTAAGCCACAATATACAGGGTTAAATAAAACCCTTCTGATGAGAATTTGTGGTTTGTAGGACATGACTCCACAGACCCCTTAGATAGGAATTGGGGCAAGATAAAAAAAAAATCAGAGCTTAGTTCTCAGTAGAAATCCCCAAAGAATCTAAAAATAAATTCTTAGACATAATAGATGATTTTGATAAGATCAATATAAAAATTCAGTTTCATTTCTCTATACCAGACACAATCTAAAAGCACAATTTATTTTTAAAAACAAATATTGCCGGGCATAGTGGCTCATGCCTGTAATCCCAGCACTTTGGGAGGCTGAGGCGGATGGATCACAAGGTCAAGAGATCAAGACCATCTTGGCCAACATGGTGAAACCCCGTCTCTACTAAAAATACAAAAAAACAAAAATTAGCTGGGCATGGTGGCAGGTGCCTGTAATCCCAGCTACTTGGGAGGCTGAGGTAGGAGAATCTCTTGAACCCGGGAAGTGAAGGTTGCAGTGAGCTGAGATAGCGCCATTGCACTCCAGCCTGGGTAAAAAGATCAAAACTCCATCTCAAAAAAAATAAAATAAAATAAAAAATAAAAACAAATATCAATATTATTGACGTAGAATATCACCAAACTATATAAGTTCTAGGGTAAAAAAAAACTAACAAAGATGTGTAAAATCTATACAAAAAAATTACAAAATTTTAGCAAAAAGCATTAAAGAATACCTAAATGGACAAAGATCCCATTTTTATGAATCATAAGTTCTTATGATAAACACATGAATTTTCTCCAAGTTAATCTACAGATGTAATGAATTACAGTCAAAATCCCCAAAAGATTTTTCATAGAACATGAGAAGTTAATTCTAATATATATTAAGGAGCAGATGTCAAGGATAGCCAAGGTATTTCTGAAGAAAAATTAAAAGGGGAGAATTATTCTAGCAGACATTATGATTTTTTATAAAGTTATACTAATTAAGATAGTGTGGTCTTGGTGCAGGAATAAATGAACTGACTGATAGATAGAAATAGAGGGCCAGGAATCAGACTCATGCATATTTGAATTTTTAAGACAGGCTGGAAGTACAGAACTGGAGAAAGGCAAGATTGAATAATAAATGGAGCTGAAAAATTGGTTATCCATGTGGAAAAATGAAATCAGATCTTACTTCACACCATATACAAAAATCAAACCTAGAAGGATTAAGAGTTTACGTGTTAAAAGCACACTTTCACTTTTAGAGAAAAATAAGCTAATATTGTTCTCATCTTAGAACAGGGAGGGATTTCCTAAATAACACACAAAAATATGCTCACCGTAAGAAACAATATTCACAAATTCAGATATGTTAAAATTAGTCACCAAAACATGTCATCAAAAAATATTTTAAAGAAATAGAAGAAAAATTCCAACTGAAGTTATTATAGCACAAAGGATTAGCATGCAGAATAGATAAGGGTTCCTACAAACAAAAAGAGGGAAAAGCTAGCAAAACTGCAAAAGATTCAAACAGACATTTCACAGAAGAAAAAATACATACAGCTAAAAATCATGAAGCACTGTTGAACCTCATTATCAGGGAAATGGAAGTCAAAACCACAGAGATACCATTTTACACCTATTGATAAAAATTTTGTGTGACAATATTGAGTTTGAAGGGAATGTGAATCAATGTGATCACATTCCTGGTAGAAATGTAAATTAATATAACCACTTTGGAAAATAATTTGTCATTACCTTATAAGGTTGTTCATGCCTGAAGACCCAGTAACTCCTCATCTAGTTATATACCCAAGAGAAACATTAGCACCTAATATGAAACAGAAGATTGTTCTAAGCAAAAAAGTTTGTCTTACAGAAAGAAATAGAAACAACTCGGATATCTACTGGCAGGAAAAAATATAAATTTTAGTAGAGTCGCACAAGGGACTATAACACAGAGGTGAAAATTAAGGAACTACAGCTTTACCAACCACATGAATGTCTCAGAAACACTGTTGAGTGAAAAGAACAGGCTAGAGAAGACTATATACAGGGTGATACTACTTTTATCACCTGAGAAGACCCAATTACATATGATTTAGATGTTCAAGCATATTTGGTAAAACTCATCTTTAAAAAGCAAAGGAATGACAAACAACAGATTTAGAAGAGTAACCTATGTGAGAGAGCCAGAGGGCAGAGATAGAGTGGGTGCCCTTCCCTTTCCCTTAGGTCAAGGTAAAATGGTGGTGATATTCTAGTTCTTGGTTGGGCCTTGGTTTTACCAGGTGTTCATTACTAAATGTGATATAAAGTAAAATAAGGCCATTCACGGGCCAATGATGATAGTGTGCCATGAATCAAGAATTTTTATTAATTGCATTCTGTGCATTTGAATTCCATTTTGTGAAAAAACAACAAAACTGTACGAATTGCAAAGAAATGTTCCTGAATCCCACTATCATAATGCAGCAAGCAGTTCCTCTTAAAAGTCTCAGTTAATGACCTGGAGCACGCTTTTATGCTTTCCAGTGAAGTGTGAAGTGTTGCCTCTCTTGTCAACAAACTGTCAGTCAGCACTGCACCACTTCCAGCAGTTCTGAGGTCAGGGGAAAGATTTTGAAAACCTTGGCTGGGAACTTTAAGACAGAAACAAAAAAGGTGTCAGCTAAGGTTTCTTAGGGACAGTTGTTCATTTGTTTATTTTAAAAATCTGGTTCCAAAAAAGTCTCATTTAAATTCTAGGAAAAAAACAAATGAGAGTATTGCAAAGCAAATGTTTATTCTAAGTGCCAGGTCACATTTATATTGTAATGTGTTTTATACTTTTCTTGGGTGTAATTTCTTATTAAACTATTCTTTATAACTTTATAAAACCCACAGTTTCCACATAGCAATGTCGAAAAGCATTTTGATTTAGAAATAGCGAAAAAAAAGTAGTTTGGGAGCTAGAATGAATGTGCATTTAGAGTAGCATCCCAGGCCGGGTACGGTGGCTCACGCCTATAATCCCATCACTTCTGGAGGCCAAGGAGTGGGCATTACTTGAGCCTGGGCAACAAAGTAAGACACTGTCTTTACAAAAAAAAAATCAAAAAATTAAGCAGGTAGTCCGGGCGTGGTGGCTAACGCCTGTAATCCTAGCACTTTGGAGGCCGAGGTGGGCGGCTCACCTGAGGTCAGGAGTTCAAGACCAACCTGGCCAACATGGTGAAACCCCATCTCTACTAAAAATATAAAAATTAGCCAGGTGTGGTGGTGGGCACCTGCAATCCCAGCTACTCAGGAGGCTGAGGCCGGAGAATTGCTTGAACCCAGGAGACGGAGGTTGCAGTGAGCCAACGTGGTGCCACTGCACTCCAGCCTGGGCGACAGAGTGAGACTCCGTCTCAAAAAAAAAAAAAAAAAAAAAAATTAGCCAGGTATAGTGGCATGTACCTATAGTCCCAGCTACTCGGGAGACTGAGGCAGGAGGATCACTTGAGTCCAGGAGGTTGATGCTGCAGCAAGCCATGATTGTGCCACTGCACTCCAGCCTGGGTGACAGACTGAGATCCTGTCTCAAAATAAATAAGTAAATCAGTGTTCCCTTAGATGTGAGACAAGCAAATGCACAATGTCCACTGTGTCACGAGCAGGGCTACAGAGATTGGAAAGTGAGGACTTAAGCACTGAAAGAAAACCTGTTTGCTAAGTCTCTGCCGTGCTTCCAAAGCTGAAGTATTCCTGAACTTCAGTTTCCCCATCTGTTGAACTCGGGAACTAAGATATGCCTTCCTTACCTCAGAGTTAGTGTATTGAGAAAGTAGATGTGAGCATGTTAGTGGCCAGGCACATTCTGCCCATTACACAGTAAACCAATCACTGAGATGATGAGTTTGGCAGTGGAGAAAAGATTTTATTCTTGAGGCAGCTAAGTGAGCAGCTAGAGAATGCCTCTCAGGTCTGCCTCCCCGTAGAAGAGGCTTTATGGATATTTATGGGGTAGAGTAGCAAGGCGGTCCGAGGCATGGGGAAAGGTGACTGGAGTAAGGGAAAACAAGGCAATGAGTGACCTGCACAAGTGTAGTCAAGCTTCATGGCTCTTAACAGGATGCACGTTAACAAAATGAGATCATTAGCGTGATCTGAGGGTGGAGTTTTTGGCCCTCCAACATCAAAAGGTCACCCACTGTGAAACGGGAGGTTTCCCTGAACCTCCTTGCAGGACATGCAACAAGGGTGTGGCTCGTCTGTTCAGCCACTGTGTGTGCTCAAACCCTTTACGGGAGAGGGAGCACGCAGGCAGGTGCAGGAATCAGGGTGAGCGCTTTTGGGCACCGGCCCACCAGTGGTGTCTAGGGGTAGGAGCCTGCAACTCCTGAAGCCCCAGTGGATGAGCTACAGTCCTCTTTTAGCTCTGCCATCCGCAGATGGCTTAAATGTTAAACAGCTCAGTGCCGTCTTGGTACCTGGATTCTTGTCCAGTGTCCAGGGAGAATCAGATCACACACAGACTTGAAGGATGGTGAATGTGGGGGTTTTATTGAGTGGTGGAGGTGGCTGTCAGCAGGGAGCCGGAAAGCGGATGGAGTGGGAAAATGACCTTTCCCTGGAGTTTGGCTGTCCAATGGCCTATCTCTCCTCCCTGACTGCCCCAGCCAAACTCCTCTTGATGTTCAGATGCTCCTTCTTTACTCTCCTTCTCTGCCACGCCGTTCTGCAGCTCTTCTGCTCTTCTGTTTGTCTGCTCATCTGCTTGTAGAGCCTGGGGCTTAGGGTTTATATGACTACAGGATAGGGGGCGTTCCAGACCAAAAGGCAACATTTGGGCATGAAAACAGGAATGCTTGTTCTCATTCCAGGCTGCAGGTTTCCAGGCTTTAGGGTGGGGCCTTTGCCAGGGAACCACCCTCTTCTACCCAGTATTTCCCTGTCTCCTGTCCATATCAACTGGACATTCACACAGGTCCAGTTGAAGGGCTGGTGGTCTCAGCTGGTTTGAAGTGGACAAGGACTGACCCCCACTTCCTGAAAAACAACTGTTACCATGGTGAGCAATGCCTTAGAGTTGTTAACTATAAGGAAGCTACTGGCAGATATATATTATTTAGCTATATGGATTTTAAAATCAGCTAGAAGCAAGCGGCTAAAAGCAAGCAAGGCAAGATAAGCTTGGTGGGCCTTATAAGTTTAGTCCTCAGTTTCCATCAACAGCCCATGGTCAAGCAAGAGGCAGCAGGTGGGGTAACAGGAAACCAGTGGGATGCAGACAGTGCGCCCATGCCCATTTTATAGTGCTTGGAGCATGAGTTTACTATTTATAATGACCACGGAGTTTAGAGCTATTTTATTATTGCATTCCTGACAGAAATTATCAAATCATATCTGATGTGCTTGATGTCAAGTCCCTAACCCAGAATGTAAGTCCAAATTTATAACTTCATTATTTGTTTGTTTGTTTGTTTGTTTGTTTTGAGAGGAAGTTTCAGTCTTGTTGCCTAGGCTGGAGTGCAATGGCAAGATCTTAGCTCACTGCAACCTCTGCCTCCTGGATTCAAGCAATTCTCCTGCCTCCGCCTCCTAAGTAGCTGGGATTACAGGCGCAAGCCACCACGCCTGGCTAATTTTTGTATTTTCAGTAGAGACAGGGTTTCACCATGTTAGCCAGGCTGGTCTCAAACTCCTAACATCAGGTGATCCACCCACCTCAGCTTCCCAAAGTGCTGGGATTACAGGCGTGAGCCAATGCACCCGGCTATAACCTCATTATTATGATAAAAAACATACAAACCAGTTTGCAGAAACCTGTTTTATGATGCTCCAATTTATGTGGCAATTTCTAGAAAAAAATTTATGGTGATAAGTGAGAATTGTCAGTCACTGAAACATTAATTACATAGTCAGTGAAGAGCAGGTAAAATATACTTCTGGGCTTCACTTTACATTAGAGATGTTTTTCTGAAACGGTGCCTATGAAACAAATCCTTGTCCCCATTACTTCATATTTATCATTTCAAAGGCACTTTATCTTTATTTCTGGTTGATCACCCTTTGAGGGTGGCATTCCAAAATGTCAGCTCAAAATTTCCCTGCCCTTCGGTTTCTGTGACAAGTAAGTTAACGATCTGTAAATAAATCCTGAAATGTCCTCAGGAATCTGCCACTTGAAGGAATTCTATTAGGATTCTTCCAAAATGCAAACACTTGGCGTGTCATGGGCCTGCCTGAAGTTGTACGCTGGGCTTTCTGGAGGGCAGCAGACCCCTAAGAATAGAGCCCGGGCTTTCCTTTAGTTCCTCTCATTGTTTTTCAGGGACAAAAATCGTTATCTTATATTTTTTTTTTCCAGAGGAGTAGGAGGAAGATCTAAAATAGTTAGGTCTGGCAGCTTAATCTGGGTTGGCTGTCTCTGCCGGCAATCTGTAAAATGTGTTTTTCAAGGATAAGAAGTTTGGGCCCTGGGCCAGAGCTCATGTCTGTCATCAGCGGGAAAATAAATGATCTCTGTAACCTGCTGCTATGCTCTGTTTACCTTTGTGCTTAAACATGAACACCTTGCCTTCCATAGGCCCAGAGCTGCTCAAAGTGGATCCTTTGCTCTTGTCAAACAGAACCTTCATAAATCTGCCATTTGGGTGAGCATGGTGGGGCCAGCTTTTTGTGAGGTGAAACTCCAAACCAGCTTCCATTCTCGGGATTGGTATGTAGTTTTTTCATGTTGCCTAAGAGGCTCAGGAAGGGAACTTGAGGTATTTGTTTTTTCATGCCTGCAAAGGCCATTTCCTAAGAGGTGAGAAGCATATATGCATGCCTGCAAGTACCTGTGAACGTGGGCCACTGAGAGTCTCTGGGGCAAGAGCCCTTCAGGGGAATCTGGTATCTATTCATTATGCAAAACTTCATTCTAGCTAGAACAGGGCCTGGGCTACACTTAAAGCTTAAAGGGATGTCTGTTAAACCATGTTTCCTGTTTCCTGTAGAACTTACCACACTAGTACTGAAAGTGTCATAGCTCAGAGTGGAAGGTTAACGCGTAAGAAAGGGACAGTATTGGCAGAAGGCAAGTGGTGTGACCACTTCCTTCTCCACCCTCTTCTCCCATCCCTTGCCTCCCTGGAAAAGCTGGTTTCCTCAGGAGTCACTCCTTCAGCAGCCGCACAAGGCACACGCCTCGGGGAAGCCGGGCACAGGCTGGGGTTGCCTCCCTCCTGCCCCTGCCCTGCCTCCTGCCCCAGCAGACAGTGAATAAGCCACCTGGTTGGCCCAGCTTCCCGCAGTCCCACTTCTCAAGCTAGGGTACATGTATCTAGGAGGACAGGACTGTGTCGCTGGGAGGTAGAGTGAGACGGATGACAGGAGCCACAGAATCAAAACAGCACAATCGACTCATCAGTTCTTTAACTTGTAAGTTCAAGTCAAACATTACTTTTTATTTTGCTTTACTTACTTGTTTTTTGAGACAGGGTCTTCTCTGTCGCCCAGGCTGGAGTGCAGTGGCACAGTCATGGTTCACTACAGCCTCCAACTCCTGGGCTCCAGTGATCCTCCTGCTTTAGCCTCCCAAGTAGCTGGGACCACAAGCATGCAACACCATAGCTAACTTTTTTTTTTTTTTAAGAGACAGGGTCTCACTATGTTGCCCAGGCTGGTCTCAAACTCCTGGGCCCAAGCAATCTTCCCACCTTGGCCGCCCAAAGTGCTGAAACTATAGGTTTGAGCCACTGTGCCTGGCCAAACATTACTTTTTATAATAAGACGAATATTTTTTTCTGAAATAAGGCCCAATGAAGCCCACCTTGTTTGTGTTTAAGAAGCCATGACCAAAAAGAGCACTACCCATTCCTGCCCAGGCTTGTTGCAGTCACCCATTTAATCGCTCATTCAACTTGAGTGTACTTATGGGGCTCTGGCCAACTGCCAGATGAGAAAGACGCAAGCCCCTCTCAGGAACTCACAGTGTAGCGAGGAGGTAATAGGTTAATGCGTGGTTTCCAGGGAGAAGTTGGAGCTCAGATAGGGGTCAGCAGGAGTGGTTAGGGAAGCCCAGAGAAAAGACCCCAACCCAGCTAGGCACAGCTAAAGAGAGACAGTAGGCACTGCACTGGGGGAAGGAGAGAACTCGTCTACCAAGCAGGTACACTGCCCTGGTCAGGGCTTGCCTGCCCTGGCCTCTGTTTCTTCACCTGCCAGATAGGCAGTTAGAGCAGTGACTCTAAGCCCCTGCCAGACTGATATGTCTGTGGCTCCCTTCACCCACATCTCTGCAGAGCTCAGTAGCTCTCAAAAGGTAGAGCCCAGCCTCAGGGCAGCGCGGTGGTGTATGCTGGGGCTGGGATGTGTCAGGGTCATCCTAACTCCAGGATGCAAAGGTGGCCATTGCTGGCCCCAGGGTTTCATAAATTGCTCCGCACGTGGAGAGTCTGGTGTTGGCAGCATTGGTTCTGATATCCTGCCAACTGAGCATGACGCACAGGCCAGGTGGAATTCAGGGCATGTGCTCACGGAGGAACCACCGTGGATTCTGGCTGTGGCAAAGGTGCTGCAGATTTGCGCCTCAGTTGATTTGTTCCAGGATGGCGAGCACCATGGCCAGCCACACCCCAGGGAACATTCCCCCTGCTCCCTCAGCACCCAGCAGCCTCGCAGCCCAGCAGCCCAGCCCCGCAGCCCTCTCTGGCCATTGATTGCTTAGGCAGTACCTGAAAGAAATCTCACCTCATCTGGTCAGCTAGCCTGGGCTTATCTGTAGGGAATTTCACATCCGCTTCCCCCACCAAAAGACACACATCATTTTGTGTAAATGTGAAACTTCAGGGACTCTTGCCTCATAAATGCATGTGTTTTTTTCTTGTATGCAGTGCTATTTTCAAGACCAATATTTAAGTCTTTCTGATGAATTCCTGCCCATCTGTCAAGATTTAGCTTGAATGGCCTCCTCCTACCCATTCTATGGGCTCCCATAGTCCTTTGTGCACTAGAGCTTGAGAGCACAGCCTTGCAATTTATCTGCTGACACGTCCATCTCACCAGCTGGTCCTGAGCAGATTCTCAAGGGCGGGAACCTTACAGTGGCGGGCTTCCATCACCTAATACTAAGGCCTCTGCTGACACCAAAACTCTGTAAATGTTGCAGTCAATTCTAAGTGTCTTTTTCTCAACTGTTCTCATCTTACTTTTTATGGTTTCAATGCCTTCCACAATGGTTTACTCTCTTATTTAGACTTCATCTATCTCACTGAATGGTGGTGTTGGGTCACCTGGGGTCAGAAAACCAGTGCAAAAATGCTGCCACTCTGGCTGTTACTATTACTGGAAGTGAAGAAACTGTCCTTCTTCTCTGACCCAGGAGCCTCATGTCTTCTACCAACATCCGTGAAATTTTGGCATGTGTGATTATTACCTGCACATGAGATAAGATCTCAGTTCTTGATGGTATGGAATGCTGCAGGGAGAGGAAGTGTGCGTGCACAGGCCCAGAGGCCTAGGGGAGCCCAGCCTGCTCTCGGAACTGCCAGGAGAGCAGATGACTGTGGCACACCCTTGCTGTGTGGGGTGGCAAGCAGCCTCTTCCTTCAGGCTTCTGCCCAAATGTGATCTCATTAGAATGGCCTTCCTTAACCATCCCAGCTGACACAGAATCCCACATCACTCCCTGTCTCCTATCTTGCTTTTCTGTCTTTCACATGTATACCACATCATCTCATATATTTGTTTGTTTGTTGTCTGTACTTCCCTACAAAATGGCAAATCCCATCGGCGAAGGAACTTTGTTTCATTCACTGCTGTAATTAATTCTACCACTTAGGACAGTGCCCCGCATAGAGAGATGAGGCTGTCAGGACAGGCAAGCCTGGTTTGCATCATGGGTTACAGCCTGTAAGCCATGCCAGGAGCCTGGGTGAATCCTGGGAGGTTTAGAAATTCTTTTAAGTATTCTATGATTTGCATTTTAGGGCCATGATCCCTTCAGCAGCTGGCAAGTTCATTGAAGGGAGGGCAAGACCACAGGAGTCTGGGAGAGCAGGTGGGAGGTGGGCGCATCATCTAGAAGGAGGATGTTAGTGTGGATTTAAGACACTGGGCTGGAGAGGAGTGGAGGAGTGTTAAAGCTATCAAGTAAGGAGAATTGACAGGGCTTGGTGATTGATTGGATGTAGAATGCAGGGGAGTAGTGGTCACAGATGGTGATTTGGGTGACTGGCAAATGGTTTAGGGGGGTTCAGAGGAAATGGGGGGTATACTTAGAGATAGGATGTTCAACTGGGGCAAAAGTTTGACTTACTATTATCTGCTGAACCGTGAGAAGAGCTGTTATCCTGTGATCATTTCTCGACATCAATCCGATGGCAAGTAGTCTGTTGCTGGTGCCAGGGTCAGAATGTGGGAGTGTCTTAGTCCTGCGGTTCACAGACCCCAAAGGAGAAGCAGGTTACAGGGATTTCTGGTAGTTGTTTCTGATGCCAGCTCCAGGTTAGACAGTCCTCATTCAACCTGACCCTTTAACACTTCTCCAATTTCTGTTTTTCAATATTTTTACGTTTTTAATTTATGTCCCATAAAATGCACAATTTTGAGCGCACATCACTGTGAATGTTTATCTACGCATACACCCATGTAACTACCCAAACCAAGATTCGCAACATTTCCACAGCCCCAGAAAGCTATCTGTGCCCCTTCCAAGTCCAAAGTAAGCATGCTTACCCAAAGGTAACTGCTATCTGACTTCCGTCATCTAGGATTAACATTGCTGATTCTTGAACTCCATTATAAATAGAATTACACAATATGTACTTTTTTATCTGTGTCTTGTTTCTTTCAACATCATGACTGTGAGGTTCACATTTCAAAAATTTGCTGTTTTTATAACTGTGTAATATTCCATCGTATAAATATGCCATAATTTGTTTACCATTCTCCTGTTGATGGGCATCTGGGTTGTTTGGAATAAAGCTGCAATAAACTTTCTTGTCCAAGTCCTTTTTGCAGCTGCTGTCTTTTGGCAATTCCAGGAAGGCCTGTGTTTTGTGTATGTGGATGCGTATTATTAAAGGAAAACCTTCTTGACAAGGCCTTGAACTCGCTGCTGGCCTCTGCCTGGGGTACCTTTGAGGATGAGCAGCTCCAAGGAGCAATGGACAGAAGCTCTAAATCACTAGTGACCAAGGGTAATGTCACATCCCCTCAATTATTTGTTTTTATTAGAGATCAGGAGAATTTGGGGGAAACCTAAAAGTGATTTTGAGCAGTTATTCTCATGCACTTATAAAGACTTTTACCTCTTGCAAAGGACCAGGGCTGGGGAAAGAGACAGAACCAGGATGTAGGTTGGGCCTCATGTACTTGGAGAATGGTATTGAACTCCCTACAGCATGTGGCCCCCAGTTAAGGGAATGGTTTTTCTATATCACAAATGGAAAATATTCTCATTTCTCTGTAATCATAGTCATAGTGTAAAGCATCCTTCGCTAGGGTTTGAATGAAAGAGGTAATCTCCTGATTTCTGCTAAAGAACTTCTCAAATCCTTCATTGCTGATGACTATGACATCCTCATAGGTGCCATTTTCCTCCTAACTTTTTTCCCAAATATTTCTGATCCACCCCAGCAATGCTACTAGTAAATATTCAGAGATTCCTAATCCTAGACTCCTCAGGCATCCTAGGTTTTAGAAGAGAAAGAGAGTTCTCTTTAGTTAAGAACTTGCTGTGGGCCAGGTACTATGTGAGGTAGTTTGCATCCATTTCATTATTTAATCTTTACAGCACAGTGAGATAGGTTTTATTATTCCCCTTTGATGGATGAGGAAACAGAAGTGCAGAGAGGTTCATTAATTTGCCCCAAATCACACAGCAGAGCCAGATTTGACCTGAGATATATTTGGCTTTCTTGCCTATAGCACATTGCTCCTTAAACTAAGTGTGTCTGGCCAGGTGCAGTGGCTCACACCTGTAATCTTAAAACTTTGGGAGGCCGAGGTAGGAGGATTGCTTGAGGCCAGAAGTTCAAGACTTGCCTAGGCAACATAGTGAGACTCTCATTTCTACAAAAACTAAAACTAAAAATAAAATAAGTGTCTCTGACCAGACCTCCTAGCCTGGCTCACACTGTCTCCATGGTACAAAACATTCATATGGTCGAAAAAAAGTATTGTCTCTCAAATGACTGTGAGATTCCACTATCCTTTTATAACTTCACGATATAGAAAATAGTCAAGCTCTTGAGGTTAAAGTAATGTAACTCAGAATCACATGTGGTCCACTGTGAAAAAGCTTAAGGTGACCCAGGGTGCAGCTGTGACTTCCAGAAACGTGGAGACCAAAGGGGAGCTACATAAGGTGTGGAAGGTGCCGAGAAGCACAGTCCCAGCTTGGGGCTGGGGCACTTCCCACCCACCCCGCGGGCTGTGATTAGCCCCCACACCCTGTCCTGGGCCCTGCACTGGCCGCTGCACACCACGCCCCTGCTCTTTGTTCCCCGGTAGCAGAGCCAGTATAATTTCATGCTTCCTAATTTCTGAGGATAGTGAATCAATTCCCCCCACCAGTTTGCCTAGAAGAAGAGCTTATTTAGACAAACGCCTCCAAGGAAACAGTTGTAGAGAGTCACTTAAGAAAACAAGAGGCTGCTAAAGGAATGCTCTGCGTGCAGTGTGGAACAATTCGCAGTCAGCATGGGCGCTCCTCGGCGGGGAGACGCTCCCGGGCAGAGTGAGCACACCTGCCGCACATCCTTCCCAAAAGGAACTCCGCTCATTCCGGACGCTGGACTGCAAATAAAAACAGCCAACGCTAGAGTCCTGGAGTCGGGGAGGGGCTGGGACAAAGGTGAATGAACTTTCCTCCTCTGGCTTCAGATCAGCCTTTAGATTTCTCAGAATGCCTGAGGTCATCTAAGTGGTCTCTAAGTTACTGTCACACCACCCCCATTTTAAGGGGGTTCAGGGCAGCGTGGCTGGTGGGACCCTCTCCTGGGACACTCCTCCAGGCGCCCCCCCCCATCCCCTGGAGGTATTGGACTGAAAACAAACTGCTCGCTTTAGGGGACAAAGGGCACTGGGGGGTTGAGGCTGCAGAGAGGGAACCCCGGGAGGAGAAATGGCCTCGGGAGAGTGGATTCCAGCTTCCATAGAAGGCTGGGAAGGAGCCACCAAGAAGCTTCACCTCCAGTCCAGCCAAACGGTGAGCCGCGGAGCACACTGCTGGCTCCTGGCAGCCCTGAGCAGTTTCTATTACAAAAAGAAAAGGAGGGGAAAGGCTATGAATGCTGGCCTGGTTCCCAGAACAGAGGCTGCAGGGAAAATGGAAACAACTGTTCGCCGGCCCAGTGGGCTTGGCAAGGGCAGGTCAGGGCAGAACCAGAGGGCAGGTCAGTGCAGAACCAGAGGAAAAGGTGGGAGCCCCCAGGCTCTAGTCCCTGGGACCAGAATCACCCATGCCCCACCCCTTCAAGTCTCAGCTCAGATGTGGTGGGAGTGTAAAGAGTGCTGGATTGAGAGTTTAAGTTTTGGCTGAGCTCCTAACCAGCTTCCTCACATGCCCAGGAATCATGGACTCATAGCTCCCAGAGCCCAGGAAGACTCCCTCACCCACTAGGATGACTCACACAGTCCTGCCAGTCCTGGCTGACAGTGGTCCCTCCCATCCTGAGCAGCCGCCAGGTCATCGCATGCTCATGGCTCCCTCCAGTTGCCCTGCTGGACAGAGCGTGATGGAAGAGTGGAGAGCCCCAGCCGCAGGGTTCCTCTGCTCTCATCCCACTTTAGGTCTGCTCCAACCCCGTGAGGTCGGGCCCCTGCCTCCTGTGCCTTTCATGTCCCCAGCAGTTCCAGGGACGGGATAGGGACTCAGGAAGTATTTATGGCCTGGTTAATAACGAGCCCTGTCACAGCCTATGATTTGGGGTCCAATAAATCTGGGTTCCGATTTGGAGCCCTGCTGCCTGCTGGCTGGGAGGCTGAAATAAAGGCCTTGACCTCTCTAAGGCTCGGCTTCCTCCGCACTAAAGTGGTGGGTGCTTCACAGAGCTGATGGGAGGATAAAGGAAGTAAGCATATGGCCAGCAGAGGAGTCAGTAATAGCGTTCACCTCTCCATGCACCTGGAATCCTTGCCCACTCCCTCTAGACACAGGCTCAGAAGCCAGTGGAGCCTTTCAGGGTGGGGACCTCACTGGTTTTAGGGTCACGTCTGTTGCTGTGGAGGCAAATGGCACATCTGCTGGGCTCCACACTAGCCTGAGGAGAGGCCTTATGCTGCAGCTGTTTCCCAGCCGGCCGTGGTGAGGCGTCAGCAGGGCCCTGTTTAAACACAGCGCTGCGGGAGCCCCCACCCTGCACCTCAGATCCTTAAGACACCTGCTCCCTGATGCTCTCCCCAGGTCTCACCTGGTGGCAGGAGTGGAAGAAGTGATGGGATGAGTCACCACAAAGACCCTTCATGGAACTCATTAACTTTACAGAATAATGATTCTGGGACAGAGTGGATGTTTTTTTTTTTCTTTTTTGCCCCCAATTACTAAAAGAGTGGAGGATTTTAAATATACATAGTGTGCTCTGGTGATTGGCAAATTTAACCCCTGCTTGACTTAATTCTCAACAAGTCTCACAGTGATGCATTCTGGTGAGATTTCCAAGTTTCAGTCACTGCAGGAATGATGGAGGTGCATGGGTGCATGTCACTAGGGCACTTTATGGTTTACAGGGCACACTCACATACATTATTTCCTGTGATCCTCACCACAAATCTAGGAGGCAGGCAGGAAAGGAGTTCTTAGCCCTATTTTACAGACAATGGCATTGAGTCCCAGAGAGGTTGGGCAATTGCCCAAAGTCACACAGCTTATTTTTCGAAGCACAGTAACTCATGACCCCAGAGTTCACTTCATGTCTTCTCACAACAAGAGGGAGGAACAAGCACCATTGTCTGGCCTCATATATTGAGTTTTGATTCCTGGGTTCAGTTTCCTGTCACTATGCGCAGGGAAGAGACATGGATATCTGGAGATCAACTCCCCCTACTCCATGCTGTAGACTCCACTTTGGGAAAAGAGTACACAAGCGATGCAGGGGGGTGGGGGGTGAAAGAAATCCACATGTTTCATCCCCAAATACACTTCTTTGACATAATTTGAGATGGTTGTTCAGAGGGCCTGCAAACAGAAGGAGCCCTGCAAAGCTGTCTTTCTGGGGGAGATTTGCATCTGCAGAGAATCTGCATTGATGCAGCCAGGTTTTCTCAGGTTTTCTCAGAGGTCGTCCTTTGTCCAATCTAGGAAAAATTAACTGAAAATGGGACACCTTTAAAGGTCTGAAAGTAACATTTCCCATCAGTTCTCTCGGGGCTGCTCCCTGTGAGGTTTCGTCTACGTAACAAGATCATCTTGGCTCACCAGGCCTCCTCATCTTCTCCTCCCATAACCTATTTTGCCCCGATCCAAGCCCCCATTCTTTCTGTAACCTCAGGATGGTATATATACTTATACTTCCTGCACTGGCCGCTGCACACCACGCCCCTGCTCTTTGTTCCCCAGTAGCAGAGCCAGCATAATTTCATGCTTCCTAATTTCTGAGGATAGTGAATCAATTCCCCCCACCAGTTTGCCTAGAAGAAGAGCTTATTTAGACAGGAGGGTGGAGGAGGGTGGAGGGTGGAGGGTGGAGGTAATCACTCTGTGGTTCTCCCCCATGTGCACATTAACAAATTTGTCTGCCTTTTCTTTTATTAATCTGCATTTTGTGAGATGATTTTTCCATGAACATACAGAGGGCAAAGAAGTTTTTCCCTTGGCCCCTACTGTGGCTTCTCTGGACTGTGAGACCACCTTTAGTCTTGCCCAGGCAAGTTCTGAGGCAGGAGAATAGGGTCTGGAGGCAGGGAACCTAAGGCTGATTCACACTGACTAATTAGAACTAAATCAAAAGGGAAACCCCAACTTTCCACACCTAAGTAACAAAAGGACCAGAGGCTACTCCCTTTGTAAACACCCCCACCTGTCCGATTTGGTTGATTTCTGCAACCAATCAGACTGATTGCAGGCCACTACTTCATTTGCATGAAGTGTACACCAAGTGGCCTATGGGAAACCTCTAGGGGGTATTTGGACCCCTGAAGATCCTGTAACCAGCACCCTTGAACCGCTGCTCAGGCCTGCTCCCACCCTGTGGAGTGTACTTTCATTTTCAATAAATCTCTGCTTTAGTTGCTTCATTCTTTCCTTTCTTTGCTGTGCATTTTGTCCAATTCTTCGTTCAGAACACCAAGAACCTGGACAACTTGCAGTCAAGACCCTCCACCAGTAACAGTTCTAGCTGTCTCGACACACACAGAGGCTCGCCGTAGGCCCTGCTCCATTGATGCCCTGGGCAGTGGAGCCACAGAAGGCACCTCTGACCCAGTGCTCTGTCTCAGGCTGGTGCAGGCCAGGGCCTGAGCCTGGGCAAGGCAACACTGCACCCCTGTGAATCATGCACCCAGCAGGGGCTGTAACAGGGCTGCAAAGCCACCACCAGGCAGCTGCTGGCAGGACTAGGTTAGATGGTGGCATGCAGGGCAGGCAGGGCCTTCTGCACGTAAGAGGGACAGTGGCACTTCAGTCCCACCAGAAAACCCCTTTCGTCACCCATATGTTCAGCAGCCACGCACTACCTCCCGCTGTGGTGTATGCAGTACAGAGGCTGCTGAGTGATTGTGGAGGCAGCCAGGACAGAAGCTGGGAGGCATATTGTACAGTGACAAAGAACAAAGACGTTGGAGTCCCACGGCTTCAGGTTCGAATCCAGACTCCACTTCTTAGCAGATGGATGATCATGGGAAGTCATTGAGTCTCCCTGTGTGCCAGTGTCCTCATCTGTATACTGGGATAGGACAGCACCTCCCACAGGGGTTCTGAAGTGATGTAAATGCAATGCTTGGCCTGTAGTGATTGCCCCATCCATGGTTGATACCATAAGGGGTTAGTGAAATGCACTGTTTTTTGCAGCTGTGGTGCCATGCAAATAAAAGTTATTCTCAGGACTGCATATCGCTTTCACCCTGTCATAGGTTTCACATTTTATTTTGCTTATTTCCTGTCTCCCATTCGGAATAGAATCTCCATGAGGGCAAGGATTTAAGACTATTTTGTTCACTGGTATGTCCTCAAGTGTCTACAAGACTCTTTGTGCCTAATGGAAGCTTGATTTGTTGAGTGAAGGAAAAACAGGAAAAAAAAAAAAAAGAGAGAAAGAAAGAGGAACTGAGAAAGAAAGAAATAAAATCTCCTTGATATACAGATGACAAGGACTATAGCGGGGAGCCATCACAGGCCAGAGACATGCCCTGCCCGCTGTTTTCATGAAGGCCATGAGAAACAACAGCGACCCTTGGAAGCTGGACTGGCTTAGGAGACATACAGGGTGGGACGCCAGGGAGGGAGAGGAGCCTCAAACCAGACTTAGGAGAGCAGAGCAGCAAGGAGAATAGCCATGACCCAGGGGCTCGCTCAGTCACACCTGACTTAAGGTTTCACCAGTTCCTAAGAGCGGCCAGTTGGGAAGTAGCACCCAAACCCCACTGCTTAGCACGTGTTATGTATTGCAGGGATCCCTCACCCCCAGGGCCTGTTAGGAACTGGGACACACAGCAGGAGGTGAGCAGTGGGTGAGTGCGCGTTGCTGCCTGAGCTCCACCTCCTGTCAGATCATGGCAGCATTAGATTCTCATAGGAGCACAAACCCTACTGCGAACGGTGCATGCGAGGGATCTAGGTTGTGCACTCCTTATGAGAATCTAATGCCTGATGATCTGAGGTGGAACAGTTTCATCCCAAAACCACCCCATCCTCCTTGTTCATGGAAAAATTGTCTTCCATGAAACTGGTCCCTGGTGCCAGAAAGGTTGGGGACCGCAGATTTATTGGACAACAAGTGATGCAAACGTTCATGGCATACTAAGCTGTAGCTAGTTCTCATTCCAAGTATGAGTTCAGGCATTTCAGGACATGCTTTCAGCTGCCTGTTGAGGCTCTTAAAGGCTAACCAGGAAAGGTTTCCAAACAAGGTAAGCTCCCAAGGAAGAGTGCCAGCAAGATCCTGCGTGAGCGGGCCACATGGGCAGCCCCTTAGGAAAGGTGCCTTGGCAGACCTGGCTGCAGGCTGCGTGGGCTGCTTGTTACACACAGCTTTTGCCTTGGACAATAGCCTGATAAGGCTGCACACTAGGGAGAGGGTAGCTTTGTGGCCAGCTGAGGGAGTCCCTTTCTACCTGAACTTGGTCTAGAACGTGCTAGTTGTCAGCCATGTTTACCGTACCATCAATAGCCTGTCCTGAGGTCCTCCTGGAACTCAGTGTTGGGCTTGTGAGGTGCAGCGAACTACTTTTCTGATTGAAAATATGCTCTCTAGGCCGGGTGCAGTGGCTCATGCCTGTAATCCTAGCACTTTGGGAGGCCGAGGTGGGTGGATCACCTGAGGTCAGGAGTCCAAGACCAGCCTGGCCAACATGGCAAAACCCCGTCTCTACTAAAAATACAAAAATTACCCAGGCGTGGTGGCGCATGCCTGTAATCCCAGCTACTTGGGAGGCTGAGGCAGAAGAATTGCTGGAACCTGGGAGGCGGAGGCTGCAGTGAGCCGAGATTGTGCCACTGCACTCCAGCCTGGGCAACAGAGCGAGACCCTGGCTTCAAAGGGGGAAGAAAAATGTTCCCTAAAGCCCACCTGGCCGGATAAGACCTGGGGAAACATCAAAGGAAAGGATGAAGATGGAGTGAGGAGGTGTTTCTAGAAACTGGAGGATCTGCCACACTCGCCATTGGTGAGGACAGGAAGGGAAGGGGCAGGGGCAGACTCAGGCTCTGAGTGGGAGGATATTGGGGGAAGGACAAAACAGAGGGCTCTGCAGAGCCTGACAGGCCAGGCTTCCCAGGGAGAGGACCAGGGCCACTGAGAACCATCCAAGGAGCATCTCCAGGCCCCGGAGAGAGACTGGAGGAAACAGACTGGAGGAAATGGATCTCACTGCCTGTTTTGCAATTTCCTGGACACTGACTAGGTTAGCACATCCCTATGTTGACTGGCCCTATGTGTTGCCTCTTCTGTCAAATGCCTATTCATATTTTTTTCCCATTTTTCTTCTGAACTATCTGTCTATTTCCCACTCCCTCCACCCCACCAGGCATTCAGGACTCGATATATTCTTGAAGCTAATCCTTTGTCACTTAAGTGCTACACATATCTTTTCCCAGCTTGTGGCTTATCTTCTGAGTTTCTTTAAAATACCTGTGATGAACCAAGGTTCTTAAATTTAACGTGGTTGAAATCATGAATCTTTCTTTTTTATGATTTGTGATTTTTTGGTGTGTTATTTTTAAGAAATTCTTCCTCACTCCAAGATCAAAGAGATATTCACTTCCATTTTCTGCTGGTCAGATATCCCACCCACAGGGATGCTGCTGTTGTTTGGGGACCTGTGCCCAAGGCAAGGATGGGCAGACCCCAAACCTGACATGCTGTCCCCAGATGCCAGGAGGACCACATGTCAGGGCCTGCACAACCTTAGGGTGCCTTTCCTGTAAACCAGCCCCCAGACGTCACTGGGTACAAGCTAGTGCTCCTAATCTACCCCCTACCCGTACTTCGGCCAACACAAAAGGTGCCAGTGAGCCTGAAGCCATAAGATCCATGTGGCAGATTTGAGGGCCCCAGATGCTGTATTCAACTGGGGGTACTCAAAATACTGTGATCAGCACAGATCTGTCTGCTCACCACATGCCAGGATCTGCCAGGGACCATCTCACAGCTAATGATAAATCCTCCTGTCAGGGCCACAAAGCAGGGCTTTGTGTCACTGTGTTAGCCCGCATCGTCCCAGGGCAGGGCTCCAGGCTGAGCTGGTCAGCCCAGGCCACTGCAGACAATGGAGCCACAGTGGGGCAGGGCTTGCAATGGAAGTCAGTATGGAGGATGGTGACAAGAAGCAAACACCCTGACAGCAGCCAGGCCCATGCACGCCTCCCCGAGGAGGGAGGACAGGGCGGGGCAGGCTCTGCAGAGTCAACGGGCAACTTGAATCTTGCAGCATCTGGCTAGCACCCAGGCAGGCTCCACAGATGCCCGCCTGGGCCTGATTTTCCTGTTCTCAGTCTCCCACGTCTGCCAGGAGGCCTTGATAAATATTCAATAGCTCTGGCCTCAGAGCCTGTGTCTGGAGGACATTCTTAGGCAGTGAACTGGAGACAAGCTGAGAGGAGGCCTTTAAAGGAGCCCCAAACCTCAGCCTCTCCTTTCTGCTCGGGGTTTGGTTTTAAAGAGTCCCAGGGGAGCCACCCACCTGCAGGCCTGACCCCCTGAGGTCGATACGCGGGTTCCCTGAGCCCAGCTCTCAGGGAAGAAAAAGGCAGAATTCAGGCTGCTAGAGCAGCCGGGATAAGAGAAGTGATGCTGGCAAATGTGGTATTTAATGGATATTTTAAAACACCAATAGCAAATACAGTCATTTCTGGGACTTTTTTTTAGAAGATGCTGAATTAAAAATTTGCATCTTCCCTCATTCTTGATCTCCTTCTGCAGTTCCACTTGAGCAACCCCACAGGCTCCAGTCTCACTTCTGCTCACACCCTCCACCTGCTGCCCACGCAGCTTCCTGTCCTGCCCCCACCGCGCCCCCTGCGCCGTCCCAGCTCACCTGTTGGCCATCAGACATCACTCACGACCCCTCCCTTTCACCAGACTGTGGCTCCCACCATTTTGATTATGAAGTTTCTCATTTAGCTCAAAATATCTGACAGACTCCCTGCCCCATTCATTATATTGGACACATAGAGTCGAATATATATTAAACTTCAATTAGATCAATTCTATATTAGACTTCTATAAAACATCCAGTGGGTGAGAAACTATATAATGATCAAAGTGACTGCAAATTCAGTAACCACATTGTGCAATCATATTTTACTTATCACAGAAACATCCAGGCACCTTTGAGAACCAACAGGACGTTCATGTGCAGAAGATGTGATTTCTTCAATCTAAAGACAGTGGAGAGAGGGGTGTGTGCGTGTGTGCACGGGTGCACGTATGCAAATTTGCTGGCCCCTCACAAAAGCTCTAGTTTCTGGAAGGAGAGCCCGAGTGTCCTCAGGCCCAGCGGTTCCAAGCATTACTGGGTGCCTCCACTGAGATAGCAAAGGACTCACAGGTCTCCAGGCACCTGGTAATAATGTGGAATTGGCCGGGGCTGCCTGTTGCTGAGGAAGTTCTTGTCAAGTCTGGCCTTGGTGGGAGCACCAGTGGTAGTCAGAGGTTCTTCACCTTTTTTGGGTCATAGACCCCTTGGAGTGAAAATGTTGGAGGTTTCTCCTGAAAAGCACACTGCAATTCAGGGGATCCCCTGGGTCCTGGAGTCCATGCATAGGCATCATGGACCCCACATGGAAACCTCCCTGATTGAGAGGTCTCGAAAGCTTTTCCAGTCCTAAGAGTACAGTTTCTAATTTGCTGGAGTCGGCTGGACTTTCATTCCCTGGCAGAGCCATTTTGGAGGATAAGAAGATGTGTCTTCTCTACCACCGCACATGCGGTCCACAGTGACTGAGGGGAGTGTCACGGTGCCACCTTGTGCTTCTGTCCTGAAACTGCACCTTCTCTGGGGCCCATGCTCAGGTCCACACTGCCCACCTCTCACTCCATGAGCCTCACTCCCTACCACTCTCCCACCTTCTTACTCTGACCAAGCCACATGGACTCCTGACGTCCCTGCCTTGGGGGCCTTTGCACTGACTGTTCCCCCTGCCTGAAGTCTGGGTTTAAAGCCGTATACACAAGTGCAGTTTGTACAGTCATATCATGAACCAAGAAAAAAAGCAAATGTTTATGAAGATGCCTTTATTTTCACTTGGCCTAAAGCGAGAAAGTATCACATGAGTATATAAAAGAATTTTTTAAATTTTGAGGCAGCTTTGAGGAGAGATTGAGGAAGATGAGAGGGTGTAGTAGTAAGCTCTCATTAAGTTTTGCTGCAATAACAAATAGCCTCAAAAATCTCAGTGGCTAGGCCGGGCGTGGTGTCTCATGCCTGTAATCCCAGCACTTTGGGAGGCTGGGATGGATGGATCACCTGAGGTCAGAAGTTCAAGACCAGCCTGGCCAACATAGTGAAACCCTATCTCTACTAAAAATACTAAATAAATTAGCCGGGTGTGGTGGCAGGCAGCTGTAATCCCAACTACTTGGGAGGCTGAGGCAAGGAGAATCACTTGAACCTGGGAGGTGGAGGTTGCTGAGATCATGCCACTGCACTCCAGCCTGGGCAACAGTATGAGACTGTTAAAAAAAAAAAAAAAAAAAAAAACTCAGTGGCTAACAGCAACAAAAGTATCCCTCAAATTGCTTCTTTATTTTTATTTATTATTTTTTTGAGATGGAGTCTTGCTCTGTCACCCAGGCTGGAGTACAGTGGTGCAATCTCAGCTCACTGCAACCTCCGTCTCCTGGGTTCAAGTGATTCTCCTGCCTCAGCCTCCCGAGTAGTTGGGATTACAGGTGGCCGCCACCACGCCCAGCTAATTTTTGTATTTTTAGTAGAGACAGGGTTTCATTATGTTGGCCAGGCTGGTCTCAAACTCCTGACCTACAGGTGTGTGCCACCGCACCCGGCCTCAAGTTGCTTCTTCCTGGTGGGGCAACTGTGGCTCTGCTTCCTTGCAGGATGGAGGAGCGAATGAATCGCTGGGAAGTCTTCTCACTTTTGTCCCCTTAAAGGAGAAAACGATGCGGAATGACGAAGCTGGGGCCCCCTGCTTCCCTCACATCCATAGCTTTTCTGAGGCTCCTGGCTTTCTTGCCTTCACAGAGCAGGACTGAAGCTGTCCCTGCTCCATAGGCGTGAGCTGCAGCCATGGGGTGGGACAGAGCCTCCTGCTTGGGCCCTGAGCCTCCCAACCAATACCCACATGGACCCAAAAGTTCCCAAGAACTCTGGGGGTATTGCAAAACCCCAAAGCCCTTCTACTCCGACTGCCACAAGAGGGAGGAAGAAGGCTTCTGGGTGCCATTAGAAGACTTCAGGCAAAGAGAAGGAGGAAAAGAATCCTAAGAGAAGCGGAGGCCAAGAGAAAAGAGAGGAACAAGGAGGAGGCGGCACATGTGTGGAGTGTGGCAACCATTAACCCGGAGCCAACCCTGAAGTCTTCCCAGCCTCTCACCTGAGCCTCTTCTCACCGCAAAACAGACATTGGAACGACCCACCTGGAAAACTGATGGGGGATTAGTTTCCTTCCCTTGAACGATCTCTCTTCTCAGCCACAGGAAAACAAGTTTCAAAGTTGATTGGGAAAGGGGGGGTGGGGTTCAGATATGGAAAGAATGAGGAGGGAACAGATGGTGCCTGCTAAGGCGACCAGATTTTTTCCCCCAGTTAATCTGGGAATGACCTAATTTACATAGTATTTGCATAAATTTCCATTTCAAATTAAAGCTGTCCTAACTTCAAGCATACAGGAGAAAATAAATGAGATCAAGCAATCTACTGTAATTGAACTCAAGCCGGTCCTGACTTCTGCAAAATGCAGGTCAGGCTTTTAAGACCTGGCACAGGAGAGGAAAGGAAGTTGGCCCCACTGTCCCTTCACAGGAGGGGGCTGGAAGAAGTCTGTCTCCACCTCTGAAATTAGAGAAAGTCATCACAAGGTCCTAGGCCAGAGTGTGGGGAGATGAGGAAATGCCGCCTCTTCTCTGCTCTATTCCTCCCTCCATTGCGGGGCCTCCTAAGGAAGAACCAAAACTAGGAATGGAGCAGAAAAGCCAGAGATGCTCTCCTGAAGTCAGACTGGACTAGCCGGCATCTCACAAATGAAGCAAAGGGAAGGCCGGCGTCAGGTCCAGCCTCTTCAGGCACAGTAGACTGGGCTCTTGTGCAGGAGGGTGGCAGGGTTCACATACCCAGGTGCATGGGACCCGGGAGGCATACACCCGCATGGTGTGTGGGGGTTGTTTTTGCCTGCCTGACTCCTTAGCGCTCCATCCTTTATTCTCATCCTCCACCAGTTCCCAGATCCCATCACACAGCCTCACAGACACACAAACATATGTGAGTGCCAAGGAACGAACACACACACACACACACACACACCCTGGGCATTACCACCAGCCCGGCCTGTGAGGTCTCAACCCAGCTTTGGGAACTCTGGGAACCTAGGATGTGCTGGTCATCTTGTTCACTCAATACCCCTTTGTCTATCTCTTGGATTAACTCAGATCCAGTGAAACTGCAAAGGCAGTGAATTCCTAGGGCATGTCAGATGGGGAAAGAACCAAAGCTGGAGGCTGGGACGGTGTCATGCTCTGTATGGAGTCACCAAGGAAGTACTGGCTGCTGCAGAAAGAAATCCCCACCACAGTGAAGGAAGGCCAGCCAGTGGCACTAGATGCCACCGACTGCAATGGAGGCTGAGTGGTCAAGGTGGACTTGAACCTGCCTTTCACGTGGTCCTCTGATGGAGGTCCTGAGTGCTGGCCTCTGTGTCTTCAGATGCTATGTCTTTTCCCCTCACTCACTGATTCCTCTGCACTGAGCATCCCTCTCTGCTTCCCTACCCACCTCAAGGAGGTGGGAGAAGTCTTGCTCTATTTTGATGTTCGCTGAAACAATTTCTGCTGAGAATTCTCAGGCCTCCCTGAAGTTAAGACAGAAAAACTCCCTGCCCAACCCCTTACTCCCCTGAAACAGGAGGACAGAACAGCCTAGCTGCTTCACTGAGGAGGCAGAGAGTTTGAGGAAAGGAGAGGTAAAATAAAAAAAAGACGGGCCAGGCACAGTGGCTCACACCTGTAATCTCAGCATTTTGGGAGGCCAAGGTGGGAGGATCACTTGAGCCCAGGAGTTTGAGACCAGCCTGGGCAACATATTGAGACCTTGTCTCTACAGAAAAATTTAAAATGAGGCAGGAAGATCACTTGAGCCTGGGAGATCGAGACTGCAATGAGTTGTGATTGCACCACTGTACTCCTGCCTGGGTGACAGAGCAAGACCTTGCCAGAAAGAAGGGAAGGAGGGAGGGAGGGAAGGAGGGAGGGAGGGAAGGAAGGAAGGAAACAAGGGAGAGAGAGAGGGAGGGAGGGGAAAAAAGGAAAAAGGGGGTTCATTAATATTTCAAAAAGTTACTTTGCCACATTCTTTTTTGGGAAATAATGATGCAGGGATCATATAAGCCAAAAGAAAGAAGAAAAGGCCACAGAAAAGAGTCGCCTTTTGAAAAGGCAAGACAAGGAGGGAAGAAAAGATCAAATGGAGACATCAGAGTCTAATTCTGGTGAATTTTTCAAGGGCTGCACCCACTGAGCCCCTGCCCCGCCCCCAGATGCCCTCAGCCAGGCCACACAGTACCTGAGAGCCGGTCTGGGTCTCTGGGCAGCTGCTGGACAGCTGCTCGCCCATTCATGCGGTTAAGATGAGTTCACTGCACAGTGGCATCACACAGATGCTCCTGCTGGCCAAAGAAGGCTCTGGAAGGCCAGGCATTCTCATTCAGCCAGCCCTTTGAAGGCTCCTCACCAGCAAAACCATTTATTTGGGGGTCACTCCAACCTCAGCATAAGAAATACCACACTTTAACCCAGAGGTTGGCAAACTCTGTAAAGGCTGGACAGTAAACATTTTAGGTTTTGCAGACCATTTAGCCTCTAAAACAGAGACTCAACTCTCCTCTAATGCAAAAACAGCCATAGAAAATATGCAAACGAATGTCTGTGATCCAATGAATAGACACACTGAAATCTGAATTTATATAATTTTCATGTATTGTGAAATTATTCTTTTGATTTTTTTTTCATTTAAAATCATTCTTAGTTCACGGACCATGCAAAAATGGCTACAGACCTGACTTGGCAAGTAAGGTGGATTTTGCTTTAAACAAGCCCCAAAGTAGAAGGCTTGGTCTTCTTAAATACAAATTAAGAATAGATTGATTTGATTTACAGAAGAATTTACCTTGGTGATCTAAATAGAGGGTTCCCTGAATGCATTCAAAATAAGATTTGATTGTAACTTTTTCCTGCAGTGTTAGCTGTCTTCCCTTTTTTACTTTCAGTGTTTTTCTTTTCTTTTTTTTTTGAGATGGAGATGCACTTTTGTCACTCAGGCTGGAGGATAGTGGCACGATCTCAGCTCACTGCAAACTCCACCTCTCGGGTTCAAGCGATTCTCCTGCTTCAGCCTCCCGAGTAGTTGGGGTTACAGGTGTGCAATGCCCACCTAATTTTTGTATTTTTAGTAGAGACGAGATTTTGCCATGTTGGCCAGGCTGGTCTTGAACTCCTGGCCTCAAGTGATCCACCTATCTCGGTCTCCCAAAGTGCTGGGATTACAAGTGTGAGCCACCACGCCTGGCCCTTCAGTGTTTTTCAAAATGACATTTGCCATCCACTAGTGGGCTGCAAAATTCATGAACATCATTTTGGATAGAATAGAACAAATAGAATAGAATAAAAAGATATCACAGTTCCTCACACACAATAAAGGTTGGTAATGTCTCATAACATTTTGCCAGGTGTGTATTTTCCTGTGTATATGTTCATATAGCTATGTTATATTGTGTTGTAATGTAAAACATATTTATTGTAATAGATCATGGTCAAAAGTTTGTGAAGCCCTGGTCTGATTAATATCAGGAAAGAGAGAGTTTGCACTTCCAGCCCTCCTGAATTGCCCCGAGTCTCCCCTTTCTCTCTCTACCCCTATACCCCTATGGGATTCTCTGCTGATCAACCCTGAGACTGACAGAGGCAGGAGACAGAGCACTCTCCTAGGCAGATAGGGGAGGGCCCCCAGAGAACTTCCCACCGGCCAAGGTCATTGTGCACAGGTGGCTTGCCTAAACATGCTCGCAGTGAAAACTTCTGTCCCTTAACACACGCGCAATAAGGGAAATAAATCAATGTGGAGTGGCTCAGACTAAGGGCCCGCATGTGCACTAGAAGGATGGGGGTGCCAGGAATTCACGCCACATACAAATAGGGAAACCAGCCCCATCAGTGGATTATAGAAGCCCCTTGTATTCAACTATGAAGGGGGCCAGCCAGTAACCTGCTTTCAGGACCCCTCTTTTTGCTGAGAGCTTCCCTTTTTGCTTCATAAATTCTATTCCACTCACTCTTTGATGTCCATGTGCCTAATTTTTCCTGGTCGTGAGACAAGAACCCAGATCTCGCTGAGCTAAGGCGTAAAAATTCCTGCCTCAAGACCACTGTTCAGATGCCCTCATAGTGACCGCCACAGACAGGACACCAGTAAAAGATGAAGAAGGGACAAGCCACACCTCACCTTCATTGTCTGCACCCCCATTGCCTGTGTCTTGTTCACTCAGCACCTTGCAGATGAGAGTGTAAGCCTGCAGTATAAGAGGTACTCAACAAGCGTGTGTTGAAGGAATGAATGGCTGAATCCTAGACAGCAGGGTTGTAGGTAAAAAGGCCCTGAGATGTGAGGGAGCAGAGCACAATTGTGGAACTGAAACTCATTCCCTGTTCTCCCAACTACACTGCCCAGCCTAAGCTTACACATAACATTCATTAAGGGTCTGGTCAGGTTTCCAGGCAAAGTATTCTCCTCCCCACTGCTTTGCCAGGTAGCAAAGTGCTTATTTCCCCAGGCACATGAGCTGCGTGCACATGCTTGGAAGAGCTCACCTTGGCGTGAACAGAGGGACATCTCTATCACAGACTGAGAAATGCCAGTTATTCTCGAAGGCCACTGGCTTCTGAAAGATAGGAAAGTGCACTCCAGCAAGCCAGCAGAATGATTCATTTCCATGGGACTTGGAAAGCAGTAAAGCAGGCAGTGCCGGACTGAGAGCTGAGGTGCCATGTGGGGGAGGGCTGGGCTGGGAGCAGCTATTACCAGGGAAAAATGAGAAGGACTGTCTTGGGAGCAGTGGCAAAGGCAGATCTAGCCCCTTTTCCCGCAGAAGTCCTCCTCCATGAATGTTCTCCCCTTCAAGACTCCTGCTCTGTCTCGGCTTTGTGCCTCTGGGGCTGATGGTGGCATTACGGGTGCTACTTACAGTCACCGACAGTTTACTGTCCTAGAGGTGGTGGTTCCAGAAGGGCCTCTGATCCACGTCACATGGGCAGCTCCCAGGGAGGAACCAGACACCTCATCCCGGTGTCCTGCCAGGCAGGCCCATTCTGGGCTTCCCCCTGTCATGAACCAGGTTTGAGAATTCTATAATCTCACACAGCACCGGTAAAGCAATATGCTTTGGGGGTAGGGCACTCACGGAGCTAAAGGAGAGCAAGAAGGGTGAAGCAAGTGTGCATCCCCCATTCCATAATCATTCCTGGGTGGGGGTGAGCTGGGCCGACAGCACGGGCCTGTATTCTGCTGCAGGACCACACAGGCTACTTGGCTCCAGGCAGAGGAGTTAATACAGACATTGTCTAGATGTTGCAATGCTTCCTGCATGGAAGAGGGATGGGGAGGGTGAAGAGGAATCCTCCAGCCCCACAGAAAAGGGAACGTGGGCGCCCTCTTGCTGGGAAGCAGCCAGGCCCCAGCTGGCTCATGGTCCAAGCAATGCAAGGAGCTCCCAGGGTCCCTCTTGGATGCCCCTACCTTTGCTCTGCTGACCCAAGGAGAGCCACATGCTCCCCAGCATTGAGGCCAGCCGCAGCACAGCTCTTTCAACAGTGGGCCCTCCATGTGCAAGGTCCCCCCAGTTGTTCACGATTTTGAAGAGTCTGTTGTGTGCTGATTGCCACAGTCACTCCTGTGTAACTCCAACAATGAAATGGGGCTCCCTGCCTATCTACAGGCCACCACTACACCAGCAGGGACCTGTGACCTTGGGGTGAAGCCCGAAAAAGGGATGAGAGACATGGAACTTTCTCTCCCTGCTCCCAGAAAGAACGTTTTTGGTGCAGTGTTTTGTTCTGTTTTATTATTTTGTTTTATTTAGGTGAAACAAACATCTGGTACACAGATCTTCATCCATTTTAAATGCCTCTCTAACCCCTTACGGGTGTTGTAACCCCTCCTGTCTCCCATTCTGCATGTTAATTTGAGTATGAACTTAATGGACGCTAAATAAGTCAATCAAGATGCCATTTTTAGTGCAGTTGAGCAGATGTGTTTCTGGGGAAATGTGTTTGCATGGGCAACGTCACCCAAAAGGCACCTCAGTGAGCACCCTTCCACCCAGGGGAACCCAAAGGGAAGCCACAGCATAGCCAGCCTGGCACAATGCCATGGGGGAGAGCATGGGGCGGCCGCCCTTTCTGGGGGATTTTCTTGTGAAAATGCCACCCCGTCTTCCTTGGGACCTGCCCCTGCTTCGAGTTTCCCCTCCCTTCCTATGGAGCACCTGCCAGACACTGTGCAAAGGCCTCTACCCCCGACTTCAGGTGGTACACAGGCAGCCCAGTGCTGGGAAAACAGTCTGTGCTCAACTATTTTAACAGGTTAGAACCAGAGGTCAGACTTTCAAATTCCACCTAGCCAAGTCCCAGCACTTTCAGGAATTCTGGGTAACGCAAGACAGGCCAAGGAGTGCTTGGCTTAGCCTAGGTGCACTCATCCCCACAGTTGGAGAATTCTTGTCCGAAGTCTGAGATTCCCAGTTTGGGTCTTGGCAAGGACTCGAAGAGACTCCTTCGGGTAGCTGAAAGCTGGAGCTGTCAGTCAGGCTGGTTTTATCCCCTCTGCCCCACCAAGGACCATTCCTGAAGCTGCACTGGTGATGGGGATGTGGGTTGAGGCACAAAGCAGCCTAAATCTACACATGGGGCCTGCAGTGCAGTTGCCTTTCAAGAGAGCACAGGGTCCGCCTGCATTAGCTACAGTGTGCACGGCTAAAAGAACAAGGTTCCAGATCTGGCTCTAGCTCTGCTCCTAATTAGCTGAGTGACCTCACCCTTGCTGGGCTTTCCTTTTTTCATCTGCATAACAAGAGGGTAAAGCAGAAGACCTCAAAGTTCTTCCAGATTTAAAACTCCATGGGGACTTTCCTCCTCTCTAAACTGTGCAACTCAGAATAGTTACAAGGATTAAATTCGATAAGGTATATGCAAAACTGAGAGGCAGAGCCTGGATTTGCCTGGGCCATCAATTCCAGATACTCTCCTAAGGGATTTGCCAGCTCCTTAGATCAATGACTTAACAGAAGCCTGGCTGAGCCCAGATTAGGTCTCCCAAATCCTGGGCTTGGGGGCCTGTACTGTCGAGCCACTTTCTCAGAGCCAGGTTATGTTCAAAGACCAGGGTGAATGGCCAGAAGTGGGGACTCCTCCCCTATGCCCATCCCCTGCTCTGAAAGTCCTGTGCCCAGTGGCATCAAACAGCAACATGTCCTTAATGAAAACCCCAACTAAAGAGTGGTGGCTCATTCATGCCCCTCTGCATTCCAAACACCTTCCACTCAGTGAACGACCAGTCCAGGCTTGCACCTTCCAAGCCTGCTGTTGCCTTGGCCGTCTCTCTGCAACTAGTAACAGTTGGCCTGAAGCACCGAGAGGCAGAAGGAATAGAGCTGGGAGGGAAAACCCATGATGCCCCCCTATGATGTTTCTGCTACCCCCACCTGGAAGGGCTCCAAAGTGTGGGCCACCCAGCAGGTCTCTAGGAAAAAAATCTGATAGCTCCCCAGAGAAATTCCACCTAGCTGGAAAAAACAGTGAGTCTTTCCTGAGTGCTTACTGTGCACGTGATCTCACTTAATGTACACATGCCGCTATGGGGCAGACTTATGGCATCATCAACCCCATTTTACACAGTAGGAAACACAGCTCCAACCTATTCAATAATTTACTCAAGGTCACGCTGTTCGTAATTGCAGAGCCAAAATTTGAGCCCGAGGGCATCAAGTATCAAAGTCTACACTCTTAACCATTAAGCTGTGTCTTCTCCAAAGTGGGAACAGGTCACCTTGGTGTTGTTCACTTAGTCTAGAGACCACTTTTTTGTCTCGAGACACTCATTTGGCACAGAAAATCAAATAAATCACCAGAACCTGATGGATTAAATAAATCAACCCTAAGCAAAGACCCTACAACTTAGGAGAAACAAACTGCTAAGGTTTGCAGAGTTGCATCTCTAGGACTCCAGGAGCCTTTAAATACAAAAAGGAATTAAACTTTAGTGACAACGTTCTAGGCTTTGGCAGAAGTCAGCCCAGGGGAAGATGTAGCTGCCCCAGCTTAATACGCTGTCCCAACCAGGGACAAGGCCAGAACATTCAAACCAGGCAAGGGAGACTTCTAGTACAGCCCCACCCCTATCAGATTTCCTCCTACTGTCAACCCTGGTGGTTAAAGATTTTATTTTATTAAGAAAAGCAGTGTTCCAGTGTCTTTCAGTTCACTAAAAGGCCACACGGTTAATTAATGTCAGAGCTGCCAACCCTCGTACGTGGGGCTGGCCTGAGCCAGGCCTCCCAGGTGGACTCTTCTGGTTATTTGGAAAACACTTTGGCTTGAAGCTGAGGGTTCTGGAGTTGCCGTAGAACACTGGTGCAAACCACAGGATAAACTCAGAAGAACAAGACAGAGCCAGCATGTGGATCCACAGCCCTGCCCTCAGCTACAGGGGGAGGCTATAGGGGAAATGTGTCCTTGTCTGGCTTCAGAGAAGGAGTTGAGAATACTGAACTCTCAACTCTGTGCCCACAGCTCAACTCTCACCATCTCTAAAGGCCATTGGGCCCACAGCGAGGGTGATGTGCTCCGTGCTGAGGATATTGAAATGCATGCTGAGCAGCTCCTCTTTCCTCACAGCCCTTCAAAGAGCCCTCTGGCTCCTGGAAGCTGATCACTTTCCCAGAGACAGCTGACGAGTGGGACATAGGAAGAAGTGAGGTGCTGAAGGTGAAGCCAGTCCTCGATAATTATTATCATTCCGTCCCCTGCCATCATCTTGCTTTTCTCTTATTATTTATAGGATGGGAGAATGTACCAGACACATCGATCATGGTAGCTGTCGTACACACCATTCTCGCCTAAGAAAAACTGCCCAGTCACAGCCCCCAAGGAGGGAAGTGTCCCCAAGCTGTCCCTCATTCAGCATTTGCCTTGTTCTTAGCCATGTGACCCACACCTCCTCTTGGCCAGCTGTGATTGGACAGGGGCAGATGCCTTGCCCAAGACCTCCTATCCAGGGACTAGTGGGATTGTCTGATATGGCCCAGCTCAACCAACTCTGCCCAAATGAGAATTCAAATTGGCAATTAGATCCATTGAATTATCTTTCCTTCTGAGAAAACTAATTTTAGGGTCTAAAGAGAATTTTTTTTATAGAAACATGATCTCGCTGTGTTGGCCAGGCTGTTCACAAGCTCCTGGCCTCAACTGATCCTCCTGCCTTGGCCTCCCAAAGTGCTGGGATTGCAGGCATGAGCCACCATGCCTGGCCAGGAAACTGATTTTAGAGATAAAGAGAAAATGAGCCAACTGGTAGCAGAACAAAAGTCCTGAAGAAACACTTAGAAGAGGTGAGTGAAGAGCGAAGGCAGAGAGTCATATTGATGCCAGAGCCCTAGGACCAGTGGTTCTGAACCCAAATATCTCTGCACACCCACAGCAGCTGGCGGCATACCTTGCACAGGTGGCTAACACATTGTGCTCAAGGTAGAAAATGCACCTTTTGTTGCAACTGAGGATATGTATTGTTACAACAGTGCTTGTTGGACAGAATGTTGAGAGGAATACTCCTTGTAGAATGGGAGAATCCCAAACACGCACATCGGAGGGAAGAGGTAGAGTATAATGATAAGTGTGTGCCAACACAACCAAGTTTCCCAGAATGTGTGAAAACTGTCTTGTGAGGACAGAAGAGAGCACAGTTGGGGCCATAACAGTTATTCTCAAAGACATGGGCTTGCAGAGTAACCAAGTTAACGCTATAATAACCAAGGATGTTATTTAATTCTTCTAAAGGCTTGCCAAAAATTCTGATATTTGAACATGTGCCATTGTATTAGTCAGGACCTTTTGGTTTCAAGTAACAGAAACTCAACTCAAAATTAACTTACAAAGGAATCTGATGGTTCATGTCACTGAAAAATCTAGGGATAGAACAGACTTCAATGATGGCTGCATACAAATACCCAACATCATCAGGAATTATTGTTTCTCTCTCTCTTCTTATTTTTCTTTCCTTCAGTTGGCATTATTCTTTGGTTGGCAGGCTCTTCCCACACTCAACAAGGTAACCAATATTGGCTTCATGCTTCCTACTGACCTCCTTCCAGCTTAGCAGCATCAGCAGATAAGGAATAATTCCCTAGATCTACAGCACAAGTCCCAGGGGTAGTTCTCAATGGTCCACCTTGGAACACGTATCCATCCCTGAACCAATTAACAGAGCCAAGGAGAAGCTGTGATCTGATTGGCCTGGCCTGGGTCATATGCCCAGTTCTGGAGCTAGGGCATGATGTCAGCCCCACCAGAATACAGGACCTAATAGTAGAAAATGGTTATTGCTTAAGGGATGTTAAACAGGCAGTAACAACAGCCTCAGCCCCAAACAAAATAGTTGAGCACAACCTCTCCGGAGCAAAGATCCTTGAACTCCTGACATTAACCTCTTACAGATGCCTTGCATGCTAAATGACTTTCTGATCACAGTCTCCCTGAGTCCTCACTAGGCTTTTATCAATCAGGATTCTTACCTACAAACAACAAAATCCCCTCTGATTTGTTTAAACAGAAAAGAACTTATGGACGCATATTAGTGGCTCACAGACTCTCCAGCAAGGTCGGAGAAATAGGGGTTGGCACTCTGCAGCCACAAACAATACCCAAATCCTCACCTGTCTGGTCACAGGCTTGATCCCACTGCCTTTGGTGCATGTTACTATTATCATCTCTGTCTCTGCTGCCTCTGGGGTTCCATGTCCCTCCACCATGTTCCGCCCCATCACCAAGAACAATTCCATGCAGCAGCTTCTCCCTGGCTTTTCACTCTTCCAGACTGAAATCTCATCATACTGCATCCAATCCACAGAGCCTATGTCACATGCCTGTGTCCTAGCTGCAGAGGAGTCTGAGTAACTGAGTTCTGATCTCCACCCTGGTGAGGTAGCACCCCTCACATGGCGTATTTTCCAAATTTAAGAAGTTTCTTCAAATGATGTTGGGGTGGCACCAATATGACTAATATCTATTATACTACACCACCCCTGAGAAGTGAGGTCTTCTGCTTCTTCTGGGTTCTGGACAGACTGAGCAATGGAGCCAACTCTTTATTTTCACATGTTATATCCCAATAAACCTATGATTCTCTGTTCTTTGCAACCAGAAAGAAACCCAGTTAATGCAACACAATTTGGCCAATGTAATTTGGATAAAATTTAGCTTGGAGACAATGGTTTTCATCCCAGCAGGATTGGTTCACAGAAGCTCATGGCTTCTTTACAAGGAAAGGCTCCAGTGGGGCTTTTGAGGGGGTCTGGAAAGCATGGCCACATGGAGCCCTCTCAGGAGTGCCAGCCCACAGACATTTAATAGCCTTGTTCCAGAACTCTGCAAATGCCACACTGGGCTACCACTTAACCACAAGTCATCCCCAGCTATTAACAAGAAGCTGGATTGCAGGTAGGGACACCCTAGCAAGGGTCTTGCTAGTCTGATCATTTCCCTTCAGAGTCTGGAATCCTCTGGCAGCGCTTCACGGAGGACTGAACTCTCTGACCTTCCTCCTGTGGCATCTGCTGCTCCATCAGGAGCTGAAGCCATTCAGTAAGAAATCATTTTTGAGTATCAACGATGTCTCAGGCATTGTGCTCACACTGGATATGCTCTGTCTCCAGGGGGCCTTCAGACAAGGAAATTAGCCAAGGCTTAAATGGCATGAGAGGAGGCCAGGGAGGGAACAAAAATGTTCAAGTGCTATTATCCAGAAAGAGATGCATTGTTTTCATTTCTAAGCAGATTTATTGATCAGGTTCACTATGGACATCAAGGTCTTTGACCTAATATAGAAGTATAGTTGTTCTATTTTCTGAGCAGGTCGACAACAAAGAAATTTCTGTGACTGGAGAATTCATTTGTGTAAAAGCCATCTGAGGATTTCACCATTAAATACTTTTAGTTATATTGAATAAATGAAGAGAATAAAATTAGAGGAAATAGTGACCACTTCAGAAAATCTAGATGGTGCAGAGCCAGTTGGATATGCATACCTTGTTAGTCTTGGGGTGAACATTAGAAAGTCCAGTCTTTCTTTTTTTCTTTTTTTTTTTTTTTGAGACAGAGTCTCGCTCTGTTGCCCAGGCTGGAGTGCAGTGGCGCGATCTTGGTTCACTGCAACCTCCACCTCCTGGGTTCAAGCGATTCTCCTGGCTCAGCCTCCCGAGTAGCTGGGATTACAGGCACGTGCCACCACGCCCGACTAATTTTTGTATTTTTAGTAGAGACGGGGTTTCACCATGTTGGCCAGGCTGGTCTCAAACTCCTGGACTCAAGTGATCCGCCCGCCTCGGCCTCCCAAATTGCTGAGATTACAGGAGTGAGCTACCGTGTCCAACCAGGAAGTCCAGTCTTTTACCAATGGCCCCCGGCCCCACCCCTGACTCTCCTCAGAATACCGACATGTTTCACACAGTTGGAGGGTGGACAGTTGTGCAAAATATGCGTGCTGACAGCAAGGGAAAAGAGGAAATGTCTGATTTGGACCCCAAATCTCCTCCAGGAACCCAGTCACCCTGTGGCCCACCAACCTTGCCATTTCTGCAGAGGCGGCAGGTGCCCCAGGAGACCACTAGGTGTCGCTGTGAACCTGTGCAAGCGCGGCCTCACCCTGTGGGCGCACACAGCGCGGTATGTTTTCAATCAACACCTTGTCAGTTTTTCTCCCCGAGGCCCCAGGGGTGTGCTAGGAATTTTTATTTCTTGAGAAATACTGTGATTCAGCTGCCCTTTGTTGGCCCTGCTAGAGAGAATGAAGGTTGTGCTTGCTCCTGCCAGCCCCCCAGGCAGGGGAGTCCCCTTGCAAGCGTCTTCAGGCCACCAGCCTCTCTCTATCTCCCCACCTCCCATTATTCCTCTTCATTCTCCTTTTTACCTTTCTCTCTCGGTGCCCGGTAACACCGATGTGCTGCTTAGGGAAAGGTCGCCATCCTAGAGGCCTCCTTCAACCCTTCTGAATTTCACCAGTTCCTAAATAAACTAGCTTGCAAATTCTGTCCTTATCCTCCCCTTCTGACTCTGCTCCCAGCCTTGCCCCTTTCTTTCAAAGCAACCGCAAGATTGAGGCAGTGTTGGGGTGGGAGCAACAAGAGGCTCAACTATCTTTTTAGTTTCCTTTTTTTTTTTTTTTTTGACACAGGGTTTTACTCTGTTGCCCAGGCTGGAGTGCAATGACACGCTGACGGCTTCATGCAGCCTTGACCTCCTGGGCTCAAGCAATCCTCCCACTGCAGACTCCCTAGTAGCTGGGACTACAGGCCTGAGCCACCATGTGCAGCCAATTTGTGTATGTTGGTAGAGCTGGGGTTTCGCCATGTTGGCCAGGCTGGTCTCAAACTCCTGGACTCAAGTGATCTGCCTGCCTCAGCCTCCCAAAGTGCTGGGATTACAGGCTTGAGCCAGCGCACCTGGCCAAGGGTCACCTATCTTACTAGGCTTGTCAGAATCTACTCCTGGCACACAGGGGCTTAAAAGTCAGATCTGCTTTCAGATCCTACCTCCCTCTGCCACTTACTAGCTGTGTGACCTTTGGCAGGTCACACACCCTTTCTGAGCCTCAATTCTTCATATGTAAACTAAATTTACACATATAAATTCTACATTAAGTAGAATTATAAATGTGAAGACCTCACGTGATCTGGCATGTAGCCGGCATTCCATAAATGCAAAGTGATTTTCCTTATGACTACAGGGACACTTACACAGACACATATACACACACTCAACCAAAGACAGAATTTGGGAACTTTACTCTCCTGAGCATGTAGCAAGATGGTATGTCAAGGAAACAAAATTCAGGGGTGTGTATTCCGAGATGCCAAGAACCCCCATGGATTCTAACCCTCTCTACATATGTCAGCAGTGATCGACCTGTTCTGAACCCAACTGGGTGCTGTCTTGGTCAGTGGCCATAGTTTGCTTGGCAAAATGCCAGGATAGCTGTCCTGGACCCTTTGGGAAAAGGCCACTTGTGGGTGGAGCAGCCACTCACTCCTTCCTCCAGAAGGCTTGGTGCCGCCACATTCCCTGGTTTCAAGCTACCACATTGCTGCTGTGGTTTTTTGCGGTGGCCACAGGGTGGAATCTTGGCCCAGGATGCCCTGTGGCTGCTCTCTGCAGGCATTGAGGACACATACCCTGAAAGGCTCGGGAGAAGGTGGAGAGAAGGGAGAGTAGTCTTTTACCAGAGGTGTTCCTGGACCATTCACTGGACGCTAAATGGCAAATAGAGAGGCCACGCCCCTGCTGGCCAACATAGATCACTGCAGCCCCTCAGCCTTTGGGTAGAGGCTGTTCCTGAGTGATTAGGATCTCTGCTTGGAAGGCACTTCAGTACTCATAGCCAGGATGAGGCTGCTTCTGTGGAGCAGCAGATAGGTAGTGGGTGTGTGAAGAACAGAGAAAAGAATAAACATTGCCTCCTGCATTGCCCAAAGCAGTGCGCTGGGCTTGGCAGGGTTGCAGGAGGCCAGGGGTGGTTTCAGACCCCTAACTCAAGCCTCAAAAGACAGGATATGCTCAGAACACATTGCTCCTGCAGAGGCTGGTGTTGACTCTGAACCTGTGAAGATTTCTGCAGCCATGAGCAGCCTTGGACTTTCAGGGTAGAGAGCTGTTCAGCAAGAGGATCCATCTGGGGGTCCAGTCACCTGACCCCTTTTCCCATCAGAACACAAATCAAAGGCCATCACTAAGCCCTTCCTGCCTAGGCTCAGAGGAGACACACTCAGTTGCCATCCTGGCTCTGTGACCTCTGGACAAGTCTCCTAATCTCTCCAACCTTCAGCTTTCTCATCTGTAAAGTGGATATGATCTTCAAGATGCAGACCATTCTCAGAGGCGTGCCATGAGGATTATAGATGGTGCAGGTGGAGGGCCCGCTTGTGGTAGGCACGCACTGCAATCATGAGGTTTCCAGAGACTTCTCTGCAGGCTGCTAAGGTGCAGCAGGAGCTGTTGCTGCTAACCTCAGCGAGGTGTGCCAGCACGCCAGATCAGACTCCTCAAACCAAAGCAGACAGAAGCTGGGAAGGGCTGAAAGCCCGACACTGCAACCTGAGCAAAGGGTGCCTCACTTGTCTGTTTGAAAAGCTCATGAAACCCTTGAGCATTGCTGGTGGAAATTTAAAATGGTGCAGCCATGGTGGAAAGCAGCCTGGCAGTTGGTCAACAAGGTAAATATAGAGTTACCACATCACCCAGTAACTCCATTCCTAGGTATATACCTAGGAAATAAGAACAAATGTCCACAGAAGAACTTGTATGCAAATGCTCATGGCAGCATTATTTATAGCAGCCAGAAGATGGAAACAACCCAAATATCATCAACTGATGAATGGATAAATAAAATGTGGTATATCCATGCAGTGGGCCATTATTCAGCCATAAAAATGAATGTATGGACCTACCATGTGGATGAATCTTGAAAAGATTATGCTAACTGAAATAAGCCAGACACAAAAGGACAAACATTGTATGATTCCATTTCTATGAAATGTCCAGTATAGGCAAATCCATAGAGAGAGAAAGCAGTTCAGCGGTGCCAGTGCCTGGGGATGGGGAATGACTGTTAATGTGCGTGAAGTTTATTTTGGGGATGATGAAAATGTTTTGGAATTACATAGCAGTGGTGGTTGCACAACTCCGTGAATATCTAAAAACCACTGAATTCTATGGCATGTGAGTTAAATCACAATAAAACTGTTATTTTAAAAAGGACCCTTAGCCTGCCAGCTGGAGTGTGCTTTGACCATGGACCAGCAAATGAGGTGGGCCATGCAGGGAGTGCAACTCTTGTGAGCCTTGCCTATAAATCAGATTAAGCGGCTTCTCTCCCTCAGCTGCCCCGGGTTCTGAAGGGGCTGCAGCAGCCACAGTCTGTCTCTGAACACCACCCTAATGAAAAGGCTGCTGAGGGCGCTGTGGCCTAGAGCGTAAGCATCCACAATGCTCACTCCAGGCCCTAGGCCAGCCTCACCCGGATAGCCCAGCTCGCAGTCACATGGGGAAAATCAGAGTTTACGAGCATGCTCTGCTTCGGTTTCAACACTGACGGGGATCACGTTTTCCAAACCAGGCATCAGAACTGATTGTATGGTTTGTACCCATGGGGACAGTGGGATGCACCATTTTAAGTGATATCCGTCTCCAAAAATTTGGGCATAAGGCTCCGGTTTTCCAGAACACATTCATCTCCTTCTGTTCCCCCAAACAGACAAGTTTTCTAAGAACTTCAACTCTCTGGGGAGTCCTAGACAGAAGTTAGAGTTTCCTACAATTCAGGTCTCCTGACGTTTAATCAGAACTGTACTTTTTCAGACTGAGAGCCAATCGAATGCACCGTTCAGCTTGAGGGCTGCCTACAACCACCTTCACAGCGGGGCATAGAGTCCAGACCTCGAAATCACCCTGCAGGCCTGTTTCCTGTTTCCTTGGGTCATCGACTGGAATCTTGCCGGGAAGTGTGATGTGGCCGGAACACTGACCGGTCTCTTCACTCTCCCCACACACCTATGTGTGCACACATGACTACCATTCCCCCGCTGCAGACCAAGCATGGGGCAGTCACACTCGGGAGAGCCGCTCAGTATTATCTAAAATGACTTTGTCTGGTAGCTTCCACTGAGGGAGGGGCTCATGCCTGCTGGGGAGCCTTGATCTCATACAGGAACAGGGCTCAAGAGAACTCAGGACTTCATTCATATCCGGGACACTCCTTCACAAAGGTACCACAAGGTTTCTACTGTCCTCCACCTCTGCCCCCCTGGACCCAGCCCCCACCATCTCATATCTGGATGAATCCAACAGCTACAGAGCTGGTCTTTCTACTTCTACCCTTGTTCTCTCCCTTCCTTAAGTCTCTTCTCAAATCAGCAGACAGATGCTTTCAAAACATAAGTAAGTTATGTCACTCCTCTGCTCAACACCATGCAATGGCTCCCATCATACTCAGAGTAAAAGCCGAAGTCCTTACAGTGGCCTACAAGGCCCTATGTGATATGCAAACTCCTCTCCACACATATCCCCCAGCCCACACACCCCCACTCACCACCACACACACACACTCATCCGCCCCTGCCTCCCCACCGACCCCTCTCTGAAGTCCTGTCCTCCAGCCTCATGCTCATCACTCTGTTCCTCCTGCTGTTCCTCCACTTCACGTTGCCTTGCACTCACTGCCTGGAAGGTTCTTCCCAGTTATCTGCACAGCCCCTGCCCACACATCCACCGCTTGAATCTCCCCTTACCACAGGGGCCTTCCTTGGCCACCTGTTTAAAGTGGCCATCCTCCATAACCCCTGACCCTGTTTATTTTTCTTAATGGCACTTAACACCATTCACATATCATATATATATATATATATATATATATATATATATATATATATATATATATACACACACACACACACTTATATCTAGGATATCATATATGTATATATCTAACCTGTTTGTCTATCATCTCAGTGGGAATAAACAAAGACCAACCCTATGATAAAGCGAGGGCCATTTATTCCGAGCTTGCTATATTAAGGGAGTCAGCAACTGGCACTTGCCTTTGGCGAGAGGCCCAAAGGCAGGCAGAGGAGAGGGAGAGCTTCATGGTGGAAACCGGGGAAGGCTTCAGGTGAGCCCTGCTTACAGGCTGTTGGCAGGAGGAAGCTGGAGGTGGGCTAGAGGCAGGGCAGCCTATGTGATTGGTTAGGGTGCATATTTGGCTTTCTGTGATGGGTCCTAATTAGGACTCGGGGACAAAAATAGGGAAGCTATCAGTTATTAACCAAGTTCTGGCCATTTGGGGCCCATTGGTACATGGGTTGTTTAGCTTCCTAGATTGTCACTAGAGATAGCAGTCTGGCCTCCTGCAAGTCTGATAGCAGGCTGGCTTCGTGCGTTGTTCATTATAATTAATTATCTATAATAACTATAGATAAGGGAGTGGGTTTCCTGGGCAGGTTCCCTGCTGCAGGCTGTGGGGCAGTGTTCTGTTTTTATATAGAGTCCAGCCATCTCTCTGTGGTTCTGTTGTATGTTCAGTCTTTTATACCTCATTAGAATATAAACACTAAGAATACTGTTTTATTTACTGTTGTATCCCCAGAGCCTAGAATAGTGCCAGTTACCTAGCAGGTACTCAGAAACTATCTGTTGTTGATTATGATCATGTTTATCTAGCTCTAGTTAGAAAAGTTGTGATTTTGCTACATGATGTGGAAAAAAGGCCAACCACAAGCCTGCTTCATTCAATCCAGTTCTATAAATGTTTGTTGAGTGCTTGCTACATATCCAGGAGGTTCTGTGTTAGGCCACTCCAGGTTACACAAGACGAGTATTAGCTGAAAATGGATTGACAACCAGGATTCTAAATGCTTTTGCCTTTCCTCCAAATTTCTCTTCGACTTTAAATTCAACTCCACCTATAACACCACTGCAGGTTCCAGGCCCATTATTCTTTCAGAGGCTGTGTGGGCCCATGTCTAGTTTCTCCAGCACTCACTGCATGTGGAGCTCATTTAGCTCCTCTCAGAAAGGGCCTGTGTGGCAACCGGTTGTTTTTTGAATGAGCTGATTATCTTCTCAGTTGGGTTATTCCCTGAGAGCCAGAGCCACACCTTGCCCCCAGTGCAGGTGACACATAGGAGGGTCCAGGGGTGATGGGAATCTCCCCCACTCCCCATTTTGGACCTTTGCCCTGAACTCCAAATCAAATATCTCACTGATGTCAGGTTTCTTTCATATTCTGCACACAGAGGTCACACTGCCTCAGAGCTGCCATGTGGAGGTGCATTAACAGTCTACTGTCCTGATAGCGCAAAACTGGGAGCCCTACTTGGACATCTCAACTATTTTCTGACAAGGGCTTTCTGCTTTTTTTTTTTTTTAAGGTTCTGAATTATCTGTTCCTCTGGGGAAACATTCCAGGGATTTTATTCCTGGCTAATTTATCTTTCAAGTCGAACACTCAAGGATCCAAGGAGCAAATAGGCCAGGATGCAGCTGGAACTAGAACTCTGTGGAATAGCTTATCAGCAGGCCACATTCAGCTGTAGAAACAGAATGGAGGCTGCTCAAGGGCAGGGATGGGAGCTGCTGTGTTTCCTAATGAGTCAACGCTTGGCACATGGTAGTTGCTCCACAGATATTTATTGAATGAATACGAAGGATAAACACACGCTAAGTTTGAAATGAGAAATCCTAAGTTTCAATAGCAATCATTGTCTTCAATGTTCACTCATTTTGTAGCTTAATTTTCACAGCCATTACAAAATACATTAAGTAAAAAGGCAAACAATGAGAACCCCAGATGTGAAAGGGGGCTCTGGGGAGCAGAAGTGTCATTTCCCAGTTCTGCTTGTGAGCCACCCGTGCTTGCTACACAGGCTGAGTTTCAGACCCTGCTTTCTAATGAGCACAACAAAAAGCTCCAATGTCACAATCTACTATGCAGTTTCAAAGTCTTCGACAATTATAATTGTTACGTGGTCTAATTCCTGAACGTATTTACCCCAGTTTTATAATGAATCAGAATGAGAAAAGTAAACATTGGCTATAATCAACTCATACCTGTTTAAGGCCTTGAGAGGGAGATGGGAGAAAACTTTCACCAAATCCACGACGGTTGCTGTCTTCATTTTATTCAGATAATTTTGTTCCCCCCAAAACCTGGTCAACGCTGGGAAATTGGCTGTCTGTAACCAATCAGACTGATTGCCAGCCGAGTCTTCGTTGCAACGTTGTAACTTCACCTTAGCCTCTGATTGGTTGCTTTTTGCAACCAATCAGATGTTTGCACAGGAGCGTGACCTTTGTAACTCCACTTCAGTCTCTGATTGGTTGCTTCCTGCAACCAATCAGACCAATTGTGGTCCACTACTTCATTTCCATGAGGTGAGCATGAAGTGGCCAAGGGGAAACCTCCAAGGGGTATTTGGACTGAGAAGACTGTATCTGGGCCCTTGAGTCACTTGCTCAGGCCCGTTCCCACACTGTGGAGTGTACTTTGGTTTTCAATAAATCCCTGCTTTCATTCTTTCGTTGCCTCATTCTTTCTCTGCTTTGCTGGGCATTTTGTTCCATTCTTTGTTCAAAACTCCAAGAACTTGGACAACTTGCAGTCAAGACCCTCCACCGGTGACACTTTGACTTCTGGATTTCCCCGAACCAAATAGCCGGATATACAAAAGAAACGGGGCAGCAGGTGTTCTCTCCTCCTGGCGCACTCTTGCCCCTATTTCTTGAGTTTCTCGAGGCTTGCCTTGCGACTAGGAAGACACTCAGCTCTTCCTGCCTATCACCAGAGAAGACACTGAGCTCTTCAGAGAGGCCCCAGGCTTCAGGAAGTCCCTCTTGGTGCCTGACTTAAATCTCTTCTCTGGCCATTAAGCACAATTCCCTCTTGCCCTGTCATCACTGGAGAAGAAAGACCAGCTGCTCACCACTCTCTCCTTTTAATTATTCTTTTTTTTTTTTTTTTCTTGACACAGAGTTTTGCCCTTGTCACCCAGGCTGGAGTGCAGTGGCGCAATCTCAGCCCACTGCAACTTCTGCCTCCTGGGTTCAAGCGATTCTCTTGCCTCAGCCTCCTGAGTAGCTGGGATTACAGGTGCCTGCTAACACGTCCAGCTAATTTTTCTATTTTTTAGTAGAGACAGGGTTTCACCATGTTGGCCAGGCTGGTCTCAAACTCCTGACCTCAGGTGATCCACCTGCCTCAGCCTCCCAGAGTGCTGGGATTACAGGCATGAGCCACCTCACCCGGCCCTTTTAATCATTCTTAATGGGCTTATAAGCAGTTATTAAGTCCCCCTTCAGCCTTCTCAGAACCTCATTTTACTTGCATTGAAGCTGAGAGCTTCCAAGGAAAGCATTTGACTCCGGGCCCCACAGATTTGCAATGCCTTAAATGGGCAATCAGCCACTTCACTCACTTTAACCTGCATAAATGAACAGTTCTGCCTTCTTTTGCAAAGTTTAAATCCATTCAAGGGAGTTCCCTGGCAACCAACCCTTATTAATAAATCACGCTCAATCTAGGCCAGGACAGGCATTTTGCAAATGCTTCTTTTGCTTGAGAAGTGACACTGGCACTAGGCACACAGTAAACAAGCTGCTGCTCTCTCTGAAGCTCTACATTTGCTGGATCCAGTCTGTCTCCCACAGGACCTTGTGGACCTGGTAGGCTCTCACCTGACTCCCCAGTTGGGAAGGGAGTGCTTCCCTAATGAACACTCACCTGGACCTTTCTTAGGGTTACTGGACTAGGGTCGCAGCAGCTGGGCAGCAGGGCATAGAGCTCGAGTGAAGCTTGCTCAGGCTCTGCTAGGCACACATTGGAAAGTTACATTTCCTATTCCATCATAATACCATTTATTCCCAGTTCATTGCTCATGCCTACAGGTGGAAGTCTGAGTTTTATGTCTAGATGGGGCTTCCAGTATGTCCCCACTCAGAGTCCTGCAGTTCCTTCCAATCATAGGAAGTGGGAAGGAGCAAGGCAGGTAGGTTGTAAGGCTGATGGTGTTTCAGCTTTGAGGAAAAAGTGATTTCACTTCAATAGTAATTTTAACCAGAATGGCTAAAGTTAAAAGGATTGACAATCCCAAGTGTTGGCAAGGATAGAGAGCAATTGCAACTCTCAGTGTTTGCTGCTGGAATGTGAATCAGAGCCACCACTTTGGAACTCTTTGGCAGATCCAGCAATTGCTCCAGCAATCCCACTCTTAGATATATGAGCAAAAAAGTGAGTGTTTATGTTCACCAAAAGACATGTACAAGAAAGTTCATAGTGTTGTAATTCACTTTTATTTTTTTTTTCTGAGATGGAGTCTTGCTTTGTCACCCAGGCTAGAGTGCAGTGGCACAATCTCAACTCACTGTAACCTCCACCTCTCAGGTTTAAGCAGTTCTCCCTACCTCAGCCTCCCAAGTAGCTGGGATTACATGTGCCCACCACCACACCAAGCTAATTTTTGTATTTTTTAGTAGAGACAGGGTTTTGCCATCTAGGCCAGGCTGATCTTGAACTCCTGACCTTAGGTGATCTGCCCACCTTGGCAAAGTGCTGGCATTACAGGCATGAGCCATCATGCCCTGCCTGTAGTTCACTTTTAAGTATATTTTTTAAAAGTAAAAAATCTGAAGCAGCTGCCACCCAAGTGTAGAATAGATAAATTGTGATATAATCATAGAATGAAACCAGACATAACCATGAAGAGAACTGAACTACTGCTAGACAGGACAACGTGGATGAATCTCACATGCAGGATGCTGATCCGGACACCACAAGAAAAAACAAAAGAAGGTGCCTACTGAGTTTTCTTCTTTCCAGATGACCAACTCTTAACTTACTCATCTGTTTTTTTCACTGTTCTGCTTCTTTTGAAGAAGATTTGAGGTGACTTACAAAGGTGTATGGCATATTTATAACTGAAGAAATCTGGGTGATGTTAAAACGAGGGCAGGAAAATAAGGTGGAAACCAGATGTAAGGATAGTCTTCACTATTTATGTCAGGAATTCCTACAAACTTTCTATGGTGAACAGAATAGAGCTTCCTAGCAGTCAATGCAAAGAAGAAACACAACAATTCCACACCCCAAAGTTAACAGTCTTGCTTATCAGAAGCACAGGTAGTTCTGAAATCTGATAGAAAATGTTCCTGTATCATTTCAGAACACGCAACTATGTGATCAAACCCCTTTCTATTTGTTTAAAAATTTGTCAAACATCCCATGTTTGACCCTGGATGTCTGAATCCCCTCAGCCCACATTTTCCCCCCTACACCATGCCCACACCATCCCCATAGAATTTAGGGTGAGGCAGCATCTCAGTGATTGACAGGCCCCTCCTTAGACCCCGTTTACTTTCCTGGGTGTGGTTTGGGGTAAGCCCTGTTCATGAAGGCTGGATTTCTGTTCTTTGGGTTGCCCAGCTTGCCACCCTCATTTCTGGAACCCAGACCAGCATCCTCAGCCCACGCTTTGCCACTCAGCTCATCTTCTTCCCAGTTGGCACTTCTCAGTGACCCCATCCCTTCCCCAGCAGTGACTCTGCGTGGGGCAGCTCCCTGGTGGCTGGACTCTTTCCATTTTGGCATTTGGGTTAGTGGATCTTTCCACTTTCTGGCTCCAGTTTTTGAGTTGAATTCATATGTTTCCCCGGTCACTAGTGAAAAAAAAATACAACAATCACATAAGCCAGAAAATTCCAATGACTGTCTCTTCCCCCACTTCTACCCTGCTCTGTTCTGACTCCCAAGGGAAGATGAAGCACACTAGAAGGTGTGAATCACTGACACAGACAGTAGGTGTGTGAATAGCCCCACAATCTCCACCAGCCTGCCCTTGCCACAAGCCGTGCTGCTCGGACCACACAGGTAGCAAACAGCAAACCTCTCTGGATAGAAAGGCTTAGGAGCGTCTCAAGGACATCTCAATTGCAGGATGAGAAGGCCATGTAACTCTTGAACTCCATGCAAGCTTTGGATAAATTAGGTTCAATCTCTAATGGGATTACCCGTTACTTTCTGATTCATTTTGTTTGTTTTAAAAGACCCCTGAATTCCTGCTATAAAAAGGAATTCACCAAGTGAGAAGGAAAAGGCTGATTTTTATTTATGTTAGGTTAGCAGCAATTTGTAGACACAGATACAAAAATCTGGTCCCGCTTGAGATGATACAAGGAAGCCATTTTTATTGTGTCCGAGCCAGCAGACACTAATTGACTTAGGCCAGTTGGCTCATGTCTTTCTTTTTTTTTTTTTCTCTCAACTACACAAAAACACAAAAATCCCCCCTTTTGCTCTGGAAGAGCCTTTTGCTCTGGAAGATCAGGTTTAAGGCAAGCCCTTGCTCCTTGTCTTTTCCATACAGCATGAGTGGCCTCTCAGCTCAGGATCCCACCAGCACTTATGCTAATGTGGGCACATTATGGTAACAAGCACCTAATAATAGAGGGAAATTTAATTCCAGCAGCAGCAGCAGCGGCGGCGGCAGCCTCTCACTGGAGAGGAGCCATCCTCCTTAGGAGGAGGACCGGTGCCGTTTGCATATGAGGGTGGCAGGAAGCCAACACACTTGCCTCCTGAATTTGGTTTCCTTCCCTTTATTCACGTCTATAATTGAGCCTTTGTAAGCAGAGGGATGAGTGTAAAGGAGCTAAATTTGGAGCTGATTTCACGGGGGTGATGAGAGCTCTGGAGGCCAGCTCTACCTTATGTTCATCTTGCCGACCAAGAGGAAATTCTTGGCCCTGATCTAGGGAAAAAAGAAACTACACTTGCCATTTCTCTGTATCTTCCACTACTAATAAGTGCTATTAGAAGCATCCAGGAAGAATGTGGATGGGCTGGGGGGGGCAATCAGTACCAAACAGCAGGAAAAAAAATGTGGATTCCTGGATTCACCAGTTCCCTCAACTGGTTTGTAATTTAGGAAGGGAGGCAAGAAAGAGGCATGGCCCTTGAACGTGAGCCTTTAGGTGGAGACCCACTGAGGCCTCACGTAAGTGTGACCCTGTACTTGAGCATCTGCTAGCCAGCTGGGTTCACAGCTGATCTCACGTTGTATTTAGCCTAGAAGAGTCAGCACTATATAGGCAACATAGCCAAACGGATTGACAAAATGAGCTAAAAGCAGGAAATTGGATAAGATCCTCCATGCTTCTACCAGTCTGGAATATAAAAAGCATTCTTACAGTGGTATTGCCACTTAATTACCTGGATCTATGGCTTCTCCATCAAAGATAGTGTTCATCTGGATAGTTTCCTAAGGAGAAGACAGAGACAGCATCAAACACAATCCTACATTCCTTCCCCCAGGCAAAGCTACACATCCTCACAACCCAAGTTCCTTAACCAAAGCCTTCTTGACTTCTAAGTCTTTAATTAGGCACTGTGATAGATGCAGGGGACACAGTGATGAACAAGGCAGGCATAGTCACTGCCTGTACAAAGCTTGCCAATTACAAACAGGTGCTGCAATGCAGAGTAATAAGGCTATGATGGGGAGATATAGGGTGTTATGGGGCACAGGTAGGGGTAGAGGGGACATTTAAACCACACTTGGGGGTTAAGGAAGCATCCTGAGTAAATAAAATCTGAGCGTAGAAGGAAGAGTGGAAATGCCACACAGCATGGCTAAGACCTACGTTGTGTCAGTGAATTGCTGTCAGGCATTGTCAAGGTGGACACAGGTGAGCTCCCAGGTGTCCGTACCTCTGGCCCTGGCACTCTGGCCCTCCCCTGCGGCCTCCCCTTGCCTAGGCCAATGCAGTGTCGCATCTGGGCCTCACCTAAGCCCTGTGCTCCAGGTCTTTTCTCTTCCCTGATCTGTCCTTGGTGCCACCCTCCAGGACCTGACTTCTGCCTAATGCACCTGTCCCTTGTCCCCATAGAAACACCCCCTTCCCTCACATGCTGCCCTCTAGAGGTGCCAAAGTCAGGGTCACTAGCACAGTAACAAGGATTGTGTTTGGAGTTTAGCAAGCTTTCCAATCTCCAGTTTTTATCACTTAAAGGATCCCCTACCTAGTTCCCCACAACTCCCCAACTCTGAAGAGAGAGGAAATGGGGATTATATGGCCTTCATCAATTTGACCAGCTAAGCAGCCCCACTGTTTGTGGTCATAGGTATTTATTTAATAGACTAATTTAATATTACATAGTTCTAGAGCAATCGCTAAGTGGCATCCCCAAGGGTACTCGCCTTAGACAATAAGACCCAGGAGACCTGAGACTGCCTCTTTTCCTGTTTGTACACTGGCCAGAACATAGAAGACTTAGGGGATGGATGTGCCTGAAGCCAAAATTCCAGTGCCCTGCACTGACTTCCTCATTGGAGGAGCCATTGAATTATGCAACAAATTCATGAAGCTTGGACCATGACAAAGCCTTATTCGTGGGGGTAGGGAAGAGCTGGAGGGAGCCACCTTCAAGTTCCTTCACTTCACTTCCCAGGGGGTAGATAAGGTTCTGTCAAAGAGAGAGAGAGAGAGAGAGAGAGAGAGAGACAGAGGTGGAGGAGAGGGAACTTTCCAGCTATCCTGTAACACTTTGCATTTGTGTGACACTTAACAATTTTCAAACTATTTCTCCATCTGTTATCTCAGGGCAGATATCCTCACCCCCATTTTACAGGTGAGGAACCTAAAGCTCAGAGAGGCCAAGGAAGTCCCCGAGGTGATAAGGCTAAGTGGGTAGAGCCAACCCCGGACCAGGGAGGGCCCTTTCTCTGTCACTTTTCTGCAAGGTAGTGGAAGAGCAAAGAAAGTTTAAATCAGCTGGGCGCAGTGGCTCATGCCTATAATCCCAGCACTTTGGGAGGCCACAGTGGGTGGATCACTTGAGGTCAGGAGTTCAAGACCAGCCTGGCCAACATGGTGAAACCCCATCTCTACTAATAATACAAAAAATTAGCCAGGCGTGGTGGCACGTGTCTGTAATCCCAGCTACTTGGGAGGCCGAGGCATGAGAATCGCTTGAGTCTAGGAGGCAGAGGTTGCAGTGAGCCGAGATTGTGCTACTCCACTCCAGCCTGAGCAACAGAGTGAAACTGTGTCTTAAAAAGAAAGAAAGAAAGAAAGAAAGAAAGAAAGAAAGAAAGAAAGAAAGAAAGAAAGAAAGAAAGAAAGAAAGAAAGAAAATTTAAATCTCACTGGAGGCTGAAGCACTAGTTTTGGTCTTTAAGCTTCACTCCCTCAACTCACTCTCGTGGAGAGCTGGTATAGATAATAAACACCACTACTCAATATTTATGAAATCCTGTTCTTCTGCAAATATATCAGCAGGCATGTTCAGTGGAGGGAACAAATTCTATCAGGAGCTCGTCACACAGCAATCTGTTCCAGTAGCCAAACACAAGCACCTCCCTGAATGATAAACATGCCCACAAGGCTGTGGCAGGCCTGCCTTCGGGGGAGACGGGAGCCCCTATCCCCCAGCGTCTATGCCTGGTGCCCCACACTGCCCATACTCACCACCACGACGTCTCTCTCTGCAGTCTTCGTTTCTGCAGAGAACAGAACAGGCAGAAGTTAAGCTTCTTGGGTGGTAAATTGACCTTAAAATTCCACCTCCACAACGGTATTTCCCCTAAATAGGCTTCGATCTCAGTCTTGCAGACACAGCAAAGAATTGTTCTGTCTATAGATATGTTTCTTGACAACTTTCCATCTTCTCAGAAAAAAATACGTACACATATGTATACACACACACACAATAACATACGAACAATTTAGTTGTTTTTTATTCTTTTTCTAGCTTATTATCAGTGGACCTAGAAAACTGGCTTTTACATGGCTTTTAAGATAAGAAAGAAAGATGGGATTGGATACCTCTGTTCATAAGGTGTGGGTTTTGTGCATTAATTCCCAAGCCCTTTTATTTTATTTTATTTTATTTTATTTTATTTTATTTTATTTTATTTTATTTTATTTTATTTTAAGACAGGGTCTCACTCTTGTCGTCCAGGCTAGAGTGCGGTCACAACTCGCTGCAGCCTTGACCTCTTGAGCTCAAGTGATCCTCTCAGCTATCTCCCCAGTAGCTAAGACTACAGGCGTACACTACCACACCCAGCTAATTTAAAAATTTTTTTTCTACAGACAGGGTTTCACTATCTTGCCCAAGCTGGTCTCGAACTTCTGGGCTCAAGTGATCCTCTAGCCTTGGCCTCCCAGAGTGCTGGGATTATAAGTGTGAGCCACCATGCCCAGCCCCCATCCCCTTTTTAAAAAGTGGGATTAGAGACAGTTTGTGAAAATCTCATTTATTAAAATCATCTCTGTCAATATGATCAATAACCACTATAATCAAATTTCTAACCCTGTTGAGACATGCCTTAAGCATGTCAGACACATGCCTGTAGATGGAGTGATTAAAGCAAACTTTTTTTTTTTTTAATTAAAACACTGTCCAATTCTTTGTCCTGTCTCCCCCACACTCTGGAGTCTACTTGAGGCCAAGCCAGGACACCTCCTCAGACCTGGAGCTGCTCAGATGGACCTTCCCAATTTACCCACTTCTCTGAAGTCAGTCAGCTCTCAGCCCATCTCACCACCCTCATCTCCCCCTTCTCACTAGTCTAACCTAAATAATTTGTGGAAATGATCAAATCCATTAGAATCTGGGAATCAAATATTATCTGTTCTTTTTTTTTTTTTTGAGACAGAGTCTCACTATGTCGCCCAGTCTGGAGTGCAGTGGCGTGATCTTGGCTGACAGCAACCTCCACCTGCTGGGTTCAAGCAATTCTCCTGCCTCAGCCTCCCGAGTAGCTGGGACTACAGGTGCGTGCCACCATGCCCGGCTAATTTTTTGTATTTTTAGTAGAGACGGGGGTTTCACCATGCTGGCCAGGCTGGTCTCAAACTCCTGACCTTGTGATCCACCCACCTCGTCCTCTCAAAGTGCTGGGATTACAGGCGTGAGTCACTGCGCCCAGCCTTATCTGTTCTTTCAAAAGAGGCCTGTGTCCAGCACAAAGCATTAGCTGTCCTCAGGACACCCTCCATGGGCTGCAGTAAGCAGGTCCTGTCTACATTTAACACACGGAGAGTTCTTTCTTCCTGTGCCATGCAGCAAGGGACAGACCTAGGTGTTCAGCTGAGCTGATTGGCGAGGGCTCTAGGTAGGGCATAGGCAGGACCAAATTGAGATATCCAGGCAGGCCAAGGCACTGTCCCCCCACCCTTCCCATTCTCCAGCTGCAACCGACCTCCGCTTCCTTCCAGCCACAGAAGATGCAGCTGAAAATGCTCCAAGATGTGATCGCGGCCTGATTCTTTGCCGAGTAGGAACCTTTTTACGTAGCACAACAGAGCAAGCAAAAAACAACAGACAAGGGAAACAGGTACTGTACATACCTCCTTTCTTTGTCCTATGGGGGGAAAAAGAATGGCTATTAATTCACTTGAAAGTATGCTGCACTGGCACACACATGACACCATGGGGTTCTTTGGGCAACTATGCCCTTTGAGATACAGGGGTTGACTGAAAGAGGTGCCAGGGATAGGGGCCAGAAAGAAAACTAGATCACCACGCCTGCTTCGAACAAAGCAGCTTCATCACTATTGGCTTTGGACTAGGGAGGTTCTGGGAATTTGATGAGTTGAAAAGTATCACCTTATAAACTTCAGGGAATACATTGTTTCTGATGAGAAAACCTGGTGAGGACATGCCTGCCCTAGTCAGACTGTCCAGCGAGTCTTCTTGCCCTATCCCTTTCTCCCCAAGAGCCAGCAGAGCAGAAGGCTTGGCTCACAACAGGGAGGTTTGAGAGCTGGCAGTTACATTTTGGTTTCCTGTCACATGAAGAGCTGGACTCAGACCCTACGAGATTTCCCATGATCACCTTGGATTCTATAGCTCTGTAACCCTAATTTTCTTCTTTGCTATTTGACAAAGTTGGCTGTCATATGGTATAACTAATTTCCAGAGAGGTTGAGTCTGAGTCTGGTTTTCTAGCTAGTTTTTCTTTTTTAAGTCAACCATGTTGAAAACAATTAATATTTACAACATAAGTTAAAAGAACCAGGTTCAAGGTGCATATTTAACGTTTAGCCATAAATTACATGAGAGTTGCAGTGTCTATTGGATTTGTTTCTTCAAGAACTTCTATCCAAATCCCAGTACAGTACACCACCATCCTTACAAGCAATTACTCTTTTAGAGCTGTTTTTTTTTAAAAAAATCAATTTGTGAATAGAGTTCAAACAAAAATGCCTTTTTTAATTTCAGCAGATGCTCGAGGATTTCTTACCTTGAAGTCAAGGTTGCCAATAGCAACAAACTTCCGCAATAAATATGGCAAAATGCAACGCACATCTTTATTCTAATGCCTTGTACTTTTATACAGTCTTTCATCCATAGATTTTCTTATTTGACAGTTAATATTTAATATTTAAAATACCCGTAAAAGGCACACATGTCTTATCACCCCCTCTTTTTGCCATTGAGAGATCCTAGAACTCAGAGGTTCCAACACCTCAAGATACTTGGGCATAGAGCTAAACTTGGAATCTAGAATCCTGAACTCATTGGGACTCATCTGTGAAGAATAATGAAACAAGATTTGTAAAAACTGGCTGGGTAGTGTACTAAGCATTTACTCTATATCAGGAATACAGTTAAGTGCCTTGTTTACATTTGTTCATTTAGTTGATTAATTTTACAAATAAGAAAATTCAAGTTCACAGAGGTGGTCACTTGCTCAAAGCCATATTCCAAGAAAATGGTAGAGCTAAGACTTGAGCTCAGGCCCATCTAACTCCAAAACTCAGGCTCAGAACCATCTAAGCTGTAAGTTGTAAGAGCTACTGAGAATCAAGGAGCTTGGCTCTGGGAGAAGTTTGTGATTCTTTGGTGCTCTCTTCACGTCACTCTACTACCTCACTTTAGCCAGTAAAAGACACATCACAGATTGGCACAATAAGAGGCATATTAGTGGGCAGCTGAAAACTGGAAAAAGAGAAAACAGGCCTGCGTTTACAACCCTTAAGAGTGAGAGACTGAGACCACAAGCAAAACACCAAGAATTATTTGGTCACACAAAAACCCGGCTGAGTCACTGGAGACAAAAGCTTAATTCCCTTATTGGTTTTGTGTGCTTGCCTTAATTCCATACTATCCTTTAAATATTCTACAAATAAGAGCACGGCATATTCTATCGCTATTTACAACAGGGCTTTGCTGAAGATTTTATCCAGGGCAAGGTCATCAGAAGGTTGATGCCCCAGTCTTATTAAGAGCCTCAAGGACAGAGTAGGTTGCCAGGGAAAGCCAAAAGGATGGTTTCCTGGCCTAGCAGGTGACAAAGAAAGTGCACCAGGACCGAGGGGAGCTGGGATTCCTTCCCCCGTATCTCCTTTTCCTGCCTTCACTCCAGGCAACCTGCCTTGTAGAGAAATCCTGATTCTCCATTTTTCCTTCTCCTGATGTCACCAGAAACAGTGTCCTAAAGGAGGTGGGGAAGAGGGCCCAGCCCACTGGCAACTTACAGAGGTTCCTTGTTCTTCCCAGTCTTGCAGGGGCAGTGTCTGTGGATGGCTTTGGCCAATAGGACGACCAGGTACACGAGGAGACCCAGAAGCAATATGGAGCCCAAAGTGATGACAAACGGCACGTACCATGCAGATGGAGAGTAAACGTTTTTCCTCAGGACCTGATAGGTGACCCTGGGCTTGAACAACAGAGAGCAGGGAGGGTGAGTAGAGGGTGGTAGTGATTTTGACATTCAGCACTCTCTCGTGTTGAGTGTTTATTCCACTCTTTGTTATTGTTATTGCTCTATAAGTTGGACATCTGTGTGCTCACAGTTCTTGCTGCTTCAACCCATCACCTTATTTATAGTCTTTGCAGACATCCATTAGATCAAAACCCAGAAATTTTAGGGAACTGAAAAACAACTCTAGGCCTTATTTTATTCTCTGTCTTCCCCTTCCCCAAAGCTAAAAAAAACTCCATTGGCTTTTTTTCTGCCATATCTGGGCATAACCCAGGGACGAATATAGCCATTGTCTCTCACCGAGACAGCATAAGCCACGAAAGTTGTTTTTTTAAATGCCTTGTAGGCTTTTCAGTGTTTTCTCAACTACAAGCTGCCACTGCCAGAGCAGTGGGCTGATATCACAGCAAAGCCTCAAGTTCAGCATCTGCTTCCTAGAGCTGGAGACAGATAACAAACAAGTTACGGAGGTTTCAGGATTGGAGATGTCACAATCAGGTCATGCTCTGAGCCCAAGAAAGGTGGGAACTCCTCACTCAGGAGAGCCTACCAGCTCCTCCCACAAGGAAAGTCCTAGGGTTGCCATATGCCTCCATTCACTGGGGTCATATTGACTCGAGCATGGGAGAGAGAAGCATGAACCAGCTCCTGGCAAGACTCTGAGAAGAAGCTGGCCACCTCCATAGTGGGTTCTCTAAGGTTCTGATTATCTTCCTTCTGGCATGCTGCAGGTATCAGGCTGCTGACCAGGGGTGCAGCTTCTACTAGGAGGAGGAGGAGGAGGAGGAAGAGGAGGAGGAAGAAAGGGGACAGATGAGTCAGCATAGATGCAAGCCAGTTCCTCCAAGGGGCAGGGAAGATAATCCTGTTGTCAGATTCAAGGCTCTCCCTTCCTTCTCCAGGCCAATTCTGTGATAGCACCTGGTCATTTTCTTCCTACCCTTTCCCACAGTCTGTATTTACTTTGTCAATTTGAATACTTGTTTGTAATCTATCTCCCCCTCTAGATCAGTGGCTCTCAGACTTTAATGCACATTAGAATTCCCTGAAAGGCTGATTGAAAACACAGCTCACTGGACCCCACCTCCAGAGCTTCGGATTCATTAGGTTAGGGGATAGAGTTGGGGATTCCAGGTTCCAGCATCCTTCCCTGGAGGTCATGGTGATGATCATGGTTGGGTAACCTATAACTTTAATAATCTAGGCTGGGCCTGAGAATTTGCATTTCCAACCAGTTTCCAGGTGGTGCTGATTCTGATGGTCTAGGGACCGCACTTAGAGAATCACTCGCCTATACAATAAGCTTTCTGAGAGCAGGGATCATTTTTGGCTTGTTTGCTAAAGTGACTGGCACACTATAGGCATTAAATCGATATTTGTAGATTGGATGAATTTTTTTGGAGCGGAGGTGGGGTGTAGGGTACAGATTGGTACCTGGTGATTCTTCAAAAGATGTGGGAAAGAGCACCCAGCAGTAAGCAAGCAACCTAATTTCATGGATATTGACTTGCAAAGACTCTTCTGAACAAGCAGAGAGGGGTTGTGAAGGTAGCAACTGGCAGCATGCCCATGGAAATCAGCTCCTGTGCCACAAGCCACACAGATGGTTGAGGTCTGATCTCTCACAAGTCTCTGCACAAACAACACACTCTTCTCTACCAGAACAGGAAATGTTAGTGGTTGAGTTAGCGGTTATGAGTCTGAGGTCTCACCAGATTTTTGCCACCCTGCAGCTACTCCAGTCCAGCCCATGGTTGCCATTTTTGGCAACATCCTAATACCTCAACTCTTCAGTCCACCCCACATACCTCCAGGCCGGGGAAAGAAGTCCATCAACATAACTCACAAGGGAATGTGCCTGGGGATTCCAGGTCCTAAAGCCCTTACCCTGGGGGTCGTGGTGATGATAGTGGTTGGGTGGGGAATGACTTTAATACTCAGTGTCACTGTTCCTGTCTCAACAAGAGCCTCCGCTTTCTTCCTGTCAGACATCAAGTTGTCATCAGTTACGTAGACAAGTAGCTTGTAGTCCCAGATCTTATCAAACCCACCAGCATAGTCAAAGCGAGATGTAAGCAGCAGGCGTGTGACATTGGAACCAGCATTGGGAGAGAAGGTGAAATGATTGTTGACGTTACCTAAATGAGATTTGATGCAGGGGTGTTGGTAAAAGGAAGAAAAGAGAGTAAGAAATAAAGGTTTAGAAGAAAACTGCATTCAATCTTTTTCTCAAATGTCCACACCTCAAGTGTAGACTGTGTCTCTGATACACCAGAGCTGGATTAGTTATATGCTACAGGCTTTAACTGCACCAGAGATGGCATTAGTACAAAGAAACTCTTGCTCACAACCAGTGTGGCTGCAAACAAGGCTGAGTAGAAAAGGACAATAGTACAACACCCTTAGCCTAGGTGCCATCTTGCTGAGTATTAAGCAGAGACTTTGTAACCCTGGTGCAGCCCCTTCTGATTTCTCATCCGGCAATTATTTGGTAACAACACGTGTAATTCACACTCAAACAAATGAGTGGGTTTCAAGAGGGTAGAATAGGTCACATCCCTAGCCATAGGCCAAGTTCACTGCATGCTTTTCACAGGACCCAGTGGGTCACACTGGTTATGGCTGTCCCTGGAGTCCTCCAAAGGAAGGTGCCTCCTGGCTTTGCGGGAATTGCAGTCCCAGGTCCTCCTGAACCCACCCCATCACACCCCCAAACACACACACAGCTCTGCTGGGGCTCATGGCTCAGCTCAGGGAGCCTGGGGCAGAGAGGCTGCCAGCCCAAGCACATGCCCGCTCATTCCTCCACTGGCTCCAGACTCATTACCGACTGAACACCAGTAAATGGAGCAGGAGATGATGCAATTTTTGCTCCCTTAACAGCAAAATGCTCCATAAAGGCCTTAGGGCTCTCAGTATGGATTGTTTCCATCTTCGGCAACTGCAGTCTCGAGGCAGTTTCTGCCCCTGGGTTTTGTGACACAGCCAGCTCGAGAGGCTTCCTACTGTTCAAGTTCCTGCTCGGCCAAGGGCACAGCAGGCAGCAGGGATGGATTTTTACTCTCTCACGTGGAATTGTTCTGCTTGTTTGGGTTTAAATCTCTGGCCCCAGCACTTCATTAGATGAGCTATTTTGGTCTAATTTCCATTGAGGGGTGCTCTTTTTTCCCTACGATGGTATATTTTTAAAGACAGAAGATGAATGGAGCAGAAGAGAATTCCTGAGGACACGTTTCAAAACGCACTTAATCTATTTAATCTATTATTATCCAGAGAGAGGACTGGGATTCCCTGCCCCCACTACCAGCTTTCAGGAAAAGAGGTGGTCGAAAAGTTGGACTGCATTTTTTCTAACAACACTAATATGCTTTATGACTCATACTGTAGTCAGGAATTGGGGGGTTCACCCTTTTCTTGGGCCTTTGGGCAGTCACGTATGGGGTCTGGGAGGAGTAAGACAAGAAGGGGAAACTGAGAGGAGTGCCAGGAAGCATAGGGGCTGCTAGATTTTGTGTCTCTGCTTTCCTCATTCAAATACTTCCCCAGCAAGCTGGGTGCAATGAGGCATGCCTGTAGTCTCAGCTACTTGGGAGGCTGAGCAGGAGGATTACTTGAGCCCAGGGGTTCAAAACTAGCCTAGGCAGCATAGCAAGACCCTATCTCAAAAAAATAATGCCCTCCCAACTCCCATCCCACTTTGCCCAGATCAGTGTGTGAGCACAGACCCCTACCCTAGACAACTTCAGGGTCCTCAGAGACAGGGCCAGGATTGTCGACACCAAGTACTATACCTGGGCCAATGGAATAACGGAAAGATCTGGGGCTGGAATCAAGGTCGGTACATGTCAGCTTGAAATTCTGAATATTTGTGCCAACTTTCAGATCCACTGGGAGGGCCAGGAAATAAGAGTTTGGAGTACAAATTGGCTTTTCATCATTTTCTTCAAGGATGTTCACAGTAACCTAGAGTAGCAAGAAGGTGGTCATTCTCAATAGCTAAAACTCATTGAGTGCTTACTGTGTGTAGGCAGTTTTCAGGCTAAGCACTTTTCATAAATTAGCTCATTTAAACTCACATGAGATAGCTAACATGATTATTCCCATTTTATGGTGAGAAAATGGAAGTTTAGAGAGACTAGGTAATTGATCTAAGATCATTCAGCTAGTGAATGGCAGAGTTGGGATTTGAATTCAGGTCTGTCCTACTCCAAATCCTATGCTATTAACTTCTACACCATATGCATGTGTGTGTGCACATTTAGTGTATGTATACCTTGCCCCCCCCCCACACACACACACATGCACCTGGACACATAGGCTCACCTGCAGATGACACCGAGTTGTTTTTCCAGGAAGGTGTGGATTTACGGTGTCTCCATGTGCCACCTTGCCTGCTGCCCCTTGTAAATGGAACTTCTTTAACTCTGGCATATGCAGAAATGGTTCTCAGCCCTGGCTCTGCTTTCTTGGGCCCACTTCAGAACCAATAGATTGGAGGGTGGGGGTCAGGGCCCTCATTGATGTTCCCTAGCTGATTCTAATATGCAGCCAGGGCTAAGACTCACTGGGACAGAACAAGCAGGCCTGGTTAAGCTGGGATCTCATCTGTAACCTGGGCTATTAGCACTGTACTAAGCCCTAGAGCTAACCTGCCATAAGCAGGGGCCAGCCTATTCTCTTTCATCGCTGTCTTTTATGCCTGGTAAATTGGAATATAGCCTGGGATGCCTGCCAGCACAGAATCATAGAATGTCAGCCCTGAAAGGGACTTGTGTGATCGTTTAGTTCATCACCCCTTTTAAAAAGCTTATGAATTTTGAGTCATATTCATACTACCTTTGAAATTTGGGATTTCAGCTATTTCTGAGCCCGGGAATAAATTGAAATGTTCACTCTAGTTAGCCCCCAGAGTGGAGTCCATTCATTTTCTTTAAAAAAAAAAAAAAACAGCCTAACAAACACTGCAATTATCTCCAACTTTCCTTGGGTAGCAATGCCAAACCTTGCACATCATTAAAAACATCATCCCATTAATTCAAAGCAAGTTATCGGAGGAAGCGGACTATTCAGGCATTGGGGTTATCAGGTGACTCTCCGTTTAAGAGATAGAGAAATATGGACACGGAGATAAGCATTGCTCAGACTCCCTCGGAAAATTGGGATCAAAGTTGAAAAATGAACTCGGTCTCCTGACTCTGAACCAATCTTTGTCTATGGCTGCCTGCTGCTAACTGAGAGTTCATTTTGCCTTCACGCTTTTTTACTTTACTAATGGGAAGGACCAGGGAATAGTTTGGTCTTTGTGGCTATCATGTTGCCCTTGGATAATCCAAACCACTGACAACATGGACCTATTAGGTCCCTGCAACTCGAGGTGTGGCAGGGGACCAGCAGCGCCGCCCCACTTGGAAGCACGTCAGAAATGCAGAATCTCAGGCCCCAGACCCTCTGACTCAGAATCTGCCTGTAACAACATTCTCAGCCTCAAAGGTTGGGAAGCAAGATAGCAGCACAGCATCGTTTTAAGATCTACCCCATCTGGTATGCATAGAGGCAGGGTAGGAACACGGCATAACTGCTCCTGGGGAGGAAATGCATAACTCCAAAACCACACTCAACTTCTAGGAAGTGTGCATTTCACCAACAGCCTTCAGTGAAGGCAAAGCAAGATTTACAGGGCCACAAGAGGAACCTTGTCCCACAAAGTGGCTTTGTGGGTCCACCAGACATTCTAATATCTGGCCAACAACTTTAGTGCTTTTGTCAGTCACCCGCAAACTTGGGCCTCAAAAAAATATGGGGCTGGGTGCAGTGGCTCACGCCTATAATCCTAGCACTTTGAGAGGCTGAGGCGAGTGGATTACTTGAGGTCAGGAGTTCGAGACCAGCCTGGCCAACATGGAGAAACCCGTCTCTACTAAAAATACAAAAATTAGCTGCGCACGGTGGTGCACACTTGCAATCCCAGCTACTTGAGAGGCTGAGGCACGAGAATCGCTTAAGCCCAGGAGGTGGAAGTTGCAGTGAGCCAAGGTTACACCACTGTACTCCATCCTGGGCAACAGAGCGAGACCCTGCCTCAAAAACGAAAAAAGAAAAATGTGGATCTTTATTTCCCAGGGCACCTTTACTTGTTTCTCACCACATCCGCAGGATGTACCCTGGGAAGTTTCCTCATTGCCACATCCACACTCTGGGGGTGCCAGAGAGACCCTAAGTCAACCAGTTGGGTTACCGGCACTATACCAAGCAGCACCACTCACAGTGACAGAGCTTGTGTCTTCGTTGTTGGTGGCCTGGATTCTGAGAATATAGATGGGGGTTGTTTCACAGTCCACTTTAGTTACCAGCTGGAGTTCTCCTGTCTTGGGATTAATCCAAAATACATTTGGATACTGGAGGCTGGCCCCTCCAGTGGAGATGGAGTACAGGAGGCTGCTCTGGGGGAGGTCTTTATCAGTGGCTCGCACCTGTCCCACTCGGGTTCTGGCTGGAGGAATAAAGTACCTGCAATAAGTCCTGCTTTTAAGGGGTAGAGAAGGATGATTCAGGAACAGATGTCCTAACTGCCATGGTAAGAAGGACTTCTGGAGGCCTCCTTGCTGTCCAAACTCTGTTTTATAGCTTCAATTCTACTAAATTGAAATAATGCTAACCAACACCCGCTAGGTAACTGACCCTATGATCCAAGCAGTCCTGTGAGGTGTAATAGACAATTTATATCTTTGTGTGTGTGTGTGTGTGTGTGTGTGTGTGTGTGTGTGTGTGTGTCTGTGTGTGACGGAGTCTCACTCTGTCGCCCAGGCTGGAGTGCAGTGGTGCGATCTCGGCTCATTGCAACCTCCACTTCCTGGGTTCAAGCAATTCTCCTGCCTCAGCCTCCCAAGTAGCTGGGATTACAGGTGCCCACGACCACACCTGGCTAATCTTTTTGTATTTTTAGAAGAGATGGGGTTTCACCATGTCGGCCAGGCTGGTTTCGATCTCCTGACCTCAAGTGATCCGCCCAGCTCGGCCTCCCAAAGTGCTAGGATTATAGTCGTCAGCCACCATGCCCAGCAATTTATGCCTTTATATAGGCTCCAGGGACACTAATCATTTTGCTATCAGAAACAATAGTACAAAGAACATACAACCTCACACATACATCTCTTTGCAGCAGTATTGTCTAAAAGTCCCGTGTTTTTCAATTTTCTATAATGAGCATGAATTGCTCTTTTAAAAATAAATAATTGTTAAAGAATTTAGTAATTGATGATTACAGATTATAGATTTTTAAATCCTCTTCCATTTTGCAATTTTTACAAATATTGTTGGTGGGTCTGCTAGCATTCTGGCTTGTTTTGTAGGAGTTCCTTCTCATAAATTACACTCCTCAAGGGCAGAACCTTCTCTTTTTCAATTCTGTATCCCAGCACTAAGTTTGTAACCCAAAGTAGGTGATCAAAAAGAACTGCAGTAAGATCTGTGAATTCCCAGAAAGCCTATTCCTTTCGAATTTGTTATTCACTGGATAAGGTATAAGAAATTAAAAGCATTTTCTTTGGACTTGCATTTTGCATTTTGCTTGAAAACTTAATGTCAGGAAATGGAGACCATCCTAAAGAGAATGGATCATTTTAGAGGGAGCGTTTTGGTTTTGGTTTCATTTGTTGTTGTTGTTTTTAATATGGAAAAAGTATCCATGATCTAAAGATGAACGGCTGTGGGGAGTCTATTACACTAGAGCATTTATAGTATTACCTTCAAACTGAGAGAGCGAGAGGGAGGCAGAAAGTGAAGCTGGAAGTGGGGAGTGAGTCTTTTCCTTAAAGGGGGAGGAGCCTGCAAAAAGCAGGGTGTTGTAAAGGGCAGAAAAGAAGGCCTTCAGGGAATCTTAGTAGGGGAGAGAGAAAATGCCTTTATTTTGTTTGTAAATGAAGGAAATATAGAAATGGGAAACCTTTTCTGTTTTTAAATTTTAATTCTCTGAGTGAGCTGGATAAAACTCACAGTGGAGACCAAGAGAAAACTTAAACCTGGAAAAGGGAGGATTAGCGGAATCAGGCAAACAGGCAAGGAAGCAATCAGAGGCTTCTGAGAAATGCAGTTTAACCAACAGTTTTCAAAAGTCCAAGTTTCACCTGAAGGGCTCCTCAGCAGCGAGGAAAATTTAAAAGAAATAAGAGGTGCAATAAATACTAATCAGCTGTGAATCACTGTGCAAAACAGCATGCGAGGCCTCCAGAAGGGAGTTTTCCACTCCACAGAACACACGTTTGGATGGAGTCCATTGACAGCACTCTGGTCTGTGTCTTATCTGTTACTTACCGGGCCTTCTTTCTGACACATCAAATACATAGGATGGCCTATCAAAAATGAGAGGAAACTCATTTTCTGGGCTTGTTAGGATATAAACGTAGACGTTATCTAAAAATGGAAATAGAAACACATTTAATCACAAATCCATACTCATCCATTTGTTTATTCAACATCTTTAAAGAATCTCCTGTGTACAGGCTTTGCGCATAGGGGATACCAGGTGGCTAAGACATGGGAGCTCCTGCCTTTTAGATGCCGAGGGTGTTCACCCTTTGATAAGCGCATGAGCACACAGAGCACTACAGAACCCAGAGTAGGAACAGCTTCCAGGAGAATGAACAAGCTGAGCCTTATAAGGATAGAATTAGACAAATGGGGCAGGGAGGAGATTGGGGGGTGTTGTAGGCATATGCAAAAATGCCAAGGTATAAAACCACATAATTCACTCTGGAAAACTTCAAGCTGTTTGCCCAGTTGGAAAAAAATGGGGGCTTGGAAGCAAGTGACAGGAGGTGAAGCTGGAGAATTAAGCAGCAACCGAATGGTGAAAAATCTTGTATGCCAAGTCAAAGAGTTGGAACTTGAACTTGACAGCTACAGGAGATGCTCGAAGGCTTTAACCAAGGAAGTCATATGATGGCATTTGCATTTCCCTTCAAAGACTCTTAAGTGTTGTAATTCAGCCGAGAAAGAGGGGGTCCCCGCATGAGGGCAGTACTAGTGAGAAGGGGGACCTAGCACAATACCTAGTATTGCCCAGCAGAGTTTGGTCATTGATACTCAAGAAAGACAATCATGAAATAAAACAAAATGATACTTGCTTTTATAGTAAGGGGGGGCCACATCCTGCACCTGGATTATCACCGTATATTTATTGCCGGCTGCTAGGTTACTTGGATTTTCGTAGTCTAGATCACCAATCAGCTAGATTAAAACAGAGATAGTAGATTATACAGATTAAACAATCCTATTTATTGGGCTGCGAGAGACATTTTCATATACTGCTAGTGGATATATAAATTGGCAAAACGCTTTTGGCAAACACTTTGCCCATAAAAATTAGGAGCTTTAAAAAGTTATGACCATACCTTTGCTCACTGCTAGTGAACTTATGGAAATAATTTACCAGGAGACAGAATCTATGTACAAAGATGTTCATTAAGCACTATTGCTCAACAGCACAGGATCACAACTTCAGATTCGTTGAAGAAAAGCACAAAATTGAATCTTATATGCAGGGCTGTTTCATTATAGTAGTCCCCCCTTATTATCTGTGGTTTTGCTTTTGACAGTTTCAGTTACTTGGAGTCAACCACAGTCTGAAAATAGTGAGTACAGTACTATAATATATTTTGAGAGAGAGAAGCCATATTCACATAACTGGTTTTCTTTATTGTTTTTTAGAGATAGGGGTCCCCTTTGTTGCCCAGGCTGGTGTGCAGTGGCTATTCACAGGTGTAATCATAGCTCACTGCAGCCTCAAACTCGTGGCCTCAAATGATCCTCCCATCTCAGCCTCAAGTAGTTGGGACTATGGGTGTGCACCACCATGCCCAGTGTCACATAACTTTTGTTATAGTATTTTGTTATACTTTTTCTATTTTATTATTCACTATTATTGTCAATACTTACCGTACCTAATTTATAAATTAAACTTACCATAGGTATCTATGTATAGAAGGAAAAAACATAACATATGTAGGGTCTGGTACTATCTGTGGTTTCGAGCATTCACTAGGGGTCTTGGAACATATCCCCGGTGGATAAGGGAGCACTACTGTATCTAAAATTCATATGCAGGCTAGGCACAGTAGCTCATGCCTATAATCCCAGCACTTGGGGAGGTGGAGGTGGGAGGATTGCCTGAGACCAGGAGCTTGAGAAAAGCTCTAGAAAAAGCTAAAAAATAAGCCAGGCACAGTGGCGCACTCCTGTAGTCCCAGCTGCTAGGGAGGCTGAAATGTGAGGATCACTTGGGCCTAGGAGTTCAAGGCTGTGGTGAGCTATGATTGAACCACTGCACTCCAGCCTGGGTGACAGAGCGAGACATGGTCTCTTAAAAAAATAATAAAAATAAAAAATACCTATGCATATATGTATAAAATACACATAAAATATATCTATAGAAAAAAGAAAAGAAGGACATGTACCAAACTACTAACACTGGTTATCAGTGAATGGTGATGCTTTTCTGTGCTTTCTATATTTTCTACAGAGAACATGTATTAATTTCCTAAACAGAAAAAAATAGAAATTATTTTTAAGATGGTACTATGAATAAACTGGGTGAGATGTTCTTGGGGATTGAAGAAGGGCTTGGGATGGGAGGTGGAGAAGAAAGCTGGGTGAGGGGAAGGGTAGCGGGTTGCTGGCTTCCCTCCCTGAGGCTGCTGCTTTCCCAGCCCTTTCATTTTTCTCTTCTCCTTCCCCACCACCTTCCAGCAGTAGCTCTGTAAGGAAAGGTCTAACTCAAATCATTGGGACCCACTTTTCATGCCCATCCTTCTTCCAATGCAGCTTTTGTCCCTTGAAGTTGCCAGGGAGGGGGCTTCCTACACATCCTCACTGTCTCACTCTCCTCTGGTCTCCAGTGGTTCTACGGTGTGGAATTTACCCAGACATACTCAAGGTCCTGGCCCTGCTTTCTCTCACCTCACAGCTCTATGGGCCGGGAATGAGCATTCAAATAAACAAAAGTGCCTGAGCACAGAGGGCACTGACGTGTCTGTGAAGGCACGCTAAGCAGGCACACAAACTGCATGCTATGCAAGGAAGAATCCAGTCCTCAGCAGCCCAGGCACAACTATGTGTAACAAATGATTCCTGGAACCAGGGTAAAATAAAGAGCGAATGGGGAACACAGACTCACTATTAAGCCTGTCAGTTACAGTCGCTCTGAGAGGGGGTTACCTTGGAAATTTCTCTCTATGGGGCAGCAAAAGCATGATGCATGTTGGACCAATTCCCGATGCCCTTTTAATGATGCAATGACCATTAACTGACCACAATCTTCCCAGAGCCAGCTGGATCCTGTAAAAATCTGCTGCCGCTCCCCACTCCAGATGGCATGGTGAAGTTGAATCTGTTGTTTGGTGCCTCACTGTCATCATCAAAGCAGAACTTGTTTAGGTCAAGAAGCAACGTCCCCTTGGCTGTTCTTTCCGGCACCATAATGCTGGTGAAAAGACACAATCCAGTATTTCCCCCAATAAATGGTAATCGACTGTTCCTTCTCACATGGGCCCTGGGCTAGACACCTCTACTTTAACTGCAATTCAAAGTAAGTCCATGGTCATTGCAGTCACCTCCTAACTGGTCTCCCTGATTCTGCCCTTGCTACCTTTTGGGCTATTTTAAACACAGCGGCCAGAGGGATCCTGCTAACATGTTGTCAGATCACGTCACTCCTCTGCTCCTAAGTCCCAAATGGCTCCTCATTTCACTCAAAGTCCCACCTTTGATCTGCAGGACGCTTCATGACGTGCCCTCCTTTTCCTCTCTGAACTCGTCTCCCACTAGCTCTTCTCCTTGTTCACTCTCCTCCTGCCACTCTGGCCTTCTGGTGCTCCCTGAGCTCTTCATGAGGCTCTGGCCTCAGCTTCCCTGCACTAGCTGTGGAATCCTCTCCCCACAAATACTCACGTGACTCCCACTTTCACTTTCTTTCATCTATCTAATCAAATGTCACCTTATCAGTGAGGCTACCCTATCTAGAATGGCAATGTTCCCTGCCCGGTACTTCCTCTCCTATTCCCCTCTTTATTTTTAATTCCTAGCACACATCATTATCTGGTACACCATATATTTCTCTTATTTATTCTGCTTATTTTCTATTTCCCTCCTAGAAAGTAAACTCTATGAGGGCAAAGATCTTTGCTTTTTTCTTGGCACACTCAATAAGTATTTGTTGAATGAATGAACAATAGACTTATAAGACTAGCACAGTAGTGAAGAAGAATAGAAGAGAAATATAAATTTTACGTCCTGCCTGAAGGAGTTTCTAACTGGGCTAGGGAGAATCCCTGTACCCCTCATTTCCCATGCTTTGAAGATTGAGAATTCCTTGACTTCTGTTCTAGTGGCTTCAATGGCCTAGAAGGGCCTCCTAACACCTTTATATTATTCATCCAAAAGAGATTTATTAATGATCAAATTCGGGGGTCTTGATCTCAGTAGACTCCAGGGTTTAGGCAAATAACACAAATGAGTAAAGCTACCCCCAAACTCAGAGCCTTCCGATCAAGCCCAGCTTGCTGTAGGAGGCTCTGAGGAAGACCAATGAACACCTTGAGACTTCCATTCATTGAGGGGCTTTCTCATGTCTCCAGGTTTCAGTTCCTCCATCTATAAAATGGACATAAATGATATCAATTAGTTTTTACTACATAACACACTGTCCCAAAACTGAGTGAATTAAAACAACAAGCATTTATGGTTTCTCACAGTACTATAGGTTTTCCCACAGTCCTTTCGGTTTTAGTTTGGCTTAGCTGGTCTCTGTGGTCACTGACAGCTTGGCTGGGGCTGGACAGTCTAGGATGGCCTCACTCACATGCCTGGTGGTGGGAAGGTGCTTGATTTCTGCTTCTTCTTGTCCTCATCTTCTAGGAGGCTAGTCTAGGCTCATTGCATGGAGGTCTCTGGTTCCAAAAGTAACAAGAGAGGGCAAGTCCCAAGGCACATGCATTTTTCAAGCCTCCGTTGTGCCATGTTTGTGAATGCTCCAGTGGTCAAAGCAATTCACGTGGTCAAGCTCAGATTCAAGGAGACCCATCTCTTGATGGAGCTAATAGCAAAATCACATTGCAAAGGAGCATGCATAAAGAGCAAGCAGGGAGGAATTTGCGGCTTTTCTTTCTTTTTTGTTTGTTTTGGCTACCTATCTTAATCATATTTTGCCTTGGTAGAATTTCTTACAAAAATATATCGTGGCTGTCATGAGAATGTGCCTGGAAGACCTTTAACCATGAGAGCATAACTGACCATCGGCCTCAGCTGCTGGGCTCTGAAATCCATCACTGTGTTTGTGGTGAGGCCACGTACCAACAACTGGTCATGGCAAAGATACTAAGGCTCATTCCTGTCCTATGTCAGTTGACACTGGCTCCAGGACCCCCAATGCCCTAGCTGAACACTCCTTAACTGCATGGCAGCCTAGAATATGTCCAACTACCTTTTCTCCCTCTTTCCTTCACTCAGATCAGCCTTGCATCATGATCTGATGACTTGCCCAGCCTTGTCCATCTCTCTCCCCATTTTCTGCCACAGGCATCTCCCCTAATAATAGCCTTGCACATTTAATCCCATCTTAGCATCTGGTTCTTGGAGCATACACTTCTCTCTGCAACCAAACTCTGTTCCCTTCTTTGTTCCACATCCTCTTTTCATGGCAGATAAAATCAGCTCTGGGCTCAGTGCATACGGAGCAAAGTCTGACAGCAAGAATGGTCATGGGCCACTGAGGATAACAGGTTTGCTTGCTGGAGCGTGTAATGGAGTCTCCACGATGCCTCATTGGCAAAGATCACCTCTGTATTTCAGCAGGATTGGAGTCTGAACATTCCTGCCTTGATTGCACAATGTCATGGTTTCATTCATAGGGACTTAGAAGAGACACCACTTATTAAACACCAACTGCATGCTGTATCATACCAAGCACTTTAAAAACACTATCTCTAATTTCCTCATCTCAGAGAGGTTTGTATTCTTGTCCCCACTGCACAGGGGAAGAAAGAGTGGTTCCGAGCATTTTCAAGGCCTGTCCAGGAAAGTGGATGTATCCAGACTTGATCCTCTGCAGTGTTAGAGTCACTGTAAACTTTAACTTCCATGCATAAGTATCCAGGCTCACAGATGGTTTGGGGATCTAAGCCTTGATTTCAACTCTGCAGAAGCCAGGAGATTGCATCATTTAAAGAATCCAAGGTCCCGAAGCCAGACATTTCAGGCACTCCAACAGAGGCCTCCTCACTTGGCCCTCCAGGGCTGCTTGGCCTGTTCTCTCATTCGTCCCTGACAGTTGGTATTCTTCCCCTAAACGCCTAACTTGGAAAGCCACTCCCCTCATTCAGCAATCCCTGCCTCAAAAGCGAGCTGCCCTCGCTCCCAGCCATCAGACCATGTTTCTCTCCCCATGCAAAGTTGACTGTGTCCAGCCCATTCTGAATCAGCCAAACTGCTCCGCCTCTTGCTCACAAACAGCTTGCAAAGCGCTTTCACTGAATCGCCTGACAATTTACAACCAGAGCGGGGGTTGTCACGTGCCTCGGATGCCTCCGTCGGGCCCTGGGCTCATTCATCATCAGCCTGGGAAAGCCTCAGGGGCCACGGTACGAAAGGCTGGGAGCCTGCAGGAGCCCGCGCGGGCAGCAGGGGGCGCCCGCCTCCTCCACGCCGCCCTCCTCCCTGCGGGAGCACAGCACACCGCCTCCAGCAGCCGCGCTGACCTCACCCGCTCTGCCACCTGCTCTCAAGAACTCCACAGCAGAGACCGCGCCCACAGCCTCCAAGGAAGGAACAAACATTCAAGAGCAAGTGTCAGAGACTGTGGCAGAACCATGCCATTGTCACTTTGTTCTGTTTTGACCTGCTTGCGTGCTTGGCTTTGACATAGTTGGACTGGAGAAGGTATAAGGCTGGGAGGATGGCGGGTGCTGCAGGTCAGGGCTTCTCAGCCCTCTCCGCACCCGCCCTTATGCAGCCTTGGGACGCGAGGCTGGGCTTTAGGCTGAAGACCTCCGCCCCTGGAACTGCAGAGGAGGGGTCCCTTTCGTTGCCCTTCCTCACATCTTGGCGTTCATAGGGTGGCTGAGAGTTCCTCCCGCTAGAAGAGCCCAAAGAGGGAACTTGAGCCTTGGTTAGATTATCTTCAGTAATAAATGCAGTTAGTCCAGCTACGGATTTCACATTGGCCTTCAGGGCTAATCTGGAGGGAAGATTATCAAGTGCAGGACTCTGTTTGGTCTTGCCTGGACAGTCTAGGATATTCGAATTGCAGTTTCACCAGCTAATATGGAACACAGTCTGCAAACTGTCCTCCCATACTCCAGGGGACTCTGGACTGCAGGAAGCCAAATATACAATTAACAGATATGCACTGAAGAGAGAAAATGGACAAGGAAGATTTGAGACAGCACAGCCCTCTCCAGGCATTCTCACTTCTTAACCTTCACCCCCTACCTCTTAGGGCAGAGGAACAAGGAAGAGCAGGAGGGCAGAAGAGGGCAGGAGCTTCCCAGGATGTACTGGAACCACCCAAGAGTTCTAGCACAGATTTAAAATGTCAAAGAAAGTGTAAGTGTGATGCTGCAAATTGTCTCCACTCCATCCCCTGGGCCCAGACATCTCTCAATTTATGCACGTAAAGGTGTGGAAGTCACAATCCTAACTACCCATGCAGCTGTCCCCACCCATCTAATGGACTTGTAGGGCTTAGGTTGGGATAGGAACCTACTACATGCTTAAGATTGTGACTGACGTTATTGGGGTGTCAGCAGGAAGCAGCTGGTGAATTAGGATCATTCTAGGAGGGGTCAGTAAAGGGACTATGAAGAAGGTGCTCACAGAGTATATGGAAATCTCATCAGATGGTGCAATATCTCAGGGCTCGTGAGAGTGAAGCACCCTTACCACCACTAGGCCCAGGGAAGCCAGTGGAGGAAGCAGGTCCTGCGACAGAGAGCTGCTTTTGGGAATGGAGATCTTCAGGCAGGGAAGGGATGCACCCAGCTCACAAAGAGAGAGCCTGACCCTCCTCTCCTTCTCTTTCCAGGACTCCCCATTGGCCAACTAGAAGCTGGAAGGCAAGGGAGTTGGTTGGTATCTGATATGGTTTGGCTGTGTCCCCACCCAAATCTCATCTTGAACTCCCACATGTTGTGAGAGGGACCCAGTAGGAGGAAATTGAATCATGGTGGCAAGTCTTTCCTGTGCTGTTCTTGTGATAGTGACTAAGTCCCATGAGATCTGATGGCTTTATAAGGGGGAGTTTCCCTGCACAAGCTCTCTCTTTGCCTGCTGCCATCCACGTAAGACATGACTTGCTCCTCCTTGCCTTCTGCCATGATTGTGAGGCTTCCCCAGCCACGTGGAACTGTAAGCCCATTAAACCTCTTTCTGTTGTAAATTGCCCAGTCTCGGGTATGTCTTTATTAGCAGTATGAAAATGGACTAATCCAGTAAATTGGTACCAATAGAGTGGGGCTCTGCTGTAGATACCTGAAAATGTGGAAGCAACTTTGGAACTGGGTAACAGGCAGGGGTTGGAACAGTTTGGTGGGCTTAAAAGAAGACAGGAAAATGTGGGAAAGTTTGGAACTCCCTAGAGACTTGTTGAATGGCTTTGACCAAAATGCTGTTCATGATATGGACAATTAAATCCAGGCTGAGGTGGTCTCAGATGGAGATGAGGAACTTGTTGGGAACTGGAGCAAAGGTGACTCTTGTTATGTTTTAGCAAAGAGACTGGTGGCATTTTGCCCCTGCCCTAGAGACTTGTAGAACTTTGAACTTGAGAGAGATGATTTAGAGTATCTGGTAGAAGAAATTTTTAAGCAGCAAAGCATTCAAGATGTGACTTGGGTGCTGTTAAAGGCATTCAGTTTTATGAGGGAAGCAGAGCTTAAAAGTTTGGAAATTTTGCAGCCTGACAATGCGATAGAAAGGAAAATCCCATTTTCTGAGGAGAAATTCAAGACAGCTGCAGAAATTTACATAAGTAACAAGGAGCTGAATGTTAATCACCAAGACAATGGGGTAAATGTCACCAGGGCATGTCAGAGACCTCTGTGGAAGCCACTCCCATCACAGGCCCAGAGGTTTAGGAGGAAGAAACGGCTTCATGGGCCAGGCCCTGGGTCCCTCTCTTGTGTGCAGCCTAGGGACTTGGTGCCCTGCATCCCAGCCGCTCTAGCTTTGATTAAAAGGGGCCAAGGTACAGCTCGGGCTATTGCTTCAGAGAGTGGAAGCCCCAAGCCTTGCCAGCTTTCATGTGGTGTTGAGCCTGCGGCTGCACAGAAGTCAAGAATTGAGGTTTGAGAACCTCCGCTTAGATTTGAGAGGATGTATGGAAATGCCTGGATGCCCAGGCAGAAGTTTGTTGCAGGGGTGGCCCCTCATGGAGAACCTCTGCTAGGGCAGTGCAGAAGGGAAATGTGAGATTGGAGTCCCCACACGAAGTCCCTAGTAGGGCACTGCCTAGTGGAGCTGTGAGAAGAGGGCCACTGTCCTCCAGACCCCAGAATGGTAAATCCACTGACAGCTAGCACCATGCACCTGGAAAAGCCACAGGCACTCAATGCCAGCCCATGAAAGCATCCAGGATGGAAGCTGTACCCTGCAAAGCCACAGGAATGGAGCTGCCCAAGATCATGGGAACCCACCTCTTGCATGAGCGTGACCTGGATGTGAGACATGGAGTCAAAGGAGATCATTTTGGAGTTTTAAGATTTGACTACCCTGCTGGATTTCAGACTTGCATGGGGCCTGTAGCACCTGCATTTTGGCCAATTTATCCCATTGGAACAGCTGTATTTACCCAATGCCTATACCCCCATTGTATCTAGGAAGTAACTAACTTGCTTTTGATTTTACAGGCTCATAGGCAGAAGGGATTTGCCTTGTCTCGGATGAGACTTTGGACTGTGGACTTTTGAGTTAATGCTGAAATGAGTAAAGACTTTGGATGACTGTTGGGAAGGCATGATTGGTTTTGAAATGTGAGAACGTGAGATTTGGGAAGGGCTGGGGCAGGATGATATGGTTTGGCTGTGTCTCCACCAAAGTCTCACCTTGAATTCCTACATGTTGTGGGAGGGACCTGGTAGGAGGAAATGGAATCATGGGGGCAAGTCTTTCCTGAGTTGTTCTCGTGATAGTGACTAAGTCTCATGAGATCTGATGGCTTTATAAGGAGGAGTTTCCCTACACAAGCTCTATCTCTTTGCCTGCTGCCATCCATGTAAGATGTGACTTGCTCCTCCTTGCCTTCTGCCATGATTGTGAGGCTTCCCCAGCCATGTGGAACTGTAAGTCCAATTAAACCTCTTTCTTTTGTAAATCGCCCAGTCACAGGTATATCTTTATCAGCAGCATGAAAACAGTCTAATACGGTATCCATCCAGGTCAGCGTCTTGGAGCACAGAGCAGGGTGGAGACTGGATCTAAAGGGATAAGTCAGGGGTGCATCCAGAACAGAGTTTAACCGTTTTGATATCAGACTCGAGGTCACATGGATCCTTTAACATTATACTGGGCATGCCATTTGGGACAACAGGGAGACATTCATGAGTATAATAAAGGAATTTCTATTTCTCCTGCTTCTCCTAGGCAATCCTGGTCTAGGGTCCTTTGTCCTCTGCATGTATTGGGTCTATGTCCAGAGTCGCCTGGAGAAAACTTACAAAACCACTCAAAGATAAACTCAGGAGACTCTCCCCATGGGGACATCTGGAGCTGAGACTCACCCTGATCTTCAGCCTTGCTCCAGATACAGGGCTGTCTCTTAGCAAGGGCTGCTGTGGAGTTGCTCCCCACAACCCCAATTCCTCCCAAAGAGCCCTCTTCAGCCTCTCAGGAGACCAGAGACTGGCTGGAACAAAACCTCAGAGACGAGGCTAATATGGGCAAGTACTAATCATGTGGCTTTTTGACAAAATAGTAGAAAGACAATATTGTTTTCAAAAAGCTTATTAACCCAGAATCACAAGGGACTTTATTGTAAAATAATAGCAAATAGATTGTAGGACAAAGAATGAGTCAAAATATACAAGATCACTTGTATCCCACTTGTATCTGCATTTTTTCCCTTTCGGATGTCTTTTGTTTATATTCAATTAAGTTGTGTAAGGTGAATTCGATGCTTTGTTTGGTTTTACCTAAGTACTTGGTTTGATTTATTCATCTGGCTGGTGGTATGTTTTCCTGGGAGTTCCTATTCACTGATCCTAAGTCTCAAACGTCTATTATAACTGCTAACTAACAGCCCCATCTTGCCACCCGTGGCAATAAACAAAGAACAGGCACAGTCCAGGGAGGGCCTAACAAGTCCCTGTGGTCCTTTTCACCAACAGAGATGAGCCAGATATAGAAGGGAGCAAAATAAAAAATAATTCTTAAGAGTAAGAAAGTGAACAAGGGAGATAATGAAGAAGGAAAATGAAAGAGAGGGAAGAAAAAAGGACGATAACAAGGAAACCTGTGGACAACAGTGAACAGTTCACATCGATTTATTCTACTGAGCTGTTTCTCCAAATGCTTATAATTCTCCTGAGAATATACCAGAGAAGCAGAAGGGCAGAGGGCCACCAAAGAGATAGAATGTCCAGCCCAACTTTCAAAGTGTGCATACCTGAAGGTGAACTTTTGGCATGTGGCAGGATTGTCGTTGACGTCTTCCACAATGAAGGTTATCTGGATGCGATTCTCCTGACCCCCATATGGTCTGTCCTTCACTAGAACTTCCAGGGAAATGGTGGGATTTTGTCTCAATTCACCTGCATCTCGGTCTATCCTTTGGGCCACTTGGATTGTACCAGTCACTGAGAAAGCAAAGGTTAGAACGTGACCCTTTGAAGAGAAATGAAAAGGAATACAGAAACTTGGAGAAAACTGGAAAAGACCATTCGAACATGAGGAAGAGCTTATGCAGAGCATAATCTCTATACAAATACATTTTTGAAAACCCATTAAGTTCCTGTGTTAGACATTCATTGGGGTATCTGGCCTGACCCTTCTAGGATTTTTCACACTGTACTTCAGAGTTGGGTCCCTGGTGGCGGCCCTTGCCCAGAGTGGACTGGACTGGTGAATAACTGACTCCAGCTTGACCCAGAGGGCTCTCTTATTGGAGAATTTATAACTGAAAGGCACACATTGGAGGATCAGTCAGGCTAATAGTGGAGCTACAGAACCAAGGTCCCTGGAGCAGCACTGGGTCACATCCTTTCTATGTCCCCATCTTTTTACATTTTCTTAAGAGATGCACAGAATCCTGTTGATAGATGTGCCTGCCTTTTTTTTCTTTCTTTTTTTTTTTTTTTTTTTTTTGGTTAGGTTGGTTTACCTTAGTTTCTGTTACCTGCAACCAAAAAATCTTAATAAATATGCTCAGAAAAAAACCAAAAACCTCACTCTACTTGTTAAAAGTTGAATTTCGCAACACTAGAGTGAACAGAATTCTCAACCATGGTTGTCCCTACACTATCAGCTGACAGGGCATCAGGATGTTTTCAGAGGCAGTGCACAATTATTGCCTTTGCCTGGCTCTCCTGGGAATAGGTGTCTTTTGCCCGAAAGCCTAAGGAGCCAACAGGACATTGTTTTTCTGGCATTGTCTAAGGCTGGACGTCCTTTTTGGTGATGCAATCAGGACTTATAAAGGTGGGACAGTCCGGTAGTGGTTAAGAGGACAGGCCCGAGGAATCAGGCAGCTTAGGTTGGTACTTCTGCTTCATGACCTACAAGCTGTAAGACCTTGAACAAATTGTTTGACCTGCCTGAGGCTCTCCCTAGGCCTCAGTTTCCTCATCTGTAAAATGTGAATGATGATAGTTCATTGAGTTGCTATCTTGAGTACTTGAGATGAGATGTATGTGAATAATCACTCAGCATAATGCCTGGTGTGTACTAAGGCCCCAGAAAAAGATGGTTATAGAAGAGCAGAGAAGTCCCCTTCAGAGATATTCAGATGGAAAAATAACTCCCATCAGTCTGGCAGATTGACCAAGATGACACTGTCCCATACAGTTACCACTAGTCACATGAGAGTTATTGAGCAATTAAATGGTGCTAATCCAAATTGAGATGTACTGTAAGTACAAAACATACAACAGTCTTCCAAGACTCGGTACCAAAGAAAATGATATGAAATATCTCATGAATCACTTTTTTTTTTTTTTTTTTTGAGACAGGTTTTTGCTCTGTCACCCAGGCTGGAGTAGAGTGGAATGATCATAGCTCACTGCAGCCTTAAACTCCTGGGCTCAAGGGATCCTCCTGCCTCAACTTCCTGAGTAGCTGGGACTATAGGTGTGTATCATGACACTCAGCTAATTTTTAAACTTTTAGTAGAGACAGGGTTTCACTACGTTGCCCAGGCTGGTCTCAAACTCCTGGGCTCAAGCAATCCTTTGGCCTCAGCCTCCCAAAGTGTTGGGATTACAGACATGAGCCACCATGCCTGGCCATGAATGACCTTTAAGTATTGATAACATGTTGAAACAATATTTTATACATGTTAAAAATACCTAATTAAAATTAATTTCTCCTATTTCTTTTTACTTGTTAAAAATGTGACTACTAGAGACTTTGAAATTACGTAAGTGGCTTCATTCTATTCCTATTGGACAGTGCTAATATAGCCCCTCTCTTCAGAAGACTTCAGGGAACCCTCAGGATAAGTAACCCATCCATCCTTACACACCTGCCTTTGAGAAAAAGGTGATGGGATTCAGGACATATTACCCCAAAATATGGCACCTTGGCATTTGAGAAAACAGCAGTTTTGAAGCAGTCATAAGAGCTTCATTCCAGAGGTAACCTACCTATAACTGGAGGAAAGGAACATCCTATTCTGGAAGACAGAGATGCCAGGAAGAATCTGAACAAACGGACCTTGCTAAATTCTCCCAGGTTTATCACACCCTTTTGTCCTCCAATCATACTTCTCCATAATTACTCACTTCATCAAACTGAGCATAAAAACACATGGGTTTCCCTGTTTCTTTGAGTCTTCATTTCTGAAGGCTCTGGTGTGACATAAACTTAACATTAAATGAATTCGTATGCTTTTCTCTTGTTAATCTGTCTTTTTTTATAGAGGTCTCAGTCACAAGCCTAACAATGGGTAAGAAAATAAATCTCTTCACTGCCCCCCACCCATCCCCCACAAAGGTGAAGGGTGACATAGCTGTCAACCCTGTTTAGTTTGCCCAACCCCCATGCCAGCTGCTTATAATACATCTATTACCTTGGTAACCAATGATGACCCCAGACAGAAAGACATGCCCAATACCAGAAGATAAGAAAAATACAATTGGCCCTTTGTATCCATGGGTTCTGCATCCTCAGATTCAACCAACTGAGGATTTAAAATATTCAGGAAAAATAAATGGCTGGCTGCATTTGCACTAAACATATACAGACATTTTTTTCTTGTCATTATTCCCTAAACAATACAACAACTATCTACATAGCATTTGGTATTATAAGGAATCTAGAGATAATATAAAATATACAGGGGGACATGCATAGGTTATATGCAAATACTAAGCCATTTTATAGAAGAAACTTGAGCATACGTGGATTTTGGTATCCACGGTGCATCCTAGAACCAATTCTCATGGGTAACGAGGGACAACTACATTGTAAGACAATCCACATGGCTGAATTAGAGGATGCACTTAAGGATGGAAGTGAGTGGCTTACACTGATTTATCATGAAATATTTGCTAACAGTGGTAATGCTGTAGAGGAGGTGGCTGGGAAAACCTTCATCATCAGGATCCTCCGCTGTGATATTGGCCACGATGGTTCCTGGACTCAGTTCCTCCAGGACTGTGTACACTCGTGTCGGGCTGGAACAGAGATACAGCAGACACAGCTAATTTCCAGGGGCACGGGAAGGTAGCATCTAGGCGATTGGTATTTTGGTTAGTGCTAAATATAGTGCAGAGCTGTTCAAGTTGCATCAACATGCTCAGAGGGAGAGCACAGCAGTGGAAAGGAGGGGTGGCTGGCTTTTGTATCCCCAAAGACCACATCCCTGTGGATGTGAAGAAAGTACCACGCTGTCATTGCAACAATTTACATGGGCCACAGTCTCTGACTCTATGCACCTCTGCCTGATGTCATTTCAGATCAGCCTTGGCATTAACGTCTTTTGAAATAAGGACAGGTGGCCTATCCAGCTATCTTTTCTCATTTTCCCACGTTTTGTGCAGATGTCCCTGGATTCTTTTAGATATCACTGTGTCCAGAGTTACATGCCAGGGTCATGTCCAGAGCTGCGGGTTCCCTCCCTTGTTCCTGACTCCCATCCCATGGCTGCCACCAGAAGCCAGAAAAATTGTAAAGCTTCTCTATTCTCATGTGTTTGCTCACTTTTTTTTCTTCCTTGTCTTTTTTTTTTTTTTTTTTGCCTGAGGATATAGAATTTATGCACAGAACTCGTGCACCTTTCCAAGTTGCATTAATCATGAGGTCAGCTCTCTGAACTGAGAAATAGGTCCCCTGAAGAAGACCAGGCCCCATCACTGTCCTTCTTGCAAGATAACCCCAAATCACCAACTTACCCATCTTCCTCAGACCTTCACCAATGCCTTTGGAACAGGCCAGTAATGAGACTGATAGGTTGGGAGTTTTAACTAACTATACATTGAGTAATTTTGAATGCTCTAAGGGAGGCTTATTGTTTAAAACAACTCTGCAGGAAGTCCTTTTGCTGAGGGAAAATCATTTCAGTGGGGCAAGTAGTCACCTCTAATTTCCCAGTTACCCAAGTGGAGGTCTTCCCATGTGGGATCTTCTTTGAAAGGGGTATAGTACCTCTCAGATCTAAGTGACGGCATTCCTTTCGTGAGCTCAGAATATTTCTGCTGTGCTATCTCACCATCCCTATAAGGTAGGTAGGGCCAGAGGAAGGAGAAATGGCAGGGAATCAATAGCTAAGTCAGGGGCAGTCAGAGAAAGGCAGGAACCAGGGCTTCACCCCAACCCTCCCTACCAGAGCTCCTCCCTGGATCCAGGGTCCCCCCACATCTATTCACAAGGTGGACTTCTGTGGGTATACTCCATTGCTGGAGGAGAGTAATCATGTTCAGCCTAAGGTCACCCCAGTGTCCCACTGAAACAGGCCCATTCATCCTTTCCCTTACTTGACATATCCCCTTCTCAGGCAATCTGTAATGCTGCCCCTGATGGATCTAGGAATAGACAAAGTGGAATGGGGCCAAAGAGGTGGGATGGCAGGAGCCAAAACCAGAGCCAGGAGGGAAGGATATGGCCCCAGCGCCCCCAGGCTGGGCCAAGCCCCTCGGTCCCTTCTGTGAATGCCCCTGTTGCTAATGTAGTATGTTTTTGCTTTGGTCATCATGAGCGGGTTCTGTTAACTTCCAAAAAAGAGGCCACTAAGATGCCTGTGCTAATCACACAGCCATGAGCTACTGCTCCAAGCATGCTCCTAGTAAAAGCATCACCAGGGAGCTGGTTAGACATGCAGACCTCAGGCCCACCCACCCCAGCCCTCTGAACCAGGACTGGCTTTTTCACAAGATGCCCAGCTAATCTGCATAGACTTTAATGTTTCGGAAGGATGATTATAAGGTGATGCCAGAGGTGGCAACCACAGGCTCCCAGCCTCCCCACGGGACAGAGAGAGGACACCTGGGGAGGAAAAGCCCCTTCTTCCCATCATCCCTCCTTCCTTCTCAGGCAGTGGTTCTCAGCTGGGGGGCCGGGGGTGGTGTCTGAACATGTTTGATTTTCACAACTAGGGGAGACAGCTACTATTGATGTTTAGGGGATAGAAGCTGGAGATGCTGCTACACATCCTCCAATGCACAGGACAACCCCTCTACAATGGGGTACCTGGCTCAATGCCAGCAGTTCCGCTGTTTAAGAAACTCTGCTCTGAAGGCTCATCTAGTCCATGCTGGGTGCTCCAGGAACCCAGATCCCCACGAAGGGAACTGGTCAGGCTACTGGCCACGATGCAGCTCCTCAGGCGAAATATTCTCTCCTTGGCTAACCTGACATTAAGCCTGGCAGGAGATAAAATCTTTAGTCTATTTGATTTTTGAATCCAAGATACAGGTATGTATAAAATATCATTCAACGGAGACCACAGTTAAGAGCTATTCAAAGCACAGTGAAGCTAGGTGCCATGCAGCTACCCTGACACAGTAAAGCTCTGCTACCACTTGTATTCCCACATCCTTCTTCCCCGTAACACCTGACCCCCAGAGCTTGGGCCAGTGGCCACACTCACAGGGAAGGGTGTGAATGCTGGGAAGCCATGGATGGCTTCACCACTATGAATGAGTATTCAGTAAGTGCCCAAGGTGTGCATGACACTGCCAAGCACCAGGTGGAAAAGGACTGAGTAAATACAAAAGAAATGGGCAGGAGGGGAGAAAGACCTACCTACCCAACTCTAAAATAAAGTGCTGTGCACACACAGCAAGCTCTGTGCACAGGGAAACAGTAAATATGTCAGGTGCTTTTTTTTTTTCTTTTTCTTTTTCTTTTTTGTTTGAGATGGAGTTCTGGTCTTGTTGCCCAGGTTGGAGTGCAATGGCATGATCTCAGCTCACTGCAACCTCTGCCTCCTGGGTTCAAGCGATTCTCCTGTCTCAGCTTCCTGAGTAGCTGGGATTACAGCCACCATGCCTGGCTACTTTGGTACTTTTAGTAGAAACAGGGTTTCACCATGTTGGTCAGGCTGGTCTCGAACTCCTGACCTCAGGTGATCCACCCGCCTCAGCCTCCCAAAGTGCTGGGATTACAGGCGTGAGCCACTGCACCCGGTGTGTCAGGTGCTTTTATAATAAAATGTTCAACTTCAATAATGGCAGACTCCTGGAGCATGCATCCTGAATCTATAAAGCTTTCTGACATTTGTCACCACCAGGGGTAAAATGGGGAGACATTTTCAAGAACAGACATAGGACTTGCTTTGGTTGTGTTAATTGCATGCGTTTAACAAATAGTAAAGATAGAAAGGCTGTCTGTACATTTTACATTTGTATTTCAGGCTCAAACTCAGTACACTTGAGTCTGTTTGAAGATTTAATTTTGTTAATCCTGAATTAAAGAAGTTATCGTTAGTGCTAGCACTGATTTACAGGAAAAGGAGGCTGAGAAGCTCAAGGGAACCATGAAAGCCCTCCAAGTCAGCACGTAGTTTGAAACCAAGCAAATCCTTTCAAATTTTGATGGCTGAGGGATGAGGTTGACCCTCATTGACTGCCTGAGCCAAGCCTGGGCAGCCACCCTGCCCCCACTCCTTCTTTTGGAGTGAGGCTCTGGCAGACACACCCTCACCTTCATCCAAGGAATGCTGTTTGAAATAAAGTCGACTGACTTAAAAAAAAAAAGACCGTCACACAGATCATGCTATCTGCTTGGGGATGGAGCCCAATATGTTCCTCTTTCAAACCTAAAATGAGAACCAGAGAGTTCCAGGCTGACCTCTGGGTGCATCCCACGCCAGCGAGGGTCATGTTCTCTCTCTCTCTCTGCTAAAAGTCAGTTTCTGTATTTTGGAAGATGTGATCCAAACCAGATGGTTTACAAGCTCTGCCCCTGGGGAGGACTTATTATTTTCCCCTTTGAAACCCCATTAACCTTCCTCCCCTCCTCCCAGATGGGACTTGTGGGGAAGGTGTCAAAGAATGCATCTGCTCCAGCCCTGCAGCCATCACCTTCCTCTGGGGGTTCTTGAAGAATCTGCAGAGCTGTGTGGGCCCATACCTGAGCCTGAGTCCGGGCTGGGATGTCATAACTGTTAATAAGCTGCCTAGACTTTGCTCCAGGAGCCACCTGTCAGCCCAAAGGCACTGAGCTCTCCTTCTGAACCTAACCCAGCATCAGGTGCTGATGGAAAGCATTACATAGCCATTTAATAGCAGCAGATAAATTGAGGGTCAAGGATTGAAAAAGGAACTGCAGCCCAGGCTGCAGGGCTGGAGCAGACGCATTCTTTGACACCTGCAACTGGACTGTAGACTATGTTAACATCCAGAAGTTGTGCAATTGTGGTGTTTGCCAAGTGGCACCAGGTTAGTCTGGGAGTGAGGTTGCCTTAAATACCTCGCAATCTTGGAGTAGTTTTGCAAGTCCTCTACCCAGCTCTGAGGCCTAATGGTCTTTTATTGGTGGAGTATCCTGTGCTGAATCTATTCATAACCGTTCATGCTGTTAAAGGTGATTTTGCCTTTCCTTGTGGCTGGCTTCTATGCCCATCTCAGGGACTGGGGCAGGCAGAGGCTCTGTAAGCAGTATGCCAGGCTGTTTGCAGTGCCATCTACTAGCTCAGAATCCCATCTTTTCCTCCTAAATCCCCATCTACAATAGGCTCAGATCTTCATTTTGTGCCTGGGATAGTGCCAGGCACATTTCCACAAACTACCCTCCACCCGATGCATTTACCCTTCCCACCTCTGCTGGACAGAGGAGCTGCCAGACACAGCCGGATCACTTTTCTGGATCCACCATGGCAGGAAGAAACTTTAGAGCAGCCAGTAACAGGCAGGCACCGTGAAAATAGCCCTCTCCTCGGTGTGAGGATAACATACTAGGAGCGGGCGTTAGGGAGTCGTGAGTGATGATGCATGCTCTGGGACTCTGCTGTTACTAAAGCGCGGCACTTTATTTTAAAAGCACCCTCTGCATGTGCACAGTGCAGGCCACACCCCGGGGCATGTGTCCACCCCTTCTCCCCACCATATCCAAAATCCCATGGTGCATGTGAATGTGTGGGTACAGGAGGCAGAGGCAGCAAAGGTGGAAAACAGCAGTCCAGAGGCCCAGATAAAGACTCTGAAGAGCACGTGCCTCTAATCTTTCCTGCAGGCCACAGCAAAGGGCATCCCTCTGCCTTGTATTAAATGTGCCGGAGGAGACGAGGCCGCCTAAGAAGGACGCACCTGCGGCCCAGGGAGTCCTGCATGCCCTCAGGCCTACCTGGTAAAGCGAGGGACTTCGTCGTTGAGGTTCACGATGTTCACCTGGAGCTCTGTGGAGGCTTTGAGGCCTCCACTGTCCCTCACCTCCACGATGAGATGGAAACTGCCAGGGAAACATTCCACGTGAGAGAATCAAGCTTTGCTGGCACTACTTCAAAATAGGATGGGGAAAATCATGGGGTGGGAGGAGTGAGAGCAGACCCTGCCCCTTTGGTGGTGAGCCTCTCCGTAATGCCCCCACAGTCTCAGGGCCTGCAGGGTGACCTTTCTCCCCCCGTCTCCAAACCCGCTGGCTGCTTCTCATTCTGCAGGGGCTATTCACCACCATTGTCCCACCAGGCCAGCATCTGCTCAAGCGCCATGCTGCACATCTATCCCGGTGTTTTTCACAAGATCTCTGGAAAGTGCATATCACTCCCACTGGAGGGAGTGAGGCCCCCATGGCTCACATGGCTAGCTCTTGTTCCCACACCCGACGCAGAGCCAGGAGCCTCACCTGCTTCACCCCAAGGCCAATGTGTTGTCATCCACTTCCCCTCATCAGCCCCTTTGCTTGGATGGCTGCCTTTCCCAAACAAGATGGGGTCTGAGAAATCTTGTATAGATCACCCTTGACATTAATGACTACATCTTAGAAAAAAAATGCCATCTTCCATTTCAAAAGGCATCAAGCCAACAGGGTCCAGATGGTCACCTAATCAATAAAGACAACACTCAACCAGATAAGGGCATAATCCTTTACTACCAGTCTTCGCCAGTGGACTCAAGGGCCATAAAACGAGCAGGACTTCACCGGCTCGACAAGGCCATCTTGACAGACCCTGTCTTGCTGTCACTTGTAATCAGCACCCAGCATCTGCCCAAATCAAAGACTCTTCCTTGCAAGACATTGATGACCATCTGGATGTGGCCAAGACACTCTCCGTGTCCACATCACCGTCCTTGGTCTGGTTTATTAACCTCTTTTCTCATGATGTTAAATGTTACTTTGTTTGATGTGGAATGTTTAATTTATAACATTTATGTGCTGATGAAGTATACTATGTATGGTTTACAATACTGACTGACCTGTGGAGTGGCTTGAGCCTATGTGCTCTGACTACTGAGTTAGCAAGAGGTCTAAGGAGAGTTGCCTCCTTGGGAATTCCATGTAGCTCATGGCTTTTAGGATTGAAGTAGCATCAGTGAAAACCTGACCTTATGGAAAGACACAAATGTGCATGGACCTGGTTATGTCTGACCTTGCACTGCTCATGACACTCTTGTACTTGGGCACCCTCTCCCATACTGTCATTCTTGTTCTCTGGAGACCAAAAGAGGCCTCCCAGACAATTGCCTTATTCCCCATCCCTCTCTGGGGTTCACTACCATCTGAACTTACAATGACGCTGTAGACTGCTCAAGGGGCTCCCCCCAGCTGCCCTCAGGTTGCACTGTGACCTATCCCTCATGTTTTCCTTGACCCTCAGATAAACAGTACTTCATGCAAGGTCAATAGCAAGACTACCTTCTGTGTCCTGCTTCAAAGTCCAATTCTGTTGTGGAGAAGAGGGTGCCATTAGCAGACATTCTGAAGCTCTTTGGGGGAGAAATCAGGAAATACTAAAAAACAAGGGAAAAAAATTGATGAAATCAGCCCACCTGCCCACCCTTCCCCAGAAGATGTGTGTGCTCATTTCCTATTTTATGTTCTTAGCCCATGGAACGTTCTCGATGCATCAGGATGCGGTTCAAAGAGCAGTTATCCAATTTAATCGCTCTTGAATACAGAAACTTCTGGCTCTGTTGGTCTGAGCCCTGGTTGACCACACCCTGAAAAGCTGGTGAGTGGATCTTGTTCTAACTACAGAAAGCATATAAAAGGCCCCTGTCAAGGCAGGCTCTGCTTCTGAGTCCAATCTTCTTATCCCTATCACTGTGTTCTCACTCCTGGACAACTTCTGGCTTTGATTCTATGCCTTGGCTTTAACCAACACTGTATTTAAATACAGTGTATTTAATACAGCTACTACCCACTAGGTAATAGGACTATACCTATTACCTATTTAATACAGCTACTATACCTATTTAATACAGCTACTACCCACTAGGTAATAGGACTATACCTATTACCTATTTAATACAGCTACTACCCACTAGGTAATAGGACTATACCAAAGTGAGTAGGATCTGGTCACTACCCTTAAAAACAACTTACAATATAGCAGGGCGCAAAATGCATGAGCATCAGTTATTGAAATGCCTGAAGGAACAAGGGACAAGGGTGAGCTGAGAATGAAACATAACAGGGCTTACAGTCCAGGTTGGAAGCCAGTTTAGGGATTCAGAAGAGCTGTTTTGAAATCTAATCCCTGGCACGTGGCATAAGGAAAGTCCTTCCTACATCTTTGGGTAGTTGAGAGTCTTTGTCATCATAGGCTTCCAGCCCAGCTCTCTTGATGACACCCTGCCCAGATCTCCTTGATCTGATAGGAAGAGACAGGTTTATGTGTACAGCCCGCTGAGGGTGAGCCCATAGGAAGACCATGCCCGTGCCACCCATGGCAGCCCATCAGGATTGCTCTGTTTCTTCCACAATGGAGTCAAGAAAACAGGGGAAGAGCCTGGATCAGAAGAGCTTGGTTCAAGGTCCAAGTTCTTCTTCTTCTTTTTTTTTTTTTTTTTTTTTTTTTTTTGTGAGACAGAGTCTGGCTCTGTCACCCAGGCTGCAGTGCAGTGGTGCTATCATGGCTCACTGCAGCCTCCGCCTCCCGGGCTCAAGTGATACTTGCATCTCATCCTCACGAGTGGCTGGGACTACAGGTGTGTGCCACCACACCTGGCTAATTTTTTTTATATTTTTTTTTGTAGAGACAGGGTTTCACCATGTTGCCCAGGCTGGGCTTGAACTCCTGAGCTCAAGTGATCCACCTGCCTCTGCCTCCCTGAGTGCTGGGATTACAGGCATGAGCCACTGCGTCTAGCTTAAGCTCTGGTCCTCACCACAAGATCTGGGACAAGTGCCTTTCTTGCCTATAACTTAGGGCTGATGTGACCAATTGCTCCTTCATGTTATTGAGGATTAAATGAGAATGCGTGCCGTAAAATATGAAGGATCGCAGCAACGCTAGAGACTCACATGTTTATATTCATTTCTTCCAAAGGGCTTTAAGGTTAGAAGGTTTCATTATTTCCTGCTAGGATGAGGGATGTTCTATCCTCAAGGCCTTAGATCTCTGGATCAGATCATCAGTGGAGGTTTTGCAACCACAGCCACAGCCCCTGAAGTCTAGAATCAAAGGAAACACCTGCCAAGGTTTCCAACCCAGCGATTTGCTGTGTTATGATCGCTGCTGAGCTCCCAGCACAAGAAGACAGTGTGCACAGAAAATAGATTAAAGGTCTCCTTTGAGGCCAATATAACGTTTTTAAGCCATTTTTAAAGTTTCCTTTTGTTTATTATTTAATAATGTTTTTCTAGTTGTATTGACCATATTTTATACAAAACTGAGGAAGACAGAAAAGTATAAAAAAGAAATGAAATATGCCACCTATTAAATCTCATTTTGGTGATTAGCCTTCTGTTCTTTTCTATGCAAACGTATACCCTCCAAAAATAGCAATGATGTTATCATCAAAATTATAATATCTGTTCATTGTGTTTATATCTTGAGCATTTACCCCTATTCTTAAGTCTTATTTTATAGCCTGGTTAGTTAACGATGGCACAGCATCCTACCACAGGGGTTTATTTTACTAAATCTTTCTTGCTGATCATTTAGGTGTTTTCTGCTCATTTTTAAGGGGAAATATTTGGGTGATGCCACAGAGCACCCTTCTCCCAGCCCCACAGATTGTGCAAGCACCTTGGCAGTACTCCCAGGTGTGGGGTTTAAATCCCAAGCCCCCCATTAACACTCCAGCTCACGGCCTGACAGCAATTGCCTAGGCCTGAAGTTGCCCACACACAGAGCAGTCCTCTGTCTTTGAGCAGAGCCTTCCCTGCAGAGAATCCTCGCATATCCATAAATCAGCACCTTAAGCTACATATGATAGAATGACAGGGTTTTAGAGACTCATGGGTTGGGGAGGAGATTTACTGTATGTACCTGAATCAGGGCGTCCTTCCACATGTGTTTTGAAATGCTCTAGGAGCTGGATCTCCAATTCTGGTTGGTCCCAAGCACTGTAAGGCCTTGGGATACAGAGAATGCAGACAGGCCCTACACTCCAAAATCTTATGGTCAACCGAGGGAACAAAGGTTTGGGGAGGTGCTCCAAAGGGGATACATACAGGATATGACGGGAACTGAGAAGAAGGACTCTTAGACTCATCTGGAATACAAGAGTCACAAATTAGGGTAATAAATTAAGTTTGGTGACTCTGGAGCCAGAATACCTGGATGTGAACCCTGGTTCATCACTTTGTAGCCATGTGAGTGCCTGCAAAGAGTAATAATACTAGGGCATGCCCCACGGGTTATCATATAAAGTGCTAGAACAATGCCTGGTACATGGCAAGCCCTCAATAAATGTTAACTACTGCTGTCCCATTAGAAGGGATCCATGAGGGAAAGGGCTTCATTTTATTCACTGCTATATCCTTAGTGACTAGCACATAATAGATGCTCAATAAATATTTGTTCGATGTTAAATATTGGGGTTTTCTTCTTGTTCATTTCCCATCTTAGTAAGACCAACATTCCCACCTTAGAGAATCTTAAAACAAAAAAGCAACAACAAAAAACCATCCTGTAAAACATTTTTTAAAAATATTTGAATGTAATAATGCTAGACTTGGCTTTAAAATCTTCTCCAGTTGGGCCCACAGTCTCAACAACTTATGCAGAAAGGAAAGAAAGGAAAAAAGAAAAACAGCAGCAGATAAAAAGGATGTGGAGAACTGTAGAACTAGGCACATGAGAATTTTCTTTTTAATTTCTATGAAGAGGATGATTTCCTGGAATCTTGATTTTTTTTTTCTTTTTAACACCAGGCTAATTTCTTTTTTCTCTGAACCTAAGAGCTGTGTTAATGGGAATAGCAGTTTTGTACTTAGAGAGGAGATAATATCCAAAGACTAAAAATATTGTGTCATGTGGCCATTTGCCAGCGACTCAGCAAGGCTCTCTGTAAAACCTGGCATTTTCTCCCCCTTTTTAAAGGCTTGTTTAATCAAAGCTGCTCCCTTGATATTCATTCTTGGAAAACAGAAATTAAATAGAATGAAAAGCAACTGCAGCCCCTCTCTGCCCCCAGTCCTGGCTAAGAAAAGTCCTGAGTAATCAGATCAATTCAGTTAACAAATGCTTGTCAGACAAGCTCTCTGGTTTTCCTGCTGGGAATATTTCTTTACCACCACCCCAGGTTTCTCTATTTGCCGCCCCTTTGCAGCTAGGTTTGCTCTCAGACACAAAAGCTTTAGTTTGGAAGACAAGAAGCCCATCCTTCCTGCCCCATTCACCCTTGATTGTGCCTTGGTGTAGGGAGAAAGGAAGGTGAGAGGGAGCTGGCCCAGTTTCCAGAAATGTCAGCTCCCTGGGGTACGAGGGGAACGCCACCTCCAGGCTTGCTTCCCCACTGCAGTAGGAGTCACCGACCAATGATTCAACCTGTGCCACTTTGCAGCTATCAGTTGCTTTCAGTAGAAACAAACAACAAGAATTCAGCTTCTTGTCTTTTATAGAATAGAGCAGTCAACTACCAGGCCACCGCAGGCTGAGTTTCCAGAAGGAAAGACCCTTATTCGGCCCACATCCAGGGAGTGTCAATGGCTCCACAAGCCACTGAGTACATGGCCCCAAACCCACCCCAGAGGGCCAGAGCACTCAGGACTGTGGCAAGTTACAAATATGTTGCCACATTCCTATATTTTTCAATGGAAGCTGAATATTTTGTAAAAGCCTCAATTCCTCTCTTTGTTTTCCCCTATTCCACCCTCGTCTCAGCTCAGAGGTGGGACGTGGAGGAGGAAGGAGGAAGAGTGCCTAGAAGAAAAAAAACTATCGTTAAAAAACTACCCACTGCAAGTCCTTAACGTGGCTCCTGCTCGTGGTTCATTGTTCTGAGGATGAGCTAAGTGGGTTACAGGCAAGTACTTGAATGTTTTTAAGAAGAGACACGATGACAAATGCAAAATGCTATTATTAATGTAATCCTTCACCGATAAAGCTGCAGATCCTATGCCCTCACATTCTGTCATTCTTTTTCCATAATTGGCCTGGGTTCTGTGCTGCAAGATTCAGGCTTTGCTAATCTTAATAACAATGATCCCCATCTATTTGAGAGTGTCCCACCCCACATGCAAACAGCCAGCAGTGACCACATATTTGGAGTGGGAATTGTCCAGTACCTTTGCTTTTTCCTTTTATGAGCCTTTGAACAAGAACCTGGAGTAGAATGAAGAATGCCTTTTGCTAAGACTTCAGGTGGTGACTCCTGACTCCTGAGTTGGCAGGCAGACACCAGGGGAGCTGAATGACTGGGGCAGGTGGGGGTGTATGGTGGGGACAGGGATGCTGTCACTCAGAAAAGCAAGGGGTAGGAAGCCAGTGGCAGAACTTGCCAGAACAGAGTAGAAGGGAGGTGGGTCAGGAGACCTGGGTTCTCACTGGAGTTACCTGACCCCTCAGTTCCCTCCCTCATCCAGAAATCAAGGACTGCCCAATGGACCTGAAAGATCCCATCCAGCTGGGACCCTTGATAGGGCCAGGTCTGGCATATGATGACCACTTTATACACAGGAAAACCAAAACTCACAACTGGCTGCCACTTCCTAGAGCTATGAGCAAGATAAAGACAGAAAGAGAAGGATGGCCCCTGCTGCGCTCCCAAAAGTCCAGGTAGTAGCTAGGTTATTGCTCTCTTAATTTAATCCTTTGTCTGCCTTGGTGAAGACAAAGCACATTTCATTTTATGCAAAAGCCCTTCCTCAATGGAAAGGCCAAAAGAAAGCCCCTTAATGGAGAAATTGCTGTACTAGATCATTTTGCCTCCAGCTGAGAGATTGATTAACATCCTGGGAGTCTCCAAGGAGGCTCTTCTGCAGTCACGGTGGCCATTTCCAAGCAGAGGGGGAAGCAGAGAGTGTGGGAGTTGAATGGGAGGAGGGTGGTCTCAAAGAGCCTCCTTCAGAAAGTGGAGAAGAGGTGGGGGGGTGGGTACCCAAAGAAGAAATGCCAGTAAAAATAATTATTCACATGCAGATCATCCTTCTCTATGTTCTGAGCCCATTATTAATGCATACCTCCAAGCCAAGCCCCGGCTCTACCTGCATGCCCACCACAACACAGAAGGTGCCCAGGAAGGGGGAACCAATGCTAGATCTAAGCCTGTGCCTGGCCAATGCAGTAGCCACTACCCTCACGTACGTGTGACTATGAGCATTGAAATGTGGCTGGTCTGCACGGAGATGATCTGTAAGTGTAAAATGCACACTGAGTTTGGACACCGAGTATGGAAAAAGAAGGCAAAATATCTCATTAATCATTTTATGTTGACTATGCTGAAATATTTTGAGTATACTGAGTTAAATAAGCTATTAAAATTAATTTCATTTATTTTGTTTTACTTTCAATGTGGCTACTAGAACATTTAAAATTACATGTGCAGGACTCATTTCTGGCTCACAGTATAGCTTTATTGGACAGAGCCGGTCCAATATTGATCAGTGTTGGTCCAAACAATGTACCAGCACATGCTTTTTAAGTTTCACTAAAAAGAAGGGAGCAAATACAAGTGGCTTCCAGATTAGTACCTGTTTTTCATTAACTGTGATACAGTTTCACTTTATTAAGCTGGAGAAGAGTTGTAAGATTTGTCATTTTAAAGGGGTTGAGGTTTCAAAATGCATCCTATAGCTATTTTTAAAAATCCATTATTCATTCTCTAGTTGCTGCCACCAGCAGGGTGACTCGTGGACCCCACCAGGTTAAGATGACAGACACAAACCAAGCCTAGGTCGCTTCAGGCATGTGCTTTAGTGTTTTGTTAAACTCTGTCCTTGTTTGTTCAGTCCAGTGGTTCTTGAAGTACATGGTACATCAGAATCACCGGGGAGGTTTGTATTCAAACTCAGCATTCTCAGGCAATGTCCAGGAATCTGCATTTTTAAAATCAGCCTAAGTATGTTCTAATGCCTGAACACACTTCTAAAGCCTGCAAAACACTTATAAACCGGTGTTTCCACTGGGTGTGGTGGCTCATGTCTGTAATCCTAGCACTTTGGGAGGCCAAGGCAGGTGGATGGCTTGACCCCAAGAGTTTGAGACCAGCCTGGGCAACATAGCGAAACCCTATCTATAAAAAATACAAAAATTAGCTGGGTGTGATGGCGGGCACCTGTAGTCCCAGCTACTTGGAAGGCTGAGGTGGAAGGATCACCTGAGCCAGGAAAGTTGAGGCTGCAGTGAGCTGTGATTGCACCAGTGTACTCTAGCCTGGGTGATAGAGGTAAGACCCTGTCTCAAAAATAAACAAACCAGTGTTCCCAGCCTTTTCGTCCAGAATAATTGCCTAAGATATTTGCCAAATATGCAAAATTGTTCTCAGACAATGCAGAAATGCAGACTCAGACTCGAAAACTCCAGGAGTGGGACTTGGAAATTTTGGGAGATGATGTGGCAAACCAGCAGTTCTCACCCCTGGCCATACATTAGATTCCCTGGGGGCTTTATAGTCCTAATGCCCAGGCCATATCCAAGTCCAATCACATCAGACTTTCACAGGGTGGGACACAGACATCCGTGTTCTTTAAAGCTCCCCCAGTGGTTTCAATTTACAGCCAAGGTTGAGAAGCACAGGTTGGTCAGTAGCAAATTAACCCACCTCCCTTCTACTTTTACGAACCTAACGATGTCATTTGCTTCTACTTAGTACCCCCAAGCACCCAGAATAAAACGTCTAAGTACAAAGGCCATAATATGTTATGTCCTAAACTGTTATTACCTTTTCCTAATCTGAGAAAGTTTTCTTCCAGATTATGTCCACCGCTCCTGCAGGCTGGCTGTTGACTTTCTGTACAGCTGTTAGTTCCAGCACAGGTGTTAAATATTTCATTAACAATTTCTGCTGCAACTCTGAGTACCCCCTCCCCAAACAACTCCTCAACTCACTGCAGAAGCCACAAGCCCCCGCAGCTGCTCTCAGAATGCTTTTGATGGCACTACATTTTTTTTTCTGAAGGGAGCAACACCTGCTGCAGTTGTTTCCTACCTGGGCAGCTTTCCTTCCTCTGAAAGGGTAGCTACCTGATCTAGGAGGTGTTTTTAAAGGGGCCATGACCTTATTCTGTCTGCATAATTTGGAGAGATACATTTAAAGTGGAGATTTAAAAACAAATATATGTTTGTCTTCACAACTGAAATTCTTTCCACTTTTCCCCCACTGGTTCTTATACAAACGTTATAGTAATTGTCATATTGGATTATAATTAGTGTATGCATGTATCAGAAATCAGAACACGATACCCCAAAATATGACATCTTGGCAATTGAAGAAAACCTTCTCAGAAGCAGGAAGCCCACTCTTTCTCCCAACTTTCTCCCCTGAAGCATGATCATAAAGGAATTCTCTGACCTACCACCCCTAAAAGTAGGTCATAAGAACCTGATTCTAGAGGATTCCAGACCCTACAACCAGAGACCAAGAAGAATCTGAACAAACAGGGCCTTGCTAAGTTTCCCCAGTTTATTACCTTTATGTCATACCCCTTTTTGTCCAGTTACGATTCTACACGACTGCCCATTCTTCATTGAACTTCAGCATAAAAATACAGTTTTCCCTGGGGGTCTTTGGGTCTTCATTTCTGAAGCCCTCCCACGTCATGTAAAACTTTGGTTAAATAAATTTGTTAATTTACTCTTCTTGTTAATCTCTTCTTTGTTATAGGAGTGTCAGCTGTAAACCTTTTGACAAGTGAGGAAAAGCTGTTCCTTCTCCCCTACGCATGAATGTCTGCCATTCAGTTTACGCTTCCTGAGGTCAATGTGTCCTACTCATCTCTGTTTCCAAAGTATCTAATAGGATGCCTGGCACATAGAGAGTTCTTTGTAAATGTTGAAATGAACTAAATATGTAAGTGAGGTGCTATACTTTGGGTTTCTGACCTTATCTCCATTAAGAATCCCTGGTCATCAGTAAGCAAAAGTGGCCATAGGGCACAGTTCTGGCCAGTGAGATATAGCAGAAGTCCTCTGGGTAGGGCTTCCAAGAGAGTTTTTGTTTTCCTGATAAAAAAAGGGACAGATTGGGCCTGCCTGCTCTATCCTGTATCCCTCCCTGGTTGCTTCTTTCTTTTTCTTGCATGGAACTCTGAGGTAAATCCGGGAGGTGCAGCAGCCATCTGGCAATCATGAGGTGAGAAAAAGAGGACAGTGCCAACAAACAAGCTCTGGTTAGAAAAATAGAAGCATAGGAAGAGCCCAGGCTCCTGATGGTAGCAGATGCACCAGTGCTGAACTGCCTGCCTGCCTCTAGACTTATTAGAGAAGAAAAAAAGTTCCCATGTACACGCCCATGGTTAAGTTTTGTTATTTGCAGACAAACACATTCCTAACTAGTATGAGAAGTATGTTATTAAGAAGTATGCATTTCAAGCACCTAGTATTGCTCTTAACACATAGACACCCATTAAATGTTTGCATATTCATTTATTCATGCAAATATTAACATGAATGAATGAGTTAATGAATGAATGGGTGATTTTTTTTTTTTACACAGAAGGATCATCTTCTAATAAAAACAGACTATTCCCTTACTTTAAGTTGTATCCAATAATTTTATAACAGCTTTGTTTCAGAGTCTGTAGACTATATATATTCGTCCTGGTATTCCCAAGGCTCATTTCTTCCTGTTAGAAAAAGTAGTCCAATTGAAGCTGCAAATCATGCAGCAAACAGTAGAAACAGCCTCCTGGTGTTACCAATTCCCCGAGTGTCATATTTCAAGTATTCTCTTCTCTGTAAGGCAGGGTCTGCAGGAGTGTTTCCTGCTCCAAGGTTAGTGGGGTGGGATTCGCTTTGTTTTTTCTTTTTTCTCTCCAACCTGGACTGCTCAGCTGCAGTGTGTGCACAGGCCACATTAGTGGGCAGAGCCAGGAGCTGAGGCGTCCACTCCCAGGGAACAACTAAGAGGCTTCACCTGAGGATTGGTGGTTATACTTGCCCCACTAGCAGCTACATTAAGAAAACTGATTAAGAAGGGAGAGAAGAGACATCCGCTGTCTCAGACTGAATCATGAGGCAATTCCCAGGACCCAATCTCCTGCTCTACAACCTAGAATTCTGGGGACTCCTTAATTTTTTTTTTTTTTTTTTGAGACAGGGTCTTGCTCTATTGCCCAGGCTGGAGTGTAGTGACGTGATCATAGCTCACTGTAGTCTCAAACTCCTAGGCTCAAGCGATCCTTCCACCTCAGCCTCCCGAGTAGCTGGAATTACAAGCACGCACCATCATGCCCAGCTAATTTTTTTATTTTTTGTAGAGACGAGGTCTCACTATGTTGCCTAGGCTGGTCTCAAACTCCTGGGTTCAAGCCATCCTCCTATCTTGGGATTACAGGCATGAGCCGCTGCATCTGGCCTCTTTTTTAATTTTTTAAACTTGGCTCTAAGCAGCTTGGCTTCATCTCTTGGGAAAGGTAGGTAAATGCTTGGATTTGGGGTGTACATTTTATGCTTTTAAAATAGAGCTGGTTTTTATGAGCTTAGATTTTTAAAATATTGAGCAGTTTTGATACACCCGGCACTGCACTAAGTGGTTTTACATGCATTGTCTATGTAATACTCACAGCTTCTCTACTGCAGTAGCTGCTGGTACTCTTCTTTGTTTACAGATGAAGAAATTGAAACTTAGAGAGGTAACAAATGGGCCTAGATCACACAGAGCCACAAATCCACTCCAGAGTGTCTGGCCCCAGAGCCCCTTTATTCATTCCAACCATCCTGCATACACTGTGTTTGGAAGTGGACGCACATTCCCCTGACTGCCACTGCCCAAACTCACCCCGCCAAGACTCAGGACAGCAGGCTCCTGTGTCTAACCCAACACGGACAAACACCACCTCTTCCATATAAGGACACTTACACTGAGGGGAATGTTTCGGCTTGTGTCTTCTGGATCGAAGGCCTCAACCTGGTAAATGAATCCAGGGTTTGCTCTTTCTACTATGTAGAGGTGTAGACCTAGACCAGTGTCCAAAGTGGAATAAGAAACATCTTATTAAAGCAAAAATGGGGAATTCCAAAATCAAGGCAGCTGTACACAACCAAGGGAACCAAGGGTGTTGGCATCGTGGGACCAAGAATGCAATAAAAAAATCCATGAGCAAGACCACTGGCCAACTTTCCTGCATGGATCCATTTAGGGTAATTCATAAAGTGCTAGGGTTGGCCAAGCTGGTACCAAGTCTTCATTCATGTCCTCTGTTGAGAGGTGCCCCAGGGTGATGCTGTTTGAGGTGGGGGAAGAAGGAGGTGATAGGGCAGAGAGTTGGGAAGTAAACCCAGGTAGGAACCTCCGGTGTGAGGATCCCCATGTGCTGAATCCATTTTAATGTGCAAATCTCTCCTCAACTGTGCTGTTACCCCTTGAAGGACACTTGGCAACTCCGCAGAAATGAGCCGTTGAAATGAGGGATCTTACAGTGGAACAGAGATAAATAGAATAAGTAGGGGAGGGCTACAGAGGCTCAAGGGAGGAACCAAAAACTGATTTCATCTGTTTCAGAGTTTTTCACAGTGATGGGGGAGGAGGGAGGAGCAGGCGGTACCAGCACTGACCAAGGGGCCACAGAGCTCTCACTCGGGCATTTTTTCCTTCCCAGTGATGATGGACAATATGAAAAGTAACTCACTCTATTGGGGGGCACCGTGCTGAGGACTTAACATACATTTTCTATTTTCATCTTCATAACAGTTCTATTAATATAAAGCAGGTATTGTATTTATTCTTTTAGCGTAATTAGTGCTTTTCAAATGAGAACACTGAGACTCAGGGAAGTTATGAAGTTGTCCTAGCTAGTAAATGATAGAATCGAAATTAAAATCCAGATGCCTTACATCTGAGCTTGAGCTTTCATTCACTTTTTATCACTCTCATGCTTCGTTCAAAAAAATATCTACTGAGCGCTCTGTCCAAACAGTGATCTACACACTGGGAATACAGCAGCTCACAAAACAGAACCTTACTCTCATGCAACTTCCGTTTCCATGGGAAGATATGGATAGCAAAATAATTGAGGAAAATGTGTGTATATTAGTGAGAAACATTATGAGAAAAATTGGGGAAGGAAGTGTGAGTTGGGTTACAATTTTAATAAAGTGGCTATGGAAGGTTAACTGTAGCGGGGAAGGACATGACACTTGTCAAGATTTTTTTTTTTTTTTTTTTTTGAGATAGGGTCTTGCTTTGTAACCCAGGTTGGAGTGCAGTGGCACAAACATAGCTCACTGCAGCCTCGACCTCCCAGGTTCAAGTGATCCTCCCACCTCAGCCTCCTGAGTAGCTGGAACTACAGGTACCTGCCACCACATCTGGCTAATATTGGTATTTTTTGTAGAGATAGGGTTTTGCCCTGTTGCCCAGGCTGGTCTTGAACTCCTGACCTTAAGCTATACTCCCACCTCAGCCTCCCAAAGTGCTGTGATTACAGGTATGAGCCACTGCACCTGTCCCTAAAGAAATGAGGAAGAGCCAGGAGATAGGAGGGGAGGCAGAGGAATCAGCAAATGCAAAATGCTGAGGTAGGGTCATGTTTGAGGCATTTGCAGATCAGTAAGGGGGCCAGAGGCTGGGTCACAGGGACTGAGGGGGAGAAGGGGAAAGGAGGAGGGGTAGGAGGGTAAGGAATGTAGGCAGCTTGCCAGATTTAATTGGTTCTTTTTTTTTTTTTTCTTTTTTTTTTTTGAGACAGAGTCTCGCTCTATCACCCAGGCTGGAGTGCAGTGGAGCAATCTCAGCTCACTGCAAGCTCCACCTCCCGGGTTCATGCCATTCTCCTGCCTCAGCCTCCTGAGTAGCTGGGACTACAGGCACCCGCCACTACATCCAGCTAATTTTTTGTATTTTTTAGTAGAGATGGGGTTTCACCATGTTAGCCAGGATGGTCTCAATCTCCTGACCTCGTGATCCACCTGCCTCGGCCTCCCAAAGTGCTGAGATTACAGGCGTGAGCCACCGCGCCCGGCCTTTAATTGGTTCTTAAGGAGACTCCCTTTGAGTGAGACGGGAATTTCTTGTAGGGTTTTAAGCAGAGGAGTGCCTTGATTTAACTGACGTTTTAATAGGATCCCTCTGACTGCAGTATGGAAAACAGACTGCAGGGGGGCTGGGAGGCCAGCTGCCAGCCATTGCAACAATCCAGGTGAGATGGGATGAGTGGCTTGGACCATGGTGGTAGTGATGCAGACACTAGGGTGGGGCCAGGTTCTGGGTATATTTAGAAGCTGGCAAGATTTCCTAAAGGATTTCATGTCAAGTGTGAAAGAGAGAGGAGTCAAGGATGACTCAAGGCTTGGTCCAAGCAACAGGAAGGATGGAGTTACTGCTAACCAAAATGGGAAAGATATAGGAGAAGCAGATTTGGGTGGGGGTGGAGGGTGGAGAGGAAGCCAGGAGTTTGGTTCAGAAGCACATTAAGTTTGACCTGTCAAACATCCAAGTGGAGATGCTGGGTGAGAAAGGTGGATGTTTGTGTTACGACCGCCACAGCTCAGGGCAGAACCTGAACTGAAATGACAGACTTGAAAGTTGTCAGAATAGGGATGATGCTCAAAGCCATGAGCTTGGGGGAGATCCTGTAAGACATTAGTTACTGTGTGCTCTGGTCCCTTACATTGTCCCTATTGTAGCAGAAACACGCTGCCCTCAAGAAGTCAGAGTCCATGGGGAGAATGAACAAGCCAGTCAATGACCAGGGTACACAGGGATGAGCCTAGGGGCAGCTCAGCCAGGTTCCTCCACAATGATCCACTCGAGGTCTCTCTCTGAGCTTCAGTTTCCTCCCTGGGACTGGGAGGGGACCAGGAGAAACCCTGCCTGTGAAGGGCTTTGCAAACTGTTGGACATTATTATTGGGAGTGTTGAGCTGGAGGACATTTCATTTATTCCCTGCTCATTAAGCAGCTGCCTTTTCCAGGGAAACAGCTGCTTGTTTATTTACTTTTTCTGTTTCTCTCTGTCCCCCAGGGCCCTCCCTGATGCCACTGTCTGGGCTGCAGTGCACATCCTGGTGTATCCTACCTTCTGCCAAGTTGCCTTGAAACTGAGGTGGCTCGTTCACATCTGTTACCTGGACAGTCAGGACTTGCAGGTCTGTGACACCAACCTCATCCTTCACATAAATCTGCAAATCAAATATGTTTGGTCCTGTTTCAAAATCTAGTTGTTCCATCCCAGTGGTGACAACCTAAAACAAAATGCAAAATTCTTAGTAACCATGTGAAAGAAGATCTGTTTTGCATGCATGCACTTTGCAAAGGGATATTCCTAGGAAGGAAGCATCTGGCATCCCGGAAACCAGCATTCATTCACTGTCAGAGGAACCAGTTGTTTTGCCTTAGTCCTTCCAACATAAGCCCTATGATACTTCACTAAAGGGACTCCTGCATGTGATGCTGCGTTTCCTAGGAAAGAAAAATAGTCAGGAGACCTTCTGATGCAATTGACTGGAGATGGAAAGCCTTATGTAACTAACCTGCACAATGTGCACATGTACACTAAAACTTAGAGTATAATAAAAAAAAAAAAAAATTAAAAAAAAAAAAAATTAAAAAAAAAAAAAAAAAAAACCTTCCACTACTTGGGGGTAGGCTCCTAGAAAAATCCTTTAACTACCCTGAATATAGTTAGATTTCCTCATTGTTAAGAACATGGCACCTGTATACATATGTAACAAACCTGCACGTTGTGCACATGTACCCTAAAACTTAAAGTATAATTACAAAAATAAATAAAAAATAAAAATAGAACCATAACTTGTATACATGCACATCTATATGCTGATGTTCAAGGGTCTAAGACCATGCACATCTTATATTACGCGTAAGGTTGCTGCAGGTCCATTGTGCAACAAACCTCATCATTAAACATGATAAATAAAAAATTTAAAAAAAGAATACTAAGCTTTCCTGGGATTGCCGTTAAGTTATATCTTGACTCATCACTTCATTCTAATTTTCCCAAAGCCACATCCAAAAATAAACAAGAGATGAAAGATACATCTGCGTAAGTAATGATATTTACTTAATCAACAGACTGTTCACTTTCTTTGTGCCTTTCCACACATTCTTCCATTGTCAGGAGCTTTTGTTGTCTGCACTATCAGTATTTTGTAGATGTGGGAGGGATGCGAGGAACAGGGCCAGAGAGACATCACCAGAATCTAGAGCTATTGCCAGCAGGAACTCTGGCGGTCTGTGTTGGGAGGGTCCTGCTGAAACCAACTGGAGACCAGCCTGTGATTGCTCGTATCTATAGGCACAGACTCCCACCAACTTAGAGCCTTGAACTCCCAGAAGGCCCGGAGCCCCTGGGGACATTGAGGACTAAATTCCATGTATGTCCTTAATTATGTCAGTAGAACCTTTCGGTTATTAATATGACTAGGGCCAGGTGATGAGACACTCAGCATCTTGCTGTGAAGACAGAACTTGGCTCCAACTCCATCTCCACCACTGAACTTCTGGGTGGCCTTGGGAAAATCACCTTCCCTTTCCTTGATTTTGTTTCCATGTGATTGTAACTAGGGAAATAATCATTGCCCTAGTTAAACAGCTGAAGAATGATACAAGGTATTAAAAAGCTAGGTCAAGCTACTATGGAAACTGAAGGAGAGAAAACTTCACTGTGAGCTGTGTTTAGCTGGGGAAGGCTTCGTAGAGGAGTTGGTAGGTATTATGTTGGACATTGCAAGTTCTAGGTTGGTTAAGAGAACAGGGCCACAGATGTGAATGAGTACTTGTGGTGAAAGGAGAGGGTATGGAAGATTGTCGAGGGGGGAAAAAGAGGTATTCTTGTGTCTACTGGTGAACAGAGGCAACCTAGGAGCCACGTAAGTGTAGATGAACTGGTCTCTATGCTGGGCACATGGTAGTGAGGGGCAGCACAGGGGTCAAACACACAGATGCTGGAGCCAGACTGACTGGCTTGAAAGCCCAGCCTTCCCATTGCTTAACCTTCCTGTGCCTTAGTTTTCCCATCTGTAAAATGGGGATAATAACACCTACTTTTTGGGTTATCATGAGGATTCGATGAGCTAATCTATGGGAAGTACTTAGAAGACTGTCTGGCACTGAGCAAACACTCTGCAAATGGTGACTTTTCTAATCATTAAGTAGTCAAAAACTGTTCAAGGAATATATGTCCACCAGAGCAGGTGGACTTCTGTTGAGATGATCCCCTCTCATGATTTACACCCTGGCTTCCTGATTTACAACCTGGCTCCCTGCTAAGCCTGGAGCCTCCTCCTGCATGCCAAGCTTGGATAGATCCTTGACCTCAGTATTACCTATTGCCAGCCTCTTCTCCTTGGGGAGTAGCTCTCACACCCCAGAGGAAGGAAATAGAACAGTCAAAAAATGGTCCAAAAATGTTGTATCTTGGAACCAAAAGAATGGGGTTGCTCTCAACACAAATGGAAAAACTGTTCTCGTTGTTGTTGTTACCAGCATTTATTGAGCATTTATGTGCCAGACTTGCCAAGTCATTCTGTGGAGTATTTCATTTGATTGTCACAATGACCATAGGTTGGTAAAACTTCCTCCATTTCACATTTAAGGAGATTAGCTAGGAGAGGGAGGGGAAGGAGCTCTCCTAAGGTCATAGCTGGGAGTGGTGGACCCTCGATTTGGTTGTGGGCAACCTTGCTACAGAGTTTTAGTGAAAGACAGTAAGTTTCACTTTAGGCATGTTAAATTTGAGGTTGTTCTGGATAAGGCCGAGCACATTTGTAGGCCACAGTGCTCACGACAGTAGATGGGAAAAGAGGGGAGTCAAGCTCAGAGATGGACAAATGAAAGAGGGGCAGGTGCTGGCCTCCACAGGACTTCAGAGAGCCCCTCTCTCCGCAGCCAGCTGGCAGTCACTCTTCCCTGGCCTCTTAAGCTATGCTTCTGGTGCTGCTCCAGGAAAACACCCTTGACCTATGATTAGCTACAAGTGGCTGAATGAGGACATCCCTCTTGCTGGGCAGTAGCAAACCAGCGCAGCATGAGGGCTATGAACAATAATTCTTGGGGCAGCCTACCTGATTGCAAATCTCAAGCCTGCCATCTCCTAGTTATGTGAACTTGGGCAAGTTGCTCAACCTCTCTATGCCTCAGTTTTCCCACCTTCAGTGTGCAAGCAACAGTACACCACTTCATAGCATTCTTATGAGGATTAAATAAATGCATTCACAAAATATTTAGGGAAATTCCTGGCATATGGTAAATGCCCCGTAAATGAAATGTTAGCATCCTCCTCCTCATTATTATCATTACTCCTCCTCACCACCCCCTGCACCACCAGAAGTCTCAATAGCTGTGTCCCAAAGCAGGGAGGCTTGGCCTCTTGCATGATTTGGAGTTTACCCCCAGAAAGTACAAATGAGTCACAAGAAATGGTGACCCAGACTCGCCATCCTCCAGAATGTCAAGGCTATCCAAGGAGGGGCCAGATTCTGCCATGGAGATTTTCATGTCTGGAAGGCTGCAGGAGTAACTCTTGTGAGCAATTTCGGTTGGAGAGTAGGATCTTCTTGGAGGGATGGTAGAGGACGTTGGGTAGTTTCTGGGGAGAAGCAATCAGTTCTTAAGAACAGCTTCATGACTTGTGAAACTGTGGCCCATCTTAGTACCAACACAGGGTTGTACGCAGCTGCGGGATGTGATGCAAGGAGGGCACAGGACTAGGACAATACACCAAACACTTGAGCCTAGATGAGTTGAGGTGCTAAGCAATCTGCCATTTCTAGAGGTTAGGAACAGGATGGAATTCTTCCTTGATTAACAGCCCTGCTTGAATCCCACAGAATGTGGGAAGAGCAGGTCCCTTGAAGAAAGAGTTGAGAGCTCACACAAACAGCGATAGACATACATGGCAATATGACAGAAAGCCTGGAACTGGAAATCAGGAGACTGAATGAAGTTCTTATTTCACCTTTTACGGCTATGTGATCTCAGATAAATCATTTAAACTTGCTGGGTCTCTGTTATATCTAAAACAGGAATAAAACATTTCTAAATAGTGATATTAATGTTGTAACAATCAAGAGATGAAACCACGTGTGGTGGTGCAGTGCCTGTAGTCTCAGCTACTGGGGAGGCTGAGGCGAGAGGATCACTTGAGCCCAGGAATGCAAGTGCAGCCTGGGCAGCATAGTGAGACCCCATCTCAAAAAAAAAAAAAAAAAAGAGATCAGGTATGTGAATGTGCCTTGGAGCCTCTATGCAAATTCAAAGGAACATGATCATCTTCATCACTAAATGCTGTAGACCATAAATGCTAAGGATGAGAACTCCCACGTGGAGACAACCCAAATGTCTGTCAATTGATGAATGAAAAAACAAAATATGGAACATAATATAATTCAGCCATAAAAAGCAATGAAGTACTGATCCAGGCTACAACATGGGTGACCCTTGGAACCTTATGCTAAGGGAAAGAAGTCAGTCATTAAAGACCACATACTATAATGATTCCATTCATAGGAAATGTCCAGAATAGGAAAATCCATAAAGACAAAGTAGATTAGTGGTTGCCAGGGATTGGAGGGATAAGGGAATAGCTGAGTGACTGCTAATGGGTACAGGGTTTTGTTTTGGGGTGATGAAAATAATCTAAAATTAGATTGTGGTGATGCTTGCATGACTGTGAATATACTAAAAACTACCGAATTGTACAATTTAAATGGCTGGAGTATATGCTCTGTGAATTATACTCAATAAAGCTGTTTTTTAAAATGAGAGCACTGGAGCCAGACTGCCTGGCTTCCATTCTCAGCTTAGTTACCTACTAGCTGTACAACCCAGGGCAAATTACCTAATCTCTCTGTGCGTCATTTTCCCCATCTGTGAAAAGGAGGTAATAAGATGGATACAATCCTTATGTTTTGAGACTAGAAAAGCAAACACACGCAAAGCACTGTCAACAGTACCCAGTGTACACAACGTGCTCTATAAGGGTAAGCAATTGACAAGGCTTACAGGAACCAAGGAGCAGCAGCAGCTGTTAAAGACAAGCTGAATGTCTAGGGAGTCAGTAGACAGGGCAGTTCAGTCACAGAACCAGCATCTGGGACCCAGGAATGTAAACCGCATGCTGCAATGTAGACTGACTGAATGTGTGCTCCTTACCTCCCCGAGGGCTCCCCCAGGGTGATGAGAATACCGGAAATCTGGGCTCTGGCCTCCAGTCATGGGTTCCGCAGGTCTGCTACAGGGCCCCAATATGCATGCTTTTTCAAAGCTCTCCTAGTGACTAATGATAAGCTGAGTTTAAGAACACGTAATGGGAACCTCAGGGAAGCAACCCTGACTCAGGACCCAGAGGAATGGCAGGTTGGACCAATGGCAGAGCTGATGATAACAGCAGGAAGTTCCCAGGACAGTTGAGGAAGGAGGTGGGGGCAGGGAATACTGAAACATAGGCAGATCCAGACATGGGACCCTAAAGACACCTTAGAAGGCCTCTGCGGTTACCAGTGGAAAGCATGCAAGAAGCAGGCTTGTCCCCACTTTAGGGAAGTGACAGCTTTGGAAAAGATTCAAATGACAAACTAGAAAACAGAGCAGCAGAGGCATGCCTCTTGAATGTCAATGGTTGGCTCTGAATTATCCAAGAGGAAACATTCACATGGTAGGGCTGGACATTTAGACTTATATTTTTGTTAAAGGGTGTATGGCTTTTTAATTAAATAAGTCTCCTCTTAGATTATCTTCTGAAAAAATCAGACTCATAGGAAAGCAGAATCACTAGACACAAGTACATCAGGGCATGGCTTTTAGGGAGATCAATATCCAAACTACTCCACCGAAAGAATTTAGATACTGTAGGCACACCAAACACCTGATGTCATGTGAGGGATGGAGGCCATAAGAAGCAGCTCTCTATTTGCAACACATTGAGCATAATGCTTATGTAAACTGTATGGAGTGGGGAAGGTCCAAAGGCTACACGAGCATCTTAGCACAGAAGGCCCTGGGATGCCTCAGACAGGACTCCTGGACCTTACAAGAGGGAAGATTAAACCAGATGGAGGAATTAATCACTGATCTGGCATCCCATCCACCCTCATTTTCAGGATCACCTCTTTGCAGGCAACACTCATGTTGGTAAGTTGTTACTTACCTCAAAGTAGGTGCCTGACAGCCAATTCACCCTAAAAGCTTCAGTGAGGGGATTTGAGTTGACTATCTGGGGAAATCCTGGGATCACAGGTGACAATGATGCTGATAACTTCACAGAAAACTTGTGCACTGAAGTCCCAGGTGGAGAATTCTCTGCCACATTGCCTGTAGCAGGTAAGAGGATTAGGTGTAGTGCTTCTCCCCCTGTGGAGTAAAAAGGGTGCAGGATGACATGAACACAAAGCCTTTTGCTGGGAACAGGGACTTAACAGCTTGGTTTGTGGCTTCAATTCGTAGCTCAGGGTGACGATGAGAGCTGGTCACTCCCCGAGAACAAACGCTCTTGCCAAGTGCTGGCAATGTATATGTGAGATCTTCTGGGAGCCAAGAAAACAACCACCACCAAACAACCAAGAAATCTGCTTCTGTCACTCAGTAAATAAAGCTGCTGCTTTTCTCTTGTCTCCCTGCTTCCCTTCTCTTTTCTCCCAGCCTTTGGGAAGAGCAGGGAAAGAGAACTGTGACACCTTAGGAGACAGACATCCGCCTAAAGAAACTTGCCTCATAATGTCATCTTCTCTCTTGCCAGGGCCCTGTAGCTTACAAGAGTTTGTTTTCCTTCTCTGCGTCAGCAATCTAGAGGTCATCTGAGAATTGAGTGTGCATGACTGGAGAACACCAAAATCATGGTAAATCTCTCCAAGTCCATTAGTAATCTCAAGGACAATTTTTGGTTATTATTGGACTCTGTAGGCATCATGCAGAGGGCCAAGCAGTACCTCTTGGTTGGTAGATTAACAACCATTCCACAGAGGAGGAAACAAGAGGCTCAGGGATGGCATGTGAATTGCCTTGGGCTGCCTTACAGGCAGGGAATTTTACAATTTAATAGAAAGCACATTTCTTCCAGGAAAGCCTTGGGACCATTCTAAGGTGCACAACACTACAAGACTTTGCCAGTGCAGAGAAAAGGAACAAGCTGTATTCTCTCAGCCTTCCATAATGATAATTACTGTTGTGGGTTGAACAGTGTCCCCAAAAGATTCATGTCCACCCAGAACTGCAGAATGACCTTATTTGTTTTTGTTTTTTTGAGACAGTCTTACTCTGTCACCCAGGCTGGTGAGATCTTGGCTCACTGCAACCTCTGCCTCCTGGGTTCAAGCGATTCTCATGCCTCAGCCTCCCAAGCAGCTGTGATTACAGGTGTGCTCCACCATGCCTGGCTAATTTTTGTATTTTTAGTAGAGACGAGGTTTCACCATGTTGGCCAGGTTGGTCTTGAACTCCTGGCCTCAAGTGATCCACCTGCCTCAGCCTCCCAAAATACTGGGATTACAGGCGTGAGCCACCATGCCCAGCCAAGAATGATCTTATTTGGAAATAGAGTCTTCATGGGTGTAATTAGTTGAGAGGCAGTCATATTGCATGAGGGTGGGTCCTAAATCCAGTGGTCAGTGTCCTCATAAGAAGACAGGACACGCACAGAGGGGAAAAGGCCATGATATAATGGAGGCAGAGACGAGTGATGCAGCTACAAGCCCGGGAATGGAAAGCAAACGCAGAAGCTAGGAGGTAGGCATGGAGCAGATATTCCCTCAGAGCCCCCAGCAGGAACCAACACTGCCAACACCTTGATTGCAGACTTTTGGTCTTCTGAGCTGTGACAGAATAAATTTCTGTTGTGTGATAGTTTGTTACAGCAGCCCTAGGAAACGAATACAATGATCATTTATCCAATGTTACAAATAAGTGCAAAATGTAAAATCCTGTATTTCACTTACTCCTCAAACACTCCTCTCAGACAGGTATTAATGTCATTTTACAGATGGGGAAACTGAGCTGAAATCCACACAGCAAATAATAAATAACAGAGCCAAGATTTACACAGGTCCCCCTTCCCAGCCAGCTTCCCAATCTCAGCCACCATCAGACCCTGAGAAGAAAACCCTGAACAAGTAGGAGGCACGGAGTGGGTAGGGACAGTAGAAGGTTCTGTCCCACTGAAAGGTATAAATGTTCTAGGAACAAACAAACCAGGATGTTTTATTTCAGTTGGTGCGGGGTGGGGTGAGTGCAGAGGAGTAAATGGAAAAGAGGAAAAAATTGAAATATAAGCACATTCACTGATACAAGCTTTTAAAATCTAAAGTCATCTTATTTAGTTTAGAGGCTAAAATGCATAATGCATAAGTTATTGTCGCTCGCAGAATTATCAAGTTTTATGGACAAGGACTGTGCAAGGACTCAGAAATATCAAAACAGCTGAAGTTTAGGGTGATGCGAATATGAATAGATTTTTAAAAATCTATTACAATTGACTTTGATATTATAGCATTCTTATGGTAAAAACCAGGAGTGAAAGAGTATGGTTGGAGTATTTAGAGACAAAGCTCTCAAAAACAGTTTTTCAAAATGAGCAAAATACTCTATTGCTTTGATGGGTTGGGTATTTGGGGCATAATTCCCTCCCATTCTCTTTTCTCGCAAATGCATACCTCTCTGAGCTGTTCATGAGAGTGTTCCCTCACTGTTTAGCAAGACAAGGACAGCTGTACAGGAAATGGAAAGTTGGCAATCTGTCTCATGGGATGCCCACATTCTCACCCATATTCTTCCCTTGCCCCCTCCAACCCTCTCCAGTGACTCGTGCCCCTCCAGGCAACAAGCAAAGTTAGAACTTGCTATGTTTTTCTCAATAATAGCCTAGGGTAAGATCGTGCCTAGCCCAAACGAATAGACTAAAATAAGTACCCATTTCATTTATCAAGCACCTGCTCAGCTGGCATCATGCTAGCTCCTTGACTGCCTGATCCCCTTAATCCCAGCACAATCCTCCGACATAGGTATTGCTGTCACCATTGTACACATCTGAGATTATACTGCTGTCACCATTGCACACATCTGAGATTATACTGCTGTCACCATTGCACACATCTGAGATTATACCACTCAGGGAACAGTCATGGAGGGCCCTGGCTCATGGTATCTGGATCTTGTACCTAACAGACTACACATACCTACTACAGACAGTCGGTCACTCCATGCCTGTCACATGACCATGCACATAGGATGCATCATAGTTATTCAGTCACCCTGGGACACTGCAACAACATGGCTGTGGGGGCTGGTAAGAAATTGACCTTTAACCTGGATGTTAGATCTTGATGATGTGATTTGTAAGAGGCTGTTTCTGGAACAACACGAAGAATTGTGCTGGAGTGTGAGCGTGGTGTGAGCTCAGGTAGAAGGGACTTGCTAAGCTCCACTCAGGGCTCTCCACAGCCTCACCCCGAGTGGAGAGATCACTGTGCCTCCCAACCTTAGTGCAGCTCCTTTGGGGAGCTGGGGACTGTAGAGAAGCCATGCTCCCCAAATATTGCCTGCTGATAGCTCCTGGTTTGCTTTGCTAGAAGTATATCCACTGATTTTCTTGAATTGATCATAACTTTGATAATTCCTGGGTCTGAGAGACTAATTCCATGAAAGATCCAGCATTCCAATCCTAGGCATCTGACTCCAAGGACAGCTCCATGATGTCTCCTTAAATCAGAGTGTTTTTTATCGTCCTCCTTGAATGGTCATATTTTGAATGGCAGTGAGAGATATTTTTGAAGAAGTGGATATAGCCAGTGACTCTCAAGCAATTTTTATTGGGAACCGCCTGTCCCATGTATGGTGAAAGCCAGACTGTCCTTGGATATGCCCTTTCTGCCGATATTCTTGCTAGAAATGATCTACATTTTTTCAGGTGGCCTCTCTTCCCAGGGCAAGGCCGTGTGTGCCAGGGTCATGCAAATGAATCCTTAAAACTTTGAGGCAGACCTAGGCAGACCTAGCAGTCCTAGGCAGTCCTTTGAGGCAGACCTAGGCAGTCCTAGGGATACTGATTTTTTTTTTTTTTTTTGAAATGGAGTCTCGCTCTGTCTCCCAGGCTGGAATGCAGTGGCGCGATCTTGGCTCACTGCAAGCTCTGCCTCCCGGGTTCACGCCATTCTCCTGCCTCAGCCTCCTGAGCAGCTGGGACCACAGGCACCTGCCACCATGCCTGGCTATTTTTTTGTATTTTTAGTAGAGACGGAGTTTCACCGTGTTAGCCAGGATGGTCTTGATCTCCTGACCTTGTGATCCACCTGCCTCGGCCTCCCAAAGTGCTGGGGATACTGATTTTTTTAAAAAGATAGCCAAGCTGGGTTCTCCTGACCTTAATTCAAAATCCGGTTTCTCCAGCTCTATTGCTATTTGTAAAAGAAGTAGTAGTAGTAATAATAGCAATAGCAAGGATAATAAGTGACTAGGGTCCATACCCTAAAAATAGAGTAATGAATAAGATACAATATTCACAAAATGTTAAACCCATCTGTTATACAGGTAAGCTTAAGTGATGTATCCAAAGGCACCCATCTGGTCAATGGCAGAGGGAAGATTAGAGGCCAGGTGCCAGCTCTCCCTAAAACACCGCATACTTTCCTTCCATGGCTGGTCTTCCAGGCTTTCTTTGGTGGTCTGAGTGCTAGAGAGCAAGAAGGAGGCTCTAATGGAATTTGACTTACACATGCATCTTAATTAAGAATCAAATTAGAATTGCTTGAAGCACGTACTTTGGAAAAGAAAGAGCATGCAAAAGATTTATTGTCAGCCATGGCGCCCACTGAAACATCTTGCTTGTGGCTAAGATCTGGATGCAGGATGTGCTCACTTGTCTCCCTTGAATCACTGCCTCTCCAGAAATGGACCAATGGGGCTTCCCTGGGAGCCTATGTTGGGATAATTAAGCCTTCCACAGTCTCAGAGAGGAGGAAGTTGGCCACCCTGGACCTTTGACACTGAAAGTGGAGATGCGGGTCAAGAATGTGGGGTGATGCCATCTTCTTCTTGGGGTGTAGCTGCTCTAACTTAGAGCTCTGCTTTCAATACACAGAGCAGGACTCCCTGAGACCATCACTCAATAGCTACCTCTTCATTCTCTCTAGTACCTAATCAAACAGCAGTGAACAAAATCAGTTCTGTGAAAAGAACGAGAGATTTGGAATCAGACCCCTGGCTTCAAGTCTTAGCTTTGCCACTGCTTGACTGTGTGACCTTAGGCTGGTCCCTTGACTTCTCTGGGGGTTCCTGTCAACTCTGTCTCTCAGGGCTATGGTGCTACATTAACAGTAGCCACTAAACAGGGTTCCTTTGCTAAAGAAGACTCATGGGACCCAAGTGACAATGCTTATAAATCTACAGTTTTATTACAGAAAACGGATACAGCATAGCAACAACATGAAAGTAAGGATATGCACTACAGCTGAAGGCTGCCTCAGCAGGAGATCCACAGAGGCCAGGTGCAGGCTAGGCTCTTACTGTTGTCTTTTCTCTATGGGACGGAAGAATGCACTGTCTTGGATCAGGAACAGCCAATGTATGCACAAATATCTTGGAATTATGGAGTCTTTACTGGGATTTTTTTCTATTTTGCTGTAGGCATATTCTTGTTCTATAACTGGCCTCAACGGCAGAACCCACAGAAGGTCCTCGTTGAGACCAGGTGCAAATAATCAATCCCACTGTTATCAATAAACAACGCTTACAAGCTGCTACAAACCATTCAGAAACTCCTAGGACCCACGGTTACAACGAAACACTTTTTTTTTTTTTTTTTTTTTTTGAGACGGAGTCTCGCTGTCGCCCAGGCTGGAGTGCAGTGGCGCAATCTCGGCTCACTGCAGGCTCCGCCCCCTGGGGTTCACGCCATTCTCCTGCCTCAGCCTCCCGAGTAGCTGGGACTACAGGCGCCCGCCACCTCGCCCGGCTAATTTTTTTTTGTATTTTTAGTAGAGACGGGGTTTCACCGTGTTAGCCAGGATGGTCTCGATCTCCTGACCTCGTGATCCGCCCGCCTCGGCCTCCCAAAGTGCTGGGATTACAGGCGTGAGCCACCACGCCCGGCCCACTTTTTTTATTTTTATTTTTATTTTGAGACGGAGTCTCGCTCTGTCCCCCGGGCTGGAGTGCAGTGGCGCGATCTCTGCTCACTGCAAGCTCCGCCTCCCGGGTACATGCCATTCTCCTGCCTCAGCCTCCCTAGTAGCTGGGACTACAGGTGCCCGCCACCACGCCTGGCTAACTTTTTGTATTTTTAGTAGAGACTGGGTTTCACCGTGTTAGCCAGGATGATCTCAATTTCCTGACCTCATGATCTGCCCGTCTCAGCCTCCCAAAGTGCTGGGATTACAGGCGTGAGCCACCGCACCTAGCCAAAGCAACACTATTAATCAGCATGCTTCATGCCTTGACTAGGGGTCAGTGTGGTTCACGAACTTCAGCAGAAAAATTCAGGCTAATATCAGGCCTATGGAAACTTATTCTCACAGCACAGATGCCACATAAGAAAATGCATATGCTCGGCCAGGCACAGTGGCTCAACCTGTAATCCCAGCACTCTGGGAGGCCGAACCAGGTGGATCACCTGAGGTCCGGAGTTTGAGACTAGCCTGGCCGACATGGTGAAACCCCACCTCTATTAAAAATACAAAAATTAGCAGTGTGTGGTGGCAGCTGCCTGTAATCCCAGCTACTTGGGAGGCTGAGGCAGGAGAATCACTTGAACTGGGAGGTGGAGGTTGTAGTGAGCCCAGATCACGCCACTGCACTCCAGCCTGGGCAACAAAGCAAGACTCCATCTCAAAAAAATAAAAAATAAAAAAAAGAAAGAAAGAAAGAAAAGAAAATGCATATGCTCAGTAAACTATAAAGCATTGTCAAATGTTGTTTCAACATATGCAACTTTTTCCTATTTCTTTAATTTCCACAATATATACCTCTTCCTGAATGAGATGTTCACCCACCCCCTTTTTTGGGAGGAACAAGGAACAATCCAGGCCAAGCAAGATTAACAGAAAAGAGCCCTTTATAGGACACAGAAGGAAAGGTGATTCAACTAGTGATTCTGTACATTATATTAGGTCGGTGTAAAAGTAATTGTGGTTTTTCCCTAGAAGAAAACCTAGGCAATACCATTCAGGACATAGGCATGGGCAAGGACTTCATGTCTAAAACACCAAAAGCAATGGCAACATAAGGCAAAATTGTCAAATCGGTTCTAATTAAACTAAAGAGCTTCTGCACAGCAAAAGAAACTACCATCAGAGTCAACAGGCAACCTACAGAATAGGAGAAAAATTTTGCAATCTACCCATCTGACAAAGGGCTAATATCCAGAATCTACAAAGAACTAAAACAAATTTACAAGAAAAAATCAAACAACTCCATCAAAAAGTGGGTGAAGGATATGAACAGACACTTCTCAAAAGAAGACATTTATGCAGCCAACAGACACATGAAAAAATGCTCATTATCACTGGCCATCAGAGAAATGCAAATCAAAACCACAATGAGATACCATCTTACACCAGTTAGAATGGTGATCATTAAAAAGTCAGGAAACAACAGGTGCTGGAGAGGATGCAGAGAAATAGGAACGCTTTTACGCTGTTGGTGGGACTGTAAACTAGTTCAACCATTGTGGAAGTCAGTGTGGCGATTCCTCAAGGATCTAGAACTAGAAATACCATTGGACCCAGCCATCCCATTACTGGGTTATACCCAAAGGATTATAAATCATGCTGCTATAAAGACACATACACATGTATGTTTATTGTGGCACTATTCACAATAGCAAAGACTTGGAACCAACCCAAATGTCCATCAATGATAGACTGGATTAAGAAAATGTGGCACATATACACCATGGAATACTATGCAGCCATAAAAAAGGATGAGTTCATGTCCTTTGCAGGGACATGGATGAAGCTGGAAACCATCATTCTTAGCAAACTATCGCAAGGACAAAAAAACCAAACACTGCACGTTCTCACTCATAAGTGGGAAGTGAACAATGAGAACACTTGGACACAGGAAGGGGAACATCACACACTGGGGCCTGTCATGGGGTGAGGGGAAGGAGGAGGGATAGCATTAGGAGATATACCTAATGTAAATGATGAGTTAATGAGTGCAGCACACCAACATGGCACATGTATACATATGTAACAAACCTGAACATTGTGCACCTGTACCCTAGGACTTAAAGTATAATAATAAAAAAAAAAAAGTAATTGTGGTTTTTACCATTACTTTCAATGGCAAAAACCAAGATTAATTTTGCACCAGCTAGGTCATAACTGGCAAGAAACAGACGTGTTTATCTTAGAGCATCACTATGGGGTGGGCCTGAGAAAGGCTTGTTTCTTTCAAATCTCTTCCAACTACATGGAGGCGAAAGTGGATGGATTCCAGTGACTGCCTGACTGCTTGCACTGGGGGTGAGGTTGCCATGGGCAAGGAAGAGCTGAGAGAAGGGACTGTCTTTTGTTCTTCTGAGGTGACTCTGAACAGGAAAGTGACATGACGGAAAAAGTAGAAACCTCTTGCAACACTCTTTGGGCCTGATACATAGGGTTAATTGGCTGACAGAAAGACTTTCTAGAAATGGATTGCATCTTCCAGCCTTTTCATATGATGAGAGCATTAAGAAGCATTTACATTTTAATTACCAAGGAGAATAAGAAACTCAGTCTTGGGCCTTTGTTTGATTTGCCAACACTGGCTAGCAGAGAACCACGCACAGATGATGGGCTGAAGAAAGCTGTGATTGCCTCTTGCCCAGAGCTTGCGGACAAACTCAGTTGGATGGGTTTGGTACCTTTTCATGTCCATGTGAATCTTCTGGCTCCCAAGGATCCCTTCTTTCATTAAATACCCTGGCATTTTTCATTTCCAGGAGGGTAATACAAAAGCTGGTTCCTTGGATGCTTCTTCAAAACATAGACAGCTTCCATGTGCAGTGGATTTAAAAATACCAAGGGTCCTTCTCTATGTCCTTCATCTTCTGGGACTCACATGTGATCCTTTGGGACTGATGGAGCCAGATGACTGCTTTGTCTCAACTCTTTCCACTGGGGCAGTTGAAAGTTTTGTCTAGTTTATATTCTTGTAGAGCCTCCCTTTGTAAGCTGTTGGTGGAATAGGCACTATAGCTTCACAAAGGGAAACTCATCTTCATAGGAGGTGGAAAGGACAGAAGTGAATTTAAATGTCAATATCAAGCAGGAAGAAGATCTAAAGCTCTACATTTGGGGTGTATCAGTAAATGTGGGGAAAAAACCATACCAGACTCAAAAAGTATAAAAATAAAAACAGCAAATATGTATTGGATATCCTCTATATATGTGGCACACAGGGACAATGAGCAATAAGATATATGAAATCTGTTATTGCAGGGCTGACATTCTAGTTGAGGAGGCAGAAATGGCCATATAACAGATGAATTACAGTATGATAGCTCATGCTACTTTTGGCTGAGCACTGAATCTGCATTAGGTGCTGGACTGAACTCTTTGCAGGCAGTCCATGTGCAGGCAAGAGGAGCTCCAGGGTGCAACAGCAGGAGCACTCCCCAGGAGCTAGGTCAATCCAGGAAGACTCCATGGGGGGGGGTGGGGCTTGAGTTGGGCCTTGAAGGAAGCATAGGAGTTAGAACACATGAAAGGAAAGAGGATACTCTATGTTACTTTATTTATTTACTTATTTTGAGATGGAGTCTCACTCTGTCGCCCAGGCTGGAGTGCAATGGCGCAATCTCAGCTCACTGCAACCTCCGCCTCCTGGGTTCAAGCGATTCTCCTGCCTCAGCCTCCTGAGTAGCTAGGATTATAGGCACCCGTCTTCATGCTCTGCTAATTTTTTACTGTATGTTACTTTATTTGAGATTATTATAGTGATGCCTGCTTCCAACAGCCTGAAGGGGTGCTGATGTGGCTGCCCCGCTAGAAGCCTCTGTAGCCCAGGTGTTGGAGTGTGAGGGTAATGACCAGGTTCTCAGACTCACAAAAGAAACAGTTTGTGTCACAGTAGCCCTTCCAAAAACAAGATTTGACCTAAGGGATTCTATTGTGTGTTTTAAATAAGAAATCTCAAGTATTTCTTGCAAACCTTTGTGATCTATCCCTTTCACACTTCTGATAAAATTCCAAATGATAGTGTTCAGTATAAGAAATTGGGTTCTTCCTAACCTCACTCTTTCCCCAGTGACAATAAAAGTCACCTCGACTCAAATGATTGTGGCCCTAAAAGCCCATATTTCTGGGGGAAATCTGAAATGTTTACTTCAAGTGACAGTCTGAACTGCTCATGGCCCACTTCACATTCACAGGTCATCCTGCCCTCTGCTGAGTTGAAAAGCCCAAGATAGAAGAGGGCTCAATATTAGGAAACCCAGTTATTTATTTATCTTATTAGCAGATCGAAGAGGAAAATTAAATGGTCATTTTCATAGATCTTGAAAAAGCGTTTGATTTAAAAATCCATTTTTATTTAGAAATAAGTACTTGAATATTCTTACATTTAGTTTTATTATATTTTTATTTAGAAATAAATACTGTAATATTCTTATATTAATAAGAATAAAAGCCACCTCCTTAACATATAAAACATTTCTCTCTCACACCAAAAGTTAACATCATGCTTAATGGGAAACAAGACAGGAATTTACACTCTTGTCATTATTTAATAATGGTCAGAATGTCCAGGCCTGGCAGTTAGATAAGAAAAAAATAGGAGCTATAGACATAGGAGAAGAAGAATATAAATGTTCATTTTTTCAAACGTGGAAAATTCATGAGAATCACCTGAAAAACCATGCCAAATAATAAGATAATTTGTTAACAGATTTCCATACATCATACAATAATCAGTTGAAAGATGTAGGGAAGAAGAGATTCCATTTACAAATGTAAAAAAAGAAAAAGTAAAAGAACTAGAAATAACCATAATAAGAATGTACCAAATCTATATGAAGGAAACCTCAAAATACTCCTAAGAAAAACAAATGAAGACTCAAACAAGTATCTAGAACCCTGTTCTTGGATTAGGAAGACTCAAGATCATAAATAATACTCACTAACATTTACTAAGCATTTACTATGTACTCAGACACTCTTCTAAGTATTTTACTACATAACTTGTCAAAGATGTAAATTATCCCTAAATTAATTTGCAAATTTAACATAAATTCAATATATTATGCATATACTACCTATTCAGAAATAAAATTTAATTTTAAAATCTCAATTTCAATAATCCAAGCTGACATTAAAAAGATCATCTAAGATTCTTGATGCCCTTGAATGAGGAAGAGAGAGTAAAATGATCACTAGCTTGAGTCTTTGACCCTTCTATCAGAAGGTGTTTTCTTTGCTCAAGAGGAAGACACCCCCTCAGTAACTCACTTTCCTCAAAGGATCACTTGTCAACCTCAAGTTGCCCTACGAGCCTCCAGAAAAGGGCCAGAATCTCCACAAAGACTCACTTGACATACTCACAAAGCTCTGCTATGAACACTATTTTCCCAACCTTAAATCTCAGGAGGACTACCAAATGCAGGCCAGTTAACCCAAGAGGGAAAGTGAAGTCTACACCAACATAGATTAGATTAGGCTCTTTAAGCATCTCTCTTTTCCAGGGCTCCTACCTGGTCCCCCAGGGCTCCCTGGAGCGGCATCACCTCATTCATTACTGCAGCTAAGCCCTCAATTGAACAAGCCTCCCAGGGGCAATTTCCTTTCTGGGGGACATTGTCATTCAATGGTATTATGCAGACCAAGTAGGCAAGCAAGGTTCCAAAGCAAAATTGAGTTCCTACCTGACATGGCACCCAGGAGAGCCAGGAGAATGATTGCTTCCTGCATACTTGATGGTCACAACTGTGCGTGCTTCCAGCACATTAGCCACAGCCTGAATCCCGTCTCACACCCAAAGTTTATTCCAGAAGCCACTCAGCTTCCCCTCCTGGTTTTGTTGCCATGCAAGAAATCAAACAGAGGCTTTGGCGGTAGCCAAGGGAGACTCCAAACACCACAGGACTGTTTGTTCTTTGATTACCTGCTTCTGTGACTGCATAGCACCCAAGAGACCAACCAGCCAGTCCTGGTCAGCTCAGAGTTTACCTTAAAAGTCCACACTCACCAAGTGTCTCAACCAAGAGCTCCAAAAGAGAAGTCAAAAGAGAAAACCGAGACACGGAGACCACACTAAGAGCTGGACGTGCGTAGTCCACCCATGATGGTCTCGGTCGCCCTGTAGCCAGGCTTGTGGTCATTTCCAGAAACAGGGGTGGGAAGTGGGAGTTTTTCTGCTGTCCTGAATCAATGAGTAGGATTCAGACTTGGGAATTAACTGGCACTCGTTCTAAAGACAAGATCTGAGAGCTGGGAGCAGACCCCTCCTCGAGGCTGACTTGAGGTGGAAGACTGCCCTCTGACTCCACCCCCCACCACCGCCCCTCCAGCCCTCGAAGAAGGCTGTGAAGGAAGGTTACTGGAGTGGTGAGGCTTCTGCCCACTGGGGAGTGATGCAGGTCTTGCCCTTCACGATGCCTTTCTGTTCCACACAGCCCTGTGCCAGGGCACAAGATGTGGCATGTGAACAAACGCGGGCTGGGGTCTAGTCTCCACTGAGAAGGAGCAACAGCAGAGCAGAGAGAGAACGGCCGAGCAGTGGCCTGTCCCCTTGACATGGTGCAGTAAGAGAAGTAGTGGGCACAGTGGAAGGCAGCTGGGCTTGGACCACCTCTCCCATTCCTCTGCCAGCTAGGGGAGGAGAGGCCAGCAGCCCAAGGCTGGGGGCAGGAATGCAGTGAAGAAGGTGGGGAGTTGAGTCAGAGCCTCCCAGTCTGGACGAGACCCCACAGGCGCTCTGAAAACTACACATGCCCCACAGGTGAACCAGCTTTTAGCACCTGCTACACGGAGGTCACCAACGAGGGATAGAGGGAGACAGTGTTATGGAACCAAACTGGGTCCACTCACCCTGTGCAGTAAAACCGGATATCCACACCGAGGTTTTTGCAGCAATAGAAAGGAAGGCATTTATTTGCAAGGGTGCCAAGCAAGAAGGGCTCAGAGAGTGAGGGGTTTGACCCAGGCTGCGCCACCTGCCAGTGTCCCCTGTGTCCCCTGCGTCCCAAACCTAGGGTGGCAAGGCTGCCCTTCCCTTCCACCACATCCAAACATTTGACAAGCCCTTTCCAGCCTCCAGGGCCTGCTGCCGGGCCCCTTCCCATGCTTGTTGCTACTGCCCTGGCTTAAGGTCCTTGCCTCTGGCCTGGGCTCTGGCCCGCAGCACATCCTACAGAAACTTAGGTTAATTTCCCCAAAGTACAATTTTGGTCATTTACTTTCCTGCTCAAAATAACAAGAACCTTTCCCTTAAGAAAAGTTGACTTTTCTTGTGTAAAGCATGAAGGAAAGGTAGTAAGATTAGGAAAGCTAGTCGATAGGTCTCTGTTCGAAGCACATAGATAGTAACAACAACAACAAAACAAAAGGGAGTGTTGCTGTGTCACCTTTGGCAATTTACCTAACCTTTCAGAATCTCAGTTCCACTCACTTCTGTAAATCAGGGAAAATAATACCTGCTACACAGTATCATCGCAAGCGATACACAAGAGAAAGAAGTGAAAGAAACTGGCCCATACTATGTGTTTTAAAAATACTTTTTTTTTTTTTTTTTTTTTTTTTGGAGACAGGATCTCACTGTCACTCTGTCTCCCAGGCTAGAGTGTAGCAGCGCGATCATAGCTCATTACAGCCTCAATCTCCTGGACTCAAGCAATCCGCCCACCTCAGCCTCTGGAGCAGCTGGGACCACAGGCGTGCACCACCACACCAGGCTAATTAAAAAAATTTTTTTTTTAGAGAGGACGTCTCCCTATGTTGCCCAAACTGGTCTCAAACTTCTGGGCTCAAGCGATTCTCCCACCTCCGCCTCCCGAAGTGTTGATATTACAGGCATGTGCCACACTATTTTTTCCTAATAGGACCCTGGCAAGGGCTGAAACATAGTAGGTACTCAATATATATTGGCCAAATAAAAAGAAAAATAAACAACAGTTGCCAAGCTACCAATTCTCACCTCTCAGTTTTTCCTGTCATGTGAGATACTGTAAATAATCCATTTCATTATGCATAATTCAAGCTGAAGCGATGGCTCAGATTAAGTTATGGAAAACGTCAGAATGATTAAACTTTTGTATTAAAGAAACTCACATCTGTTTAGTTTTCAGCCTGACTGCACAGCATTTTTCATGTTACCCTGTTTTTACCAGGAGATCGTGCCTCCCCTTCCTTTCCCTCCCTGGTTCTAGGGAGCAAAAGGGTCATCTTTTGGAATTCATTGTGGGTGTTTTCTCCTGTAATTACAGCTTCTGTTTCCAGCCCCGAGGTTGTTTCTGCCATTGCCGCGGGCTGCTGCCCATGTGTCAATTCCCATCTCCCTCCGAAAGCACCTAGTCCTAGCACCAGACACCCAACTGGGCCTGAATCGCACCAAGGCTGAATGGGACCTTGCGGTCCTTGGCTCTCCTGTCCCTGACTGCCAGCATGCTGAGCTGTCCTGGATCCACCAAGGTCTCAGCCAGATGGGATGAATGGGTTCCTCAGGCAGGGTCGGAATCTCTAGGGCAGGCACCCCTCCAGCTTCACATGAGACCCAGGAGCCTTCTCCTACATGCTGTCTGGCTCAGCAGTGATTCAGGCCCTTAAAGTATTTCAGGGGACTTCCCTGGGAACTAGCTACTGTAAGTGTCTAATTTGCTAGCAAAGGAGTTGTGTTCCAAACATTTTTTGACTTGGAACTTGGAACTCAATTACCCTTACATAATCTATAACATATAGTCATGCACCGCATAATGACAACATTTCCATCAACCATGGACTTCGTACACAATGGTGGTCCCATAGATGATAATGGAGCTGAAACATTACTATCAACTAGTGACGTTGTAGCTGTTGTAACATCATAGTGCAACATGTTACTCATGTGTCTGGGGAGATACTGGTGGAACAAACCTACTGCACTGATAGTTATGCAAAAGTCTAGCGCATACGGTTATGTACAGTACATAATACTTATAATGATAATAAATGTATGCTGTCATTTTAGAGTATACTCCTACTTATTTAAAAAAATAAAGCTGGACAGGCACCGTGGCTCACGCCTGTAATCCCAGCACTTTGGGAGGCTGAGGCGGGTGGATCACAAGATCAGGAGTTCAAGACCCACCTGGCCAACATGGTGAAACCCCGTCTCTACTAAAAATATAAGTTAGCTGGGCATGGTGGTGAGCACCTGTAGTCCCAGCTACTTGGGAGGCTGAGGCAGGAGAATCTCTTGAACTAGGGAGGCAGAGGTTGTAGTGAGCCGAGATCGCGCCATTGCACTCTAGCCTTGGTGACAGAGTGAGACTCCATCTCAAAAAAAAAAAAAAAAAAAAAAAAAAAAGCTAATTGTAGAACAGCCTCTGGCAGGCCCTTAGGAGGTATCCAGAGGAAGGCATTGTTATCATAGAAGATGGCAGCTCCATGTGTGTTATTGCCCCTGAAGACCTTCCAGTGGGACAAGATGTGGAGGTGGAAGACATGACATTGATGATCCTGACCCTGTGCAGGTCTAGACTAATGTGTGTGTTTGTGTCTTCATTTTTAACAAAAAAGGTTTGCAAGTTAAAAAAAAATAGAAAAATAGTATAGATTAAGGCTATAAAGAAAGAAAATATTTTTGTACAGCTGTGCAATGTATTTTAAGCTGTTATTACAACAGAGTCAAAAGTTTTAAAAATATAAAAGTTTGTAAAAATGTTACAGTAAGATAAGGTTAATTTATTATTGAAGAAAGAAAAATTGAAAAATAAATGGAGTGGACTAAGTTTACAAACTCTACAGTAGTGTACAGTAATGTCCTAGGCCTTACATTCACTCACCACTCACTCACTCACCTACAGCAACTTCCAGTCCTGCAAGCTCCATTCATGTTAAGTGTCCTATAGAGGTGTACCATTTTAAAAAATCATTTATGCAGTTTTTTGTTGTTGTTTTTTTTTTTTGACGGAGTCTCGCACTGTCACCTGGACTGGAGTGCAATGGCACGATCTCAGCTCACTGCAACCTCCGCCTCCTGGGTTCAAGCTATTCTCCTGCCTCAGCCTCCCAAGTAGCTGGGATTACAGGCACCCGCCACCATGTCCAGCTAGTTTTTTGTATTTTTAGTAGAGAGGGGATTTCACTATGTTGGCCAGGCTGGTCTCAAACTCCTGACCTCGTGATCCACCCACCTCGGCCTCCCAAAGTGCTGGGATTACAGACGTGAGCCATCGTGCCCGGCCTTATGCAGTATTTTTTAATGTACTTTTTCTATGTTTACATATACAAATACATACCATCGAGTTACAATTGCCTACAGTATTCAGTACAGTAACATGCTGTACAGGTTTGTAGCCCAGGAGCAATAAACTATACCATACAGCCCAGGTGTGTAATAGGCTATACCATCGAGGTTTGTGTAAGTGCACTCTATGATGTTCGCACAATGATGAAATTGCCTAGTATTGCATTTCTCAGAATGTATCCCCATCATTAACTAACTGTACTTGTCTGTATTTTAAATATTACAGCCTTAAGATGAGACACAGAAGTACTGTGCAATGGCTGGGCTCTGTTAGCAGCTCCACGAGCATTGGTGGGCTGGCCTGCAAGCCTCATCACCTTTATATCTGCGGGGCAGTTCTGTTCATGGTCCGTTTGTTCAGGACTGGAACTATGGGCTTCCAGGAATCCAAAACCTAGAACAGAACACCCAGGTTCCATCATTCAAGCACCTCCCCCATCTCAGGCCTCCCTCAGGAAAGGCACTCAGGGTAGACCCATGCTCACAGCAATGGTGCCATGCAGATGCACAAAGCTGCTTGCAAGAATAGAAACACATCCCTCCCCGTGTCTTCTTTGTGGGCCACTGTCCTAGCACACGCACTGCTTTAGCACCACATCTCATGGATCTTTTATACATCTGTCTCCATGCAGCCTTGGCAAGTTTTCCAGGACAGAGAAGCTCTTATGCTTCTTTGCACTCCAATTGCTTCACATTTAACACTGTGCCAGATGCATAGTAAGTGCTCAAAAAACATGGAATTACTGATCTTACTTTATACTTCCTTGCCTCGTGCCATGCTCTCCTCTCACACCCACCCCAAACATCGACCCAGTGAGAGCCCCCCCCGCCCCCGCCAGCTCTTGCAGGGATAGAAATAAAGAAGTGCCACAGCCCTTCTCACTTCTAGAACCCCGGAGCTGCATCCCCTGACTGGCCTTGAGGACCATGGGAGGGGCTCCTCTGAAGCCAAGGCTCTCAGGACCCACTGGTAGGGTCCTTTTCCTGGCTTCACAGGTGGAAGAGTGACTGAGAAGACGTCCTTGGGGCTCAGCCCCACCTGACTCCAGGGCACCTGCTGTGACTGTGGGCTAGGCTGCCTGCTCTCTGGGCTCACGTCCCCAGATAATTCTTTTTTTTTTCTTTAAACAGTTTGTGATATAATTCACATACCTTACAATGCACCCAGTTAAAGTGTACAATTCAGTGATTTTTAGTATATTCATAGAGTTGTGCAACCATCACCATAATCAATTTTATAACATTTTCATCCCCCCCAAAGAAAAACCTCTTCAATCCTTAGCAGTTACTCTCAATTTTCCTCTAACTCTCGCCCCCAACCCTAGCAACCACTAATCTACTTTCTATCTCTATAGATTTCCTTATTCTGGGCATTTCATATGAATAGAATCATACAATATGTGGCCTTTTTAAAATTTTTTTTTTTTTTTTGAGATGGAGTCTCACTCCATCACCCAGGCTGGAGTGCAGTGGCGTGATCTCAGCTCATTGCAACCTCTGCCTCCCAGGTTCAAGTGATTTTCCTGCCTCAGCCTACCAAATAGGTGGGATTACAGGCGCGTGCGACCATGCCAGGCTAATTTTTGTATTATCAGTAGAGGCAGGGTTTTGCCATGTTGGCCAGGCTGGTCTCGAACTCCTGACCTCAGGTGATCCGCCTGCCTTGGCCTCCCAAAGTGCTGGGATTAGAGGCAGGAGCCAGTGCACCCAGCAATATGTGGCCTTTTGTACTGGCTTCTTTTACTTGCATAATGTTCTTTGGGTTCGTGTATTTTGTTGTATGGCTCAATACTTCATTCCTTTTTATTGCTGAATAATATTGGGTTGGTGCAAAAGTCATTGCGGTTTTTGCCATTACTTTTAATTACTTTTGCACCAACCCAATATTATTCCGTTGTATGGATAGACCACAATTTAATTTTCTTATTAATCAGTTGATGGACATGTGGGTTATTTCAACATTTTGGCTATTAAAATAATGCTGCTATGAACATTTGTGTACAAGTTTTTGCACGACATAGGTTTTTATTTCTCTTAGGGAAATACCTAGAAGTGTAATTACCAGGTCATATGGTGATTCTACCAGGTCATTCTTGTGGGCAATTGTCTAACTGCTTTGAAGCCAGCTCCTTCTCCAGCATCCTTCATTGGCTTCCTGGAGCCCCCTACCCCAAGCTATGGGTCTCCTCCTACTTACCCTCTCTGCCACTTTGTTCAAACATCTTCATGCCAGCTGATTCCTTCTTCCCCCTTCTCCCTTTAGGTGGCATTTATTTATTCACTCAAGAAATATTGAATACCTACTGTGTGTCAAGCCCTGTTGTGCATGCTAAGGTTATCGCAGAGAACTGTTTTGTTCTCTGAAGAAAATGCCTGGCCACAAGCAACAGATTCTGTAGAAGCACCCCTCCTTCCATCCATCCAGTCAGCCAGCTGTGGCTCTGGTTGAAGCTCACCGCATGGCAGCACTGAGAGGTGACAGCATGCTGGCATCCCTCGCTCGCTCGCTCTCGGCGCCTCCTCTGCCTGGACGCCCACTCTGGCGGCACTTGAGGAGCGCTTCAGCCTGCCGCTGCACTGTGGGAGCCCCTTCCTGGGCTGGCTGAGGCCAGAGCCGGCTCCCTCAGCTTGAGGGGAAGTGTGGAGGGAGAGACGCCGGCGGGAACCGGGACGGCGCGTGGCGCTTGCGGGCCAGCGCTAGTTCCAGGTGGGTGTGGGCTCGGCGGGCCCCGCACTCGGAGCAGTCCGCCGGCTCCGGGCAGTGAGCGGCTTAGCACCTGGGCCAGCGGCTGCTGTGCTCGACTTCTCGCCGGGCCTTAGCTGCCTCCCTGCGGGGCAGGGCTCAGGACCTGCAGCCTGCCATGCCTGAGCCTACCCCGCCGCCGTGGGCTCCTGCGCAGCCTGAGCCTCCCCGACCAGCGCCACCCCCTGCTCCACGGCGCCCAGTCCCATCGACCACCCAACGGCTGAAGCGTGCGGGCGCACAGCGCGGGACTGGCAGGCAGCTCCACCTGCGGCCGGGTGCTGGATCCACTGGGTGAAGCCAGCTGGACTCCTGAGTCTGGTGGGGACTTGGAGAATCTTTATGTCTAGCTAGGGGATTGTAAATACACCAGTCAGCACCCTGTGTCTAGCTCAGGGTTTGTGAATACACCAATCGACACTGTATCTAGTTACTCTGGTGGGGACTTGGAGAACCTTTGTGTGGACACTCTGTATCTAGCTAATCTAGTGGGGACGTGGAGAACTTTTGTGTGTAGCTCAGGGATTGTAAATGCACCAATCAGCACCCTGTCAAAACGGACCAATCAGCTCTCTGTAAAATGGACCAATCAGCTCTCTGTAAAATAGACCAATCAGCAGGATGTGGGGGGGTGGGCGGGGACAGATAAGAGAATAAAAGCAGGCTGCTGGAGCCAGCAGTGGTAACTCGCTTGGGTCGCCTTCCACGTTGTGGATGGTTTGTTCTTTTGCTTTTTGCAATTAGTCTTGCTTCTGCTCACTTTTTTGGTCCTTGCTACCTTTATGAGCTGTAACACTCACCGTGAAGGTCTGCAGCTTCGCTCCTGAGCCAGCGAGACCACGAACCCACCAGAAGAAAGAAACTCCGAACACATCTGAACATCTGGAGGAACAAACTGTGGGCACACCGCCTTTAAGAACTGTAACACTCACCACGAGGGTCCACGGTTTCATTCTTGAAGTCAGTGAGACCAAGAACCCACCAATTCTGGACACACCACTGTACTTGCATCAGGATGGAAGGTCTGCTATGACATGGTTCTCCCATCAAGGAACTCGGGCCCTAGCCCAGAGACAAACCAGTAAGCCCAGGATTATAACCAAGTAATCTAGGCATGCCTCCACTGAACTCCAGGCATGCCTGAGGCTGTGGGGTATGAGAGAGTGGAGAGAAAGAATCAAATGTAGGTCAAGAGTGAAGCTGTCAGGGAAGGTTTCTAAGGGCAGGAGTGAGCTGAAGAAATGAAGGGTAAAGGCAAAAGCAGTTAACAATGTAGAGGTATGAAATAGTATAGTTCATCCAATGGCATTATGCCAGCTGATTTATCTTTAGGGAAGCTCAGTTTTTAAGAAAAAAAAATTTATTTTTTGAATAGGTAATACATGTACACAATGCAAAATTCTAAATATTCAAAAGAGTAAACAATGAAAAACATGTCTTCCTATCTCCTTTCCCCAGAAGCTGTTTCCCTCCTCGGAGACAGCCATTATTGTTACAGCCTTGTGATCCTTCTAGAAACAGTCTATGTGCATACAAACATATACTAAATAGCATAGTCTCTGCTTTATGGAAACATAGTCTGTGCTTCATGATACTGATGGAAGCATATTATATCCTCTCTACTTTACTTGGTTTTTCCTCTTACTATAGTTGGGACATTGTAACATATCAGCGCATACATAGCACCATTCTTTTTAGTAACTGCATAATATCCATTGTATTGATGTGCCACGTATTTATCAAGTCTGCTATTGATGGGGGTTTGCTTTGTTATCAATTTTTTCCTATTACAAGTAATGCTGCAATAAACGTCTTTGAATCTATATAATATCATACAAGAGTATATTTGTAGACTAAATTTTTAAAAATGGACTTGAATGGGAGAAAACATTAACTTTTTGACAGACATTGCCAAAATACTCCTCAAAGAAGTTGTGCCAATTTATACTCCTACGATTGACATGTGAGAATGTGGGAGAATCCCCCAAATCCTCACCAATATAGTGTTATCAAACATTTTACTTTTTGCCAATCTGTTAGGTTAAAAATATTGTATCTCATTTCAATCTGCATTTCCTTCTCATGAGTAAAATTGGGCATTTCTACCATTTTTCTTCTGGGTTGTTGGTATATTTTCTACTGGTTTGTAGGAAATCTTGGTATGTTGAGGAATTTAGTACTTTATCTGTAATATGCAGTGCAAATATTATTTCCTCTTTATCATTTGATTTTTGACTTTGTTTCTAGGGATTTCTGCCATAAAATTTTTAAAACATTTTTATATAGTCAAATGTATCACCTTGTGTTCTATGGCTCTACTTTTTGCTCACTGCTTAGAAAGGATTCTCTCTGAGATAATAATAAATACTTTCATATTTTCTTCTAATACTTTTATGGTTTTGTTTTCAAATATAAGCTTCTGATTTTCTTGGAATTATTCTGAAATGGGAAAAGTTCCTTGTCCCCATTGCAGGGCGTGCGATGAGGGTGCGGCTCACTTCTTCAGTGCCCTGCTGCTCAAACCTCTAGGGGAGCATATAGACCAGATGTGCAGGCTGTGGGGCTCCAACGCCACGACAGTGTCTAGGGGTGAATGTTTACAGCTGAAGCCCCAGGCAAAGTGTGATATAGTGTGCACTTTTAGTTTAGCCATCCGTAGGTGGCCTGTGTTAGCTCACTTAGACCCCTGCCTTATCACAAGGGCAGATGGCTTTCTGTTTCCCGGGGTTCTGGCCTTGGTGTACCGGAAGAATCAGATCACATGTGGGCTTGGAGAATGAGTGCAAGGTTTTATTGAGTGGAAGTAGCTCTCTGCAGATGGGGGAGCCAGAAGGGAGACAGTTTTCCCCTGGAGTTAGGTGGCTCGGAGGCCTGACCTCTCCTCCAACTGCCCCAGCCAAATTCCACGTGTTCTGCCAGCATGCCAGTTTCTGTCAGTGCATTCCTCTGGACGTCCAGCTGCCCGTGTGTTCCTCCGCTGATATGCTCCTCTCGACATCCAGCTGCTTGTGTGTCTGCCTGCTAGGGTCTCAGCGTTTTTATAGGCATAGGACAGGGGCATGGCAGGTCAGGGTGGTCTTGGGAAATGCAACATTTGGGCAGAAAAACAAAAATGCCTGTCTTCACCTAGGTCCATGGGCACAGGCCCCACTGTGGAGCCCTAGCCAGGGACCACGCCCTTCTCTACTCAGCACTTCCCTGCCTCCTTCCATATCATTTAAAGGGACCATGCCTTTCCCAGTACTTCCTTCCATATCAGTTCCTTAAGGTGTGAGGTAGGATCCAATGGGAACTTCTCTTTCCAAAATTGCACTTTAGCCAACTTAGCCAGAGTGCTAATCATCTGCTCAAAGAGCTGGGGATATGGGAATACTTTCCCCTTCACATTCAAAGAGTAGTTAAGCTTAGGATAGAACTGTCAAGCAGAGGAAATGTGCCTCTAGCCTGTTTCACACAGCACCTGGAAGAAAAAAGGAGCAAAATTTCTCTTAGCTCATAGCATGTCATTCCAGAGAAAGTTGGAACTTTCCGTCTGTGTGAAATAATCAATCCAAGACTTGCTTTTCCTGGCCTCAGTCCCCTCATTTGCATAGATGTGGGTGACCCAGTGTTCAGTGCATATCAGCCCTCTGCTTTGTACGTAGTAATCCCATCCTGCACAAAGCAGTGGGTGAAATACATCTTAACGTGGGTGCCAAAAGCAAGTCTGATTCTTCAGGCTAAAGTACTCAGTGTTCTCCCTCCCTCCATGCCTTTGCCTAAACTGGAAGTTATGTCTTTACTCACCTCAGCTCATGTAACAACACCAGAGAGAGCCTCATGACAGGCAGCAGGTCCTTTTGACCTCGCAGTCTTCTAGTTAGCGATTCTATTTTGATTTATTTATTTATTTGTATTTTCCTCCTCCCAAAAGAAAGAACTTAGCCAGTTTTTAACTTTCCTCTGAAACCCTTCTTCCCATTTTCTAGGTTTTCTATGTCATTTAGAATTAAATATCTCCTTGTTTTTACACACAAATGAGGGGTGTTTATTTAACCATCAATATTGTCAATGCTTTTATATTCATCAAAATATTTTATAGCTTTCTTTATGCAGCTTTTCTTCTTTCAATTCTTTTTTCTAGGTTTTTCTTCTTTCTTACACCCTTTAGTAGTTCATTCATTCAGAGTGTGTAGTCAGTAAGTACTTTTAGTTGTGTGTGTCTGGAAATCTTTATTTCATCCTGGCGTGTATATAATAGTTTAGCTGGGTATAGAAGTCTAGGTCGACAGTTATTTTTCTCTTCATTTCTTGAAGACATGTTCTCCCTGTCTTCTAATATCTATTTCTACCCATGAAATAGATAATAGTTTTTTTGGCTAATTTTTGCTGTTGGCCTAACATTGTTTTTGGTATTTGGTTTCAGAAAGCTGTCTTTTCTTTTTGGTAGTTCTTAATTAAGCCTTTTATTTATCCCTAATGTCTTACAATTTTAAAATTCTAATTTTACTTTGAGACTATGAGGTTAGCTGTTCTTGAATTCCTCTTGTAACTTTCTATCTTTGAAAGGAGAACAAGTTTATAACTGTTTTTAAAGCTCAACTGATTTGTTACCAATTGAAAAACAAATTCATTGAGTAGATGGTATTAGTATCAAAGTATTGCTTTGTTATGTTTTCAAAACCATAAGTCTAAATAGATTTGATAAAAGTGCCTATAAATCAGGACTTCTGCTGAGTAATGTCAGATAACCACAGTCTTACTGTATATGAAACATAACATTAAAATAACAAACATTTCACAGATAACATTTGACACATAACAAATCATTTTTATTATTTCATCATAATCCTTTACAGGTATGTTGAATTAAAACTGATCTTCAGAGGAAAATAATCTTAATTTTCAAAGCAAATAATAATATGAGTTCTTGCAAGACAAAAATTTAGAGTTGCATTTATTTGATTTGGTTTTGCTTAGCTTTGATGACTTAAAGAGTTTCTTCCCTTTTTGCTTCATCCCTGGGATGCAAGGCTGGTTCAACATATGCAAATCAATAAAAGTAATCCAGCATATAAACAGAACCAAAGACAAAAACCACATGATTATCCCAATAGATGCAGAAAAGGCCTTTGACAAAATTCAACAACCCTTCATGCTAAAAACTCTCAATAAATTAGGTATTCATGGGATGTATCTCAAAATAATAAGAGCTATTTATGACAAACCCACAGCCAATATCATATTGAATGGGCAAAAACTGGAAGCATTCCCTTTGAAAACTGGCACAAGACAGGGATGCCCTCTCCCACCACTCCTATTCAACATAGTGTTGGAAATTCTGGCCAGGGCAATCAGGCAGGAGAAAGAAATAAAGGGTATTCAATTAGGAAAAGAGGAAGTCAAATTGTCCCTGTTTGCAGATGACATGATTATATATTTAGAAAACCCCATTGTCTCAGCCCAAAATCTCCTTAAGCTGATAAGCAACTTCAGCAAAGTCTCAGGATACAAAATCAATGTGCAAAAATCACAAGCATTCTTATACACCAATAACAGACAAACAGAGAGCCAAATCCTGAGTGAACTCCCATTCACAATTGCTTCAAAGAGAATAAAATACTTAGGAATTCAACTTACAAGGGATGTGAAGGACCTCTTCAAGGAGAACTACAAACCACTGCTCAACGAGATAAAAGAGGACACAAACAAATGGAAGAACATTCCATGCTTATCGATAGGAAAAATCAATATCATGAAAATGGCCATACTGCCCAAAGTAATTTATAGATTCAATGCCATCCCCATCAAGCTACCAATGACTTTCTTCACAGAATTGGAAAAAACTACTTTAAAGTTCATATGGAACCAAAAAAGAGCCCGCATTGCCAAGACAATCCTAAGCCAAAAGAACAAAGATGGAGGCATCACACTACCTGACTTCAAACTATACTACAAGGCTACAGTAACCAAAACAGCATGGTACCAGTACCAAAACAGAGATATAGACCAATGGAACAGAACAGAGCCCTCAGAAATAATACCACACGTCTACAACCATCTGATCTTTGACAAACCTGACAAAAACAAGAAATGGGGAAAGGATTCCCTATTTAATAAATGGTGCTGGGAAAACTGGCTAGCCATATGTGGAAAGCTGAAACTGGATCCGTTCCTTACACCTTATACAAAAATTAATTCAAGATGGATTAAAGACTTAAATGTTAGACCTAAAACCATAAAAACCCTAGAAGAAAACCTAGGCAATACCATTCAGGACATAGGCATGGGCAAGGACTTCATGTCTAAAATACCAAAAGCAATGGCAACAAAAGCCAAAATTGACAAATGGAATCTAATTGAACTAAAGAGCTTCTGCACAGCAAAAGAAACTACCATCAGTGTGAACAGGCAACCTACAGAATGGGAGAAAATTTTTGCAATCTGCTTATCTGACAAAGGGCTAATATCCAGAATCTACAAAGAACTCAAACAAAGACACAAGAAAAAAACAAACAACCCCATCAAAAAGTGGGCGAAGGATATGAACAGACACTTCTCAAAAGAAGACATTTATGCAGCCAACAGACACATGAAAAAATGCTCATCATCACTGGCCATCAGAGAAATGCCAATCAAAACCACAATGAGATACCATCTCACACCAGTTAGAATGGCGATCATTAAAAAGTCAGGAAACAACAGATGCTGGAGAGGATGTGGAGAAATAGGAACGCTTTCACACTGTTGGTGGGACTGTAACCTAGTTCAACCATTGTGGAAGGCAGTGTGGCGATTCCTTAAGGATCTAGAACTAGAAATACCATTTGACCCAGCCATCTCATTACTGGGTTATACCCAAAGGATTATAAATCATGCTGCTATAAAGACACATGCACACGTATGTTTATTGCGGCACTATTCACAATAGCAAAGACTTGGAACCAACCCAAATGTCCATCAATGATAGACTGGATTAAGAAAATGTGGCACATATACACCATGGAATACTATGCAGCCATAAAAAAGGATGAGTTCATGTCCTTTGTAGGGACATGGATGAAGCTGGAAGCCATCATTCTCAGCAAACTATCGCAAGGACAAAAAAATCAAACACCGCATGTTCTCACTCATAGGTGGGAATTGAACAATGAGAACACTTGGACACAGGAAGGGGAACATCACACACCGGGGCCTGTCGTGGGGTGGGGGGAGGGGTGAGGGATAGCATTAGGAGATATACCTAATGTAAATGACGAGTTAATGAGTGCAGCACACCAATATGGCGCATGTATACATATGTAACAAACCTGCACGTTGAGCACATGTACCCTAGAACTTAAAGTATAATAAAAAAAAGAGTTTCTTCACTTTTTAAAAAAACTGGTATACTCTCTTCATGCAATCAAAATATTTCAATTCAAAAAAATTTAACTTAATATCCATCTTTTCAGAAGCTTATTATATCTTACTATGAGATTCTTCTGTTTGTGTATGTGTGTATGTGTATGAGTGTTTGTACATTTAAACCTGCATTCTCAAATAAGTTCCAACTCAAGCAGTTGGACTTTTAAACAGCTCTTTGTGCTCCTGTGGGCCCTCCATACCCTGGATTTAAAGTCTCTACTATATTAAAAATAAGAAAACTCTTTGTCCTCTGGGCTCCTAATAGAGCTGCCAGTAATTAGAAGTTTTCTGGACATCTAGTTGATTATACTCATGGGGTTTCCTCAAGCAACTAGATAAAAGCAAGGAAGGACCACAGAGATCTTCTAAATGCAAAGCTACACGAGCTTTGCATTTTCTAGATAAGAAGACAGTTTAAATGACGTGCCCAACTCACAAACCAGTTAGCAGAGTTTCAAGAACGGATGCCAGTCCTCTGGCTCTTCAGCTCTGCTATCTTTCTCCTACTCTAAAAGTGTGGTTAATAATAATAGGAGGAACATAGAAGCAGCAGCCAATGGCTGATCTGCATGTACTGCTTTACAGAAAGCACTTTCACATGCAGACAACATCTTCCGCTATAATTGCTTCATTGACCATCTCTTAGAACTTGCCAATCAATCTTCCAAACTGCCACCTCTGTCCCTCAACAGACAATGTGAGAATATAGATATTTTCTGACAAAAATCTGGTTGTGGAGGACAGTGGCTACTGAACAGGCAAATCACCATGGCTGGACAGTCCTGAGGAAGGGCCTGAGGAGTGGAGGTGGATGGCCACTACCTATGTGGACATGATCATCATTGTCATCACAGAACTCCCAAGGGCACAGTACATAGGTGGCTTTCCTGAGGTCCTCTGCTTTGGGGAGCTCTGATCTGGAAGATGATAGACAGAAAGTGAAAGCTCTGCCAACCATGCTTAAAGTGGCCCCTCAAATATATCTGTGCGTGGATCTACACATGTGTGAAGGTATCATCATCTAATGAGACTGATTTTTAAATTTGTACACCTCTTTGAATATTCTTCTACAGAGGAGATGCCCTATACATGACTTTTTGCTTGTGGATATAGTTGGAAGTAGGGAAACCCTTTGGAAAAGTGGGGTGGTCGAAAAGGAGCAGTACTAACTTTGCAGTTAAGTGAACCCAAGTTTGAATCCTGACTCCACAAACTACTGGCTATGTGCTTGTATGAGTGTTACTTAGCCTCTTCCTAGTAAAAAGAAAGAAAATGGGGCCAACTTCTATCTCACCCATGTCCAAGATACATCTTGTCCAACACAGAAGGAAAAATTGACCTGTGGGCATCAGAGAAAGCTAATCTTGACTGTGGGAAATCAGTTTATACTTGTTTTGAAGCTTAGTATTTTCCCAAACTTATTGTTTTTCTTGAAAAAATAACTGATGGAGTAAAGCGGAAATGGATGGATGAGGTAAGCAGATATTTTGACCCAGAAATGGTAGCAATACAAAATAGGGAAACTAGAAAGGAAAAGCCAGACTGCTGCATCTCAGGTGAGGACCAACTGTGCTTCAGTCTTCTCTTCCAAGAAAAATCTTCCAGCCAGAAAGAGCTGAATAGACTGATGAAGGAGAAAGTGAAGCCAAGACTATAGAAATGACAGTGAGAAAGCAAAGTAATGAAAGTAATGATGCAAACACCATCCACCTGGGGAAGGAAAGACCCAGGAAGGTGTCTGAGTCCATCTTCTGCAAGGAACCCAGTGCTATGCTCTTGACATGTGGCTTAAAATTCAATGGGGCAAATACTGTACTAGGCAAAGGCTTCCCACTAATCCCAAGAATATGTTTTAGTGTTGTATAGGTATAGACACAAATCTTGGCTGCACTGATGATTAGGAGGGTGACTTTAGGCAGGTAACTTAATCTCTCTAATTTTATATAATGTGAATAGTAATACATACACATAAAATCATATCAATTAAATGAGGTGGTATCTATAAAGTTCTTGGTATAAAGTTGGCATTCAATAATAGCTATTATAACAAGCATTAATTTCATAAAACACAGACTTATGTGGGCAAAAGATAACTTTATTTTTCCTGTTTCCAGCCTTACTTTTCATCTTGAGCTTTCTCAGACCATTGCGGAAAGCTCAAATTCGCTATTTTCAGGTAGACCGAGTCAGATCCAGCAACTTCCCGGGCATCTGGTTTTAGAACTGAGTTACAGTTCAGATTTTCTTCATCCTCTTTCCTTGTATCTCTGAGATTGACACTGATGTCTGGCTGAATTCCCACTTGCCCACACAGTGTTGAGGGCTGCGTGAGGGCGTGGGGAGAGGGCACCCCCTTCTTGGTGCTCTGCTGGCCTGCTGCTTCTGACACACCATCACCCTGCCTCAGAGACCTGCAGGTCTCCATGGCGTCCTCCCAGGCTTCCTGCAGTCCTGACGGTGAACTGCGCCTTCCCCACATAGGGTCCCTTCATCCTGGTTTCCAGGCCTCACAGGCTTGCTGTCTCCCAAGTATCTTCTGTGTGTCCTCACGCAGGAGCCTTGGGTGTTTTCTAATGGCTGACACACCCCTTTAGGGATATGGAAAACTCAGGATAGCCTCTGGCCCCATGTGCGGTGACGTCATTTCTACCCACTGCTGACACACAACAATGGATCAGATGTAGTCTCCCTGGAGTTTATCCTCACATTTAAAGGTGCTCCCCAGACATGCCCGCCTCTGTGAGTTCGCTATTGTCAGAGGATAGGGAGGATGTACGCCTTCCACATTGCATCCAACTCTCTTACTCCCTCTTCAACTCTCCTCTCTCCACTCAGTCTGAGGGCTTTATCTGTTTGTCCAGAAGCCAGGGAGGATGTGGATGGAGAGCACGCAGGTAGAAATGGGCATTGCCTGCTCACATCTTCTTTCAGATTTTTCTTCTGTCTATGCCCGGCTAATGCCTTCTGGAGCCTAGGAGTTTGGTGTCTTGTTCTCTGTTTCTGTACTGTTTGGATTATGGAAAGCTATATTCGTTCACTAGAGTGAACAAAGTGCCACAAACTGGATGGCTTAAACAACAGAAATTTATTGTCCCATAGTTCTTGAGGCTTGAGGTCTGAGATCAAGGTGTTGGTAGTGTTGATTCTTTTTCAAGGCTGTGCAGAGAATCTGGGCACACCTCTTTCCTAGCTCCTGGTGGTTTGCTGTCCTCACCCTGGTCTCAACCTTCATCGAAGACATGGCATGCTTCTCCCTGTGTGTGTTTCTGTCTCTGTATCCAAATCTCCCCTTTTGTAAGGACACCAGTCATATTGGCTTAGTGCCCACCTTAACAACTGCACTCAGACTTAACTAATTCCATGTGATGATTAATTTTGTGTATCAACTTGGCTAGGCCATGGTACTCAGATATGTGGTCAAATGTTGTTCAGCACGCTTCTGTGAAGTCAATTTTTACAAGAAATTAATATTTAAGCCAGTGGTCTTTAAAACAGATTTGCCTCTATAATGTGCATAGGTCTTATTCAATCAGTTGAAGGCCTCAATAAAACAAAGATTGACCTTCCCTGAGCAAGAAGGAATTCTGCCAGCAGACTGCCTTTGGACCCAAATGGCAACATCGGCCTTTTCCTTGGGTCTCCAGCCTGTTGGCCTGCCCTGCAGATTGTGGACTTGCTGAGCCTCCATAATCATATGAAACAAATCCTTAAAATAAATCTCTATCTGTCTGTCTATCTATCTATCTATCTATCTATCATCTATCTTCCCATTGGTTCTCTTTTTCTGGAGAATGCTAATACAGATATATTCTGAGGGTTAGGACTCCAACATAACTTTTAGGGGGACGCAATTCACTGTATAACAGACACTATTCAGCACACAAGTGAATGAGGTGCATGAGGATGGGGGCATGTTCTTTGACACAACACGGCTACCCCAAAGTCCAGGATTGCCACCACTGCCAACAAGCACCATTGTACAATCCCTCCGACCATGCATGAGGGCTCTGTACATTGCTCCACAGTTTTGGTATGGCTTCTTAAGTCTCTTCATCTGTAGGTTTCCCCTCTACTTTTTTTCCTTTGTAAATTATGTCTTGTGAAACTGGGTCTTTGTAAATTATGTGTTGTGAAACTATTCCCACAGTCTGTATTTTAATAAGTATGTTCCCATGTATTGTTTAAAATGTTTCTATTTTCCCTGTCTTTCCTGTTAACTATCCCATCCCAAGCAACTTACCCCACCCCCAACTCTTTCCAGCCACAGCGGCCTCTGTCTCCTCAAGGACACCAAGCCTTGCAGGCCCAGGGATTTTGCTGCATGGTTTCCTCTGTCTGGAACATCCTTCCCTCAGCGTCCCCCATCTGGCTCCTTTTCAACTCACAGATCCTGCTTTAGAGGGACCTCCCTTGACCCCACTCCTGATCATCCTCCCTCCGAGTACCTCCTTCCCTTGATTCATGATTTTATTGATTTATTTATTGAGACAGGATCTCTCTCTGTCACCCAGACCTGGAGTGCTGTGGTGCAATCATAGCTCACTCACTGCAGCCTCGAATTCCTGGGCTCAAGCAATCCTTCCACCTCAGCCTCTCAAGTAGCTGGGACTACAGGCACATGCCACCATGCCCGGCTAAATGTTTAACAATTTTATGTAGAGACAGGGTCTCACTGTTGCTCGGGCTGGTTCCTAACTCCTGGGCTCAAGCGATTCTCCCGCCTTGGCTTCTCAAAGCACTGGGATTACATGTGTGAGCCACCGGGCTAGGCCTAGTCATGATTTGTACCACATGTTTTTACTGTGTATTTCTTCATGAAGTTATCTGTTTATAGCCCATCAGATTGTGAGCTCTGTGAGGGCAGGGACCATATGTGTTTTGTGCATGACTGTAGCCCAGTGCAAGCCACAGTGCCATTAACTTGTTAAATAAATGAATGAATCAACGAAGGCATGTTGGCTCTGAACTCAAACTGGTGGCAGAGATTCTGCCTAGCAACCCAGTTCCTAAATCCCAGATGGAGGCTATTACAGAGAAGACAATAATAAACGAAACACCAGTTGTAAGCACATGAATCAATTAAAGCCCTGTTTACATTGTTTTTTGTCAAACATAATCAGTTAGCATTTGAATTAAGGTCAGGCTCATTGTTTATAGCCTCTATTGCCTGTCAAAAATGGATATGAATTCCGTGCTGAAAAGGCTTGGTATCCAGGTTAAATTGCTTGCTATCTGGGCAATGGGGCTTATCTTTCCTCATCCAGATGTGAAGCGTCAGAAGGTACCAGTTACTCTCATTTTTACTCCACAGAACCTGAGGCTTAGGTGGTCTGGAGGAGGTGGTCCAGAGTTTTGTCCAATCATAGGGTAGGCAGTTGCAGAGCAGGAAGCATGTGGACTTTGGCATTGGACTTGGCCTTGAACCCCGCTCCTCCAAGCACTTGCTTTGTGACTCTGGGCAGGTTACTTAAGCTCCCTGATCCTGCTTCCTCATCGAAAAGTGGGGGCAAGAGTGCTTCTCCATTGCAGAACAGATTGTGAGAATCAAAGAGGATCATCTGGGTGAAGTAGTGAGTCCTGGCACATGGTAGGTGCTCAAAACGGTATTCTCACATTCCACAAAAAGTTACAGGGCGCCTCCAGCATTCTCATTATTATAATCAAGGTCTCCTTGTTTATGGTTTAAGATGCTTTCCACTACCCCACAAGTGTAAACATACAAACAAAAAGGGCAGTTTTTCCCTTGAGATAAAAAATTATAATCTTCTATAAAAGAACTACAAATAAGACCCTAATTGATGAATTTTCCAGTGACTGTCATTGTTCAACTACTTTAAATATCTTTTGGAAGTAGCTGGGCATTCATTATAAATAAACTATAAATTAGACTTGCTCCCCACTTATAATACAAACTATGATGACCAAGTATATAGTGACAGAAACAGAAATATTGTATCACAGCTATCTATAGTAAGAGCAAGGATTTATACAGTGCTTTCCATTGCCAGATACTGTTCTACGTGCTTAATATAGAATAACTCTTTAATCCTCACAACAACACTGTGAGACAGTTGTACTAATATCTACATCCCCCATTTTACAGGTGGGGAAACTGAGGCACAGAGAAGTTCAGTAACTTGCCTAAGTTTACAAATCTAGGAAGTGATAGAGACAGGATTCAATCCCAGGCAATCTGGCTCCAGTCTGGATTCTGGCAGCCCCTCTGTCCTCAATTATTGCACTATTCAGAGCACTTACATACATAAATAGCACATTTGTCTATATTGTACACAATAAATACATACCAAATTTTGTCAATTAAGAATAAATTTAAAATAGATAAATAGGCCGGGCGTGGTGGCTCATGTCTGTAATCCCAGTACTTTGGGAGGCCAAGGTGGGTGAATCACAAGGTCAAGAGATGGAGACCATCCTGGCCAACATGGTAAAACCCTGTCTCTACTAAGAACACAAAAATTAGCTGGGTGTGGTGGTGGGTGCCTGTAGTCCCAGCTACTCGGGAGGCTGAGGCAGGAGAATCACTTAAACCCAGGAGGCAGAGATTGCAGTGAGCCGAGATCATGCCACTGCACTCCAGCCTGGTGACAGAGCAAGACTCCATCTCAAAAATAAATAAATAAATAAATAGTAAACAGCACATTTGTCCTCTTAAATAGAATGGTGATCCCATCTCCTGGTGTTGCTTCTTATTCCTTCCCCCATAATCACTGGAAAGAAAAGTAACTGGACAAAGGTGTTTGTGTGTGGCAGAGGTGGAGGAGAAGAACCCACAGAACTGAGAATTCAATCTGGTTCCATTTTGTTCCTCCTTTGGTTCATTTGTTTGCTGCTATAACAAGAAATCCCACTGTCAATCACTGAGCAGGTGGGAGGGGTTTGGTCATCAGGAAGGAATGGGGCCTGGGTGCTCTTGGCTGTCAGAGATGGGGGAAAGGATCTTTGGTGTTTTAAGCTCAGGGGTCTCTTTTAGGGGCTTTGTTTGGGGAGAATAAAAAAGCCCCAACCCCCAGGGGATTTCTAGGGAAAGGCCTGGGAAGGGGGATCGTGAAGGCAGACTCCTAAATCAGCCCTGACCAGTGCCTCTGAGGCGAGAGGACCCCTAAGGAAAATGGCTGATGATCGGGGAGGTGGGGTGAGCAGCAAGAGTGTAAATGTTTCACCTGTCTTGCAGGAAAGGGCTCAAGCCAGTTCTAGGTGACATTATCGTGCCCGAGTATTACGGAGATACTCACACCTGGAACCCAAGTGGTGCAAATGGTGGACTTTCCAGCTCTCCCACTTCAGTAGAAGGGCCAAACCAGGAACCTACAGTCCACGCCCACCATGTTTGTCTCATCAACTGGGGGCTGCCTCTGATGTCCCCAGGGAGCCCTGTCAGGCCAAGTACAGAAACGTTTCATTTTTCCAGTCTACCTGAGTGAGAGGAGATTAGAAAGCACTACTGTCAAACTCTCATTTCAGAGCATTCTGGTTCTGCACTTAGGGTGCTCCATGGAGACAAGAAAATATGCTGCTTACAGATTTTGCTAGAGTTCCTCTTCTTCACCATGGTGTAGCACGAATTCCACTCCAATTTACTTTTCTGTGTTTCAGAGGCTCCTGATCTGAGGGTCTGTGGGAGACCTGGGGGGGGTTGCCAGCCACAGAGTCCCATCTTAGAGTTAGGGTTCCAGGAGCAGGTCAGGATTGGGGAAGAAGAGAAGTACAGGACCCAAAGGGAGACTGTAAATCTGAATTAAGGGGAAACAGCAGAGTGAGAGCTGGAGAGACCTACAGAGCTGAAGGAGAAGAATGAGGCTCTTAGTAACAGGTAACTGGGGTTCAGCACCAACTGGAAATAGGAGAGAAAATGGAGAGTGGGGTGAGTTTGGGTTTGGGTGGAGGCCATGAACAGGGCAAAAATGTCTGGGACTTATTTGTCAATGGGGCCAGCCATGGGGCAGGGGCAGTACTACTGGCCTAAGGATACTTGCCCAGGGCACTCAGGTCTTGCTTGTTCCTACCCCTAACAAGGTGTGGGGTGGGGTCTGAGTAGGAGCAACAAGACTTTTCTCTTCAAGCATTTCTGAGGTTTTTCATTAGGCAAAATCCTATCTGCCTGAGGCATCTCCAGTTTCTGCATTTCCTCTGACTGGGGATAAAGGCTTTGCCCCTGTTAAAGGGATAGGAAGCCAGAGGGAAAGGACTCCATTGACAGGAGAGAGCCTCCCCCAGGCCTGGACAGAGTCCTGTCGCTGCCCTGGGCAGAAGGGACCGGCTCCTACAAACTGGACACAGGGCTCTGTTTGCTTTATTGCCATGCCTGCTTACAGATGCCTGGCTGATAAGATTAGTTGACACACCAGTGTCCCTGGGAAATTGTAAGTGATGCAAACAAGCGTGACAGGAAACATTGAGAACAATATGAGGTTTCTATGTACTCAGGCTGGAGGACAGCTTTGCTTTCATGAATCAAATCCCTGGGCTGATAGCCTATGCTGTGGTCCAGTTGCTACAGTTGGGATAGAGGCCGGAGTTTCCTTGGAGAATTCACTGTAGACTAGATTTGGTCATGAGTTACTTGACTCACAGCCTTTGACAATGTCTATGAGGGATGGACTGTGCCATTCTAGCCATGGCTATTGGGTGGTACCCAGATTGGTGGAAGTGGCCATGACCAGGAAAGTCAATTCCGACCTCCTTGAATTACAACCGAGAAGGTGGTATTTGTAGCAAAGGGAGTCTCAGAGAGAGATAACAAGAAGACATTTCTTTATGAGCTGAGTCTAGGAAACCACCTTATGTGTACATTTGAATATCATAAGTTTAAAAATCATAATTTAAATATATAGCCTTCGGAGTAATTCTTAGGTTGGTTTGACTATGCATGGTGTACATGTGTGTACCTGTGCAAATCAAGGAATTTTCTAGAAAGATGCTGTACTCCCAGTAAGTAGGACTGCTGCGTGATGGTGATTACAGCCTCCCTATCTTCATCCTTTTCTGGGGTAATCTGTCCTTCTACAGCTCCAAGGAGGACTCTCATTTACCCTGCTCATTTTTTTATCTTTTTTGAGATAGAGTCTCACTCTGTCACCCAGGCTGGAGTGCAGTGGCGTGATCTCAGCTCACTGCAGTCTCTGCCTCCCAGGTTCAAGCAATCCTCCTGTCTCAGCCTCCCGAGGAGTAGCTGGGACTACAGGCATGCACTACCACGCTGGCTAATTTTTGTATTTTTAGTAGAGATGGCTTCACCATGTCAGCCAGGCTGGTCTCAAACTCCTGACCTCAAGCGATCCGCCCACCTCAGCCTCCCAAAGCGCTGGGATTATAAGCATGTATCACCCTGCCCGGCCTCATTTACCCTGCTCTTATCACACCCTGTCCACTGATGACTGAACACTCTAACCCAAAAGACCTCAGGCCATGGGCAGTGCTGTGCCTGTCACACTTTCTCTTTGTTTTTTTTCTCTTTCAAGACATTGACCTAAGAGACATGGTGATGTTTCAGTGATGAAGAGTGCTCCAACTCAATGGTTATATAGACTCAGGAGTGGAGAAGTGTGCCAATGAGGAAATGGAAAAGGCAGAGAGAAGAGGAAGACAGGAGCAGACACACAGACAAGCAGAGAGAAGAGAAGACTGTGGCCTCATGAGAGAGGCAGGGAACGTTTGGGATCCCAACATCCTCGTTCCACTCTGAGCCTTCATTGTCAACCTTGGTATCTGGAGGTTGCCTGTCAAATCCTTGGATCCATACAGTAACCCCCATTAAACTCCAACTAGTCCAGGTATGTTTCTGTCCCTTGCAACCAAATAATCCATAAGACAGCATGATTGGACAAGATCAGAGAGTAAGCATCTAAGACCCCAAAGACAAGCATATCTAAATGAGAGCCGTTTAGACGTCTCCAATTTACTTTAAATACTCCAGTGAGGTAGAGACAGGGATATTATGTGTGTGCTGGTTCGTTTCTGCTTTTACTCTAAGGGCAGTCAGTTGCTCTAATGGAAAATTCTACTCCAGGGTAGTGAGCTAGTATTTTATCAGAAAGGACACATTCCAGAGGCAGCCACTTTAAGTGCTTCTTTGATCGATGTCTCCCTGAATACCTGAGGCTTTGTTAATTAGCATCGTGAATGTCAGAAATGGATTTTTATTGTTTAAATTAGTTCATCGTTAATAAGTACAATGAATATTAGAAGTGGACTCTCCTTTGTGAAATTAAAGGTATTCAAGATGTGTGGATGGGCCAACGTATTTTAGATGTTACATTCTCCACTGCAATGGAAAGGGGTCCCAATCCAGACCCCAAGAGAGGGTTCTTGGATCTTGCACAAGAAAGAATTTCAGGTGAATCCATACAGTAAAGTGAAAGGACGTTTATTAAGAAAGTAAAGGAATAAAAGAATGGCTACTCCATAGGCAGAGCAGGCCCAAGAGCTGCCAGTTGCCCATTTTTATGGTTATTTCTTGATTATATGAAAACAAGGGGTGGACTATTCATGTCTCCCATTTTCAGACCTTATAGGGTAACTGCCTGACATTGCCATGGCATTTGTAAACTGTCATGGTGCTGGTGGGACTGTAGCAGTGAGGATGACCAGAGATCACTCTTGTCACCATCTTGGTTTTGGGGAGTTTTGACTGGCTCCTTTACTGCAACCTGTTTTATCAGCAAGGTCTTTATGACCTGTATCTTGTGCTGACCTCCTATCTCATCCCATGACTTAGAATGCCTTAACCATCTGGGAATGCAGCCCAGTAGGTCTTAGCCTTATTTTACCCAGTCCCTATTCAAGATGGAGTTGCTCTGATTCAAACACCTCTGACAGTGTGGTAGATACATAAATGTGTGGCCCAGAGTCCTCCTTCAAGGAAGGACTTGCTACCCAGCTGTGGGGAGTACCATCAGGGGACAGCTGCAGCTGCCTGCTCCTTCGGGGTCTGCTTCAGATGCAGAGAGCCTCCTCACCCACAGCCCTTATCTGCTGCCTGAGCCAGGTCAGGGATAAAGACGCAGCTATTTGACCCAGTGCAAGATAACCCTGATGGCTAATATTTGTAGTGTGATGTGTCCCCTGCCAGGTTGCTGAGGGATGTGTGTCTGCTTCCTGAACCCCGAAGGCCAGGCCATGAGCCAAGCCCATGGTACCCAGCTGAGGAGCAGGTATCCCTGAGAAACCAAACATCCCAGAGAGTATCTGCAAACCTACCAGGGAAAGCAATCCCATCACACACACACACACACACACACACAGAGCAAAGAGCCAGAAAATTAGCTTAAAAGCAGCTTAGGGATGGGGGGCAGGGTGGATCTCTAAAGCTGTCCTGCTGCCGTCCAAGAGTTCCTTGTATGTAAGTCCTAATAAACTCATTTATTTGCTAGGCTGGACTTGTTTAAGTCATTTTTTGGTCTCTCCACTCCCTCCCAGTTTGGGGGAAGGTTTTTCTCATTACAATATTCACTCTAAAACTCAACATTGGGTTGGTTGAGGCTTTGTTGGATGTGCATTATGGTTCAACTTTTCCCTCTGCCCAATCTAGATTCCTTCCCTTTTTCTTTTTTTTAACTTACCTTAAACTTTATTGAACTTAAATTCTGCTAACAGAAGAGAATTCAAACAGACCAGTAAAAACAAACAAACAAAAAAACTCAGAGCAGTTATTTACCATTAATAATTCCCTTCAATTTGTAGATTATAAAGCTCCATCAACATGGAAATAAACTCCTAATCATGTCGTACTTTTGATAAACTAGCAAGAGAAAATAAGTGTAAAGAGTATAAATGAAGTTTAAAGATGGTCTGTACTCTTTGTGATATTCAATTATTTTGAGTTTTTTTTTAAAAGCAGAACTAGCTGGCCATATATGTTTTTTTGTTTTGTGTTTTTGAGACAGAATTTCGCTCTTGTTGTCCAGGCTGGAGTCCAATGGCACGATCTCGGCTCACCGCAACCTCCGCCTCCTGGGTTCAAGTGATTCTCCTGCCTCAGCCTCCTGAGTAGCTGGGACTACAGGCATGCGCCACCACTCCCGGCTAATTTTGTATTTTTAGTAGAGATGAGGTTTCTCCATCTTAGTATCTGTCTCAGTATCTGCTTCCAGAGAACCTAAGTGGCTGGGAAGTCCAAGATTAAGGCACCAGCAGATTCAGTACCTGGAGAAGGCTGATCTATGTTTCCAAGATGGTGCCTCTTCCTCTGTGCTCACATGGTGGAAGGGATGGAGGATGGGTCAGCAGCTCTCTGAAGCCTCTTTTATAAGGGCATTAATTCAGTTCACAAGGGTGGAGCCATCAGGACTTAATCACTTCCCCAAAGGCCCACCTCTTAATACCATCACCTTGGAGTGTAAATTTTAACTTACAAATTTTGGAGGCACACATACATACATTCAAACCATAGAAATTATTTATCTCAATCTTTCAACAATGATTTTCAACTAAAAAGAACTTAAGAGTGGTGCATCATGACCAAGTTGACTTAGGTCAGTTCACTATAATGGTGATACGTGGTTTAGTTTTAGCTGAGGGACTCTTACGTGACTCACCCCCTCATCTCATTCGAGTCTGTCTGTTCAAATGTCATCTCTTCCAAGCAGCCTTCCCTAATGAATCTAACTAATCAAAGGACACACACACACACACACACACACACACACACACACACACACACCATTACTTGTCACTGTGCCTGAATCCTGCTTTACTTTTTGTATTATCAAACCTAAGTTATATTTATTAATTTGTTTATTTGTTTCTGTTTCTTTCCTCCACCAGCATGTAAGCCTTATAAGGGCAGGTACCTTGTGCAGTGCTGTATTCCTAGAGCCTGAAAGCATGCTGGACACATGTCAGAAGTTAATTGTTATCTGTTGATTGAGTACATGAATGCAACTATGCAAAAAAATCTACCTCTGTCAAGTGGCAGCTATGGAGCACTGGGGCTTTAAGGCATCTACAGAAGTGGCCAGCAGTCAAATTTGGGTCCTATAACTCTGCTTGGTGGCCCTCTTCCCCTTGACATTCCCACCCTCTTGACCACCTTGATTCCTGTTCTTTCACGTAAGTTCAATTCATGATCACCAAGAAACAGTTCATCTGACCAGCCCGATTACATAAGTTCAGCAAATGTTTGTTTCTGTGTCAAGTGCCAGGTTTTGACTCTCCATGGGTCACTGGTGCCTCAAGAGGAACACTTCAATATGATGACAGGTGACTAATTAAAAGGGCAGGGCCTGGGAGTGGGGCTGGTTACTAAGCAGAAAGCGCATGCTAAATCAATTGACAATGCAAACACAACTCCGGAGTAGATTTTCAGTTCACATAGAACAATACTATTTTCAAATATTGCTTAAGTAGATAAGAAGCAACTACTTATCTACCAAAAGCAGTGATATGCGGATACAAACCATTCTTATCTATTCATTAAAGCAATTCTCCTGAGTTTCTATACTGGGCAGCAGTTTGTTAATCTAGCTGTAGCATATATTTGAAAAAACATTGAAAGGATGTATATCGCTAACTAGATCTCTCCTCCCAGAATTAGTCTGAATGAGGGTTTAATTTTCAGCACCAATGAAAACAATACCCACATGAGTGAGTCAATTGTGGTAGTGGTGGTGGTGATAGTGGTGGTGGTGACGATGGCCATGGTTGTAGCAGTGGTGTTGGTGGTAGTGGTAGAAATAGCACCACTAGCCTCTTACTATGGGCCGAGCTCTGAGAGAGAGACTGTTAGGACCTCTCGTCCACCAGATCTAGCTTCAGTCTTCTCCTCCACACAAGCTTGAGTTTCATAAAATGTGTTGGGATTAGCAACTGTGCACTGTTGACCTTGTGTCCACAGGGCCTTGCCAAGTTTAGATTTGGAGAAATGTTGCCATCTAGTGCCCCACAGGAGTCTTCACTGTTCAAGCAGCCAAGCCAGTCTCCCTCTGCTTAGCTCCCCCATCTCCCTCCCAGGTAAGAGGCCAGACACGCTGCAGGCCAGAAACGGTGAGTTTGCCCCTTACCTATAGCGGAAACCACAGAAATGTCTCCAGAGATTGTTTTGGTTTTATTTTTTAAATTCCTTTTCTCTTTACAAAATGTACAAATAGAAAGAGCTAGACAGGGGCAAAGAAACAGCAATACAATTAAGAGTTGGTAATGAGTTAACATTTGCCATGTCTAGCAAAACTCAGTGAGGAATGGGAGAAAGATGTTCAGGAGAGCTCCAGATACAGTAGTGAAGTATGTGAAGAGGGCCATTGACATGCACTTCATTGGCACTTTGGGTCACCTCCAGGTGATCCACCTGGATTTTTTCCTCAGCACAGCAAGCACTGTAGACTTTCTCACATTCACCCATCTAAAGCCCTCAGTCTGTTCTCTCAAGCTCATCCTCTTGGCTTTCCGCAGTAACAGCTAACTAAACCCATCAGCTCCTTTGTGCTCTGGGTGTCTTGACCCTCCTCTGTCAGGTAGAAGAGGGATGTTTTCAGTGGAAACTATCAAAGACTGAACAACGATTAGTTATTCTATAAAGGGGCAAGTGGCAAGCCAGGTGGGGAGGGGAGATGCTTAGGGCAGTATCTCTCCAACCCCAGGCCCACTCAACTTTCAACCATGATTTTGTCTTTCATGGTGTTCATACCTCTTGATTTGGATTTACATATTCATTTGTTTAATGCCAATCTTCCCAACTGGTCTATGAGCCCCCTGGGGTTTCTGTTCACTGCTGTATGCCCAGTGCTTAGCAGAGGGCCTGGCACACAGGAGCACTCTGATGAATGCTAGACAGAAAAATTGGTGCACATCTTTGGGGATATTTGGGTTAGTGAATGGAGACTGAGAAGTGAGGCACACCACACCGGCAGTGTTCAGTTGGAAAGAACAATGAGACTTCGTCCAGACTTGTGATTTTCAAATTGTTTAACTTTGGATCCCTTGATTTCCTTGAAATGCTATGTTGGAGCCCCCTCCTGCTTTTTTTGAAGAGAGCCCTTCTCACCATCTCCCCATCCACTTCCACTGGGCCCCGCCAGGCCCGCAAGTGGCTCCAGGTAGCACAGTTTGAAACCAGCAGATCCAATCCCTTCATTTTACAGAAAAAGAAACCCACAGAAGGTGAAAAAATGGGGAAACGTGACAAAGGTGAGAGACAGGGGTAAAATGTGTATGTCAGAGAAGGGAATTGCTTTGTCACATTTTCCCATTATGGCTCTCCTCTGTAATTCCAGAACACTCCGCAAGATTTGTTCTTCCTCATCCAGGAATTCACAGTGTGATGCATCCAGCCTGGGCCAGAAACAAAAGAGGCCTGGAGAGAATGTCAGGGGCGTGGTGTAGAAGTCGAACCTTGCTTGGTAGAGGCGGTGGCTTTGAGGACCCTGGCGATGGAGAGGGTGTGTACACTGTTAAGGGCCCATCTGGGAAACCGCAGCCTGTGGAGATGTTGGGGACAAAGCCTTTTTTGTCCTTTGCCACCCGTAAGGCAGTGCTTTTCTGAGCAGCTCTAATTATAAATCCCTGTCCTGCTAAGATGGGTAAACTTGGCAGCATTTGAGATCTGCCTTGTGTCTTAACTATTTCTCAGTTGGTTTGGGCTTGGCAAAACCCCAAATGCATTTTGCCAGGCACTCTTTCCCTTAATTTCTAATCCCTTGAGTGGCTTAAAGGAAATTTCATCCATATGCTTCTGAGTCACTTACTGTGAACTCATTTTTTGGTAAAAGAAATATGTTCTCAAGCCAGCACAGTCCAGAGAAAAGCACGCTTTTAGGCTGAAATGGGTCATGCTTTCTTGAGGAAGAATTTCCTGGATTTTCTGAGTACAAAGAGAGAAGGGGAGCAATAGTTCCTGTCCCCACGTTCCTTCCCCTTTCTGAACATGCTTTCTTGGGGCTTGCCTGAAAGCCTCCTCTATTGTTTATGAGGCTGGCAAATGCCATATCTGTGTTTGGATCTAAACAAACTCTGTGGGTTTGTGGTTTCTTGAAAATTCCCATTTTTAACCTAAGCTGGAAAAGAAACAATTATTGAACACATACTACATGTCAGGTACATCTTGGCAGCCTGGTAAGACAGACATTATCCTTGTATACAAGGAATCTGAGAAGTGGAGATATGAATTCACTAGACAAGCTATGTACTTCATAAAACCTGAAGTCAGAATTCACATCTAGAGCTATCTGACTCCCAAGTTCATGTTCTTTCCACCTGGTTGTGCCCATTCCCATGCACAGACAGGAGAGGAGGCCCAGCACATTCTAGTTGACAGTCATGGGTCTAGTAGTGGGCATACATTTTTTGCAAAGTGAACAGAAACTGAACTTGGCATTACTGCAAGAGTTACCCTTTTCTTATTGACTCAGAAGAGTTTGGGATGCTGCCTTGTTCACTGTGGTAAGATGTCAGACGTAGAAATTGCCAGTCTCAAAAGTGAAGTTTTTGATATTGCTACTAATAATGACAAGCTTCTAGGTATAACTATCAGCTGATAGGAATTACAGGTAATTACAGGAATTCTAGGTAATTACAGGAATTACAAGAACATGTTAAATGATACCATGAAGATGCAATCAGCAAAATGCAGAATGGTAAAAATTCTGCAAAACAAATAGCTCAGTTTCTTCAATAAATAAACGGCAAGAAAACAGGAGGGCAAGGAAGCCTACAGACTATGAGCGACAAGAGCTATTTCAGCAGCATGCAATGAGTGCGTCTTATTTGGGTCCTCATTTGAACAAACCAAGAATAAAAAGGAGATAATCAGGGAAATTTGAGAACTGACTGAATATTTTATAATATTAACAAATTATTTTTTTTAGATATGATAGTATTGTGATTATGTTTAAAATAAGAGAGATTATCTCTTATAAATACTGCTGAATTATTTACAGATGAAACAATATGATGCCTTGGATTTGTTCTGAAGTAATCTCAGGTGGGGTCAGGAGGAGGGTGGACATGATTGGGGAGAAAGATGAAAGGATGAAATAGAGATTGGCCAACTTTACTGAAGGTGAGTGATTAGTACAAGGGGTTCATTGGATTAGTCAGATGTTTATATGCTTGAAAGTGTCCATAATAAAGAAAAATTGTTTTAATTATGATGATCAAAATTATTCTAATGAATTTAAATTTCTTTCTTCCCCACTTGTATCTTAATCTTTACAACAACTCTTTAGAAGTTCTGACATGAACATGCTATAGGTTTTTGTAGTGCTGGTGGTGGTGATGACTTAAAAGGAGGAAGGAAGAAAGGAAGGAGGAAGAGAGGAAGGGAAAGAGGAAGAAGAGAGGAAGGGGAAAGAGGAGGGAGAGAGGGAGGAAAGGGAAGGTGGAAGAAGAAAAGCTGAGCCGATGGAGGAGGGAAGTAATTTCTCATCAAAGAGAGCCAAGTTCCTGAATACTCAAGTCCCAAAATGTACAGTTCACATGGGTTCAAACTTCGCCTCTCACTTCCCTGACATCCGGATTGCCGAGCTGAAGTGTAGGTGTAAGCCTGGGTGCCAGAAGTCTTCAAAGGTAAAGAAACACTTCACCTTGACCTCTGTCCCTGACTCCATGGGGCTGCACTTATGTTGATGCCTTAACACTGCTCTGAATAATCTGCACCATCACATATATTTAACAGTGAGAGGCAGGCATACTTCTGAGATTCTTTTTAAAATAATAACTTCCAGATGTTTTGAGTGATCTTAGGCTAATGGTAAAGTGAAGGTACATTCTCTGTCCAGAAACCCATGAAGATATGAGAATTGATTAGGCGTTATGACATCCTATATCGTCCTTGTAACTTTTTAAAAAATTTTAAATTTTTTTAATTTTTAATTTTCATTGTTTTAAAGATAGAGTCTCACTCTCTCACCCAGGCTGGAGTGCAGTAGCACAACATGGCTCCCTGCAGCCTCGACCTCCTGGGCTCAAGCGATCCTTCTTTCTCAGCCTCCCAAGTAGCTGGGACTACAGGGGTCCACCACTATGCTCAGCTACTTTAAAAAAAATTTTTTGTAGAGATGGGATCTCATTATATTGCTCAGGCTGGTCAAGAACTCCTGGCCTCAAATGATCCTCCCACCTTGGCTTCCCAGAGTGCTAGGATGACAGGTGTAAGCCACTGTGGCCAACCTCCTTTTTAAATGGACATGTTTAAAAATATACACAAAGAGAGGCAGTGTGCCCCATGACACCATCACCCAAACCCGACAGTTGTCAATAGCCATCTTGTTTTGCCTACACCTTTCCTATCCCCACTCCTGCTGGATTGTTTTAAAACAAATTCCAAGTGTCATTAACATTTCATCTGTAGAACTTCTTTATGCATTGCTACTTTTTATTTCAGATTCATGGGATTAAGAGATGAGCCTCTGATGGATTTGGAGAGTGAAGAGTCCACCCAGAGATAACCAGAGTCTGTTGGATTTGGAGGTCCAAGGAGGAGATGGGGTGGCAGGTGGCAGAGGCTTCAAGGAAGAAGGGTAGCAAGTGCTGCATGAACAAGGAGTGGCGGACTGGAGCTGAGGCCCACACAGCAATGGCTGCAGTTAGAGGAGGGCACTCCCCCATCCAGAAAGGGGGAATGGGCTGGTTATGGAAGATAGCAGAGAGGGTCTGGTTCTGCCTCCATAATTGTCATTACCCCAGAACTGTCCTCAAGGCCACTATGCCAGGACAGTGAAGGTTTGAGATACTGCACCTTACTCACTTAAACAGTCAAAACTTTTATTTCCGCCCAATTTGATAGAGACCTTTCTAAACCATATTACACACTTCTCTGCCTTTTTCAAAGATTACTGCATGGAACATTCGGCCTTTTCTTGGTGGCTTAAAGGCATTACCATCAATGACTGTTTTGCATTGACCTCAAATGTGGTCATGCCTCTAGAGCTCCTTGAGAGTGATTTTACATGGGTGCTCCAGAAACAAATAGCTGCTAGATCTTTCTATTTATTTTTCTTTCTTTCTTTTTTTCTTTTTAGAGACAGGGTGTCACTCTGTTGCCCATTATTTATTTTTCTTTCTTTCTTTTTTTCTTTTTAGAGACAGGGTGTCACTCTGCTGCCCATGCTAGGGGTGCAGTGGCACCATCATAGCTCACTGTAGCCTTGAACTCCTGGGCTCAAGTGATCCTCCCTCCTCAGCCTCCCTCGTAGCTGGGACTATACACATGTGCTACCACACCAGGCAAATTTTTGTATTTTTTGTAGAGACGGGCTTTCACCATGTTGTCCAGGCTGGTCTCGAACTCTTAGGCTCAAGCAATCCTCCCTCCTCGGCCTCCCAAAGCACTGGGATTACAGGCATGACCTACCGTGCCCAGGCTCATTTTGATTTTAATAGGATAAAGTGAGGATGAAAAGGATTCTCTCTTCTCTCCTGTCAGTTGTCCCTTTTTATAGCTATCAATATACCTGACTGTAAAGGCCATCTTTGTTCTGTCTTCTAACTTGGTGCATCTAACCAAGCTGTGAAGATGTTACACCTGTGTCCCAGGTGAGAGGAAACTGACTGTGAGTGAGACTCCGATGGGCTGGCCTCTGAGGAAAGTGTGTGGATTTTATGACATCTATTTTGTGTCTTCAGGGTCTCTTTGTGGCTTACTTTTCAGTTATTAGCTGAGTCCTAGACAGTTAAAGCTGCTGAGTAGGTGATCTATTTCTTCTGTGTTGCTCACAGGTATTTGACACTGGCTTTTCAGAAAATAAGCTAAATTAGGTCTCAGCATCTCCACAGATAAGAAAATATGGCAAAGATGGGTAATAAGTAGTCCAAACATATAAACACATCACGGTAAAAAAAAAAAAAAAATTCTCCCAGATATCCTTGGGTCTTGGCAAGAGAGAAGTTAGAATGGAAATAGTAATTTTTAAAACTATGTTTTATTCAAAAGAAGTACGTCTAACAAAAAGAAACAGAACTTCACGTTAAATAAGAACTTATTCAACTACATCGAAATCAGTAAGCCTAGGAGCAAAAAGATGCTCATCTGATGAAGTGAATCTAAAATGCTTTCCCAAAACATAATATGAACACACCCATTTCTGCATACAGATAAGAGGGTAGGGCCAAAGGACATCACCTCCTCGGCAGCTACTACACATTTCGTTCTCCTACAAGAAGTGATTCTTCCAGTTATCCACCTGGAATGGCAGTCATTTTTCCCATTATCCAACTGATAACTCCCTTGCTCAGAAAGGAGACCTGGTGTTTTAGATTTCATTTTGTCCAACAGAGAGGTAAGGTTGGTGTGTTGAAAAAAAGACATCATTGGTGAGTGTTCATGGTGTTATTGGGTTCCTAATTACAAGAGACTGAAATATGGTGCTGGCAGACAAAGGACCTGGATGTTAGGAAAGAAGGTTTCAAACTGAAGGGAAAAGACAGAGACATTTTATGAACTGAGCCAGCGTAGCATTGAATCAACCCTTACTGTGTAGCAAAATCATCTAGGGAACGTTTTGAAAATTTCATTCTCCTTACTGATATATAATTTGTAAATTGCATGTATAGATAATAAATATACAACACTTAAGACATCATTTGAAAATGGGTTTTGATAAATGCCTATGCCTTGTAACAACCCACCATTATCAAGACATCAGACACATTCCAGAAAGTTCTCTCTGGCAGTTTCCAGACACTCATAGATGCCCTGTCTTAGAAACAACCTCCGCTCTGGTTCTCTGTATTTTAGTTTACTTGTTCTAGAACTTTATATAAGTGAAATTATGTAGTAGGTACCCTTTTGTGTGTGATCTCTTCCCCTCAGCATCATGTTTTCCAGGTTCATCTGTGTTGTCATGGGAACCAGTAGTTTGCTCCTTCTCTATTACTGAGCAGTATTTTATGGTAGAGATATACCACAATTTGTTTATTAGTTTTCTAGTTGAGGAACATTTGGATGGTTTCCAGTTTGGGCTATTATTAATAAAGCTTTTAAGTCTACTAGTTTGTGTCTATTTTCATTTATCTTGGGTAGACACCTAGAAGTAGTGTTTTTGGTCATTGGGTAGGTGTATGTTTCACTTTATGAGAAACTGCCAGAACAGTATCCAAAGTGGTTGTACCACTTTATACTCCTACCAGAAACAAATGAGAGTTCCAGTTGGTCTGCATCCTTGCCAACATTTGGTGTTGTCATTTTTAAATTTTAGCCATGTTAGTAGGTTTTAATTCACATTTCCCTTATGACTACTGATGTTAAATGCCTTTTTATGTATTTACTGATCATTTACAAATTTTCCTTTGTGAAGTGCCTGTTCAAGCTTTTTGATCAATTTCTTCTTTTTATTACTCAATTGTAGCAATTGCTAATCTATACTGGTTATAAGTCCTTTGTCAGATATATGTGTAGCAAATATTTTCTGCCAGTCTGTGATTTGTTTCTTTTTCTTAACAGTAGCTTTTGATGAACAGGAATGTTTAATTTTGATGAAGCTCATTTTAATACTTTTTTCTTTTATGATTATATGGAGAACATAAACATGAGAGATTTTTTTATGATTAACTGGAAAACCATACCCTAGAGGTTTGATTTCTCCATTTTAATGTGCAGCCAGGGTTGAGAACCCCGTCCCTAAAACAAAATATGACTTAAGAAGCAGAGGGCTCTAAAAAAATGAAATTCTGGAAATACAGTAAGGCATAATCCAGATGAACACAAGGGAGGAGGTACTTAAACTCCTGAGCTGTGTGTCAGTGCAGGGAGCATTTCACTATGCAGGTAGAGGGGAGCACAGACAAAGGACAGTACAGGAGAGGCTGGGTCATGGTCACAGCTCTGACCTCAGGCCTGTGCAGTGCTCAGATAGCAAAACATGGACCTTGTAAAATTGTGTTTCAGGTAAGAAGATGAACAAAGGAAGGTGATGGCCTGGGGTAGATGGTGGAACAGATGATGACACTGCCCAGCTGCAATTTTACTCTAGCCTTGCCATCTGGAAGCAAAATCTCCAATATTAGTGGAGCAGAACACAGATGGTTAAGAGAGAACAGAAGCTAAAGATGGATGGACAGAGATTTAGGGAGCCCCGAGCAGCCCAAATGAGTTCAGGTCTCCAGGCCCCATGAATTACAGCCCAGGGAACAGGAAGACCTTTCAGAGGTAATTGAGGAATCACACCGTAATCTCTGAAAATCACTGAGCAAGGGAACAGTGCCAGAAAACTCAAGGTAAGAAAATGTTCCAGGTTTTTAAAATGGGGCTGTCAGAAACTGTCAGGCCACAGCAGTGTCCAGCATCTGCCCCAGGAATGTGGCCCTTGAAGCCTGGGCAGCCCCAGGCAGCTGTCCAGGAAGTTCAAACCCTCTCCAGCTGCAAATAAACAGCATTGACTACAAATCCCGTTGACATGCCTCTCCTCTCTGGGATAACGCTTGTGAACACATGCCCCACCCAGCCCTGCTTCACAACACTTGTAGCTTCTTTTACAATAGTCGTAATTCTGTCACTAATGATTATACTTATTGAGCACATACTATATGCTTGGCTAGTTATCTCTCAAATTCTAAAACTCTTGAGTCCTCAAGAATACACATTCAGCCCAGATCTCCAAAGGCCCCAGTTTGAAAATCACTGGATTAAAAGTTAAGAGTTGGTAAGCGGATTTTAAAAACTGCGATACATCCGGACAATAGAGTATCATTCAGTACTAGAAAGAAATGAGTTGCCAAGCCATGAAAAGACATGAAAAGACATGAAAGAAGCTTAAATGTGTACTACTAAGTGAAAGAAGCCAATCTGAAAGGCTACGTACTGTCTTTATTATCCCAACTGTATGACATTCTGGAAAAGGCAAAACGATGGAGACAGGAAAAAGATCAGTGGTTGCCAGGGATTGGGAGGGGGAAAGGATGAATAGACAGAGCACAGATAATTTTTGCAGCAGCACAACTACAGATACACCTTGTTTTATTGCACTTCACTTTATTTCCCTTTGCAGATATTGCATTTTTTCTTTAATGAAGGTTTGTGGCAACCTTGTGTTGAGCAAGACCTATCAGTGCAATTTTTCCAACAGCATGTGCTCACTTCATGTCTCTGGCTCACATTTTTGTAATTCTTGCAATATTTCAATATTATATCTGCTATGGTGATCTGTGATCAGTGGTCTTTGATGTTACTATTGTAATTGTTTGGGGGTGACACAAACTGCACCCATATAAAGTGTCAAACCTAATAAATAAATATATGTGTGTGCTTCCTGCTCCAGAAACCAGCCATTTTCCCATCTCTTTCCTCTCCTCAGGCCTCCCCATGCCCTGAGACACAAAAATATTGAAATTAGGCCAATTAATAACCCTATAATGGCCTCTAACTGTTCAAGTGGAAGGAAGAATCACACATCTCTCACTTTCAATCAAAAGCTAGAAATGACTAAGCTTAGTTGAGGAAGGCATGCCCAAAGCTGAAACAGGCCAAAAGCAGGGCCTCTTGCTCCTGTTAACCAAGTTGTAAATGCAAAAGAAAAGTTCTTAAAGGAAATTAAAATTGCTACTCCAGTAACCACACAAATCATAAGAAAGTGAAACAGCCTTGTTGTTGACATGAAGAAAGTTTTAGTGGTCTAAATAGATCAAACAAGCCACGACATTCTCTTAAGCCCAAAGCCTAATTCAGAGCAAGTCTCTTCAGTACAATGAAGACTGAGAGAGGTGAGGAAGCTGCAGAAGAGAAGTTTAAAGCCACCAGAGGGTGGTTCATGAGGTTTAAGGAAAGAAGTCATCTAGTTAACATAAAAGACATCTTTGTGCACATAAAAGTGCAAGATCCAGAATATCTAGCTAAGATCATTGATGAAGGTGGTTACATTAAACAACAGATTTTCAACTTAGACAAAACAGCTTTCTATTGGGAGAAGATGCCATCTAGATGCCACCTAGAACTTGTATAGCTAGAAAGGAGAAGTCAATACCTGGCTTCAGACTTCAAAGAACAGACTGACTCTCTTGTTATAGGCTAAGGCAACTGGTGACTTTAAGTTGACGCCAATGTTCATTCACTATTTAAAAAATCCTAGGGATCTTCAGAATTAGGCTAAATCTGCTTTGTGCTCTATAAATGGAATAACAAAGCCTAGATGACAGCACACCTTTTTACAGCATGGTTTTACTGAATATTTTAAGTCCACTGTTGAGACCTACTCAGAAAAAAAGATTCCTTTCAAAATATTACTGTTCATTGACAATGCACTGGTTACGTAAGAGCTCTGATGGAGATGTGTAAGGAGATTAATGATGTTTTCATACTTGCTAACACAACATTCATTCTGCAGCCCATGGATCAATATATAATTTCAACTTTCAAGTTTTACTATTTAAGAAATATAATACATTTCATAAAGCTACAGCTGTCATAGACAGTGATTCCTCTAATGGATCTAGACAAGGTAAATTGAACACCTTCTGGAGATGATAACAATAGTTATGAGCTAAAAAAATCACCAAAAAATCTCATAATGTTTTAAGAAAGTTTACAAATTTGTGCTGGGCCACATTCAAAGCCATCCTGGGCCACATGGAGCCTGTGGGCCATGGGTTGGACAAGCTTGATCTAGGCTCTTCTTAGCTTGGTTTTGTTTGTGTGCTTCTCCATTCATTCCAGCTGTGTTGCTGCCAGAACCCCTGACCTACCCTCAGCCCAGTCCTCAGTCTTAATTCCTATCCCTGCTCACCCAGTTCTTGCCAACCTTATTCTAGCTAGTTATCCTCCTAACCAGCATTATGGGTACCTCCAGCTTTGATTCCACCCCTACCTGTGTACCCAGCTACACTCAGCCAGGCCTTACTCAGCCCAGCCCAGAAGAATAAGTCAGGGCCCTGTCCTAGTATAATTCCGAGTCACAACAGTTTGAGCCATGAAACAGAAAAACCCATGACTCCTTCTGCTGCTGCTGGAGGAAACCATGTCTTCTCAGGGAAAATTTGTCAGCTACCCAGTGGGAGTGAGAATCGCCAGGCAGAGCTCCAGGGATCTTCGTGGCAGTCGTTACATCTTCTGTCTATGAAAGTGAAGCAATGCCTTCCAGAAATCAGGTGGATGCTATGGCATAGTAAAAATAAGAGGCCATTAACTGAGCTCCATGTCCCCAAGTCCCAGTGACAGTCTACTTAGGGGCCTCGGAGAACCTGGGAAGGGTCGAGGCATTCTCATTTGAGTCAAGGCTAACACCATGAATGCCAAGGCCATTAATGATTCTATATTTGAGAGCATGTTCAGTCCTCAGAAGCTGTGATCCTGATTTCCTTCTCCCCGATGAGCATTTCCACCAGCCTCACAATTATACCTCTGAGCTGGTGCAGGGCTACTGATCCCATGGTACGCACCCATCACCCCCACCCCCCTGATGCCCCGCATCAAAGAGTTCATCCAGACCAAGTTTTTAGCCATAGTTTATTATCCATTCATCTCCTTCAGTCCCCTCTGAAAAAATAAAACCACGGAGGTGAAGCTGTAAAATGGCTAGAAGGCTTTCAATGATACAGTCATGCATGACTGCTGCTCATTCTTAGCATGTTCTCTACTGGATTCACCTGCAAAGGCCCTACAATTGCCCAGATACATAACAGGCAGAAGAAGAGAATAACACTCTGGGCTCAGCCTAGTCACGAAGCAAGGTTTCTATGTTTGGCAAATAACAGTTTTATTACAATTTGGCTTCATACATAATTATCCACAGTTAAGAATGCACCAATTTGTGATCATGAATATTTCATCCTTGTGACAGTTGTATTTTCAAAATAAATTATTTAGTCATCCTCCACTGTATAAAAGGTGTATTCATTTCCCATTGCTACTGTTACAATTCCCACAAACTTAGCATGTTCAACAACATATAGTTATTATCTTAGAGTTCTATAGGTCAGAAGCCCAATACAGGTCTCACCAGGTTAAAATCAAGGTGTAGACAGGGATGTATGCATTTTGGTAGCTCTGCAGAGAATACGTTTCCTTCTCTTTCCCAGCTTCTAGAGCCTGCCTGCATTCTTCGGCTTGTGGTCTCTTCCTCTATCTTCAAAGCCAACAATGTTGAATCTCTCTGACCGTTCTTACATTGGTTGCGTTTTTCTCTGTGACCACAGCAGGGAAAAGTTCTCCACTTTTAAGAACTTGTGTGATTACATGAGTCCCACTGGGATTATCCAGGATAGTCTCCCCATCTCAAAATCCTTCACTTATTCACATCTGCAAATCCCCTTTGTCATGTAAGGTAATGTATTCCCAAATTCCGGGGATTAGGAAGTGAATATCTTTGGGAGGTCATTTGCCTACTGCAAAATTAAAGGATAATCTTAACACCATTCATACTTTAAGTGCCTCTCATAATGCCAGGGCTTGTGAATTAGAGTTTATGAGACTGGTATCATATATCTCAATTTTTTAAGGGAAAGACCATCTTTCACCTATTAGGCTTATCATCAGCACAGAACCAATTATTTGTCAAAGAGTATTTGCTGAAGCCTACACTATGAGATAGGTCTACCATGTACAGCACAGTAGTGCATGATCTTTTAGGGAAGAGGGTTTGAAGTGTATGCTAATTTCACAGTGCTCCATCCAGAAGGCCCTGACATGCTTCTGGATTTACAGGTTAAATACAAAACTGTCGAAGTACATTTTTAACTGGTGGAAGTCAAATTTCTGGGCCATGTCAACTTCAAACATGGTATCCAGATGGGTCAACACCATGCTCTGTGATGTGCCCCTTGAAGATCAGGCAGCCCCAGGTGCCAATTCTTCTACAAAGGAGATCTGGATTACTGCTGTCCAACAGAACCTTTTGCAGTGATGGAAATATTCCATAATCAGCACTGTTCAATACAGCAGCCACTGGCTTTATGTGGCTACTGAGCATGTAAAATGTAGCTAGTGTGACTAAGTAACTAATTTTTAAATTTTGATTAATTTGAATTTAATATAAATACATATGGCTACGGCTACCATATTAAATAGGGCAGATTTAAACCCTTTGGGAAAAAGAGAACTTGGCTTGGCCATCAAGGTCATGTTTTGATCCTGTTGATCCCATCTAGAGGGATGCAGAATCAGGCATTCCATTCTTTTTTTTTTTCTTTTTACTATATTTTAAGTTTTACGGTACATGTGCACAACGTGCAGGTTTGTTACATATATATACATGTGCCATGTTGGTGTGCTGCACCCATTAACTCGTCATTTAACATTAGGTATATCTCCTAATGCTATCCCTCCTCCCTCCCCTCAACCCACAACAGGCCCCGGGGTGTGATGTTCCCCTTCCTGTGTCCATGTGTTCTCATTGCTCAATTCCCACCTATGAGTGAGAACATGCAGTGTTTGGTTTTTTGTCCTTGCGATAGTTTGCTGAGAATGATGGTTTCCAGCTTCATCCATGTCCCTATAAAGGACATGAACTCATCATTTTTTATGGCTATATACCCAAAGGATTATAAATCATGCTGCTATAAAGACACGTGCACATGTATGTTTATTGCGGCACTATTCACAATAGCAAAGACTTGGAACCAACCCAAATGTCCAACAATGATAGACTGGATTAAGAAAATGTGGCACATATACACCATGGAATACTAGGCATTCCATTCTACTGTGCACGAGTCACTGCAAACTCAAGCATTTCCAGAGTTCTGAAAGCTCAACTAAGAACCAAGCCTACTCATTCAACATCAACACACACAGCACCCTGAGCGTCCAAAACCACGGGGGTTATGTTCTAGACCACAGGACTGGCTACCTGGCCCTGCTCAAGGCGGCAGGATCAATGGGCAAGAATGTGCAAGAATTTACCACAACTCAGCCTTGCTGTGTCAACCACAGAGGCCAAGTACCCCTAACACCCAGATAGAGTAATTGTGCCTTACTTCTTTGTTCATTCCCACCATTACATTTTGTAAATTGGAACTTCTAGGAGGTTAGAAGGATATGCTGATCAAAAAAAGGGGACATATTCAAGGAGTGTCCCTGGGTCAACCCTTTATTCAGTCTCTGCCACATGTCTAGTAACTGTGAGTGATGGGTGCATCAGTATAATCCTGAGCCTCCCAAGGTACAGCCTTTCACTACTATTCATCATATTGGCTAAGGTATTCATCATATTGGCTAAGGTATTCACCAACAGGGCTCATTTTCTATCAGACCTACAAGAAACCTACAGTGGCTATAGCTGCCCAGATGTGCATATGAAATGCATTTCATTTTTATGAATCCTCCTAATCGGACTGCTTCAGTAATATAGCCCCACTTTATACCCCAATTTTTGCAAAGCCAAAGTTAAAGATAATTTGTCTTTTATGCTCTACTGCCACCATCACTAAGCTCTCACTGTTCCTTACAGCTATATTTTCCCTATAACATCCATCTGTTCTGCTACATTTACTCTACTTCTTGCCAGCCCCCAAAATCTCTTAAAGCCATCATGGTAGTAATAACTACCAGTACGAATGTCCTGTTGACAGGCCAATTTATACCTTATCTTTCACCAGATCAGATCTACCTATAAGATTCAGTTGAATCCCTGGAGAAACCATCCCTGTCAGGAACCTAGTAGAGATACTCACTAAAATCCTCATTTCACTCAATTCATCCATATATCCCAAACTCTAAGAAGATGAAAAACACTTCCCAGTCTTACTTCCCATGGCCTAGGTCATTCATTCTGGTGGACTGGAGCCACAGGTCCTCTTCATCCCCCAAGTCCACCCCCTTCTTCATAACCCCTTCCCGTTAGCCACCAAGATTGATGTCATGTCACAGCAATAGTCCCAGGCTGCTTCCTATCCCCATCAAAGAAGCCAATGGATTCCAGGCAAAAAAGCTTCAGTTCACTGTTTGAACTAATATTGTGCCCCTGACATACCCAACCTTTCAATAATAATGCCCTTTTATCACCATTAAGTACCAGGACCTAATAAACTGGGACTTGAATAAGGGAAAATAATGCCTCAAGATAGAGGTCTTTTAAGAAAAGGCCATCCCTCTTTAAAAAAGGGCTGTTCTCTCATTCATATTGAATGGATGAGTGGATGGACAACTGGATTTAAAAAATCTTTTTGCTTACCTCCATATGCCAAGCTCTGTGCTAAGCACTAGGGATCCTAAGATATTTTCTGGGCTCTCATGGATCTCACAATCTAGAGAGGAGACAAGCAGATAAATCTATCATTCCAACACAGAGCAATTATGTTCTATGAAAGAAATAAGATAAGGGCATTCAAAGAAGGGCACATTTCTCATAATGGGGAGCAGGTTGTGGTAGACAGAGGAGACATACTGAGTAGAGCAGCAAGTAGGTGAATGGGAGTTAGGTGAACGGGAGTTAGGTGGGAGGCAGATATTTCTGGCAGCAGGAGTAACATGTCCAATAGCATAAAAGAGCACTATGATCAACCAGTAGACGGACCACCAGAGTCTGAGGCATGCAAGATGAAGCAGGGGGGCGTGAGAAGTGAGGCCTCCCTAGGAAGGGGCAGGTATCCCATGCTGAAGGGCTTTATTTTATTCTGAAGGTGCCAGGAAAACCACTGAAGACTTTTTAAGCCCGAGAGAGATATGATCAAGTTTATTTCAAAATAAGGGCTGTAACTACAATACACAGACTGAATGGGAAGCCACATCTGGAGGCTAGAGGACTTGTGATTCAAGAGTGAGATGACAAGAGTCAAATTATTTTTGACAAGAATGCAAGACCATTCAATGGGGGAAAAGACAGTCTTTTAAACAAATAGTGCTAGAAAATCTGAATATCCACATGCAAAATAATGAAGTTGGATCCTTAACTAACAACATATGCAAAAATTAACTGAAAATGCATCAAAGACTTAAACACAAGAGCTAAAAATGATAAAACTCTTCAAAGAAAACACGGGGCAAAGCTTTACAACATCGGATTTGGCAATGACTTTTTTGGATGTGACACCAAAGACATAGGCAACAAAAATTTTTAAATAGACATGTTAGACATCATGAAAATTCAAAAATTTTGTGCATCAAAAGACACTATTAAGAGTAAAATGGCAACTCACAGAGTGGGAGAAAATATTTGCAAATCCTGTATCTCAAGAGGGATTCAAATGCAGAATATATAAAGCCCTAAAACTCAACAACAAAACCACCCAATTAAAAAATGGGCAAAGGACTTGAATAGACATTTCTCCTAAAATATATGCAAATAACCAATAATCACATGAAAAGATGCTCAACATCACTAATCATTAGGGAAATGTAAATCAAAACTACAATGAGATACCACTTCACACCCACTAGGATGGCTACTATCAAAAAATTGGAAAATAACAAGTGTTGGTGAGGATATGGAGAATTGAAACTCTTGTGCACTGTTGGTGGGAATGTCACATGGTGCAGCCACTGTGGAAACAGTATTATTGTTCCTCAAAAAATTAAAAATAGAATTGCTATATGATCCATTAATCCCACTTTTCAAAGAGCTATTTTTATGTCCACATTTATAGCAGCATTATTCACAATAGCTAAAAAATGGAACTAACCCAAGCATCCATCAACGAATAATTGGATAAACAAAATGTGATATATACATAAACTAGAATATTATTTAGCCTTAAAAAGGAAGGAAATTCTGACATATGCTATAACATGGATGAACATGTTAAGTGAAATGTTAAGTAACATGTTACAAGATATGTTGTGACAAGTTAAGTGAAATAAGCCAGTCACAAAAAGAAAAATACTATATGAACGCACTTATATGAAGTACTTAGAATTAGTCACAATCATAGAGATAGTGGAGTGTTGGTTGCCAGAGGTTGAGGAAGAGGAAACTGGGCAATAACTGTTTAATGGGCACAGAGTTCCAGTTTTATGAGATGAAAAGAGTTCCAGAGACAGATGATGGTAATAGTTGCACAACATGGTAAATGTATTTAATTCCACTGAACTGTACACTTAAAAATTCTTTGGGAGGCTGAGGCGGGCAGATCACCTGAGGTCAGGAGTTCAAGACCAGCCTGGCCAACATGGTAAAACCCCATCTCTACTAAAAACACAAAAATTAGCTGAGCATTGTGGCACGCATGCCTGTAATCCCAGCTACTCAGGAGGCTGAGGCAGGAGAATCGCTTGAACCCGGGAGGCAGAGGTTGCAATGAGCCAAGATAGCACCACTGCACTCCAGCCTGGGTGACAGAGTGAGACCCTGTCTGAAAAGAAAAAAAAAAAATTCTTAAGATGGTAAATTTTATATTATTTATATTTTACCACAATAAAAAAATGGGGGGTCAGGGAAGAGATGACAGTGGCAAGGGTGGTAGAACAATGTAGAGAAATGGGCACTGAGAACTATTAGAGGGAGGTAGGAATGATAGGGCTTGATAATTCAAGTGGCTATGGGGAGACTGAGGGAGCAGTAGGACTCCAGGAGGACACCAGGTTTCTGGTTTGGACAACTGGGTAGTTGGCATCATTTGCTGAGACAGGGAATACAGTTGTCTCATCACAAGCCCCGATGAGGCCTCAGTTCCCCAAGACCGTTTCTCACCCTTGACTTACATCAGCTTCACCTCCTGGATCCTTGGGCTTTCATGGTTTCTACCATAGTGTACATTAATCAAGCTTCAGCCTCCAGCCTTTCTCTGCCCAGTTGGCTGCTCTCTGAAGAGACATCTACCTTGATTCCATTCTTGTTCTTTCCCTGCCCCTTGACACCTTCATAGGGTGGATTCTTCAGTTCACCTCACTGACAGCTAGTCAATTCCCTACCCTAATTAGCCAGCCCTATCACCTGTGCAATTAACCAACGCACCCACCTCATCACTGAGGCCTCTATTCACTATCCCTGCTGGCCTTTGCCTTGCCACCACTACAGGCTCCAGACATCCCAGCCTGAACCCAGCCCCTTTCTGAGTCACTTGAAGCCCAGCCAAAATGTAAGTTTGGTATCAATCCACAGCAAAGTTCTTGCACAGACCATAAAAGAAATATTTTCTGAACCCTAAGAAGAAAAGGTGATGGTATGTAGGAACTCACATAGGTTTGCCAAGAATAAAATTGAATACTTCCTTTTTTGAATAAACTTACTGGATTAATCAGGAAAATGCTGTGGCCAGAAAGGCATTTGACCAAATTTTTCATGCCCTTATAGACAAGACTGAATGATAATACAATCAGGTGTGTTCATATTTGGTTGAAAAACTGTAGCCCAGGAGTATTAATTGATTAATTCCCCTACAAGTGCTCAAAGACTCTGTCCTTGGTCCTACCTTTAACAAAGCTCTTATCAATTATTTGGACAAAGAGAGGCATCACATGTATTAAGATCTGAGAATGACATTGAGCGAGATAATTTAATCGGTGATCAAATTGAAAGAACTGAAAGATCTATATAAGTTGATATAATGGATCACAACCAACAAGAAAAATAATGGAGATAGATATAAAGTCCTTCTAAGACCAAGAAACACATTTGCAAGGATATAAAATGAGTGCCATCTGAACAAGTTTATTTAAAGCAAACAAAAAACTCAGGGTCTAGTTGCTTCAAGGTCAAAAGAAACCTACTCACTGCTCCAAGCCCACAGTGCAGTTGGAGGCCGCAGTCACTGCAGATGGTGTCCAGAGCAAAGGAGGCGAAGGCTCCCCTCTGCTGTGACTATAACTTCCAGCTTGTGGTGGTGGGCTGCAGAGGGCCTTCTCAAATTTGGCAGTGGCAGCCTCTAGAGTAGAATTTTAAACTGGACGGTTTTACTTTTACATACCTTGATTTAATGCACATTTAGCATTTGTTATTTCGCATTTAAAAACAAAGAAAGAAAAATTCTGAAGCATAACATGTTAGTTGAGGATGTAGAATTTGGAGTCAGATAGAGTGTTCAAATTTCAATTTAGCTACTTAGCTGTGGGAGCTGGGGCAGGTCATATGACTTCTCTAGCCCTTGGTCTTCTCATCCCAAATACTGGGAAGATAGTGACACCATAAATTTCCCTCAAGACTTTATCTAAAAGACAGGTCTAAAGCACTTGGCACATAATCAACACTCTCACTCCAACCATAATCAGAGAAGGACCCTGGACTAAGAGTCTGGAAAAGGGAAGAGAGATCCTGAGAAGGAAACAATAACTGCTTGAGAGGTTGAAATATTTGAAAGTTTATTATGGGGAAGAATAACTTTTTTTGGTATTGCTCCAACAGGCATAATTGAAATCAACAGGTAGAAATTATTGTGGTGGAAATGCCTTTCCACTCAGCACAAGGAAGAATGTCTCAACTCAGGCCACTCATAAAAAGTGGTGAGCGTCCCATGGCTGGAGGTTTTACAGTGGAGGTTATAGAACCACCTGCCAGAGATGATACTCAAGGAGGTCTTACCCTGGGAGCCTGGCTAGCTTGGTGTTCTGAAACTGGACTGATCATCAGAAACACAAGGAGAGCTTTTTCAAATATAAGTTCCATGGCCCCAAGCAGTCCTAATGAATCAGAATGGCTGTGGGGGCAAGAATATGGATTTTCTAAAAGTTCACCAAGAGACTCTGATGAAAAGCCAGGCTTGGAAACCACGGGGTTATAACCTTTCTGTTTCCTTGAGTTTAAGAACGTACAGCTTGACATATGTTGAGCTGAATTTTGAACAGTAAAGTAGAGTCAACTAGGACCAGGGTATCTTTGAAGGAAACAGGAAAGGAGAAAGAGTGTGAATAAATGAGTTACCCCATCCCTGCGACAACCCAGGCACCACTAGGGTACAAAGACTCCTTGTCCAGGCAACGATGTGAACCCATGGGGACCCTGCTGCCCTCTGACAAGGAAACCCTAGGATATATGTCAACTTTCTGCAAACCACCAGCATAAATTTTCTTTAAAACCAAAGTCACAAATAATCTGCCCCCCCGCCCCGCCCCCACAATGGAAGCCTATGACCCATTTTGTTTTCATGTAACTCGGTCTTGGATAAAACAGGAGACAGAGAGAGAGATGTCAAGATGTTACAGCCAAAGAAGGAAACAGAGGAGAGATGCAGCCTTTGTTACTTTTTAATTGGAAAAAGATCTTATTTCAGACAGCAAGACATTTAAGAAAGCCATTAATTGTTTGTTGCTGTCACCAATGAGAAAAAGGTGAACAGGTAGGAAGCAGAGTTATAAAATTAGCTATCTTTAAAAGTTGAGGAGGAGTCCTTACTTCTAGCAGAGGCAGGTTACTGTATTAAATACTAATAAAGTATCAGTTAACAACGACTTCTCTAGTCCTCTTTACTGGTTAATCTCTTAGTTCTAATAAGATACTGCTTTATTGTCAGGGCACAGTTTCCTAACCTTTGTGCAGAGGACATTTAAGGAATCTAAGAATGCAAATATGCACCAAATAGGTGTAGCCGGATAAATTGGTCTCAAGCATATTTTTTAATTGCTGTTTTTGAAATTTATGTAGACATTATTGAAATTAAAATACGTATTTAAAAAGCATTACTGAATTCACAGCACCTTTTCATCGGCACACACTGTCCCAATCAATGGGTACCAAAGTACAAGTAGTATCACCTGGACATGCATGACCCTTTTCCTGCTGGAAAGAGTGAAAGCTAAGCTCAATAGTTTAGGAAGAGCCTATTTGTGTTCTTTGTCCTCCCATGAGCACTACAAATAGCTTTTCCTTAGTTCATATTGAGCTGGCTTTTCAGGAGCAGACAGGAAATCAGATGGGAGTGCAGGGAGAGACTGGGAGAAAAGAGCAATGATTTAGCTGCTCTTCTCGTTGTGTGGGAGAGGTCTACTTCCCACCTAGGAAAATCTTCATACATTTTTTTTCCTGCAAACAGAGTCCTCTGGGGCTGCCAACATCAGTGAAATAAAGTGTAATTTAGTTTATCTTGAAACCAAAACAACCCAAAACCCACTGCTATTATCAAAACTGAAGAATTATTGGGAACAGGGATTCCCTGAATTATTCATTGTTTCAAAAAGCAATTATTGATTTTCTACAATGTGCAAGGTTTGTAAACTGCCCTCAAGCAGTTTACGAAATAGTAGGGATGCCACCAAAAAAGAAATGGGGAAAAAATTTTAAGCATGCTCAAAAGTTGGACACAGTAATTTATTAGTTTATATTAAATTAAATTATGTACAATCTGTAAACCCTTTTTAAATGATGAAATTCGGTGCTGGCAAGTTGTTGAAAATGTACACCCACACCCTGCTGGTAGCAGTGTAAATTGGTACAATCCTTTACCAGAGCAATTTGATACTGCACTCAAGAACCTTAAAATGTTCACACCCCTTGATCCAGTAACTTAAAGGAAATATATTTTAAGAAAATAAGTCAAGGCCGGGTGTGGTGGCTCATGCCTGTAATCCCAGTACTTTGGGAGGCCAAGGTGGGTGGATCACGAGGTCAGGAATTTGAGACCAGCCTGACCGACACGGTGAAACCCCATCTTTACTAAAAATAGAAAAATTAGCTGGGCATGGTGGCAGGCGCCTGTAATCCTAGCTACTCGGGAGGCTGAGATAGGAGAATCGCTTGAACCCGGGAGGCGGAGGTTGCAGTGAGACGAGATTGTGGTATTGCGCTCCAGCCTGGGCATCAGGGCGAGACTCCATCTCAAAAAAAAAAAAAAAAGAAAAGAAGTCAAAGGAAATTAAAAGTTACGTGCAGAAATATTTTTACTATGTACAATTTCTAATATTGAAAACTTAGCAGTCAAAAGGCTTAATAGAGGAATATCAAAATAAATTACAGTAAGGCTATTCAATCAAATACTATGTAGTCATTAAAATGTCAATAATGAACTATAGAAACATAACGAATGCTGAAGATAAAGAAAATGCAGAGTATAAAATTATATCTATGCCTTAACTGTAGTTGAATAAAAATATATTCCTTATATTATCAAAGAGTAAGGACTACCCAGAAACATGGAAAAATCCAAACTATTTTATGATTCAAAATTATAGGTGAGTTTTATCTGTTTTTGTCTTAGAGTATATCTACATCATTATAAAGCTTGGTGCATAAAAAACATCTGAGCATGAGCGCAAAAAGGATTATTATTGGGCTCACCTGTTATCACTAACTCCTGATCCAAACGTATCTCTCCCTGGCTTATGAAGTTATTCTTCAACTTACCCTCAGGTGAAGGGAGAAAACTGAACTTATAGTACGAGATACAGCAGTACCAGGACTTTCATGCAGTTTAGACTGTTTCTCCTTTCCGGTCTAGAATGAGATGGAAAGAAAGGAATGATGACTAAACAGGGTCTGACACTGGTAAAGCTGGGAAATTGGCTGCTTCATGTGTGCCTCACAAAAACCCTCTGAAATGGTGTTCTTCACTTAGGAGAAAACATGCCCACAAGGGTTATGTGGTTTGCCCAAGGAGACACAGCTAGTTGGTAATGGAGCCAGTTTTCAAATCCTGGGCAGATCTGATTCTGAAAGCCTCCTCATTCTACTCTACATCCCCTCCCAAGCAAGTATGGGAGAAGATGAAGGCACATTGTTTATGATATGGGTCAAGTCAGTTTGCACCAAAGTCATTAACTCATTTGACCCTTGAGGTTTCAGGCCACTGTTTGAAATACTGATGGTATGTTAGAATCATCTGGGGATGTATTGAAAATTTTTTTGATGCCTGGGCCTTACCTCCAGAGATTTTGATTTAATTGGTCTCGGGCGCAGCTAAGACAAGGATAAGACATAAAACTCTCCAAGGATAGGATGGCTCAATCAGGGCTGAAAACCACTGGTTTAGGCCCTTTGCATTTCCAACCTCTATCCTATAAACCTTTCAACTGGTCCCATGATGGGAGTTAAAACAACACTCCATTCACTCTTTTAATTTTTTATTGTGATAAAATAGGCATTACATAAAACTAACTTTTCTTTTCTTTTTTTTGAGACAGAGTCTCACTTTGTTGCCCAGGCTGGAGTACAGTGACACAATCTCAGCTCACTGCAATCTCCGCCTTCCAGATTCAAGTGATTCTCCTGCCTCAGCCTCCTGAGTAGCTGGGACTACAGGCGTGTGCCACCACGCCCAGCTAATTTTTGTATTTTTAGTAGAGACGGGGTTTCACCATGTTGGCCAGGCTGGTCTTGAACTCCTGAACTCAGGTGATTCCCCTGCCTCAGCCTCCCAAAGTGCTGGGATTACAGGCGTGAGCCACCGTGCCCAGCCAAAACTGACCATTTTAAAGTGTACAATTCAGTGGTACTGAGTACATTCACAATGTTGTGCAACCATCACCACTATCTGGTTCCAGAACTTTTTTTTTAATCACAATGGGAAAAACACAGTTAGTCACTCCTCATTCCTCCCCTTCCCCCAGTTCCTGGCAACCATTAATCTGCTTTCTGTCTCTATGAATTTGCGTATTCTGGTCATATGATATAATCACACAATATGTGGCCTTTTGTAGATGGCTTCTTTAGGTAAGGATCGTATTTTTTTTTCCAACCTGAAGCAGAATGGATAGCATAATGTTTTCAATGTTCATCCAGTTGTAGGTGTATTAAGACTTCATTCCTTTTTATGGGTGAATAATATTCCTTGTATGGATATACCATGATTTGTTTATTCATTCATCAGTTGATGGACATTTGAGTGGTTTCCACATTTGACTTCCATTCACTCTTCTTTCAAATCTGAGGTTCCTCAGGACACACCTTTACAAAAAGAAGAACTAGAGAGGAAGAGTTTTATAAGTTAACAATGGGACTGTAGAGTGAACCTGCGATTCGAAAGTGGGATCTCCCAACCAGCAGCACCCGTATTACTTGGGGACTTGTTACAAACGCAAATCCTTAGGCCCCCCACAGACCTACTGAAGGCACAAACTCTGGGGATGGGGCCCAGCACTCTGTGTTTTCATAGCCCTCCAGGTGACTCAGACCCAGGCTGAAGTTTAAGAACCACTGGTGTTGGCTGGTCACGGTGGCTCATGCCTGTAATCCCAGCACTTTGGGAGGTCAAGCCAGGAGGATCACCTGAGGTCGGGAGTTCGAGACCAGCCTGGCCAACATGGTAAAACCCCGTCTCTAATAAAAATACAAAATTAGCTAGGCGTGGTGGCACATGCCTATAATCCCAGCTACTCGGGAGGCTGAGGCAGGAGAATCACTTGAACCTGGGAGGTGGAGGTTGTGGTAAGCCGAGATCACACCATTGCACGCCAGCCTGGGCAAAAAGAGAGAAACTCCATCTCAGAAAAAAAAAAAAAAAGAACCACTGGTGGAACCAACACTAGCATGGGGCTCCAGCTCAAGGCGCTTTTGTGTGGCTTTCGCTCAGGTTGAGTCCGCCCACACTGCAAACCAAGCACCTCTGGAGCAGAGCAATCTCCAGCCCTGGGCAGCCTCCCTGGTAGTGCAGTCATAATACTCTCATCTGCAGGATCCAGGATGTTAGTGTCACTGAATTCAGCTGGTGCATGAGACAAGGTTGACATGACACCCTCAAGTGATCACAGCTCTCTGTAATAAACAAACACATGTTGTAAGAAAATAGTCTTAATTAGAGAGCTGCATCCTAGCAGTTTACATTGTTGAGTGTCTTACACTCAGAGAACCGCAATCAACTTGTTCACTTCAGAACTGCTATCAGAAGACAATTGGCAGGGTCTCCATCGTCTGGTTTCTGCTTCTCCTTCTGGCCTGGTAAAGATCCTGCTCTTCCCCGCCAGCCTGGATTACTCCTACTCACTCCTCCAAGCCAGTGGGTCACGTGTCAGGCCACCTCCCTGCCTCTGCTCAAGTGGTTTCTCCTCCCTGAGACACCCTCCTAGTCTCTCCCCGCTCATCACATCCTCCATCCCTCATACTCAATCCACCTTCACCTCTCTCGTGAGAGCCCAATGGGGCCATCCCCGCCATCAGCCATCTCCTCTTCTTTGCCCTTATTTTTGGTACCACCATTCTTTGCTTGATCATACTGCTTGGGCATCTCTTGTTTGGGGTCATTTTTGTTATATTGTTATTTGGTCCTTACTTTTTTAGGCTTAATTCCTAACTATCAACTATTCTGTAAGCTTCAATACACATATTGTAGCAGTGGGAGAATGCTATTTAAAGCCATGACTGTAGCCACTTTCACGTAATAGGACATACATTCTCTTATAGGGAAGAAATAATACCATGAGCCTTGATGGGACTTGTAGGTGAGAAATGCAAGCTCTGGGTATAGCCTGGGAAGTAACAAAGAAAAATGAAGAACAAGCTGTGTTGTGTTCCGGTGGGAAGTAACCAGAATTTGGGGATTGCAGGAAGCTGTTAGTTGAGTAGACAGCCACTTCTGGAGAAGAGCAAAGCCCAAGAAGGTAATGGCAAGGCAAGGCCTTAAGGGGACATGGCAAGTGGTTTGGCTAAAGGGCAGAACATTAGGCCTTCTGCGATTGCCCCTATGATGCTGTGCTCCAATTCCTTGGCATTCAGGCAAATGCAGCCTAAGGCAGAAAGGATAGAGAAACTGGGGCCCTGTACAGCAGGGTGACATGTCAGGGAAAGGGCAGTCACTGCCAGGATGCTGACAACCCTGGACCAGGAGTCTGTGAGTCCTCAGAGACAGTCTCAGGACATCTTGAGGAGGACTCGGCTTTCACAGAAGAGGAGTGGGACTCTGCTCGTTAATCTTGGTACACAAGAAGAGGAGCCCAGAAGACTGGATGGCTTAGAGTCCTGCTGTGTCAGAATTATAAGTATGCAATGTCTACCATGCAGAAATAGCACAATACTGTATTTGCCTTTCTGGAAAATTCTGCTGGGATGGTGATTATGGGGTGGAGAAGACTTTGGAAGTGTTTTTTGTCTGACAGTTTGGGGGTCCAATATACTAGGCAGAAATCACAATAAAAGAGATGTGCACTAAGTATCCTATGGATACTATATACATACATATATATATACACACACATATATACACATATATATACATACATATATACACATATATATACATAGGATATATATATAGGATACATATATACATATATATGTATATATACATATATGTATACATATATAGGATACATATATATGTATATATACATATATGTATACCTATATAGGATACATATATATGTATATATATATACCTACATATATACGTACATATATATACATATGTGTGTATATATATATACACTTATATATGTATATATATATATACACACACACACACACATATAAAATTATTTTTTGTTTTTGAGACAGAGTCTTGCTCTGTTGCCCAGGCTGGAGTGTGGTGGTGCGATTTCGGCTCACTGCAACCTCCGCCTCCCGGGTTCAAGCGATTCTCCTGCCTCAGCCTCCCAAGTAGCTGGGACTACAGGCACCCACCACCACACCCAGTTAATTTTTGTATTTTTAGCAGAGATGGGGTTTTGCCATGCTGACCAGGCTGGTCTCGAACTCCTGGCCTCAAGTGATCTGCCCACCTCGGCCTCCCAAAGTGCTGGGATTACAGGTGTGAACCAGTGCCCCTGGCCCTATTCATTATTTTTTTCAAAATAGCCAGAACAGAAACTTAACTGCCTTAAAGAATTTTTCCGATTAAAATTATGGCAGCCCTGATACATGAACTGTGGGTTCTCAATCATCCATTTGTCTGTGCACTGGAGTGGACTGGAGCTTACTTTCTAGGTGCACTTTGGCCTTGCTTCCCTATTTGCCTACCCCCTTTTCTGAACCCAGCTCATGGATCACCTTCAGTTCAAGCCAGAGCCCATACTGGGACCCTGAGCGGAAATCTGTTGGTCCTATTCCATCTCAGCCCACGGGTAAAGCATACGGCTCCACAGTAACTAGCCCTCCAGAATGTTGGCCCCTCAGGAACTCATCAGGATTCACACATTTCCTTAAACTCACTGCTGCCCAAGATTTGTCAAAGGCTCAGCTGTCAAGGACAGCCTTTATGAAGGACTATCACAGGGATATTTGGTCCTAATCAGTTACCAGAGAGGGCAGTGGCACAGGCTCCAGAGCCAGCCTGCCTGCCTGCCTGCCTGACTGCCTGGGTTTGAACGCTGCTTAGGGATAATGAGCTCAGTGACCTTGGGAAGCTTTCTTAGCTTTTCTGGGCCTCAGTTTACTCATCTGTAAAATGGGGATGACCATATTACAATCTCATATGGGTGTTGTAAGACTTAAGCGAGGTGATCCATGCAGAGGGCTCAGAGCTCTCACTGGCCCTCCTGACGCTCAGTAAGCACTCGCTGTTGTTGCCCCTGGTTAAATCACAGCCCCTGCAAGCACTGTGCCTGGACTCTATGATGCTGGCTCTCAGGAATGGTTTCTATTGGCTGATGCTGTGGCTTGTTGCCATTAGCCTCTATTAAAGGGAAGCCGGTGGCACTTATCACTGGGTTTATTCTGAGGAAGTTGTTGAGAACAGTTTATAACGTTGCACAGTGCCCTTCTCAGAAGGCCTCTAAAGAGCTCTTTCTGAGCGGTTGCCTCTCCTGAGCCCACTGTTTTCCTCTTGTGAACATCGTGAGTGATTTAATAATCAGGTTTCTCTCATCACACTGGCCCTGACAAAGTGCGTATGACTTCATAGTAGGTATTTTTGTATGGACCTCATTCTTGGCTCTATTTTATGACCCCACCCCTTGATTTCTTTCCGTTAAATAATTCTATGCCTTGTAATAATAATAATTATCCACTGAGCACCTCTGTGGTCCAGGCTAGTGCTAGAAATTTACATGAACTGGTATTAATGTCTACCCTAATTCTACTGGGAAGACATCATTCCCACATTAGAGGCAGAAAAATCCGGTGCCAGAAAGATGCTGGCACTTGTCCATGGCTCCTGGGAAGGAGAGAAGGAGAGCTGGGATTGCAGCCACACTGTCACACACACACCTAACTGAGGCACTCTTCCAGTATGTGAAGCATTTCTGTATCCTGTCATAAAAGCTTTGGGGAGCAAGGCAAGATACAAATAAATAAATTACACTTTAAATGATGTCTTCCCTGGCTAGTTCTCTTACTTAACAGGTGGGACTATGGTTGTGGTATCGATGCTCCAAGCCCCCAGAGGGTCCCAGGACACCATGACCAATGGCCCTGGGGTAAAATGAGGAAGAGCACAGGAAGCAGTAAAAGCACACATGAATTCTGCTCCTGGTGCCAGAAACATGATTTTGTTTATCACAGGGCTGCCGCCTTCTGTCCCCCAAACACTGGCCTCCCTTACTCCCCTCCAGGCCCCAGAAGCAGTATCAGGACTGATAGGGTTTAGGGAGCACCTCAAGCACAGCTCTGCACCCTGCACCATGCCACTAGTTACTCCAGATGGGTTATGTCATCCCACGTGGTCCTCAGGGTACTTCCTATGTGAAGTGCTGGATGTGGAGATGTCTCCGCATGTCCCTGGAGGAGGTAGCAAAGAAGACCCGGGCTCTGGAGTCTCCTGCGTACGCTGGAATCCAGGATTCCTTCCTCTCTCCCTGCCTCAGTCTCCTTTTTATAAGAATATTAATACTAAAACCCCCTCCTAGGAAGATGGTAGAATGTACCAGTTAAGAGCACAGAGCGAGACTCTGTCTCAAAACAAAAAAAAAAAAAAAGAAAGAAAAAGAGCACAGAGCCATATGATCAGTTTGAATCCAGGCTCTGACACTAGCTGAATATAACCCTCAGCAAGTGATTTAACCTTTCTGAGCCCACATTTAACCTTTCTGTAAAATGTAGGTAATGGTAATTACTACTTCAGAGGAATATGAAAGAATAAAATTGGTTGAGGTATACAAAATAATTTAAACTATGCCTGGCACATAGTAGGCACCGTTTTATGTGTTGGCTGTTACTGTTATTATACATGCAAAATGCTTCTAGTGACCGTCAATTGATGTTAGCTATTATCTCCCCCCACAGTTATGAATACAACTGCAAGCAGCGACCTGGAAAATCTTGGTCTTGTCCAGCATATGCAAAGGGCAGGAATTCCGTGAGGAGCTCTTTGCATGAGAAACTGAATGCAAATCCTCCCAGCCCTTCCATCCTTGCCGAAGCAAGAAGGGAGGAAGAGAGTGAGTACAAACCATCTTAGACGCAGCTGAGCTGCGTTTCTCAGCCCTTAAGACAAAGAGGGCTTCATCCTTTGAATTTCAAATAAAATAAATTCCCAAGCTTAACTTTAAGCTGCATGTAGACAAATTAGCTCTAACGCCTAATCACTGAGGATGTGTTTCTTAAGTGAATTCACATGAACAAATAGGAAACATTCTTCTTCCTTTTCTAAGTAACTCAGCCTGGGAACAAGAGCTTGACAGAAGCGGGGATGAGCCTGTGTGTGCACATGGAGCCTGGAGCTCCCAGGGAGAGGCCAACGCTCCCCTTCCCCTCTGCCCACTCTTTATAGCTGCTTTTCTGCTCTTTGCCCTCCTGAATCATTTTCTCTTATTGTCATATTTTCAGACACTGAAAAAACTACCTTGGCAAATTCGAGATGAAGTCAGAAATAGACTCAAAGGCGTTTATTAAGAAGCATTTCTAAAGGGAGAAAAACAAATTACAGAAGCAGAAGCTGCGGTTGAGCAAGAAGAGATTTGGAGGTTTCAGGTAAAGAAACAAGCATGATAGATAAAAACACAAATAGGAGACAGGACCCGTGAATCACAAAGTATTACATTTATTACTTAACATTCATTAAATGTTCACTGCATCAAGCATGCATGCATCTTATTTAATCTCTGGAGGAAAAAGGGTAGCTACAATTATCTTTTATCTTTTTATAGATGGGGAAACTAAAGTATATAAAGGTTTAGGGATTTCCTGGCTTATGACTGTGCCCCTTGTGAATCAGGAAAGACTGGAGAAGATTCAGAAAAGATCCAAAAAAATAAAGAAGGGATCTAAAACCCAAGATTTTTGGCCAGGCATGGTAGCTCACACTGGTAATTCCAGCACTTTGGGAGGCCGAGACAGGCAGATCACCTGAGGTCAGGAGTTTGAGACCAGCCATGGCCAACATGGTGAAACCTGTCTCTACGAAAAAAAAAAGAAAAATTAGCCAGGTGTGGTGGTGCGCGCCTGGAGTCCCAGCTACTCAGGAGGCTGAGGCAGGACAGTCACTTGAATGTGGGAGGTGGAGGTTGCAATGGGCTAAGATAGCACCATTGCACCCTAGCCTGGGTAACAGAGTAAGACTCCATCTCAAAAATAAATAAATACAATAAAATTCAAGACTTTTATGAAGAGTTCTGTTAAAAGTCCTAGAATTGTTTAGCACAGTGCAAAAGGAACTGAGGATGGGAGGGGGAACAAAAGACTTTATTTCCTAGTCTCCCTGGCAACTACCCTATGTGCCAGCCAATAAGCTGTAAGCAAAGGATTGTGTGGCACTTCCAATGAGTCTCCTTAAAAGAGAAGAGGCAAGCCTTTCTTCTGCCCCTTCCTCCTGCCTAGAATGCAGATGTAATGGCTGGAACTCTAGCAGTCATTTTGGACCTTGAGGTGAACTTGAGAAAAGGAGCCATACCTTAGGACGTGGAGCATCAAGTTAAATGTCTGGGTCCATGACATAGTGGAGCCACATACCATCCCTGGACTGCCTATCTCTGGATTTCTTTTATATGGAGGAGAAATACACTTCTATCTTGTCATAGCCACTACTACAGCATACAGAGTAAACTTAATCCTAACAGATGGACCCAGGCTTCTTCTGACAAGCATTTTGCAACAACAAAGGAAGCCAGACTTGGAATAAAGCTGATACCACAGTAGCAGAGCAGAAACAAAAAACCCAGGTATTTCCATACATCATGAAGCTGCTGGGTCAAGCTTCTCCTGAAGCTGACATTTTCATGAGACTTTCCAGTTACATGAACCAATAAATTCACTTTATTTTTTAAGCTAGTTTGAGTTGGCAGTTTTGCTACTTACAACTGAAAGCATCATAGTTGACATGGCATTTCATTTCCAATGAAAGCAGTATAAACAGAAGTATATTTAAGTGCATCTGGGCTTTCCTTAGAGTGGAGTCATTAAATGCATACATTAGGTCTGAGTGATTTTTTAAAATTATAATTATGCGCCACATAACATTTCAATCAGTGATAGGCCACAAAGACAACAGTGGTCCCATAAGATTATAATACCATATTTTTACTGTAACATTTCTATGTTTACATGTTTAGATACATCAATATTTAACACTGTGTTACAGTTGCTACAGTATTCAGTACAGTAATATGCTGTACAGATTTGTATCCTAGGTGGGTAGTAGGCATCTAGGTTCGTGTAGGTACACTCTATGATGTTTGCTCAATGATGGAATCACCTAATGACACATTTCTCAGAACATATCTCCATTGTTAAGTGACATTACTGTACTTAAAATTTATTGAGTCCCTAGTATGTGCCAGGTATTTGACACAAATTATCACTCATCTAGGCAACAGTACTGAATGGCAGAAATTGTTATTCCCATTTTACAAAGGAAGAAACTGAGGCTCAGGGGTTTACATAAGTTGCCCAAGATGATATAACTAGTAAGGACACAGCTAGGAGTAAAACCCAGGCCTGCAGAGGTCCTATAGACATAATCTTTGCATTACACAGAGCCCTGGCCACAGCTACCTCCTAGTCCTAATGTTCTGCAAGTCTTGCTTTTTAAGCTCTGTTTTTGTTTTGGTTTTGGTTTGTTTTTTGGGTTTTTTTTAGACAGAGTCTTGCTCTATTGCCCAGGCTGGAGTGCAGTGGCATGATCTCAGCTCACTGCAACCTCCACCACCCAGGTTCAAGTGACTCTCGTGCCTCAGCCTCCCAAGTAGCCGGGATTACAGGTGCACACCACCATGCCTGGCTAATTTTTGTATTTTTAGTAGAGACAGGTTTCACCATGTTGGTCAGGCTGGTCTTAAACTCCTGACTTCAAGTGATCCACCTGCCTCAGACTCCCAAAGTGCTGCCATTACAGGTGTGAGCCACTGTGCCTGCTTGTTTTGGGTTTTTGTTTTGTTTTGTTTTTTGCATTTTTTTTGTAGAGATGGGGTCTCGCTACATTGCCCAGGCTGGTCTCAAACCCCTCCCACTTCAGCCTCTCAAAGTGCTGGGATTACAGGTGGGAGCCACTGCGTCCAGCCTTAAGCTTTGCTTTTGGAAACCTTGCAGCTTGGCCAGTTTGGAAGAACATTTATATCAGTCTCACCAAAAAAATGGACCTGCAGTTGGGTGACTCAGCATATGTTCATGGTCAGAGACACAAATGTCCCCTCTTTCTTGCCCACACTTGCTCTCTCTCAGAGCTCTTTGGCTGTCTCTGAGGAATGGCTCATTTGGGTACCTTGACTATTTCTTCCTCTTCGAGACGGTACATACTGTCGAGGACACATATATTAGATAATGGATCTGGCCCATGTTCGTCTTAACAAATTATACTGTCTCACTAGTGTTTGTTCTTCTACTGCTGGGCTAAGTGTTTGAATTTCACTTTCATTTAAGATTTAAGGCTGGACATTATACTCCAAAATCATTCCTGGCCTTTATTGATTAGCACTGATATAGTGCATCCAAACTGAAGATATATGACACCCAAGTCACACTGGGTTTTCAGGCCCTGTTTTTCATCTATGAATAAGCACACTGAAAGAGTTTTGTTTAATATTATTGAAGTTGAAGCATGTCATGTTCATTTACTGATATGTAATTCATTATGAGCAAATGCTGACTCTAAACGTGAAGTCACATGAGGTGTACTCCCTGTGATTCTATGCTATTTAGAAATGATCCCTTCTGTGGCCGGGTGTGGTGGCTCATGCCTGTAATCCCAGCACTCTGGGAGGCCAAGGCGGGTGGATCGCAAGATCAGGAGATCAAGACCATCCTGGCTAACACGGTGAAATCCCATCTCTACTAAAAAATACAAAAAATTAGCTGGGCGTGATGGCAGGCGCCTGTAGTCCCAGCTACTTGGGAGGCTGAGGCAGGAGAATGGCATGAACCCGGGAGGCGGAGCTTGCAGTGAGCCGAGATCATGCCACTGCACTCCAGCCTGGAGACTCCATCTCAAAAAAAAAAAAAAAAAAAAAAGAAAAGAAAAAAGAAATGATCCCTTCTACTAAGTATTTTTGAATATTTCAAAATACAAAAAATTAACCCCAGATAAATAAAATAAAAATGTTTGCTCTTTACCAAATTGCCATATTCCATCTTATTTGGAAAAGTCATCAATACTTCACAATCATCAATGCCAGATGCCAGTGAAAGTGGTGTGGATGGGGTATATAAATAGCAGTCATTAATATTTCTTAGAATGCTAATGACATTTTGTCTTCCCAGATAAGTCAGAGTCTGAATACATAAGTCACCAAAGCACAGTTTGTCATAGAATTCTGACATAAAACACTATCCAAGCAAGTTTCCCAAATAAACAAATTATCTGGAGTGTTTACTGCTCCCACGATCCACTTAACAGCTTCATGAGTAGCCAATAGGAAACAGCAATGGGGATCTTTCTGCACCCAGGAAATAGGTATTTGCCAATAAGAATGAGAGCAACTTGAAAGGGAGAAATTCCGTGCTAAATATAATTTCTGTGCCCATAAAACATCTAACAGAGCACCGTCAGAGGAGTGTATATTCGAGAGAATGAGAAGACAAGCTACAGACTGGGAGAAAATATTTACAAAAGACATCTGATGAAGAATTTTACCTAACACATACAGAGAACTCTTAAAAACTCAACAATAAGAATACGAACAACCCAGTTGAAAAACTGGCAAAAGATCTGAATAGACACCTTATAAAAAAAGACACAGTTTATTGTCACCTAATTCTGCTCCTGGTGCTTTCAGGGGTGAAGACTCTGTGTGAGTTCCTTGGTTATAGAGAGTCTTTGTATGGTGGCTTTCTCAGCTGCTGGTTGTAGCAGCAATGTGCTCACTGTCTCCTGTGGGGTCAGAATGGCAGAGGTCTCTCAAAGCTTATCTTGTTCTCCAGTAGTATGCATTTTTTAATTTTTTCCCTAGCACTTTATTTACTGGGTTGAACAGGTTGAGCTTCCAGCCAGAAGGGGAGGTGTCCACAGGTAAAAACCGATTGTGGTGTCCGGGCACAATGGCTCACGCCTGTAATCCCAGCACTTTGGGAGGCTGAGATATGCAGATTGCTTGAGCTCAGAAGTTCGAGACCAACCTAGGCAACATGGTGAAACCCTGTCTCTACCAAAAGTACAAAAATTAGCCAGGCATGGTGGTACAGACCTGTAATCCCAGCTACTTGGGAGGCAGAGGTTGCAATGAGCTGAGACTGTACCACTGCACTCCAGCCTGGGTGAGAGAGTGAGGCCCTGTCTCAAAAAAAAAAAAAAAAAATTGGTGGCTAAAGCAAAGTGGGTAAATGCAATACCCAATGATGGGTAGAGGTCCCAGCCCTAATAGAGGCAGCTGAGGGAGCTCTCAGTGAAATGCACGGAGGTCTTCTCAGAAGGAAGGGACGGACACCTCAGCTCCCCTGAAAGTGATCCACCTCCTAGTCACACTCCTGACCCAGTGTCCCAGCTATTCAGATCAGACAGACACCTCTTTTCATCTGCAGGAAGGCTGATGTTCCATGTTGAGATGGATTGTGACTCTACCCCTCGCGCAAGCCTGCAACTGGAGGGCACGCTGCCTGTGGAGAGGCAGCCCCGCTGAAGTGTTCAGGAAAGGCTATCCACAGGTGCACCCCATGGAACACTACTCAGCCATAAAAAAGAATAAAATAATGTCTTTTGCAGCAACTTGGATGCAGCTGGAGGCCATTTATTCTAAGTGAAGTAACTCAGAAATGGAAAGCCAAATACCATATGTTCTCACTTATAATTAGGGGCTAAGCTATGGCTATGCAAAGGTATACACAGTGGTGTAATGAACTCTGGAGACTCAGAAGGAGGTAAGGGGGAGGTGGGAGAGCAATGAAAAACTACATATTGGGTACACTACTTGGGTGACAGGTAAAATAAAATCTCAGATTTCACCACTATACAATTCATCCATTTAACCAAAAACCAACTGAACCCCAAAAACTATTGAAATAAAAAATATATATTTATATAGCTATATATAGATATATAGCTAGCAAAAAAGCATATAAAAATGCTCCATAGCATATGTCATTAGGGAAATGCAAATTAAAACAATGAGATACCCCTACACACCTATTAGAAAAGCCAAAATCCAAAACACCAACAATGGCAAATGCTGGTAAGGATGTGGAGCAACAGGAACTCTCACTGACTGCGGTGCAGATGCAAAATGGCACAGTCACTTTGGAAGACAGATTGGCAATTTGTCACAAAAATAAATAGATTCTTACCATACGATCCAACAAGCATGCTCCTTGGTGTTTACCCAAAAGAGTTGAAAACTTATGTCCGTACGAAAACCTGGATGTGGATGTTTATAGCAGCTTTATTCATAACTGCCCAAACTTGGAAGCAACCAAGACATCCTTCAGTAGGTGAACAGATAAGTAAACTGCCGTACATCCAGACAATGGAATATTATTCAGCTCTAAAAAGAAATGAGCTGTCTCAAGCTACAGAAAGACATTGAGGAAACTTAAGTGTATATTGCTAAGTGAAAAAGCCAATTGGAAAAGACTACATACTGTTAATTTCAACTTTGCAACATTTTGGAAACGGCAAAACCATGGAGAAGGTAAAACAAAACAAAAAAAAGGTTGCCAGGGATTAGAACGGTGGGAGGAATGCCTAGGTGGAACACAAACTATTTGTAGGGCAGTAAACTACTCTGTATGATACTATAATGATGGATACATGTCATTAAAAATGTGTCCAAACCCACTGAATGTACAACACCAAGAGTGAACCCTAATATAAATGGTGGACTTTGGGGGATAATGAGGTGTCAGTGTTGCTTCATCAACTCTAACAAATGTACCACCTCTGGTGGGGGATGTTGTTAGTTGGGAGTCTATGCAAGTGGGTGGGTATATGAGAAATCTCTGTACTATCTGCTCAGTTTTGCTGTGAACCTAAATCTGCTCTAAAATACAAAGTCTATTTTTAAAAGCATATGTTCAATAAACTCAATTAATATATTTAATGAACTACTTGTATGTGAAATGATAACTTAAGTTGCACATATGGCAATTTCAAAGCCTCTACACATTTGGTTAAAATGGTTATTATCCAAAGACCTTAAAAACAACTATATGCAACTCAGCTCTACTATTCTGCCCACAGAAAAATGCCACCCCCGGGTCAAACAACCAACCACAACCAAATTAATTTTGCCAAGTAATGGCAAAGGCTCAATCAGCGCCAACTCCAACTAGAAATGCCACCATATGCCTCCATTGTCCTGGAAGGTGGTCTCAGGCTCTGAAAAGCAGAAAGTAATGTGTCTCCACTGAATGCAGTCACGGAAATAGACCAAAGAAGTTTCTGTAATCCTGGAAACAAAGCTAGACATACCATTTCAGTATAAAGGGCAGATTCTGAACAGCCCAAACACTATCAAACACCATTATCAATGCCACACCTATAGAGTTCACAAGACACACACCATTTGTGGGAGGTGTAGCAGGAAAGTCCTTATGAAAAGATCAGTGCCTCTCGTCTGAAATTAAAGACATAAATGTGGGAGAACACCTTATGCAAACAATTTCTCTTCTAGAGATTAGAAAGGCATTTTCTTGCTGGTCAGAAAGATGCTACACAACTACCGTCAGCTAAAAGACTTAAAAAAAAAAACCACATAGGGAAAATAATTTTACCATGCCTCAAGAGTTCTGAGAAGTTCATGAACATCAAAATAAAAAGTGTACATAGTTTATGCATCAGGGTATGCATTGGAGTTTGGAAGTTCAAATTAAAAAAAAAATAAAAAGCATACAGTCCAGCTCCCAATCTGAAGCTCTACCAAGATCTAAACTTTTAATCTTGGGTTCTTTGAAGGACCTTGAAAGGCATTTAGTCCAACCTGCTACCCAATGCAAAAATCTCTTCTAAAACATATTTGATAGTCATGCTGCTTAGAGAGAATTTGCTGTTTTCTAAAACTCCCCATTCCAATGTTGGATTGGCCTGTTGGCATGTTTTTGCTTACTGTTAGCAAAATGTCATTCCATCTAACTCCTAAACCCTGGGCCACACCCTTGCTTCTAGAACTAGAGACTAAGAATGATCCTTCTTCCTGGCTCTAGCATTTACCAGCTGCGTGACCTTCAGCAAGTTACTGAACTCCCCTGTGCCTCAGCTGTATCTACTGAAAGGGAGATAACAGTACCTACCTCCTAGGGTTGAGGTAAGAATGAAATATTAGCACAGTGCCTGGCTTCTGTTGAGCACCCAATAATTATTAGCTAGTATTATCATTAGCTATTGCATACAACAATCCTTCTGATGACTATGAAATGGAAACTTCTTTATTAGGCTTGCAAGGAATAGACATTCTCAGATTACCTTAAATCAGTGATTGTCACTCTTTCTGTGGAATGCTAGAATTTGGGGTTACACACTTGAAGGCTTAAAATGGTATCCACAATTGTCCTGGGATTCCTCTGGTCCCCATCCACATGACTGCTATTTGAGTGTGTCTTTACTTCCCTCATAGCCTCTGTCTTTGAAACCCAGGTCTTTTTTCTTTGGCACTACATTGCCATCAGGTTCCACCTCTGCTGCCTGAACTCTGACCTGCAGCAGGCTAGACTCTGACTCTATCCCACATCATGCGGTGCTCAATTAGCAATCTAGCTTTCCAGAACTGTATAACAACAGAAATGCTCCCAAAAAACATCTTACACATTGCAGCTCACTTGGGAAGCATTTAAGGCAATAAAATAAACCATCACATATCCATTGAAAAGCACTGCCTTAAGTAATAGGGTTTATTTGGGGCCAGCCTGGGAAACAGAGGGATCTGGAATCTCAACCTCAAAGCCAGACCGCATGGAGACTAGAGCTGGTTCAGGAGCTGGAAGGTTGCTTAGGATACAATGTGGCTCTAACAACTGGGTTATACCAGTAAATAAAATTGCCATCTGTTGAGCTCTTAATATGGGCCAGGCACTATGCCAAGCATTTTACAAGTGTTAGCTATCTTTTTTTTTTTTTTTAAAAAACCTGCTTAAATTGTGGAATAAAATACTCTTAGAGTGTTCAAAACAAATATACAGTATAATGAACAATCACAAAGCAAACACTTGTGTAACTACCTGGTCTGTCAAGAAACAGAAAATGCTCAAGCACTGCAGAGTCCTCTCACTCTGAGCACTCCCTTCAGGCCCCAGGGCCCCTCCCTTCCTAGATGTAACCACTACTCTGATGTTTGTGATCATTGTTTCCTTACTTTTTTTTATAGTTTCCTCAACAGTCTATGCTATATAATATCAATATATAACTATATTATATAATTTATAGTTTAGTTTTGCTTATTTTTGAATTCTAAAGTAAAATAATACATATTATTTCTTTTGTTCAACATCGTGTTTATAAGATTCATTCATATTGTTCTCTATAGCATAGTTAATTCCCTCAGTGCCGTATAGTACTCCATTATGTGAATATATCACAATCTACTTACTCATTCTACAGTTGATGGGTATTTGCACTGTTTCTGAGGCCATGATAGCAATAAAATTATGGACATGCTTGTATGTGTGTATATGTATATACACATACATACACATATATGTATATGTATACGTGGTATATATGAAAAGTTCCTCTTATATACATACACCCAAGAACAAAATTACTGGGTTGTGTACCATGCATGTTTTTAGTTTTATTCAATAATGCCAAGGTGTTTTCCAAAATGGTTATACTAACCTACATTCCATCAGCAGCATACAGATTTCCTGTTGTACTGTATCCTCACCGACAGTTGGTATCATCCGATTTTTCACATATGCCTCTCTGATGAGAGTATAAAATATTTAATTGGAGTTTTAATGCCTGGTTCTTTTAAACTTTAAATACATTGAATCACTTTATGCATTCATCTCTATCTTGCTTCTTTAGCTCAACGTTGTGTTCATAGGATTCGTCCACATTGTTGCATATGGAATCTCACTGTGTTTCTCTTTATTAATGATGTTGATCATCTTTTCATTTTTTTTGACCATTTTACTATCCTCTTTTGTTAAGTGTCTGTTCAAGTATTTTGCCTGTTTATCTACTGGGCTGCCTGCCTTTTTCTTACTGATTTGTAAGAGACTTTTGTTTTTTTAAAAAAGTCTGGAGACCAGTTCTCTGGTGGTTTTGTGTTGTGAATATCTTCTTTGGTATTCACGCACATCTCTTTAAAGCTCACAACAACTCCGAGAAATAAATACTTTAATGTCTATGAACAGAACAATCTTAGAGAAGTTGGGTGGCTTGTTCAAGGTCACTGAGCTAGTTAGCACAAGAGGTGGGAAATCAAACTCAGATCTGCTCAGCTTGAAAGACTGGCTCTTAAGCATTCAGCCATACTGGGAACAGAGGTCATCCATCCCTCTCTAGCGCTATATGGGTCTTCAGCCCCTTCTCCTGCACCTGCTTCTCTCTTCTCTCCTTGTTTCCTTGTGACTTTAACTTACGACTTCCATTTCCTGCCCTCTCCTTGTGTGGCCTTTCTTCTGACTCCCCAGCTCCAAACATTGCCACTCACTTGGGTTCTCCTTCAAACTCCATGAAGGACATCTCATCAGCTCCATTTGGCACTGCCCCTTCATGGGCAGGCTTTCACTCCAGACCACGTTATGGCCACGGCTCAGGTACTTTCCCACTCCAATCAGCTGTGGCCAGGGTGGCAGAATCCCATGGTCAGCCTGCCTTTGATAGAGCTGCGGGCATGAGAGACAAGGGTGCAAAGGCTGCTCTCTAAAGCAGGTATCTCCTCTGGATCTTCACTTTTTTGGCCAATCATCACCTGCTCCTTTGACATCTCATCATCCCAATGATAACTCCCATTCCATCTTTCTTCCAGGACACTGCCTTCTTCCTCAGTCCCCACCTAAGCCCACTTAGGCATCAGCTTCCATCAGTTCTGTGGCCTAAAAAACGGTTAAATGTAGCCACTCCTCTCCATGGCCAGCCTCCACCCGAGTCCAGGCTACCATCATCTCTCACCTGGACTCCCAAAATAGCTACCCCAGGTGCTCTTCACATCTACTTTTCCATCTTCCCAGTCCATTGCCTGTACAGCAGCCAGAGGTACCTGTTCAAAATGCCTATCTCATCATGTCAGCTTGCATGAAATTCCCTTTGGCTTCTCCTTTCTCTTGGGATAAGGACCAAAACCCTCAAGATGAATCGCAAGGCCCTGCAAGGTCTGGCCCATGCCTCCCTCTTCACTCCCCACCTGGCTCTCTGCTCTCTGCCCCTAGGGAATCTGTTCAGTCCTGCTGATACACCAGGTTCCCTCTACCACAGGACCTTTGCACTGTCTACACTGCCTGGAATGTTGAGGCTGCAAGAAAACATGTGATCTCATCTGCACTCTCACTGAGGTACATCCTGAATGGTAAGAAACGTGGTATCTATCATTTAAATTTTCCATACCTTTTGATACAGTATTTCCACTTCTTTTTTTTTCCTTTTTTTTGCAAGACAGAGTCTCGCTCTGTGGCCCAGGCTGGAGTGCAGTGGCTTGATCTCGGCCCACCGCAACCTCCACCTCCTAAGTCCAAGCAATTCTCCTGCCTCTGCCTCCTGAGTAGCTGGGATTACAGGTACACACCACCACGCCCAGCTGATTTTTATACTTTTAGTAGAGACGGGGTTTTGCTCTGTTGGCTAGGCTGGTCTCAAACTCCTGATCTCAGGTGATCCGCCCATCTCACCCTCCCGAAGTGCTGGGATTACAGATGTCATAGTGAGCCAGCGTGAGCCACCACGCCCAGCCAGTATTCCCACTTCTCTGAATCTGTGCTTTAGAAATATGACCACAGGCTATATAAAAAGGTATGTAGAACAATTGTTTGCAAATCCTTATAATAGTGAAAATGGAAACGGTATGCATTTCAACAAGATATTAGTCAAATAAACTATAATGCATCCATAGCATGAAATATTATTCAGACATTAAAAAGAATGAGGTAGATTTCCTTGTGTTCATGTGAGAGGATATCCCAGATATATGAAGCTAAAAAACAAAATTCAGACGTGTATGATTCCCCTTTTATGCTTTAAAAATACATTGCATGTATATTTTTAAAAGTTACAAAAACGTGCACAAACTGGTTGACAGTGGCTACGTCTGGGGAGGGAGGATGAATTGACAGGGCATATTTTTTCCTATGTTATGTATTTCAGTAATATTTGATATTGCTATTTTATTACTATAATTTTATAATCTGAAAAAATCTAATACAGTGAAAAAGATATGTGTATAATTAAATCTGCCATGTCTATCTTCTCCCTAGAATGTCAGCTCTATGAAGTCATCAAATGTTTCCATCCTATTCACTGTTATTTACCCCAAAGCCTAGTCAGTGCCAGGCACATAATATGTGCTCATTAAGCATTTATTAATTGAATGAATAAACAAATAATGAGCTGTTTCTGTGACCCCATAAAATGTGATACCCACTCAGTCCTCCACAAACAGACCCCTGGCTACTTCCTCCCTGGAGTTGTACCCCACAGTTTAAAAAAGTTGTAAAAGTGCTTGACTTTTTTATGGCAGTCACATCATGCTACGTGCTGACACTCAGCTTCAGGGACTTCACACCAGTACCGCACTCAAATCAGGTTCCCATTCTTGACTTAGGCAAATACTTGTTCTCAGACCCAAGTCAGGACTTCACAGTTTGTCCCTGCTGAAGTTCATTGTTTTGTTCATGCCTGTCAAGGTATTTTGAAACTCAACCCCTGACTCTAACCCAGTACACATCCTACAAGCTTTATATTGCCTGCACATTTATGATGCATTACGTTTTCTTCCAATTTAATTATAAAAAATGAAAATTGTACAGGGCAGAGCCTAGGACAGAATCCCACAGCCCTCCCTGAGCAATGATATCCCTGTTGACTTAGAGGGGTCTGGGCCTTCTGTTTGCTTCTCACACACAGGAAGCTCATTCCCATCTCAAAGCCTCTGTGTTTGCCACTCATTCCACTTGGAATGCTCTCCCTCCAGATGGTAGCTCCTTCATGATCTTCAGGACTCAGCTCCAAGGCTTTCTCACCAGAAAGGGCTTCCTACTACCTAGTCTAAAAGGATCCCCGTCCGCCATTCCACATTATCCTGTTTTGTTTTCTTTAAGGCACTTGTCAATTGCTAAAGTTACCTTGTTCATATTTTTCATTTACCTATTTATTAGCTGCTCCTTCCCCCTACCCCAGTGTCAGTGGGGATATTGTCTGCCTTATCCACTGCTCCAGTGCCTGAAGCACTGTAGATTTGAGTAGTCAGTCAGTATTTCCCATGTGACTGAATAACAGACAGAGTTGGTCAAATACCTTGACACCTACTTGCACTGTCTTCTAGACCCACGTCTCCATTTTACCTGCAAGGATGGTCCTGGGACTACTGTATAACACATTTTCTTCAAGTTTGGAGGAGTCAATAAACACAAATTTATTCTCTCATAGTTCTGGAGGCCAGAAGTCCCATACCTGTTTCAGTGAGCCAAAATCAAGGTGCCAAAAGACCTCACTCCTCCAGCAGCTCTGCAGGGAGAATCTGTTCCCCACCTCTTCCAGTTCCGGCTGGCTGCGGTGTTCCTCAGTGTGTAGCTGCCTCACTCCAATCTCCATCGCTAGCATCTTTAAACCTTTCCTGCTCCATCTTTACATCGCCTATTCCTCTGCGTGTGTCATTATTTCTCTGTCTCCTTCTTATACAAGGATACATTTAATGGCATTTAGGGCCTAACTGGCTAATCCAGAATAATCTCTCCAACTCAAGATCCTTAACTTAATCACCTCTACAAAGCCTTTACCAAATAAGGTAACATTCATAGGTGTCAAGTATTAGGACCTGATATCTTCAGGGGCCACCATTCAGCCCAACAGAGGTTATTACTCATTTTGTGAAATGCCTTTGGAAAACTGAGACATACGATGTGTCCAGATTTCTCTTTTCCACCTCTCGGGTAGGGCCTGCCACAGAGGAGAGCTCTGTAAATGCTTCTTGAATGAGTAGATGAATAGAAGATGTTGTTCCACTCTACCATTCCCCACCCCAGCCCTCAAAAAGAGAAAAGAATGGGTCTATGACTCCTTTAGCATAACTGGTTTCCCCAGTTCACAGACCCTTGAGAAGCTAGGGGGTTTCGGAAATGGGGAAGCTCTTCATAACTGGTGGCCATCTGACACGCTGCCAATACCTATTGGGAGGGATACAGAATTACTGAATGAGCAACAAGACTAAAATTATTTACAAATGAGCTTTGCCCACTACAGAGGGTGTGGGCTTTGCTCATATTTGATTTCTCTCTCTCCCCAGCACTCTGAAGAGGGTTGTATTGTAGCCAAATTAGTTCTTTGGCTACTGAATAGGAGGATGGGAGAGGGAGACCAAATGGCACTGGATAGACAGAAGGAAATTAGTTTATCTTCTCCAAATAGAAGGGACCCCTGATGCACTTCACATAAAAGTACAGCATCTTGGGAGGAGGCCAATTAAACCCCTAACAGGGTCATTTCATAATAAAAACTATTCTCAAGCCCCTGGTCTGGACCCCAGAGTTGGATCAGAAACCTGGTTCTCTGCTGTTGGAGCAGGTTATTCTACAGTTAGCATATTTATTGCTCTTTCATAATTCCTTATCAAAACCAAACATTCACTCCTTGGTGCTCATCCCCAAGACACCCCACCCATGATGGAGTTCTCTTGATGTATCTACCTTCAAAGACAAAGAAGGGGTTGAGATTCACATGTGGTTCAAGCCAGCACACCAGCATAGGAACCCAGATGCAAACTCAGGCACAATGGTCCTAGCTAGAGCAGGATGTGCACTTGTGGGGCAGGCCCTCCTGACCATGGTGTGAAGCCTGGGGACGCCATTCCATGGAGAGCTGCTTGCTTTGGGGGAGCTACAACAGGCTGTAGCATTTTCTTGACTATGTATTAGAATCCTGGGTTGGTGCCACAGTTTTCTGGAAAACACATCAGTGCAATTATAAAGCACATCAATGGGACAACATGATATATTCAGCAACATTCTCAACAAACTAGTCCCTTTGACTCCCATTATAGCCTTCTATTATACAAATAGAGGCACGTGTGGTTTGTGGTTGAGGAAAAGAATGCTCATCGCTAGTTCTTACTTGCAGTGACTTATCTGTGAATTTCTAAAGTGCCTAAACCCCTTCTGAAGGATATAATGAACCACGGAAATGGAAACAAAAATTATCTCACCTATGTGCAATGCCCATACTATAAAGTTTGAAACAAGGAGATCAAGGGTTTTAGAGCATCAGATAAGACTGTAAAAGTTTCACAGGTTAATTTTGTTGCAAACCTGGTCCTTTTAAAAAGTACAAAACTCTATAAAGGAAGAGACTGATAGATATAACTGTATAAAAAGTAAAGACTTCTGAATCTACATAAATCTACCTTATCTGTATACACATAAATCTACCATAAATAAAGTTAAAAGACAAATAGCAAGTCAGGGAAAAATCTTGCAATTTATAACATAAAGGGGTATTTTATTTAAAATATAAAGAGCTTTCACAATTCATTAAGAGAAAGGTGAACACTCTAAAAGAAAGGTAGGCAATTTACAAAAAAATGAAATACAAATCATCAATAAGCAGAGATACAACTGAAACAAGCTGGAGATGAAATTCTCTCCTCAGACTGAAAGATGAAAAAGAATCATCCATACAGCACCTATGAGGCCATGAGGAAATGGGAATTCTCATACACCCTGGCAAAGTTTGGCAATTTCAAAATTGTAAATGTGCATCCACTTTGACTTGGCAATTCCATTTACAGAAAAGCATCCTAAAGAAATAATCATAGGCTGGGCACTGTGGCTCAAACCTGTAATCCCAGCACTTTGGGAGGCTGAGGTAGGTGGATTACCTGGGGTCAGGAGTTAGAGGCTAGCCTGGCCAACATGGTGAAACCCTGTCTCTACTAAAATTACAAAAAAATAAAAAATAAAAAATTAGCCAGACGTGGTGGCAGGCACTTGTAGTCCCAGCTACTTGGGAGGCTGAGGCAGGGGAACAGCTTGAACCCAGGAAGCGGAGGTTGCAGTGAGCCTGGGCAACAGAACAAGACTCCATCTAAAAAAAAAAAAAAAAAAAGAAAGAAAAGAAAGAGAAAGAAATAATCGTAGATGTGCAAAAAGATTTAGCTACACACAACATTTACTGCAGCACTGTCAATAACATATAGAAATATTAGAAAAACCTAAAAGCCAAAACTGGGGATTAGTTAAAAATATTATAGTTTAAGAACCAATCACTAGAATATTATAGTCTCTAAAAGCAACTATTTAAAAAGTGATTATATTGATCTATATTGGCTGTGTTATCATATAGTTCTAGATATTTAATATATATAAGGTGGCTTGGTTTGGAGATTGGGGATCTAAAGGTATATAAATATATTATTGATAATGCGTGGCATTATATATATATATCAAAATATTAACACTTATTTATAGGCTTATAACTCTTATTTATGCCTTTCAATTCCTTCTGAGTTTTTTGCAACGATTGCTTTCTGCGCAAGGGAAAAAATACAACTATTTCATAAAGACAGGATTCACATGTGGGCAAATACTCTTAAGCTGGAAACATCTTTTTTGGCCACTGACAACTCACAGAGTAAACAAAAAAGACTAAAGTGCATCATTTAAAATTAGGGTAGCCATATAATTTATCATCTAAACCAGGACACTTTTGATTCTGAAAGGGGAAGCTATTAATAATTTTACTGGGACAAGTAGCATAATCCAGGACTTCCTAGGCAGACTCAGCTGTTTGGTCAGCTTACTTAGAATGAAAATTTTATATACTCTGTCTACAAAAACGACCCAGTGTTGGAGCTTTCAAGGGTAGGCCACAAATGTAGAGACTACCCTTTTATCAGTATGATTGGTTGTAGTTTTTAAACATGCCAACCAGATGGTTAAAGGATTTTGAAAAGTTCATTTTTCTCACCTAATTAGCTTGTTTGGATCGACAGAGCTCTAATTTTAGAGATTTGCTCTTGATAAAAAGTATTTCTCAAAGAAATATACCACTTAAGACCAGGCGCGGTGGCTCATGCCTGTAATCCCAGCACTTTGGAAGGCTGAGGGGGGCGGATCACCTGAGGTCGGGAGTTCGAGACCAGCCTGACCAACATAGAGAAACCCCCCTCTCCACTAAAAATACAAAATTAGCTGGGCGTGGTGGCACATGCCTGTAATCCCAGCTACCAGGGAGGCTGAGGCAGGAAAATCGCTTGAACCCGGGAGGCAGAGGTTGCAGTGAGCCGAGATTGCGCCATTACACTCCAGCCTGGGCAACAAGAGTGAAACTCCGTCTCAAAAAAAAAAAAAAAGAAAGAAAAAAAAAAAGAAATATACCCTGTGACTAAGAACACATTGTATTATTAGCTATACTATGTCACATTGCAGATTTTAATCTTGGAAACACTGTGCAACTCTTTTAAAGTCTTCTTGATTCCAAACTTCCTGAGACTCACCTGGTTTCCACTAAGGTCTTTATACAGGGAACTGTTATCTCTGTGACCTGAGGCTCTTACTTAAGATGGCCACTATTCACATCCTTCAGCCTTGGGTCACTCTGCCCACCAGCTATTTATATCCTCCCTGCCTTTCACAGCGGGGCTCAAGTTTCTCCTCTCTCCTGAGACTTTGCTGCCCACCACAGCCATCCGTGCTGCTCAGCCTCCTGTGACATTTCCTACCTGCACATCAGATCAGCATCTTCTCACAGGCTATCCTGTTTCCTAATTATTGATTGCACACAATCTCCCCCAAACTAAATAAGCTCCTCGTGAGAAGCAACTATTCTTAGTCTATACCACGTGGCACTTGGCACTGGGCCAGGCAAGGTAAGTCTGTCAACCTCTCTTATCCCGATTATAAAGTGGGGGTTGTAATTCCTTTGTATACTCCACCTCCAACACGAACTGGGGTAGTAACTAGGCATTATAAGAGATAATTTTTTAAATTAGCCAGATTCCCTGAATGCCAGGGTATTTGTGTAGGTGGAAAAATCAAAGCCTTCTCAACTGAAGCAAGGCCTTTTCCTCTTTAAAACACCGTGAAATGACACACACTACAGATTCAGAACAAACTTAGAAGAGAACAAATCTGTTGAAGAATAGTGTCCCATGTGTTAAAAAAAATGGCTGCGTAGGTACAAAGGATAAAAGCTTGGACAGGCTGTGTTAACATCTGCAATGCTATCACTCCCATCTTACAATATTTTACTTGTATTTTTATTCTCCCTGTAGAAGGCCAATATGGAGCTCATCCATTGATCAATTCCCCAACATTTGTGCCCACCTTCCTAAGAGTCCAGAACCTGCCATTACTTGGCATCGATTACAACCTAAGCAACGCATGTTGCTAAATCAATCATGGGTCAATCTATAATTGAAATAACATTCTTTGCACCTCCCTGCTGCCAAATTTATTAAACTAATACAAATGTCAATGTCTCTTTCTTCCAAGCCTAGCTTAGGATGACTTAAGCCCTAACTGAAGTGTGAACAACCAAAATTAGATACCGAGGCTCTTATATTTATTCCATGACCCAAGGCACTATGTTTCTCATATACAAAAGAAACCTTGGGAAATCTGCCAACTCAAATGTATTACTTGTAAATGGCATCACTCTGCAATACCAATGTATAACCACACATGTGGTTGGCAAGGGAGGGTGACTCCTTTTCCAGCAAAAAGTAAAATTCCCAGATGAACTGGTAACACATACAAAGGGACATCAATGACGCCATTCTTTCTGCTAGTCCATCTAGCACCTGAGTGAGCATCAGGAAAAGGCTCACCTGCTTCAAAAAACTACTTCCATCTGTTAGAAAATAGTCTTTATATTCCCAATTTTGTTAGAATAAGCTACTTTACTGCCATCTGCCAGAAAAATTATCATAATAAATCTCTGATGTCTGTGATTTGAACACTGACTCCTTAGAAGGGACACAATTGTGCAGTGTACAACCTACACAGCAGTGCTGGCCAGGTGTTTAATAACTTTGGAATATAGTAAACCAGTAGGGGGGAGCCATGCTTTATTTTACTTCCTCTCTGAGCCTCAGTTTCATCATCCATACATTGGCAATAATAAGAGCTATCTAGTATCTGATCAGGCTTCCTATTGGAGTAGGAAAGCAATGGTTTGTGAAAGATTAAGACAATAAAAGACCACATTACTTGATTATTACATAATAACTATACCCATAAGACGGAGAACTCACATTCTCTTTGACTCTACAAATATCATTCATCCAATTACATAATTTAGGTCTTCACATATTGAAAGTGAAAAGACTTCATGTTTTTTGGTAGTGATGATGGGTCTCGCAGCCCCCACCATACTCTCTTACTAGATTTCTGATCGAAGAAGCCCATGATGGCAAGGTAGTTGGTGAGAGTTAGGCATTTATTATCCAGGAATGAAAAAGAAAAAAAAAAAGAAAACCTAAAATTAACTGGCCTACATCAGGGTTTCTCTCGATCTCATCACTATCATTTTGGACGTGATCAACCTTTGAGGTAGGGGCCGTCCTGTGCATTCCAGTGTAGGAAGTTTAACAGCATCCTTGGCTTCTACCCACTAGATATCAGTAGCACCTTCACCCCCCAGTCATGACAACCAAAAATGTCTCCAGACATTGCCAAATGTCCTCTGGGACGAGGGGGTGGCAAAACTGCCCACAGTAGAGAAACACTGGCCTACACAGAAATTCAAATTTATGGCCGTAGCATCATTCTTGGGAAACAGCAAGCTGGCCTCCCACCAAAGGAGACCTGGACTTTAAGTTCTACTATGGGTGTTCTGTGACCTTAAAGTTTCTAGCTTCTACTTCCTGTCATATAAATAAAACCCAGACTCTGGTCTCTCACTTCCAGGATTTCCTCCTTTGCAGGGTATTAAAAGGTAGGGCTGGGGGAAAGTGTTAAGGACAACATCACAGCTCAGGCATCCCCCTCTGCTCACTTGGTACTTGGCTGCCTGCCAGGTTCCCAGCATTGCCATCTTCTCTTGAATAATGGTGCTGTTACCACACAGGGCTGGCATGAAGCTGGATACTTGCAGCCTTCCTGTTGTGGCTCCTACAGCAGTATCAACTCATAATTTAGTTTCCCATAGCACAGCTATCGAAGGCTAGGTCATTTAATAAAAACTTGGGTAAAATAAAAGAAATGACAACACAGAAAACCTTACAACTGGGTACTGGATTTGAAGGATTCCAGAGTCACACCTTGGTCATTCCAGACAGGTCCTCTTTCCAGACGCTGCCTGGCCCAGCTCCCAGCCCACAGGGTCCACCTGCTTCTCTCCCACCACCCAGGGAGACCTTCAGTCCCTTCCCCTCTGGGAAGCCCAGGGGTTCCATGCCCTGTCTCAGGTCTGCTGTCTCCCTCTCCTCCAGCCTTCACTTTCCATGGCTCTACTTTCTCCCTTCTGGCCTGACGGACAGCTGGGAGCGTCCACATCATTCAAGAAAATTCCCAACCACCACCCACAGAGGTTGGCCTTTTTAGAAACTTAGAAGACAATATCTCTCAATAATTCAGTTCCCCAAGTCTGAGATATTTGTCTTGGAAAATCATCTCAGGGGAAGCTTCACCAAGAGCCGAGGTGGCTGTAGTCGCTGGGCCCATCTTTACAGCATCCTGTGGGCATGAGGTGAGGCTCTGTTTCCTATGATCTTCTAGACATGGCAAATGTTGAACAATGTCATGTATAACACACTTCCCAGGAATTAAAAAAAATAATTTTTTGGCCGGGCGCGGTGGCTCACGCCTGTAATCCCAGCACTTTGGGAGGCCGAGGCGGGTGGATCATGAGGTCAGGAGATCGAGACCATCCTGGCTAACAAGGTGAAACCCCGTCTCTACTAAAAATACAAAAAATTAGCCGGGCGCGGTGGCGGGCGCCTGTAGTCCCAGCTACTCGGGAGGCTGAGGCAGGAGAATGGCGTGAACCCGGGAAGCGGAGCTTGCAGTGAGCTGAGATTGCGCCACTGCAGTCCGCAGTCCGGCCTGGGCGACAGAGTGAGACTCCGTCTCAAAAAAAAAAAAATAAAAATAATAATAATAATAATAATTTTTTAGAGATAGAATTTACTAAATCTATAATGAAAAAGATTTTTTGTAGACCACAAAGCATATTATTTAAAGAAGAGTAATTAATTGGTGCAGGAAAAGAAACAGTTCAAACAATGAACAGAAAAAGAGCTCAGAAACAGACCCAGGTGTTTGGAAAATAAGCATAAGAAAGATCTCTACAGAAAGGATAAACTATTCAATATATGGTTCTCAGGATAAATGGTAACTGTTTGGAAAAAGATTGAAAATTAACTTTTTACCTCACATCATTAACCAAAAGATCCAAGATCTGAATAAAAAACCAAACACCTATAAAGCATAAAGAGAAAATATAAGAAACTATTTTATGACCTTGAGGAAGTGAAGGTCTTCTTAAGCAAGACACAGAAAACAAAAGGCCTCAAGGAAAAGCCTGAAATGTCGACTATTTCCAAAGGGGAGAAAAAGCGTGTGTGGAAAAGATGCCATAAACAAGGTCAAAAGAAGAAAAGCAACAAGGTGGAAAATTACATTGTTTCCAAATAGAGAAAAGATCCAAATCGAGAATACATAGAGAATTCCTACAAATCAATAAGCAGCTCTAAATAATACCAATGACAAATCATCAAAGGATACTAACAGCAATTTACAGAGTACAAATACAATGAACATGAGAGGAAAATGCTCAAAAACACACCACAAATGAGGGAAATACAAATCAAATTTTTTTTACTCATAACATTTGCAAAATTTAAAAGGTTTGAAAATGTGGAGCATTAATTAAGGAAATGGGCACATCTCTGTACTGCTAGTGGAAGTATAAATTACTCAGCTACTTCAGAAGACAATCTGGCAGAACTATTAAAATTAAAAATGCACATACCCAGCAATTCTATTTCTGGGTAGTAATACTTCCTCACGTGCCCAGGAAACATACATAAAAATAAAGACGTTGACTACCTATTTTTCATAAAAACTAGAAACCTAAATGTCTATCAACTTAACAGATAAATATTTGGGAGGCCAAGGTGGGTGGATCATTTGAGGTCAGGAGTTCAAGGCCAGCCTGGCCAACATAGTGAAACCCCACTTCTGGTAAAAATACAAAAATTAGCCGGGCATGGTGGCAGATGCCTGTAATCCCAACTACTTGGGAGGCTGAAGCAGGAGAATCACTTGAACTCGGGAGGTGGAGGTTGCAGTGAGCCGAGACTGCGCCACTGCACTCCAGCCTGGGCAACAGAGCAAGACTCTGTCTCGAAAAATAAATAAATAAATAAATAAGAATAAAAATAACAGATAAATAGACCCTGGAACATTTTATGGAATACCATGAAGCAGTTTAAAAGAATGAGGTATTTCCACACATAATAACATTTAACAGCACGTGTGAAAGAAGAAAATTACAGAAAAATGTCCGTGAAGTGATACTATTCACATTAAAAAGAAAAAAAAAAAAGACAACGCACACAGCAATATCATCTACACCCATAATGACAGACATATACCGTAGGTAAATGTGTAGAAAATGGTATGAAAAATGCCTTTAGACCTGGGGGTACAGGAGTGACCACATTTGAAGGGGATATTTCTCCCTTATCTCTATTGTTTTACTATCTCATGAGGAGAACATGTTTATTCATGATGTATTAGTTTGTTTTCACACTGCTGATAAAGACATGCCCAAAACTGGGAACAAAAAGAGGCTTAGGCCGGGCATGGCGGCTCATGCCTGTAATTCCAGCACTTTGGGAGGCCAAGGTGGGTGGATCACCTGAGGTCAGGAGTTCAAGATCAGCCAGGCCAACGTGGTGAAACCCCATCTCTATTAAAAATACAAAAATTATCCAGGCGTGGTGGTGGATGCCTGTAATACCAGCTACTTGGGAGGCTGAGGCAGGAGAATCACTTGAACCTGCAAGGCGGAGGTTGCAGTGAGCCAAGATTGTGCCATTGCACTCCAGCTTGGGTGACAGAGCAAGACTCTGTCTCCAAAAAAAAAAAAAAAAAACCGGTTTAATTGGACTTACAGTTCCACATGGTTGGGGAGGTCTCAGAATCATAGTGGGAGGCAAAAGACACTTCTTACATGGCAGCGGCAAGAGAAAAATGAGGAAGAAGCAAAAGCGGAAACCCCTGATAAACCCATCAGATCTCGTGAGACTTATTTACTATCACGAGAACAGCATGGGAAAGACCAGCCCCCATGATCCAGTTAGCTCCCCCTGGGTCCCTCCCACAACACATGGGAATTCTGGGAGATACAATTCAAGTTGAGATTTGGGTGGGGACACAGCCAAACTATATCACATGATTTTCAAAATTCACTGTCAAGTTTCTTTTATGGAAGAAACAAATTTTTCAAAGAAAACAATAACAAGCAGAAATCACACTCTACTTAGTTTTAAGACAACTATTTACCTCATCATGCAAAGGCAGTTTTGTCTGCAACCAAACTGGATTTTGCAGTCCCTCTGCATAGCAAACGGTCTTTTAGGACCTTTCCTGAATAAAGGTATATTTATATATTACCATGATGTATATGTCAAGAGGAGGTTTTGGGCAGAGGTTTCAGACAGAGGCCTCCACATAACTGATGCAGGCCAGCAGCTCCGTGTAAAAGAGAGAAGTGCTTTAAGTTTCCTTTCTAAGCAGAAGGATGTCTGTCAGAAGCAACCAGAGGAGCTACTCCTAGGTCAGTGTCAGCCTGTCTCTGACTGGCAGCTGCTGTCTAAACGATGCACTGAAACTGAAGTAATCATCACAGTGAACATTGAACCACTGTCCACTGTGTGCCAGGCCCTATGCCTGGGGCTCAGTATCCAGAATCTCACTTAATCCTCACAACAATCCCAAGAGAAGAGCTTTACTACCCATTTCAGAGATGAGGAGCCTGAGGTTCAGAAGGATCAAGGCAGGTTCTCAAGCAAATGACTAAAGGGCAATTCTAATTCATACCTGCCCATCTCAAGCCTATGCTCTGGCCTCCACCCTGTACTGCCTCCTGCACCATAGTAAATGGTAGGTTTGGAGATATGGATGGGCTTTGCTCAAATCAATATGTGTACATTAATGTTAAATTTCTTTATATGTAGGTTAAGGGCCAAAAGTGATTTCTACAAGAATCCTAAAGAGAAGCTATCATCTCTCCTGTCTCGTCCTTGCAAAGGATAGTGGTCAGGAATGGGGCTGGATCTGCCACATTCTGGGGAACAGAGATGACCTCAACCTTCAGCACCAGAGCAGTTCCAGGGAGCACCAACTGGCCAAAGTCACAGGTGAATCAGTCAAGAGTTTTAAGACAGCTTTCCCTTGAGATAACACACTCCCGTGCTGGCTGTTCTGACCCAGTCAGAATGCAAATGTTTGTGTAGTTATATTTATTAATAGAGTCCACGGTTAGCCAGGCCTGGCACATGGCTAGGGCTCTGTATTGAAACCAATAAGTAAAAGCCTGGAATTTCTATTTTCGTTCCCACTCCTGTTGCTACTGGGGGCCTTTTATCCAGTCCTGTTTTTAATCCAGCAGCCTGCAAGGGGCAGGAAAGAGGCAGGTAAAGTTGTCTAGCAAGGCAGAGTAGAAGGCACACCTGCCCTCCAGATGCCGAGAGCTTTTATAAAAGGTAACAATGTAGGTAACAAATTTCCCCCAAATTATAATTCTCAGGGAGAAAGGGTTAGGGAAATAAATTTAGAGAGAAGAGTGGCAGATGGGACAGATGGATTCAATTAAGGCAAAGAACATCAAATAATTCCAGGGATGCCTCATTCTAATGGAACATGTCATTTTCTCCTCATTGCCTCCAGGTAACTCCCAACAGTCTAGGTAGGAAGTAGGGTGCTCACACCGTGCCTCAACCACGGCAGGAGTTTAATATCCTCAAATGAGAGAGCTAACATTCCCTCTTCTCTTCTTTTCAGTAATGTGGTGAAACAGCACATGAATCAGACTAAGTGAATGCAGGATACATAATAGATGCACATTTCTACAGAACCAGGTGTTATTCAAGTTAAATAGGTATTTTCCATTGTCATTAAAACAGAACAGATTTCTTTATTTGGTCTATGGGAGACTCTCCCTTTTAATTAAACCAACCACACTGTCATTTTCCTAAGAAAGATAATAAAACAATAAAAATATTTACATCCTTTTTTCTTCCTAAACATTAATCATGAGGGGAAGAGGGTGTTTTGCCTTTGCTAGATAGTTTTATCACATAGACATTATACTAATATGCTTTAAATTACTGTTTTACAGGTCACTTTATCCTTATTAAGGATGTATTAGATTCTTGTTGCCTCTAACAGCATTTGTAATTATTTACTACCAAAAGGAATTCAATTCTGTAATAAATCGATCACCATATATAGTTGATATATGAGTATTGATATGTATATAATACATACACAGCATGTAAACCTGAACACTACTTCCAACTGACCTCAATTTTCATCCAAAGTCAAGTGTAAATGTCTAGTAGTTTGATGAGCGATGCTTTCTTTATTCTCTGCCTCTCAGTTATGCAATTTGATTGACAGTCATGTTATCCAACACAGTCATAGATGGGTTATAGTTTCAACAAGTCAGTATTATTATGTCTATAGTCAATGGAGAGACTGGAGAAGGCTTAGAGTAAAGCAACTCTACAATTATACTCCATAACTAACTGCAACAATGTAGACATACTCTGTTATCAATTAAATGTGGCAATGCCTGTGAAGTCTTCTTTTGTAGAGATGCTAAATCACTTTTAGATTCTAGCCCACAATTTACCGTACTGTGGAGTAAAATCATCCCAAATAGAAGGAAATAATATTTGGGCTGTCAGACTCTCTTCAAGGTCCTGTGTAGTAACCTCCACTTGACAGACTCTGCTGGGAAAGTAAGCTCATGTTAAAATATGGAACCACTGATTTGCTTCACTATAACTGAGGTGTCCTGACTTCTGATGATAAGCCACCTTTGATTTTTTTGAGTGGTTTACAGTAGCTCCCAGAAGAGGAGACAGCATTCTGGAAGCTCAAGTCACTGACTCCCAGCAAGTGGCCCACTCACATGGCTACTAGCAGGATTAAGCTCCTCACTGGCTGTTGTATTGAGGGCCTCAGTTCCCCACTGGCTGATGACCAGAGGCCTCCCTCAGTTACCTGCCACACAGTCCTCTCCATAAGGCAGCTTACAACATGGAAGTGGGCTTCCCTTAGAGCAAGACAGGGCATGCAAGAGAGAGTGAGAGCAACAGAAGTGACAGCAGTTTTGTACCCTAACCTCAGAAATGACATCCCACCACTTTTGCTATATTCTCTTTGTTATCAGCAAGTGACTAAGTCTAGCCCACACTAAAGAAAAGAGGATTACACAAGGGCATGAACACCAGGAGGTACAGACCTTTGGGGCCACATTAGCTGCTGCCTACACCTTCCTTGCATGCACAACAACACAGGAATAAACATCAAAATAGATAATAAATAGAGGGAAAATAGGGAAGCAGAAGGGAAAGGGAAAGTGTTCCAGCATCTAATTACTCATGCCTCAGAGCTCTCGCATTCTCTCTCCCCACCTCTAAATCTAGCCCAACAGCACACCCTCTGATCAGGTGCTCTCTTCACAGTCTCACACCTGTCTCCTCTTCTCTACCTGCATAGCACCACCAAAGTTCAGGCTTTCATCTCTTCACACCATGAATATTGCAGCACTACTTTTCTAACCAGGCTCCGTACTCCAATCTTTCTAACTCACACTTTTAACTTATCTTTATGGTACAGAAAGCCCTTCAGTAGCTCCCCATTGTCAAACAAAATCCAGACTCTTTAGGCTGCCGTTTGGTGCCTTCCATAATTTGATCCAGGCCTGGGTATCAAAATGCATCACCCCCAAGCCCCCAGTAACAATTCTCCATCCCAGGCAAACCATGCTCAACACCCAAACACACCATGTTTATACTCAGCTTGAAGCCTCTGCTAATACCATTATTCCCCCTCCCTCCGCAAGACCAGTCTTCACCTTACCATTACAAATCTTTGGCAATTTCCAAGATGCAGAGCAGAGCCCATCTTCTGTTACGCAGTTTCTGTTCACTCCTAACTAGATTTCGGTTCCTCTATGAACTGGCACAGCTGAGAGACCACCCCACCCACTGCACAGGCCAGTCCCTGTGTACCTGCCTGTTTTCCCAAGGAATCGGTAAGTTTCACAACTTCCTTCTTCCAGAGACCACCAGACTGCATCTCTGTGAGGGTGAGGATGGGTCTCACTCATCTTTCCCTCCTGACAGGAGGGCACAGCTGTTCCATGACAGGCAATATTGGTTGACTTAAGATGGACAGATGGAAGGAAGGAAGGAAGGAAGGAAATGTCAAGCCCAGGGTCTAGCATATAACAAGAGGTCAACAAGTAATACATATTTGTTAACACCACCAATTCTTACAATGGGAATTCTTCACCCAGCGACACCTTAGCTATGTAGGAGCCCTTCGAAAGAGAGCAAAGGCAAATGCAGTTTATCTGAGTCTGACACAAACAAGCCGACTCACACAAACATCACAACTAAAGGCAAATCCGCAGCTCCTCCTTCATCGCCCATCCTAACACTGGCTTAGCGATACAGGGTGCCAAGCTCAGGGAAATTATTAGATGGTTCAGCCAGGGCAGAACTCAGTCAGTACAAAGCAACTTCCAATCAGTGCGCTTCAGCTGTGACAACTTGGGAAACAGCAGTGGTGAGAGCTAAAAGGGTGCTGGCGAAAGAGAAAAAAAAATATGTCGCTTGTGGGGTGAGGGCGGTGTCCATATAGTTTAGATAATTCTAGTAAACAAAAGGATTTGTTAAAAAGAAGTAACAGAAGACTTTTTAAAGCCTTCTTTAAAGGGTGAAAATCTCAACTAAAGCACCCAACGTCCAAAATCCAGAGGAAATCTAGCGCTCCCTTTCTAGCTGGCTAGAGCAGTTAAGCCTGAAGTGAATTCTCCCAGGAATCAGATTCCTGGCCAAAGGTTGCCTGCGCAAACCCGGGCCACCCTCGTCTCACGGCAGGGAGCGCTGGAAACGGCTCAGGGGCTAGGCCCGTTAGCGTCGTCTTCCAAGAGCCGTAAATTCGCCCTCCCGCTCTGCTGACCCTGGAGCAAAGTCCATGCAGTGGTTCTCTGAGAGCCGGAGATACGCACCGCGCGGGGAACCCGGGGGTCCGGGGGCCCTAACTTTTGAGTTTTGCACGCCCCGCAGCCTGAGATGGGAAGGTAGCTCGTAGCGCTCCAAACTCACCTGCGTTTCAGAACGACATCTACCCACTGGTTTCAGCTCCTAGAGCAACAACTGCAGAATCTCCATGGTCCAAAGTCCTCCAGGAAAGAGAAGAAAGGGGTGACGGGGGTGAGGGCTGGGAGGCGAGGTCACCAGGGTCCCTTCCCTGGCTCGGGTGGGGGTGGGGGGCGCAACCCCTCACGGCTCCTCCCCACCAAGCCGTCGGGACCCCAGCGGGGGCGCCTCGCGTTGGGCGACAGGGACGCGGGGAGAGAGCGACAAGCTGGAAGCAAGGGCTGCCTGCAAAACTTTCGGTCCTCCAGCGGCAACTCTGCGGGAAAGACCACCCTTCCTTCGGCCCCGCGTCGGGCCTATCCCCGTGTGCCCCGACCCCTGCGCCCCAGGCTTGGGCGGCGCCGCTGCATCCCGGCTGCCGGGCGCGCTGCAGCCTTCGCTCTCCCGCACGCGGCGCTCGCCCGTCCGCGCTGCCCCTCCCCGGCAGGCGGGCGGCCCCGGCGGGCGGGCGGGCGCGGACTGCAGGTGCCTCTCTGCTGCCCCTGGCGGCCGCGGGCGCGCGAGCCCCACCGAGCCGGCTCCGGGAGCCCGAGCGCCCGCCCCTCCTCCGCTCCCTCTCCCCTCCTCCTCCGCCGCCCTCCTCCCATCCCGCCCTTCCTCCCTCCCTCCCCCTTTCAGAACACTCAATGTCGGAACGTTCCGAAGATGACGTCGGAGCGTTCTCGAATCCCGTGTCTCTCGGCTGCTGCTGCCGAAGGAACAGGGAAAAAGCAACAAGAAGGAAGAGCAATGGCGACACTGGATCGCAAAGTGCCCAGTCCGGAGGCGTTTCTGGGCAAACCCTGGTCCTCCTGGATCGACGCCGCCAAATTACACTGCTCCGACAGTAAGAACCCCACCACCTCCTCCTCCTTTTATTATCCTGTAACCTTTCCATTCACCTAGAGCCACTGGGAAAAAGTGTGTGTGTGAGAGAGAGAGTGGCCCCCGGTGTCCTCCATGCTTCTCCCTCTCTCTCTAAATAAATACACACAGAGACAGATCATCAATGCACAGGGAGAGGCCCGGCTGCCAGGGCTGTCTGTCTGTCTGTGCCCGGCTCCCCGTGGCAGCCCGCGGGGTGGGCTCGCAGCCCCACGGTGTTGTCCGTTTAAAAGGCTACTTTGTTGCTGCTTGCATAGTTTTTTGGGTACCTATCTGGGCCAGGTAGATGGAAACCCAGACTTGGGAGAAAATGTTGCATTGTCAATTTTTGAAAGAATTTCATATACAGTATTTATATCGATCTGTTTGCAAATAAACACTCTCCCTCCCCCCTTGACTTTGGCTTTTTTCCCCCCTTTTTTCCTTATTTTCTGTTTTCCTTTTCTTTTTCATCTGCAGATGTAGATTTAGAAGAGGCTGGAAAAGAGGGTGGAAAAAGCAGGGAGGTTATGAGGCTTAATAAAGAAGGTAAGTGGAGCTACTGGCATTTTAGTGTTAGCATGTGTGGCAGAATCTTCACAGGATTTCGAATATAATGTGAATTGTTCTGCTGGGTACAGAGTGACTAAGGCTTGTCAAAAATTGAGCACGCCCAGGTGACTACTGCTTCATGTTAACTTCTTTCAAAGTATAAATACAACTGGGGGGGGGGTAAAGGGGGGTGAGACTGTTGAAGGCAGAAGTTTACTGCACTTCAGTTGGACTCCACGTTTGAACCTTCTGATGCATATCTGCCATTCTCCTTGGGAGCATCATTGCCAAATGGTGGGGCGTTAAAATTTCTGAAATGAAGAGTGGAGTTCCCTTCACAAGCATCCCAGCCTTTCTCGTGGGTGAATGCACAACAGCTTAATGAACCCCACATGGTCAGTCATTCCAGCAGCTACTTCTCCACTCACCACTGAAAACCATTGTACATGGCAAACCTTTGCAGCAAGTTACATTTGGCCCACTTTGCATTTGGTCACAGATTGTTATGTGGCAAGCAGGGTTAGGAGCATCTGTATGTGCAGCCCCTCAGCAGTCATCATCTCTCTTTTCCCAGCATGGAAATACGGTACCTGAAATGGGACACACTGAGTAGATAGGTCATCCCAGACCAAGATATGCAAGAGAAGCCACAACCTGCTGCAATTGGGCATCAAACACATATGGTCGTCATAAATAAATCATATCCTGTTCTCATTTGCAAGCCTGCCGTATGTAACTCTGGCCTATGGGCTTCAAATGGAGCAACTCCGGGGGCCACTTGCTGCTAAGCAAATAGGTGGATTCATTTGAATTGTGATTCACTAACTGATGTCTTATAAACATAATTGGCTGAAATTGGGGGTGGGAAGATGGCACAAGGGGACAGAAGAGGTTGGTGGTATTGAAAGAGTTCAGACATAAGTAGGCCATAGGTGCATTGGTCATCCCAAATGAATGGAGAAAAGGCCATTAGATGCCAAAGAATGGTCCCCCTCATAAAAAGGGATGTCACCCTGGAAGGCAGCTGAAGCCTGCGTGGAAAGATGGAACTCATTTTATGAATCAACACTTCAGATGGTTGGTTTTCTGTGCCCAATCATTTCCTGACCATCCACTGAGAGGAAATTTTGTGCTTCAGAAAAAATAACATGAAGGTTAAAATGCGTACATATTCAAGGACAGTTCCCTAGCATAATGTTTCTGCTAATTAAGCACTTTGGGAACAAAACATTATTCTAAAGATGTTTGCTTCTAAATATCTTAGTGTGATCTTGACAGGTGTCTTCAGGATGCACGAGGGATTGATGTCAAGTGGACTTCTTACAAGTGGCAGCTTATTTGTGTTAAATGTTCATGTGTGTTGGCAGTGGGAAGCATCACTAGAGATTATTTTTCTTCACACACAAACTCTTGAGATCTCTAAGTGCTTGCAAGACCCAGTTATCAGGCTACTGGCAACGTGTCCATAAAAGATGATGAGGCTGTGGAAATCTTTAAATTAAAGTTGAGTAAAGGTCATGGTATAGCACAGGATTGTCACCTCTCAGGTCTGGGTGATGCGTTATGACTATCACACACAAAACTCACATCCTTTCCCCCCAGTCCCTGTTTCTATTTCAGAAGACTGTTGTTCTCAGATTCTCTTTGCCTCATGAGAAACAGATTTTTTTTTTTTTTTTTTTTTTGATACGGATTCTCACTCTGTCGCCAGGCTGGAGTACAGTGGTACGATCTTGGCTCACTGCAACCTCCGCCTCCCGGGTTCAAGCGATTCTCCTGCCTCAGCCTCCTGCATAGCTGGAACTACAGGCACGTGCCACCACACCCAGTTAATTTTTGTATTTTTAGTAGAGACGGGGTTTCACCATGTTGGCCAGGATGGTCTTGATCTCTTGACCTCGTGATCTGCCCACTTGGCCTCCCGAAGTGCTGGAATTACAGGCATGAGCCACCGTGCCTGGCTGAGAAACGGATTCTTTTAAGAAAAAATGAAAAGCTCTCCTTTCCTCAGAAGTCACAGGTGGTACATCCCGCTTATTAGGTCCTTTGTCCTATAAAGGTACGAAGATTTAGCTCCTAATTATACATATTTGCATTAAGGACACCCACTGTTCAGTGTAACTTGAAATTGCTAACTTCACCAAAATAGCCATATATGGGCTGAAATCTCTTTGTTCACAGGCCTGGTGGAACAGACTTGGGTGAGCAATTCCTGATGGTCTTTCTGGTATATATGCATGCAGTTTTCTTTATAGATAAAATATCTATATACTGAATACGTATTCCCCCATGGTGAGAAATTGAAGGGTTGAGCTGAGACAGGGTGTTTATTTGGTTACCTGGATCTCCAGTAATGCTTGCCATGGGCCCTCTTTTTGGAGTGATCAACAAAGTCCTGGGACGGATACATGTTTGTGGATGGGTCACTGCAGGACACAAAGTAGCCTGTGTGTGGCTGTGTACCTGTGCTTATGAATGTATGTAGATTGTCCATGACACTGTTGGCTTTAAGCAGGTCTTGAGAAGAAATTCGGCTTTAATGGGAATGAATGAACAAAATACAGTTTAGAAATTCCAACTGGGAATTGAAGGGAAGTGGTTCCGATTTTTGTTGTTGTTGTTGTTTTGTTTTGTTTTGTTTTGTTTTGTTTTTTTGAGACGGAGTCTTGCTCTGCCGCCCAGGCTGGAGTGCAGTGGCGCAATCTCAGCTCACTGCAAGCTCCGCCTCCCGGGTTCACACCCTTCTCCTGCCTCAACCTCCCAAGTAGCTGGGATTACAGGCGCCCGCCACCAAGCCCGGCTGATTTTTTGAATTTTTAGTAGAGATGGGGTTTCACCGTGTTAGCCAGGATGGTCTCGATCTCCTGACCTCGTGATCCACCCGCCTCGGCCTCCCAAAGTGCTGGGATTACAGGCATGAGCCACCGTGCCCGGCGGGTGGTTCCGATTTTGATGTTTTTTTTTTTTTGTGGTAAAATATACATAGCATAAAATTTATCATTTTAACCATTTTGAGTATACAATTCAGTGGCACTAAGTACTTTCATAATATTACACAACTATCATCACTTTCCATTTCCCAAATTTTCCATCATCCCAGTCAGAAACTCTGTACCCATTATGCAATCACTCCCCATTCCCCATTCCTCTCAGCCCTGGTAACCACTGTTCTACTTTCTGTCTCTATGAAGTTGCCTATTCTGATACCTCATATAAGTGGAGTCATACAATCTGTATCCTTTTGTATCTGGTTTATTTCACTTCGCATCTCTTCATAGCTCATCCATGTTGTAGCATGGATCAGTACTTCATTCCTTTTTAAGGCTGAATAATATTTCATTGTGTATATATACTACGTTTTGTTATCCACTTATCTGTTGGTGGACATTTGGGTTGTTTCCATATTTTGGCCATTTTGAGTAATGCCACTATGAACATTGGTGTCATATATTTTTAATAGACTAAACTCAGGAAGAGAAGTTAGGCTGGAAATGTGAAATAAGAATTATTTTGGTTTGGCCAGGCATGGTGGCTCACGCCTGTAATCCCAACACTTTGGGAGGCTGGGGTGGGTGGATCAGGAGGTCAGGAGATCGAGACCATCCTGGCTAACATGGTGAAACCCCATCTCTACTAAAAATACAAAAAATTAGCCGGGCGTGGTGGCACGCACCTGTAGTCCCAGCTACTTGGGAGGCTGAGGCAGGAGAATGGCGTGAACCCGGGAGGCGGAGCTTGCAGTGAGCCAAGATCGCACCACTGCACTCCAGCCTGGGCGAAAGAGCGAGACTCCAGCTCAAAAAAAAAAAAAAATTATTTTGGTTTCTACCTCTATCTGGCCACAACTTCAGAAGACACAGCAAGGACTTGCAGACTTTTTGAATAACTTGATTACTGTAATACAGTTCCCCATTCCTCACCCCTTTAAACTTTCTTTCAATTCTTTCCATTTCTTTCAGTTCTCCACCTATAAAGTATGAAATGTTAACTGGATGCTTTGAAATGTCTGTAATAAAGTTTTCATGTCATTGTTATTATTTCATCTAAAATTAGCTAAATTATAGCTAAGAGGAATTTGCCAATTTTTTTTTTTTTTTTGAGACAGAATCTCGCTCTTGTTGCCCAGGCTGGAGTGCAATGGCATGATCTTGGCTCACTGCAACCTCCACCTCGTGGGTTCAAGCGATTCTCCTTTCTCAGCCTCCCAAGTAGCTGGGAGTCCAGGCATGCGCCACCACGCCCGGCTAATTTTGTATATTTAGTAGAGATGGGTTTCACCATGTTAGCCAGGCTGGTCTCGAACTCCAGACCTCAGGTGATCTGCCTGCCTCAGCATCCCAAAGTGCTGGGATTACAGGCATGAGCCACTGCACCTGGCCCCAAATACTTTTGAATGTTGTCATCACCTGGGTTCAGAAGGCGTTGCTAGATCCATGGGTGGATATGCTTAGATGGGCTTATATCCAGGACAACCTGGGTACTGGAAGGAGCAGGATAGCACTTTGAGTCAGCTTCCTACATTTTGATCTATGCCCTTTGGAAGTCGTTTCACTTCTCTTGGCCTATTTGCCCATATTTAAAGAAAGGGGGGTGGAACTGAATGTCCTCTAAGGTCCCTTTGAGACCTCTGAACCCAAGCTTCTCTATTGAATGTACCTTCCTTTGAGATGCAGTTATAGCAGGCAAACTGTTTCTAAAGAAACTTAAAAAAAAAAAAAAAAAAACCCAAGCCCTCACATTAAAAATATCTTAAACTACTTCAAAAATAACTGGGTTTATTTTCTCAATTTATAACTTCTTGGTGGCAAAAATCACTGCATCTCATACACAAGCAATATTCTGCTGCAAATCATTTGTGAATGGTATTTGGCCTTCAGCATTCCGAGAAAAGTGGGGTTCTGAGTCCAAAACCCAATGTGTTCCCCTAGTGAGGAATGATTTGACCCCAGTCAGCTTGGATCAGTCAGGCATTCAGATTTCCTGAGAGGAGGACTCCCAGAAACCTTATTAGCCTAATCTGTGAAAGGTGTTTATGAGAGAAAATTCCAAGGACGGCCATTCTTCTGTGCTAACCTTTTCAAATAATTTCCTCCTCAGCTTTTTCAAGCTAATTAGGGAAAAGCTCTCAGTGATTTAGAAAGATGTTCCCCTTGCCTCACCTGAATTTTTTTTTAAAGAATACCAATTCATAGATAAGGAATAGGGTTCCTGTGCCTCATAAGTGTCCCTAACTATAAGACAGAAAAGAATAAGGTTGTTGTGATGATTAAATGAGATAATACAAAAGGGCTTAGCACATAGTAAGTGCTTAATGAATGTTGGCTTTTACTATTATTATCATTATTAATGAAGCTAGCTCTAGAAAACTTTATTCTAATTAGGATTTTAAACTAATCTGTGATGAAAAGAAAAGATACGTAGCAGAAACTTTATTTTTAGAGTAAACCATTTTGTTGTAATTTTATGACACTAATGATTTTTTAAAGAAACAATTTCTATGGATATCAAATTTTTTTTTTTTTTTTTTGAAATGGAGTCTCCCTCTGTCACCCAGGCTGGAGTGCAGTGGTGCGATCTCAGCTCACTGCGACCTCCACCTCCCAGGTTGAAGTGATTCTCCTGCCTCAGGCTCCCGAGTAGCTGGGACTACAGGTACCCACCACCACACCTGGCTAATTTTTTTGTATTTTTAGTAGAGGCTGGGTTTCACCGTGTTAACCAGTATGGTCTCGATCTCCTAACTTTGTGATCCGCCCGCCTCGGCCTCCCAAAGTGCTGGGATTACAGGCATGAGCCACCGCACCCGGCCAGATATCAATGTTTTTAATAGAGTGCAGTTAAGTGATCATTGATAAGTTTTATCAATAGCTGTCGAATAATACTTAGGCTGTATATGGCCTATGGCTAAGAAGAGTTTATACAAAGTTCTTTCTAGGGACTGGGAGATCTAAAAAACTTTTTTCAATGATCGATAAGTTGTTTTATTTTATCACTGAGAAAAAAAAAAGTCCTGAATAGATTCCTGTTTGGGTCTCTTGGAAGCCTACACTTGTCACTTTGAAAACTTGCCTGTGTTTTAACGTTCCCACATGTTTTGATGTGATGTAGATAAACTGGTGGAAAGTTTCCAATTTGAAAATTGTGCTGGGGCCAGTAAGATATTGCTGTGACTATAAGAGTTTGCTGTTCTTCTGAGATGCTGGTGGAATTGGGCTGGAATATAGGAGGGTGCAGAGAACATAGGAGCATGTTCAGCTCAGGCTTAGGAGTCTTGCAGTTGTGGCTGGATGGGAGCAAATTGGAGAAGGTGGCAACTGACCTGGTTAAGAATGAAGTTTTCTTAGAATCCAAGCCAGAGAAGCCAGCAGCAGGCCATGGAGATTTATGGGAAACTGCGAACAGCTTCCCTTTATCATTATAGACAACTCTGTTATCTATGTTAATAGGAGATGGGAAGACACAAAGTCCACAGATTACACAGATAAACCTCATTTTTACCATTAATTTCAACTTCATTCCCCATTAAGCCTACCTTCCTCCCCTTTTGCTAACAAGCAGTAACATTTGTTCACTTTGGCGTTACATTATCATCTCTCTTATCTGGCCCAGCTTTTGGGATGGAAGGATGGGAGAGATGGAGCGGCTTAAAGGTGGTAGGGAGGAAAGATGAGACGGAGAAGGGAAGGGCTTGGAGACCTATAAGCTCTACAGGTGCAGCCCACTGATGGAGCAGGGGCATGCCACAACCAACACAACACAGATGAGAAAGGACATCCTGATCATCTAGTTTGGAAAATACAAAGCTTCCAAAATGAGTATTTCTTTATACATACAATTATTTCCTTGTGCCTGGGTTCCCGTGTGGAAGAAATGTGGCTCTGTCTACTTCCACAACAGGAAGCTAGAATGGACACACGGAAACACTGTATATGATAATTTGCCTTCTAAGTTGCCCTGTACCAGGGTCTCATCCTGTATCATTCTATGAGAATAATGTTTTTACTGCTAGAAGATGTAGACCATTACACACACATACACATTCATTTTAAAACTACTTATTTTTTTTAATAATGTTCATGTTACAAAATTCAAAAGGCTATCCAAGTGGAAAGTAAGTCTCCCTCCCACCCCATCCCCAGTTGCTTGTGTATTCTTCCAAAGATATTCTGTGTGCATTCAAGTAGATACATATATAATTTTGTCTTCTTGTTCTCACGTGAATGATAGAAACCTATAGTATTAGCTGATATCTTGCCATTTCCATTTATCTTAGAGAGCTGTCCATGTCAGTTCATGAGAAGTCGCCATGTTCTCTTTTGGTGCCTGCATAGTAGGGTAACAATTTAAGCCTCTGGGTGTCTTGCCAAGTTTTTAATACGCTCAACTGTTTCTCAGCCTCCCTTATGTGTTTGACCTGGAGGGAGCTCTCCTGACGTGCCAGAACTGGGCTAGACACCAGGGACACAGCAGTGAAAAACCACAACCCCTGCCTGCCCTCAGGGTGCTTCCAGCCTGGTGGCGAAAGTACAGGTAGACCGCGATGAGTGCTCTGATAGGGAAACTCAGGTGCTGCTGGAGGTCATGGTGGGGGGGCCTCACTGAGGTAGGGGCTCAGTGCCGGCCTCCCAGAGGAAATTTTATGTAAGCTAAAACCTGGAGGATACAGGAAGTTACCCATGTGTAGAGCTGGGCAGGACAGAGTTAGAGGAAACGACAGGGATAAAGGCCCAAGTGCCAGAGAATATAGACTGTTCTGAACCTAAAAAGTCCTCTTGCTGGAGTAAAGATAGCAAAGCACACAGTAGTATAATATTTCTCACCAGTGGCACCACTGATGGTTTGAGCCAGATGCTTCTTTTTGGGGGCGCTGTCCTGTGTATGGCAGGATGCTGAGCCGCATCTTGCGCCTCCACTTGCTAGATGCCAGCAGTGTCTCCCTCCCCTCCCCCAAGTTTAGACAACCAAAAATATCTCCGTACATTGCCAAATGTCCCAGGGGGACAAATCGCTCTGATAGAGAATCACTGGCTGGTGAGGCTGGAGAGGTAAGAACACAAGAAAAATAGACTAAGATACAGAAATATTCTGCCAATATCTGTCCATGTGTTAGGCCTTCAGCCCATGTAAGTCAGCCTTGTCGATTACTCAGCAGATATACCTGTACTGTGACTATCCCCTGGCGCTGAGCTACATTTGGGAGGATCTAAAGAGAGAGAAGCCTCGGTCCCCCAGGGAACCCTCCTCCCAAAGTTCCCAAGATGACTCTTCCAAACCTTGGAGTCCAGTCTGCAGTCACTGGTGACAATAGTGAGTTGCAGGTTCTAATTCTGGGTGGCCCAACCCTCCTTCACTGTGGGTGGAGGAGACCCAAAGCATCAATTCTGGTAATGATGGCATTTATTATACAGTGGCCCCCGATGTCAAAAGTACCACATCGCATTGGTGAAGCAGTAAGGATTTCAGTTTATATTTAAAGTCAGGCTGAAAATACAACTGGCGTTCTCTGCAGTTTGATTACCCACGGGATATGTCTGAAATGGGGATGCACATGACGGAAAGCAAAGTGGCTGCTTTCATGATTTCCATGTTAAGCCTGGGAAGGTACAAAGGGCAGGGGAGGGTCTGATTCCTGAGGCCTTCTGACCTGTGTGCCAGGTGGTCTGCAGCATCAGTTAAGACTGTGAGGCCATGTTGATGCTTTCAGCCGGCGGTTCCCAGGGGCCTGCCGTCTCTGCTGCAGAATTGATTTAGAAAAGTTAGGCAGATTTGTTTCTGTATGGTTTTCCGGGTTGGTTGCATTTATATCCTTCAGGTTAACGTTTCGTTTATGACATTTTGTTTCATTCATGACATATTTCAGAAGTAGGCATAAGATGGTAGTACTCAATGCAGTGAGACCTTGTCCTGGTCAAATCCCTCTTCTCTAAGGACCCCACACACTGAGGTGGCCCACTATTCACATCTGGAGACAGTGGTCACTGAGTGATTGCAATAATCAAACATAGCCGTAATGGAGAGGGAGAGCTTTAGCCAGTGGGTTCTACTTTTTCAGAATATTGTAGGAATGGCAAGGACTGACTTCTGTGTGTGACTGTCTCCTAAATCTCCCGGTCCAGTGTTCTGCTGATTACGTGCTCCCAGCTGATGCCGTTTGGCTGGCATTCTCTTACTCTCTCCTGTGGTAGAGCTCAGACTGCCAAATGGACCTGGATTTGGACCCTGAGGCGCTTGAACTAATGATGAAACCTCAGGAAATCCCTTCTTGCAAGTGGGCTGAGGCTACAGCGGAGCATCCTTAATATTCAGGGGCTAGACCTGGCTGCCCTAGTCGTCTATAAGTGAAGCTGGAATTCTGCTGTGGGGAAAGCAATGTTTTTATGGAGACACTTTATCCTTGTACCTGTGGTTTCTCAACACAATTCTGCTTGCCAATTTTAAGGGATCAAGTGCTTACAGAAGAAATGGAAACCAAATAAATACTCTCCAGGGCAGGACGAAGTGGCACCAGGTCACCATAATGGGGAAGATAAAAGTGAGTCGATGACAGGCTCTTTGAACACAGAAGCACTTACCGGTGTACCTGATTCTGTGATGCTAATTGTAAATCTGTGAACATTAATGGTGTAAGGATACCCTTAACTGTAGGGGGAGTGTGAGTTACGTGACCTTACCTCAAGGCATTGACAGGCCACAGAGTCCTGGGGTGGGGTGGGGACACAGGACACCCAGTCCGATGATATTAACCACAGGTGAGTTCAGCATTCCAGGGGTATGGAAGATGCTGGAGACATGGTCCCAGTTTGGTTATATCAGACCAAGGTGATAGTCCAGTTCTCAAAAAGTATATGAGTCACAAAAGGACAAATACTCTGTGATTCCATGTATAATGAAGTTCCTAGAGTAGTCAGATTCATACAGACAGCGAGTAGAATGGTGGGTATTCAGGGGCTGGGGGAGGGGAAACGGAGAGTTAGTGTTGCCATGATACAGAGTTTCAGTTGGGGAAGATGCAAAAGTTCTGGAGATGGACTGTGGTGATGGTTGTACAACATTGTGAATATACTTAATGTCACAGAACTAACCGTACACATAAAAAATGGTGAAAATGGCCCGGGTGCAGTGGCTCACGCCTGTAATCCCAGCACTTTGGGAGGCCAAGGTGGGCAGATCACGAGGTCAGGAGATCGATACCATCCTGGCTAACACGGTGAAACCCCATCTCTACTCAAAATACAAAAAATTAGCTGGGTATGGTGGCACGTGCCTGTAGTCCCAGCTGCTCAGGAGGCTGAGGCAGGAGAATCACTTGAACCCGGGAGGCGGAGGTTGCAGTGAGCTGAGATCGCGCCACTGCACCCCAGCCTGGGCAACACAGCGAGACTCTGTCTCAAAAAAAAAAAAAAAGTTAAAATGGTAAATTTTATGTTATGTGTATTTTACCACACACAAAAAGGTTCATTGGCATTGCAGGCTTGGGAGTTTAATGGAGCATTATTTAAATCTTGACCATTTATTGGCTGTGTATTAAATTAAGCCTCAATTTCTACTTTTCTTTTCCAGAGTAGGAATAATAGTACCTATCAGAATTGTTGTGGAAATAAATGAGATGCTATCTGGTATAAAGTAGGTACTCAGTAATGGAAGCCTTTGTTGTGATGATCGTTGTTTTTACCGGGCACTTGGGTCTTCGCCTTTGTCTTAAGAGCTGCCACTTCCAGGGGACAGACTGCGTTCTTACTGCTCCGGGGGATGCCCGGGGCTCACCAGGCATCTTTTGTCAACTTGTATGTCTCCAGTTCTTTAAGGATGCCCCGAATAAAGACAAAGGGATTGGACTGGTGTCCCTGTACTGTTAGTTTCAAGAGTGAATCTGGGGCTGGGCACTGTGGCTCATGCCTGTAATCCCAGCACTTTGGGAGGCCCAGGCGGGTGGATCATGAGGTCAGGAGTTCGAGACCAGCCTGGCCAATGTGGTGAAACCCCATCTCTACTAAAAAAAATACAAAAATTAGCCAGGTATGGTGGCATGTGCTTGTAGTCCTAGCTGCTTGGGAGGCTGAGGCAGAAGAATTGCTTGAATTCGGGAGGCGGAGGTTGCAGTGAGCCGAGATTGCACCACTGCACTCCAGCCTGGGGGACAGAGTGACACTCCGTCTCAAAAAAAAGAAAAAAAAAAAACGAATGAATCTGTTTCAATGTTTTGCAAAGTGTGTTCATTCTGGAGACCCTGCTGTGTTGTCCTGTAGGGTACTTCGTGCCCCCGGCCCCAGGCTGGTCATACTAAAACGAAACAACCGGGAGTGAAGCACAGGAACCAGGAATGTCCTTTTTTTTTTTTTTTTTTTTTTTTTTGAGACAGGGCCTCTCTCTGCCACCCAGGCTGGAGTGCAGTGGCATGATCAAGCTCACTGCAGCGTCGATCTCCAGGGCTCAAGCGATCCTTCTACCTCAGACTCCTAGGTAGCTAGGACTACAGGCGTGTGCTGCCATGCCTGCCTAATTTTTTTTGACTTTTAGTAGAGACAAGGTCTTGCTATATTCCCCAGGCTGGTCTCAAACTCCTGAGCCCAGGTGATCCTCCCACCTCGGCCTCTCAAAGTTCTGGGATTACAGGTGTGAGCCACCACACCTGACCAGGAACGTGCATTTTAAACAGGCTCCTCAGGTGGCTCTGTTGTTTCCTGAACTTTGAGAACTACTGTTTATTGGTTGAGAGAAGTGGTTCTCAACCCTGCCTACCTTGAAAATTCCTTGGGAAGCTTTTTAAAAGCAAATATGCCAGGACCACCCACAGAGATTCTGATTCTATAGATCCAGGTTCAGGGGTTCTAGGGAGCTGCTTATGTATTTCCTTTTGGAGTTTTTTGTTTGTGTTTTAAATTTATTTTTCTGGTACCTTTTGGGCTAAACACAGCCCAACTTATGTGTTTTTTTGTTTGTTTTGTTTTGTTTTTAAGTAACAATCCTAGCTGTCTTTTATTGGGCATTAACTAGGTGCCAGGCACAGGGCTAAATGTGCATGTTCGCATTTAATCCTCATGACCACCCTGTGAGGCAAATCCTGTTATCAACCCTATTTCAGAGATTGGGAAGCTGAGGCTCAGAGAGGTCAAGTGATTTACCCAAGGTAACATAGCTGGGGAATAGTAGAGCTGCCCTGAACCCCAAGGCAGGCTGATTCCAGAGACTGTGCTCTAAGCACTGTGTCCTGATGTCTGTCATCCTAGGAGCAGGGTTAGGACTAAGGGGAAGCAAGCAGGCACCCAGGACACCTGTTTAAGGAGGGGCTCACGTGGGCTTCTGCAAGTGCGGAGTGAGTGCCCCTTAAGTGTTGCACCTGGGCACCTGACTTCACTCATCCTCTCACCATCCTTGGCCAAGAGAGCTTGTTCTTTAAGCAAAATGGCAAGGCTGAACTACCTTTCATTCCCCCTTGACTGTGTAAGCCAGTGGCCTCCTGATAGGGCCCTGGGTCTCCCCATCAGGGAAACGCTCTCTCATTCCAAGGCCCCAGCTTTGGGGCCTCTGTGGCCAGAGTCCTGGCCTCAGGGAAATCACAGGAGCTAATGCAAACTGTGTTCCTTTTTGGGAGAAGGTGTTAGCAAAGATGGTTGCCAAGCAACTCCAGGGGCGTCTATCTAGAGTGATGATTTCTCTCTTTTTCCTCCTTTTGAACATCTTCTAGGCCGCTGTTCAGTTTCCCTCATGGCATTGGGATTGTTAGTAATTTCATGAAGGGTGTGCTCTCTAGGATGATGGAGCGGAGATCACTCTTCAATACTGCCACATTAGAGGTGTCCTTTTGATGGTGATATGCCTGCTAAGTGGGTGTGAAAGTCCTTTACCTTCTTCAGCCACAGAGATGCCCTAGTTGTCACTGTCTCTGAGAGGGCAGTGACAAAGAGGATCCTTTGGATTGGAGTGGCTGGGAAAGGCACAGAATGCATCTCCCACATGAGGACAGGGCGATGTGGCAACATTTACTTCCCGTGACTTTGGATTTCACCCATTCTCCATTAACTGGGACATTTAAGCATTTTATAGTGATTGCCCTGCTGGTCCCAGAGGAGCTGGTGTCACCCCCCTGTCTCTCTCTCAGTGGTTTCACAGACCAGAAGAGTCCTTGACAGTCCTTTCCTCCTCAGTGCTGTCCCCTCTCCTAATTAATCACCTCCTCTGTGTGGGGTTTCAGGTGACCTTCGATGGGCCCCAGACCCCATTGTCTACCAGCTGGTGGTTTGATTCTTCTGATAAGGACCTGGAGCTTGTGGGTTCAAGCACCTTTTACACTTAATGGGACAGAATCCCAGCCAGACTGTCAAGAAGAGGGTGATCCACTGGAAAAGAGGAACTGGTCACATTTTTGGGTGGGAAGGGGCAGTAGCTCGGTCGCCCAGGCTGGAGTGCAGTAGTACAATCATAGTTCACTGCAGCCTTGACCTCCCGGGCTCAAGTGATCCTCCCACCTCAGCCTCCCTCCCAAGTAGCTGGGCCACAGGTGCACGCCCCCATGCCTGGCTAATTTTTTCTATTATTTTTAGAGACGGGGTCTCCCTATGTTGCCTAGGCTGGTCTCGAACTCCTGGGCTCAAGCGATTCTCCCACTGCAGCCTCCCACAGTTCTGGGATTACAGGAGTCAGCCACCACGCCCACCAGAACTGGTTACATTTGCTTAAGGTTGAATCCATTTGGCCAACCCATGTACAACAGCCCTGTTAGCCAAGTCCCCAGACTCCAGGCTTCTGTTCCCTTGAGTTACTCCTTCCATCATTGTGCCCTTCCTCATCATCTTTTGCAGAAGCGGGGCAGGACCCAGAGAGAATTAGGGACTCAGATGAGTCCTGCCACTTTCAGTGGCTGAGACAAAAGACTTAATGGCAGAACACAAACCCGGTACACAAGCCAGGTTTAAACAGAGTAGGGGCTTATTTGCTTTCCAAATGGAGTTACTGGGCATTTCTTTAAACAGTAGACAACCCTACAGCTTTTTGAAAATCATATTTGCTTCACAGAAGTTTTCATGGCACCCGCTTTTGTGCCCTTTCTGCCAGCTCCTCCCTTGGAGCGTGAGGCTTTGCCCTCGGTTTGCTCTGCATTTGCTCCGGACCCTGGCTCCTGTTCACACCCCAGGTGGTCCCTGTGTGTGGCGATTCTGACATGCCTGCAGCTTTCCTGACCTCTCCTCCACAGAGTGCTCATCCCACCCCCGGGTGCCGCACCAGACAGCCCCTCACAGATGTCATTGTGCATCTCAGACTCCACTAGACCCAAGAGCAAGCCGAGCCTGTGCGTTTTCCCCATCACTATCTTTAGAAAGACCCCCTCCTCCTCTCCTCCCTCCCTCCCATCTTAGCAATTCCCTGCACCTCTCCATCTCTCTCCACTCCCCCACCCCCATCCCAGCTAGCCTGCCTCATAGCCTACCTAGATTTTTATAATAGCTATTTAATTGGTCTTCCTGTCTGTATCTTCCCTGCACACCACTTCAAAAATTAATCTTCTGAAAATTCACATGTATCAGTTTGTTCCTCAAGTGAAAACCTCTCAGCACTCCCTCATCGACCAGTTAACACAGCATTCAAAGTCCTCAGTCCCTTCCTATCCGGACAGGTGGCCTGCCCTTTGCAGCAGCACTTTGGACAAGTGGAGTCCTTTCCCTGCCCCCTTCTCTGCCTCTGCCTGCCCTCTGCATCTAGTGTCTTCCCCTTCTCCCCTTCCCCTTGCCCCTCATCCTCCTTCCCCAGGGCCAGCCATACTTTCTAAGGAAGCCACCCTGCCGCTCGGGCCACCCCGCCTGGACCTTCTCCGCACCCTGTGCATGCTAGCCATGCCCAGCGTGTACTTTGCCCCCAAATCTCGCACCTCCTTGCACTGCTGCAGACTCTTCCCATGGTCCACATGTGTCTTGTCATCATAGCTGCATTAGAATCTTCTGGAGGCAAGGTGGAGGAAAAGCGATCATATCATCCCCTTTTCTTTCCTAAGTTATCTTTCAACCAGCAGTGTTATAGTTCGACTAAGCATCTTGTTTTTGAAATACCTGTATTGTCTTTTTCTTTTTTTAAGAAAATTGTGGTAAAATACTATACCATCTTAACCATTTTCAAGTGTAAAGTTCAGTAGTGTCAAGGACATTCACATGATTGTGTAGCCAATCTTCATAACTCTTTTCACCTTACAAAATTGAAACTTCATACCCATGAAACAACAGTTCCCATTTGTATTTTCATTTTTAAAAAGTCAGTCTGGAGATGGCCTATGAGGTTTTTTGATTCACCATCTGATATTTTGAAGTTGTCAAGATTCTAAGAACTGGAAGGACTCCTAAAGTTTCTGTTCAAGTGGATAGCTGGAGCTACAATGCAAAACACAGCTCACCTTAGGACATTAGCTCCAGCATCCTAGGTCAGCAGAGAAAATTCCATGAAAAAATGCTACCGCTGGGGTGCAGAGTCACAGACATCTTTGAGCACCTAAAGTTTTTCATTTAATATTCAGTAGTAACCCCCACTCTGCACCATTCTCTTTTTTGCCCTTGCAGCTCAGTGTTAAAATTTTTCACATGTATAAAAAGGTTGAAATAACGGTACCATGATCACCTATAGAATTAAACATTAGTTCACATTTTGTCTTGTTTTCATATATATATATATATATATGTATATATATATATATATATTTACATATAAAGATCTATCTGTATATATGTCTTATAAAGAAATATACAGGCCAGGCATCGTGACTCATGCCTGTAATCCCAGCCTTTGGAGGCCAAGGCGGGTGGATTACCCGGAGTCAGGAGTTCGAGACCAGCCTGGCCAACATGGTGAAACCCCATCTCTACTAAAAATACAAAAATTAGCCAGGCATGGTCACACACACCTGTAACCCCAGCTACTTGGGAGGCCGAGGTGGGAGAAATGCTTGAGCCCAGGAGGCAGAGGTTGGAGTGAGCTGAGATCGTGCCACTGCACTCTAGCCTGGCCAACAGAGCGAGACTCTGTCTCAAAAAAAAAAAAAAAAAAGAAAGAAAGAAAAAGAAATATACAGTCATGCATTCCTTAATGATGGGGATATGTTCTGAGAGTTATGTCATTAGGTGATTTTGTAGGTGTGCAATAGGCTATGCCATCTAGGTTTGTGTAAGTTCACTCTATGATATTCCCATTGGTATAACCTATTGCTCCTAGGCTACAAACCTGTACAGCATGTTGCTGTACTGAATACTGTAGGTAATTGTTGTAACACAATGGTAAGCATTTGTGTCTCTAAACAGATTGAAACATAGAAAAGGTACAGTAAAAAATATGGTATTATATACTCTTATGAGACCACTGAGTATGGGCCTGTTGTTGACCAAAGTGTCATTATGCGACTGTGTGTGTGTATATGTATATGTATGTGTATATATATATATTTATATTTCTGTAGCATTTGAAAATAAGTTATAGACATCACGACACTTCACCTTTAAATATTTATCATTTTTCCACATCTTGATTGTGCTACCTTGAGCTGTTCACTTAAATTCTCAGAGCCTCATCATACATAAATATGTATGTATGTTTTTGCTGAACTATTTGGTAAGTCACAGACAGCATGACACCCCTAAATACTTCAGCATGCATCTCCTAAAATTAGAGGCATTCTCTGGCCTAATCATAATACCAGTATCACACTTAGAAAACTAATGGTAATTCCATACTCATATCTGATACCCAGTTCTCGTTCAAAATTCACCTGTCATGCCCCCACCCCCAAAAGCTTATAGCTGCATTTTTCAAACTAGATCCTGTTATGGTTCATGTACTGCATTTGGTTGTTATATCTCTTCAGTAGCTTTTAATCTAGAACAGTGTCCCTCCCCCACATGTGTGTGAATATATGTATAATACATATTTCTATATATATGTATACATATTTTTATATATAAATATATAAAACATTGCCATTTAAAATGCTTCCTGTTCTGGTCTGTCTTGTCACTTCCTTGTGGTGTCTTACCTTGTTTTTGCTATTCCCTGTTTTTCTCCTGTTCTGGAAGTTTGAGCTTAAGTATCATTGGATTCAGACTCAACATTTTGGTGCAAATGTGTCCCAGGTGATTCTGAGTGCTTCATTAAGCATCCCATCCAGGGGTTACAAGATATCAGGGTGCCCTATTATTAGATATGGATGACTTCGTAAGGTGGTGACCACTGCTGCCCATTGCAAACGTTGTATTTTCCTTCTGCAATTAGCATGTCATTCTGTGGGTAATGCTTTGACACCCAGTGAATATCCTGTCCCCCAAAAGGAAATTTTGTGGAATCCTCTGGGCATTCATTGATGACCCTTGCCTGGATCAGTTATTTCTTTGGGGATTGTAGGATGGTCATTTTCAAATTCTGTCATTCTGATCTGCTTTTATTGGTTGACATTCTTCAATATAGAAGACATCTTTCCCATCAACAGGGGATGAACTATTAAATTCCTCCTAAAAGGGCAGAGTTAAGTTTTTCTCTTTAATTATCAGTGCTCATAGTAAGTAGTTGAACACTGATGATTCTTTTATTTTATTTCATTTTCATTTTTTGAGAGACAGAGTCTCATTCTGTTGCCCAGGCTGAAGTGCAGTGGCATGATCATAGCTCACTGCAGCCTTGACCTCCTTGATTCAAGCGATGCTCCCACCTCAGCCTTCCGAGTAACTGGGGCTACAGGCACATACTACCACACCACACCAACTTTTTATTTTTTGTAGAGACAGGATCTTGCTATGTTGCCCAGGCTGGTCTCCAACTCCTGGGCCTAAGCAATCCTCCTGCCTCAGCCTCCCAAAGTGCTGGGATTACAGGCATGAACACTGCACCAGCCTATGATTCTTTTTTTTTTCCCCCTGTAGCCTAATCTTGAAGGTGAAGGTGATGGCCTGTGATTCTTAAGCTAAGGAGGAACAAGGTTTAGGACTGGGTACACTAGAATTTCAAGAAGATGCTTGTATAGTGTGAAAACCACAATCAGTGGGAAGTCTTAGAGAGAAAGTGAGCTTTGTAGTACAAACCTCAGGAAGTAAAGTGTGATCCAATCTTGGTAGAGCATGAGTTTAAAAACATTGAGAAATATTATCCCACACAGTCAAGTGACCCTCTACTTTAACCTGGGGAAGGAAGAAGATAATTATACTTAAAATAATCCTTCTCCCACCTTTCAGAGGGAGCACAGTATTTAGCCTGGGTCTGGTGAACCACTGAAGTTAAATGGGAAGTCATGATGAGTGATGCTCTGCAAGTCAGAAGCCAGAGCTGTGCTTCCTGCATTGCTGACTGCGTAGAAAGTGACCAGTTGTCCAGGAGGTGGAAGGCCCTGGGCTGGGCTCTGTGTGGAATGTGAAGGTGGAACAGTGGCCCTGCCCTCTAGGAACTCACTTGCAGCACCTGGGAACTCTGATGTTGCTTAGAAAATGAAATGTGATTAGAATGCCTTAGAGCCCAGGGAAGGAAGATATCTCAGTCTATGGTCAGCCAGACCTTTAACCTGGGTCTCAGACCTTTGACTTAAAGGTAGAGGCTGTTTGGTTTGTGGTTTTACATGGGCCACAGTAAAGGATAGTTAGTAGGAGTCAAGTTAATGTTTGAAAAATGAATGAAAGAATGAATGAATGGACACCTCGTGCAGAGGCAACACAGCAGCTAGGATTTGGACATTCAGGGCATTGTACAGGGAAGGAAGAGCTTAAGCAAAGGCTTTGAGGGCTATGAGTTCCTCAAGAGGTTGCTTTTAGAAAAAGAAATTATGGTGAAACTCCATTAATACCAAAGAGAAACAGTTCATAATTTATTCCAGTTGTAGACACACTCAGTGCCTAACTCCATGCCGTCTTTTTTTGAAGTAGAGTTTTCAGAAAACAGCCTTCTGTTTTCTTTGGTAGTGTTAGTGTTTGTTTTGCTTTCTCCATTCAGGGTGCTGGAGGGAGAGTTATTTTCTCTCTCTCTCTCTCTGTCTCACACACACACACACACACATACACACACACTTTTTGGGTGCTGCTGACCAATTAATTTGTAAGTTCTTTTCTATTAGAATCAGTGTTGTGCTAGTAAATGTTTAACAATCTGCTATCTAAAAAAGTTAGTGCATATGGAAATATATGTTTATTATACATTTTACTGATTTAAAAAAGCTGTTTAGCATATGCTTTATAAAGAATAAAATATTTAAATTCTTTTTTTTTTTTTTTTTGAGACTGAGTCTCACTCTTGTTGCCCAGGCTGGAGTGCAATGGCACTATCTCGGCTCACTGCAGTCTCCACCTCCCAAGTTCCAGCGATTCTCCTGCCTCAGCCTCCCGAGTATCTGGAATTACAGGCTCCTGCCACCATGCCCCGCTAATTTTTGTATTTTTAATAGAAACAGGGTTTCACCATGTTGGCCAGGCTGGTCTTGAACTCCTGACCTCAGGTGATCGACCCGCCTCAGCCTCCCAAAGTGCTGGGATTACAGGCCTGAGCCACTATGCCCAGCCTAAATTCTTTTTTGTAGATTTCATATAGTCTATAGATTCTTACCAAATGCTTTGGTTGACTTCTGCCAAATTCTTATATCCCCAACCTTCCTAAGGTTTAAATTGACAAACAGGTGTAAACCCCACATAAGTATTGGTTGATATTTTCATTTAAGTCAGTGAGTAAGTTGAAAGGGAAAGAACAAAGATAAATGTTAAAACTTCACTTGATTGTTAGTGACGTGACTTTCTTGCTGAACTGAATAATGGTTTTCAAGTACTAAAAGAATATGTCCTCATTGTTTTGTAGTATTCACAATAAAGCTAGAGACATGATATACAGCTGTCCCTTGATATCGAAGGATTGGTTCTGAGACCCCAAATCCTTGGATTCTTATCCCTTATATGAAATGGTGTAGTATTTACATATAACTTATACAGTTTTTTCATAGACTTTAAATAATCTCTAGATTACTTATAATACCTAATACAATGTAAATGCTGTGTAAATAGTTGTCATTCTGAATTGTTTAGGGGATAATGACAAGAGGAAAAGGTCTGTACATGTTCAGTATAGACTCAGGCATCTTTTCTTTTTCTTCCACATATTTTTGATCTGCAATTAAGTTGAAACTGCAGATGTGGAACTCACAGATTCAGAGGGTTGACTATTCTTTTAATTTAACTTACATCATTAAAATTTTCTCCATCACTTTCTTAAATTTTGATAATCAAAAAAATAATAAATCATGCCCTGATTTGTAGTATGTGATGATTTCCATGGTGTAAACTCTCCTACCACTGCATTTCAAGCTGTCAATGTGATATCACAGAACTCAGAGTTGGGAAGAGATATGCATCAGCACACTGTTACGTAGGATATCCTCCATACAGATACATTAGATGGTAAATGACTTTGAGAGCAGGATTAAGCAACGTGTGGCCCATGGGCTGCCTGTTTTTAATAAAGTTTTATTGGAACATAGCCACACTCATTTTTTAATGTATTGTCTGTGCTAGCTTTTGCACTACAATGCCTGCATGGAGTAGTTGAGACAAAGCCTAAAATTTTTACTACCCACAGTGGCTCACGCCTGTGATCCCAGCACTTTGGGAGGCCGAGGCGGACGGATCACGAGGCCAAGAGATCAAGACCATCCTGGCCAACAGGGTGAAACCCCATCTGTACTAAAAATACAAAAATTAGCTGGGCGTGGTGGCGCACACCTGTAGTTCCAGCTACTTGGGAGGCTGAGGCAGGAGAATCACCTGAACCTGGGAGGTGGAGGTTGCAGTGAGCCAAGATCACACCACTGCACTCCAGCCTGGTGACAGGGTGAGACTCCATCTCAAAAAAAAAAAAAAAGAAGAAGAAGAAAAGAGAAAGTTCCCAACCCATACTCAAAGCATAGATAATAAGTGAAATGTAGCAAGATAAATTGGAAATGATGAGTTTTATATTCAATTGTAAGCTTATGTCATATAACTTTTAATAATTTAATAATTGGCTCACCACATTCCTGAGAATTTAACAATCAGCTCTTGTGAGCCTTTACAAGCTGGCCCCAGCTTACAACTGCAAAGCTTTGAGGGCTTCAGCTTTTAGTGCCAAAAATGAAGCTGTCACTATTAAGCAGCAGCAGCTGACAATACCAGATTGGAGGGGGAGCCTCACTAAGAAGGATTTGAACTGCTTGAAATTATGGTCTAATTGTCCATAGAAATCAGAAGAAAGCAATTTTGAGGTTAGTTTTCATATGATGGGGTTTTTGTGTTTTGTGTTTTTTTTTTTTTCCTCTATAAGGGTCTGGGGTTTGTTTTGGTTTTTCAAATGCTTTTTTTTTTTTTTTTTTCAGAGCTAATTTTCAAACCCAATACAGCATGCTTTTCTTACCAAATTTTGTGAGCATCTGTCTCGAGCCGTTCAGCCCCTGACAGACGCTCAGCAGCCTCCAGAACTCCCACAGATGTTGTGTGTCCCAAGAAAGGCCCACTTCCTGTTTCTGGCCACTAGCGGGAGGAGAGGTGGTCCCACCAGTTGCATTTTGCAGGGGTTTTCCTTGCCGCCATTTCCTGCCGGTTGCCTTTGAATGGATTACAGATGGTCAGAAAAAGACTTCTTGGCACAGTGAGAGGACCAGTCTCCAGTGCTTTGTGGGAAAGGATTTATAGCAGGATGGCAGTTTACGCCTACCAAGAATGGGCCTGGCTGCCGCGGCCTTATAGGGAAAACTGCCTGCCTGCAGAGATGGGCTCTGGGGGTGGAGGGAACGGCCAGGATGAAGGGGATGTTTAAATCGATGTGGCACCTTTCAGCCAGTCGGTGCTTAGACCGCCGCGTGTCCACAGATGTTAGGCCCCTGTGGAGGTGTCGGGCCCCGGGAAATGAGGTGCTGCTCCTGGTGCATCAAGCGCTTGTGGGAAGTATTATGAATCCTCATCTTTTCAGAGAGAGGTACAGCCAGGTGCTGTTGTTCCCTACCGCCCGCCCTTTTTGTTAAAGCCACAATATAGAGCACATTTAATTTGTTTTTGTTTTGTTTTGTTTTGTTTTGTTTTTTGAGACAGAGTCTCGCTCTGTTGCCCAGGCTGGAGTGCAGTGGTGCAATCTCTGCTCGCTGCAACCTCCGCCTCCCAGGTTCAAGGAATTCTCCTGCCTCAGCCTCCCGAGTAACTGGGATTACAGGCGCCCACCACCACGCCCAGCTCATTTTTGTGGGGCTTTTTTTGTTTTTTTTGTTTGTTTGTTGTTTTTTGTTTGTTTGTTTTTTGAGACCGAGTCTTGCTCTGTCACCCAGGCTGGAGTGTAATGGTGCGATCTCTGCTCACTGCAACCTCCGCCTCCCGGGTTCAAGTGATTCTCCTGCCTCAGCCTCCGAAGTAGCTGGGATTATAGGCACCTGCCACCACGCCCAGCCTAATGGTTGTATTTTTAGTAGAGATGGGGTTTCACCATGTTGGCCAGGCTGGTCTCAAGCTCCTGACCTCAGTCAGGTGATCTACACGCCTCGGCCTCCCAGAGTGCTGGGATTACAGGCGTGAGTCACTGCATGTAGCCTACATTTAATTTTTAAACTTTTAAAAATATATGTAACTTAAAATTTTAATACTTTAACCAGTTTAGAGTGTATAATTCAGCGTTACTAAGGACATTCACAGTGTTGTGCAACCATTGCCACTATGCATTTCCAGAACTTTTCTATCATCCCAAACAGAAACTCTAAACCCATTAAACAATAATTCCCCATTCCTGCCTCCCCTCAGCCTTGGTACCTGTTCTACGTTCTCTATTCTACTTTCTGTTCCTATGAAGTCACCTATTCTAATCATCTATTCCCCTCATATAAGGGGATTCATGCAGTGTGTGTCCTTTTGCGACTCGTTTCTTTCACTGAGCGTAATGTTTCCAAGGTTAATCGATGTTGTAGCATGTACCAGAATTTCCTTCCTTTCAAAGGTTAAATAATATCTCATCGTATGTATATTTGACATTTTATTTATCCAATCATTTGGGCATTGTGAATAATGCTGCTGTGAATGCGGGTATACCTGTTTCCATCTGTGAGTGGGTCAAATGTATACCTGTTTCTATCTGTGAGCGGGTCAAACAGAGACCTGGAGAGAACTGATGTGACTGGGATGATGCTTCAGTCCTTCCGAGATAAGCCAGCCGAGGTGCACCTCTCCATCAGAGCTGACAGGAATGTGTGTGCGGAAGGGCCCTGTGCAGGATTGCTGGCCGAGGGGTCAGATCAAGCTGGCACTCTGCTTGCCAAACTGTGCGCCCCCTGTGCTGCATCTGACCAGAGAGGGTGCCTTTTTCTAGCTTGCACAAAGGTCCTTGCTTCATGGTCTGGAAGAGTCCTGCCAGAGCTGAAAATCTGAGAGGCCAGGATCACACAAGGCCACTAGTGCTTTTGCTTTCCAGGGAGGAGGCAGCAGATTGCTGGGCAGAGGTTGTATAGGGAGGGTTAGGAAGGCTGAACTAACTGGGTCAAGATTCCTGGGATTGGGTCTCCCTCTGTCAGAAAACAGGGCAACCTTGTGCAATTACAGAGCAAGTCCTGGTGATCTCCATCTGTGAGATGAGGGGAGGACTGTAAGGTCCCTGCCAGTAGTATAGGGCTGCCTGTCAATAAAGAACTGGCAAAATTCATGGGGGACTAGAGAGAGGCAGGGGCAAGCCTCTGGGAACAGGGTATGGACGACATAGAACAGGAAGGTGATGGAACTTCACAGAGGGAGGATGGTACAGAGAACTTAGAAATCTGAGAGCCAGGGAAGCGCCTCATAGAAAGTGTGATAAAGTAAACAGCTACATTCTTTCTGACCAAAGATGGTGGTGGAAGGAGGAGGAGAGAGAAGTAGTGGCATTGATCCTTCATAAAATTATTCAGCACTTACTGTGTACAGACACAGAATAGAGGGTGCAAGAGGGAAACAGAATCGTGATTCTTCACTTGTGCCCTGTGAAGCTCTCCTGTTGCATGAAGAATTGCAGAGGTGTGAGGGCGTGTTTTGTGTGTGCACATTTCTCCTGGGGATGGTTCTGTGGTTTTTCCTTTTCCTTTCCTGTGGACTTCTTCGCCCTTTCAACAACAACAACAACAACAAAATGTTTAAAGAAATTTACAGCTTGTGGGGGAGACACACCTGTGCCCAGAAATAACAAGGGGGTGAGCCACATGGGAGGGGGATGGAAACACGTGAGGAATAAGCTTGCTGCTTTAAAAGTTGCATTTTGGTGTTAGGGTTTGTGATACATGCAAATCTCCTGAGGAAGAGTCCTCCCTGTTTGGGGTAAAGGGCTGGGGACAGCCACTTGCAAATCTAGCCCTATTGACATGATTGGTGTTTGGATTTTTACTGGGAGATAGACTGACAGAGATACAGAGAAAGACTGGTAATATGTATGCTAGCTGGAGAAGCCACCTTTCAGTCCCATCTCTGCGTATAGTTGATCGTCGAGGAACTCGATGGTGCAGGGGGAAAGGCGTAGCTTTGCAGTCAGACCTTAGCTAACTTCTTGGCCCTGCTGCTTGCTTGCTGTGTGACTTTAGGCTAGCTACCTTGCCTCTCTGTTCCTCTGCTTGCTCATTTGGACAACAGGACCAGACCTAGGAAGATTAGGGATAAGTCACCAGCTGCCATCCTATAGATGGTCAGAAAAATGGTAGCTGGTATTATTGCCTGGAGGAGAGGGCAGGTCTGAGAAATCCAGTGGTTTCCCTGGGTTAGTTTCAGGGTTGTAAATCATTGTGGGATACACATAAAAAACGAGCCAGAATTTGAGAGCAAGGGGAGGGAGGTGTTGTGGGAAGTTGAGTTTGGAAGTGTCTAGGTGAAGAGGTAAGTTATAAGGAAGCGGGGCAGCAGGAAGGAATAAGAACTGAAGTGACATATCCTGGGGGCAGAGATGGCTTTCTGCCCCTTTTGATATTGACTTTCATTATCTCTGAGATCTGTCTGTATCTTGTCCTCCAGCTCAGCCTACACACCAGGGCCCCCACTGAGGGCATTTGCAGAGTCTGGGGAGATGGGAAACCGGGAGCTCCTGAGAGGGACTCTCTTGCAGGCAAGTGAGGATCACTTTCCAAACAGGCAGGCCATATGGAGCATGGGTACCCCTTCTGTGCAGAAGGAGACACCACAGTGTCTTGCAGCAGAAGCCCATGCTCGCTCTGTGCTCGTTCTTCAGGAGGCACAGGGATCAGTGCTAGGCCTCTTAAGTCAGAGAGATCTGGGTTCAGCACAGAGGAAAGTCCTATAACCTCTCACAGCCTTATTTTTCCCATCTGCTTAATGGGATATCACAGGTAGCTCATAGGGTTGTTGGCAAAGTTGAAGGAAGTGAACACACAGCATTTAGCTCAATGCATGGCCCATGGGAAATGCGCAGTGAACATTTCCTTTGGTTGCCATTGAGTAGCCCCTGGAACAGAGGACTAGGGGGTGTCCTTCAGGATGAGCTTCCTCATGGTCCTCTCCTGTGGGAACAGTGTGCTGGTGAAGGCTGTATTCCCGATGCCATGGGGCATGACAGGCATGAGGAAATGACATCTGGAAATGGTCCTTAAACCAGGGCCCTAGGCAGGGAGCCAGGAGTGTGCAAACGTGGTGGCACATCTTTCAGAATGTCAGTTCAACTCTAATTCTACAGGAAAGTATTTTTTTATCATTATATTTCATCAACTCTAAGATGCCATTTATCAGAAAATACATTGTTATTTTATGTAACACTGAGAAAAAGCACTGCCAATTAAACTACAGCCACTGTGGATTCTAAGACATCCTGATTTTAAAGATGTTACAATGGAAGTGGGGGTGAGTGCAGCTTAGAATTAATAAAATACAGTAGGGCAAAAATAGAGTATCAAGGAAAATTTGCATTAATTTTTAAGATAAAGCATGAAATTTGAAGAGTCACAGAAAGCTCTTGTGGTAGCCTCAGAAGGTGCAGGTATGTGTGAACTTGCCAGCCCATCAGGGCAACTCTGTTTAAAGAGCTGAGAGCAGCTGGGGCTTAATCTGCCTCTAAGTTCAGATGGGAAGCAGGAGGGAAGGAAGTGGCCCAGACTTCAGAGCACCCATTGTCATTCAGGGGCCTGAACATCCTCAGGGAGCCCCAGTGACCTCAGGGCCCCTGGTGAATCATTTGTGTTCACTTCACTTAGAAGGAAAATCAACATACAGCACTTTCAGGAGGAGAAGAGGTGTCATGAAACCAAGCAAACAATGGCTACACCTCCAAGAGGGTGGGAAACCACAGGACGGCACCACCCTGTAAGAGAGGCAGCTTCCTGTGACTTGTTGTCTTTCAGTACAGCCTGCATGACCCATGAGCAGCACATCTTCTAGCGGGGGCCCAGCCCTGGTGTTTTGGTGTTTGGGTGGAGATTCAGGGAGAAAACCAGGCTTGACCCTCTTGCCCTTAAGAATTCCTGCGCATCTCAGGTCTGTCAGAAGGGATCTGGTTACACTAACTTCTTGCCAGAGCCCTCCCCACCTGCATATCACTACGTAGGGACGGACTCTGGGCAGTTGTGGTGTTGTCAAGGAGTGACGCCCTGGTGTGGTGACCAGCCTTCTGCCACCTCCTTGGCAGGGAAGTGAAATCACACCTCCAAGCCCTGTTGAGATTGTCCATCTCCTCTCAGGCCAGTGGTGATGGCCTGTCCCCTCTGATGGACTAATAATAGGGTGGTGATAATGGTGCAATAATGGTCAAATTCAGTGGAGCAGTTTTATTTTCAGACTGCTGTGTCGTGGGGTTAGGAGTGGAGGATAAGCCTTAGGTCATGGGACTTGCAGGTGGAGGAATGGAGGTGAGGAGACCAAGTGATCCACTGGGGTGATAGCTAGTGGCAGACCTGAGTCTAGAGCCATGCAGTGCAGGGAGAGGGCCCAGAGAGGAGCAGAAAGCAGTGACCCAGCCCTGAGAACACACTCTGGGCTGGCAGGCTGAGGGAACTGGAGGCTAGAAGAATAGTCACTGGGCCGAGGAGCAGCATGCTCTAGGCTGGGTGCACGGAGCTGCAATCATGGAGGGCCTGGACCTCCATGAGTAGATTTATTTAATGATGCTTTTTCTTCATGCAAAAGTGATATGTGATCACTGTAGAAGATGCACATCAACAAAAGAAGAAAAAAGCTAGCCTATACCCCTGTCATCTGGAATTAACCAGTGCTGACCTTTTGTTTGTTTCCTGTAACTTACAAAAATGGGATAATTTTGTATTATGTTGATTATGGTGAGTACCTTTCCTAGTTATTAAGTATTCCATTGTAAATGTATTTCATAATTTATTTAACTAATTCCCTGTCATTGGATATATTGGTTGTTTTCAGGTTCTCATTATTAAAAATAATATTGCAATCAAATGAATATCCTTGTAGCTAAATTTTTGCACACATTCATGATTATTTCTAAAGCATAAATTCTTAGAAGTGGAATGCTGAGTCTAAGAGTGTGCTGTTTTTGAGGCTTTTGATACTCATTGCTAAATTGCCCTCTAGAAATATTGTTCCAATTAATACTCCCATCAGGAGTGTATGAGAGTGGCTGTTTTCCCAACTCTGGCCAATATCTCACCAAAGATTGTCAGATATTTGATGATTTAATAAGTTCAAATGTTATCTTATTTTAGTTTTCATTCTTATGATTACTAATAAGGTTGAACATTTCGTTAGCTTTGTGTATGTTCTTATATGAGTTGCTTTTTCATGGTTTTTGCTTAATTTTCCATTGGCCTATTAATCTTTTTTCCCATTGTTTTCTAAGAGCCCTCTATAGATTAAGGCTAACTTACCCATGTCTGTCATATTTGGATCACATGAGTTTTAGGAAATCTTAATGCTCAAACATTTTCTATCCAATCTTGCCTATAGGACCAAAGTAGCTAGGAAAATAGAAATTTCCAGATAATTCTCAAACCACATGGCAGGTGTTACTGAATGCTGGCAGGGGCCATTTCGTATGAATAGTTATGCTGACAAGACAGTACTAATAATAAAAACTACCATTTACTGAACAACTATTATATGCCAGGCACTTTTCATATATATTAGCCTTTCAGTCTTATCACCCTGCAAAGAGCCGAGTAAACTGGGGCAGAGAAAAATTAAGAAGCTCTTTTAAGATCACACAGCTAATAAGTGGCAGAGCCAGGATTTGAACCTGGATCTGTTCATCTCTACCACCCATGTACTTTCTACTGTCCTGAGCTCTTGTTCTTGGGGTAAACAATAGTTTTACAGTTTAGGTCTTCCTTAGCACCATCCACATCTGGACCTGTTGGTTGGCTCTAGAAGAGTCAACCCTGCCCTGATTTTACCTGCCCTTGCTGCTGTACATTATTTCTCAGCTGGACCTGTTCTCTAGGCTTCCAGCCTGCATGCTTTCTCCTTGTTGCTAGAGGTCCTGTCTGACTGTTTTGCTACTGATAAAGAAGCCCAAAAGATACCAGGATATGATTTCTCTCTCAAATTTCAGGATCAAAAGTTAAAACTAGATCCATCCAGTCCTTAATCTAGTGGCCAACTCCCAATGTTCTCACCCATCAAGCCAAGAAGTGAGTTGGAGTGCACATGGTAACTGGTCTTCAGAGGTGCCTTTTCAGGGAACACGCCTCCCATGTAGTCTCTTCTCTGTGACGCTTGGCTCACCCTGTGACACACTTTATGTATGTGTTTTAATAATTGCCATTAAGATATAATTCATATGCCACAAAATTCACTCCTTTAAAGTTGTTTTTGGTATTAATATATTCACAAGTGGTACAACCAACACCACTATCTCATTCCAGAACATATCTGTTAGTCCCGAAAGAAACCTTGTACCCATTAGCAGTTGCTGACCATTCCCTCCTCCCCTCAGTCCCTGGCAACTACGAATCAACTTTCTGTCTCTATGGATTGCCCAGTTCTGAACATTTCGTATAAATGGAATTATATAATATGTGGCCTTTTATGTGTGGCTTCTTTCACTTAGCATAATGTTTCAGGGTTCATTCATGTGGTAGCAGGTATCAATACCTCATTCCTTTTTGTAGCTGAACAGTATTCCACTGTAGGATATGCTACATTCTGTCTATTCATTTACCAGTTGATGGACATTTGGATTATTTTTACCTTCTGGCTATTTTGAATTGTGCTGCTGTGAGCATGTGTATAAGTTTTTGTGGACATATGTTTTCTCTTGGGTATATACCTAGGAGTGAAATTGCTGAATCATATGGTAACTCCATGCTTAATTTTTTGAAGAACTGTGAAACTGTTTTCTAAAGCAGCCGCACCATTTTAAATTCCCACCAACAATGTATGAGGGTTCTAATTTCTCTATATCCTTACCAACATTTGTTATTATCAGTCTTTTTTATCATGGCCATCTTAGTGGGTTTTAAGTGGTATTTCATTGTGGTTTTGATTTGCATTTTCCTGATGACTACATGATGTTGACCATCTTTTAATGTGCTTGATGGCACCTATTGGCCATTTTTACAAATTTTATTTCTTTTAGAGACAGGGTCTCGCTGTGTTGCCGACGGTGGCTTCAATCTCCTAGGCTCAAGCGATCCTCCCACCTTAGCATCCCTAATAGCTATTAGATTATTTCTCTTTAAGTTTTAAGAATTCTTTATTTATTCTGGATATGTATAAGAAATTATATATTTCTTATCAGATATAATTTGCAAATATTTTTCCCTTCTGTGGGTTGTCTTTTTTGCTTTCTTGATGATGTCCTTTGAAGCACAAAAGCTTTTAATTTTGATGATGTCCTGTTTATCAAATATTTCTTTTATTGCTTACACTTTTGGTGTTATATCTAAGAAACCATTGTCTAATTTCAGGTCACAAGATTTGCTCCTATGTTTTCTTCTAGGAGTTTTGTAGTTTTAGCTCCTACATTAGATCTATGGTGTCTTTCGAGGTATGTTTTTGTACATGGTGTGAAGTAGGGGCCAAAATTCTTTTTCATGTGGCTATCCAGTTGTCTCAGCATCATTTTTTGAAAGAGACTATTCTTTGTTCCATTGAATTGTCTTGGAACTCTTGATGAAGATCAGTTGACCATAAATATGAGTTTATTTCTAGACTCTCAGTTCTGTTCCATTGATCTATATATCCTAATGCCAGTAACACACTATCTTGGATACTGTGGCTTCATAGAAAGTTTTGAAACTGGAAAGTATGAGTCTTCCAACTTTGTTCTTTTTCAAAATTGTTTTGGCTTTAAACAATAGGAACTTCTTGAATTTCCATATGAATTTTAGGATTACTTTGTCAATTTCTTCAAAAAAAAAAAAAAAAGACTGGGTACTTACAAAGATTACGTTGAATCTGTAGATCAGTTTAGAGAATGCAAACCATCTTAGCAACATTAGGTCTTCCAACGCATGAACATGGGAAGGCTTTGTATTTACTTAGATCTTAATTTCTGTCAACTGTATTTATAGTTTCCATGTACAAGTCTTACATCTCTTTGGCTAAACTTATTGGTAAGTATTTTATTTTTGATATTATTGTAAATGAAATTGTCTTCCTAATTTTACTGATTGTCCATTGCTAGTGTGTAGAAATACAACTGAACTGATTTTTTTTTTTTTTTTTTTTTTTTTTTTGAGACAGAGTTTTGCTCTGTCACACAGGCTGGAATGCACTGGTGCAATCTTGGCTCACTGCAACCTCCGCCTCCCAGGTTCAAGCAATCCTCCTGCCTCAGCCTCCTGAGTAGCTGGGATTACAGGCACCCGCCACGATGCCCGGCTAATTTTTGTATTTTTGGTAGAGACAGGGTTTCACCATGTTGGCCAGGCTGGTCTCAAACTTCTGACCTCAGGTGATCCTCCCACCTCAGCCTCCCAAAGTGCTGGGATTAAAGGCATAAGTCACCTTGCCCAGCCCACAACTGATTCTTATGTATGTTCTTTTATTCCGCAACCGTGTTAAACTTGTTTGTTAACTCTCATAGTTTTCTTTGTGTGTATTTATTCCTTAGGGCTTTCTGTATATAAGGTCATGTCATCTGCAAATAGAGATGGTTTTACCTTTTCCTTTCCAATCTGAATGCATTTTATTTATTTTTCTTGCCTAATTGCTCTGGCTAGAATATTCAGTATAATATTGAGTACTGATGGTGAGAGTGGACATTCTTGTCTTATTCCTGATCTTGGGGAGAAAGCATTAAATCTCTTACTATTAAGTATGATATTAACTGTGGGCTTTTCATAAATACACTTTATCAAGTTGAAAAAGTTTCCTTCCATTCTTGTTGGTTGAGTGTTTTTATTAAGAAGGGGATTGGATTTGTCAAATGCATTTTCTGTGTCCGTTGAGATGATAGTGTAGTTTTGCCCTTTATTATGTTAATATGGTATATTACATGGATTGATTTTCATATGTTGAACCACTCTTGCATTGCTGGGATAAATTCCACTTGTTCATGGTACATAATCCTTTTTATATATTGCTGAATTTGGTTTGCTAGTATCTTGTTGGAGATTTTTATGTCTATGTTCAGAAGGGATTTAGTTTTCTTATGATGTCTTTGTCTGGTAAGGTGATACTAGCCTCAAAGAGTTGGAGAGTGTTCCTTGTGACTCAGTCTTGACCAATAGAATATGGCAGAAGTGACACAGAGCCTGGGTCACAAGGGTCTTGCAACTTCTGCCTGAGTTTCTTTGAAAACTCACTGTCAGGATGCACCTTCTTGGATCCAGCTACCAAGCTATAAGAAGTGCAGGCCATTTGGGGTGGAGGCCCTCCAGTCAACATCCCTCGCTGACACCAAGCATCAGATGCCAGCCATGTGAATGGGCCATCTTGGACATCCAGCTCAGTAGATCTACAGATACTGCTGTAGCTTCAGTTGACATCTGATTGTAAGGGAAAACTGCCCAGTTGAGTTTAGTCAATCCATTGAACTGTGAGAGATAATAACAAATTGTGGTTTTAAACCAGAGTTTTGGGGTAGCTTTTTACACAGTAATGGAGCAGGAATCCATTGGCTCCAGCCATCCCTGGGCCATAGCTTTCTACAAGAATTGTGGAAACATGCAATGGTGTTTTCTTATCTCCTGTCTCTTGAGAAGGCCCTGAGAAATGAAATGGCCAGAAGGCAGCATTGAAAAGAAGAGGGAACCTGGGTCCTGGAACACCCATGCCTAGGGTAACCACCCCTCACAGTGGTGGCCAGTGGCCCGTTTTCCAAAAGGTGCTTGCCTAGCTGTACTCTGCCTCTGCCCTTGGCAGAGTGAGTCAAAGGCTCACAGGGCTCACACATCAGTCAGCCTTCAGCCACTTTGCTGCCCCTGTACCACAGGAGGGTTTTGCTTCTGTGAGTGCCCAGACCTGCCATTGGCTGGCATTTGGGGCCATCCGCTCACTTAGCTTCCTAGATGGATCTGTCATGTGGCATTTATCCTTAATGCCCCGGCTTTTCTGAGGCCCGCAATTGGTCTGCAAGCTGAGCATCTCAGACCATCTTGCTAATCCCACCTTCAAGCCTGTGGACAAAGTTGGACTGCCATTCTAAAGACAGATAGGACCTAATAACCAGAGAAACAGAACCAGGGTGGGCCCCAGCTAGATGTGGAAGCTTTTGTGAGCTGGTGCAGCCTTCCCAAATCCCACCCTAACCTTGGGGCCACCATTTGCTTGCTGAACATAGGAAATGACCAAAGGACCCTGTCTGTTGGGTATTCGGTTTCCCTGCTGCAGTCTCTAGGTGGATCAGCTTGCTCTGCCTGCACCAAGCTCACGCCTTCATTTTAAGAAAAAAAGCTGAAGATTTCGTATCTTTTATTTCAACTTCCATAATATCAAGAACCTAAAGATGTACTGTACATGAAAAGATGCTCAACATCATTAGTCATTAGGGAAATGCAAATCAAAACCCCAAGAGACACCACTCTCCATCCAGTAGGATGGCTATAATACTATATATATTTTAAAATAGAAAGGAAAATTACAAGTGTTGGCGAGGATTGTGGAGAAATTGAAACCCTTACACATTGCTGTTGGGAATGTAAAATGGCACAGCCACTGTGGAAAGCAGTTCGGCAGTTCCTCAAAAGGTTAGGCATACAGTTATGGTATGATCCAGCAATTCCACTTCTAGTTATATACCTAAGGTCACACAAAAACTTGTACACCAGTATTCAGAGCAGCACTATTCACAATAGCCCAAAGGTAGAAATACCCAAATGTGCATCAAATGATAAATGGATAAATAGAATGTAGTATATCCTACAATGAGAATTATTCAGCCAAAAAAAGGCGTGAAATATCAATACCTGCTATAACATGGATGAACCTTGAAAACATTATGTTAAGTGAAAGAAAGAAGCAAAGGACCATATATTGGATGATTCCATGCATATGAAACATTCAGAATAGGGCAATCCGTAGAGAGGAAATAGATTAGTGGTTGCCAGAGGCTGAGCAAAAAGGGGAATTGGGAAGTACGGGGTTTCTCTTTGGGGTGGTAAAAATATTCTCATATTAGATAGTGGTAGTAGCTACACACCATTGAGGATTACACATTGAATTGTACACTTTGCAATGTTTAAAATAATTAATTTTGTGTTATATGAATTTTACCTCAATAAAAATTTTCAAAAAAAAAAAACCCTTCTACTTTAATGGTTATTGCTGTAAGATGACAATATACATTGTTTGCCATGTAAAGGCCCTTTCCCAGGCAGGAAGAGGGACTGGCCAGAGAATAGGTGCTTCCCAGAGTGGCTTGACGTGGCATGAAGAGTACGGTCTGGGAGCCAAAGAATTCTAGTTCCCCATCTCACATTCCAGCCGGGCAACTTCAGGCAAGTTCCTCAGCCTGGAGCACCCTGTTTAAGTCATTCTAAATTGCAGATCTTTCTCTAAGAATGCTTATAAAGTACCCACTATGTGCTAGGCATTAGTCCAGTAGTCCCCCTTATCTACAAGGGATACAGTTCCAAGACCCCCAGTGGATGTCTGAATCCACAGATAGTACTAAACCCTGTGTCTACCATTTTTGCCTATGCATACGTACATACTGTGATAGTTTAATTTTTAAATGAGGCACAGTAAGAGATTAACAATAATAACTAGTAACAAAATGGAACAATTATAACAATATGCCAGCATCACTATTCTTGCGCTTTGGGGCCATTGTTCAGGAAAGTAAGGATTACTTGAATGCAAGCACCGAGATGCCACAGCCTTCCATCAGATGACTGAGACGCTACTAAGTGACTGATAGGCAGGTGGAATAGACAATATGGATCTGCTGGGCAAAGGGATGATTCATATCCCAGGTGGGATGGAGTGGACAGCATGAGATTTCATCAAGCTGCTCTTAACAGTGCACAATTTAAAACCTATGAATTGTTTACTTCTGGGATTTTCCACTTAATATTTTTGGACCATGATTGGCTGCATGTAACTAAAACTGGAAAGTGAAACCGTGGATAAGCAAGGACTGCTGTATTAGTTCCACTTTTCAGCTGGAGAAAATGAGGCACAAGGAAACAGAGTACTTGTCCAAGGTGAGGCAGCCAGTGAGAGGCTGAGCAGTGCTCCAGGACAGGCATTTCAACTGCAGAACCTGCGGTCTCATGCTCTGCTCCATGTGGCCTTCTAGGAGTGCCTGACCCCCCGACCTCCCATGGTGTTGTGGGATCCAATGCCATTAGACACCGGGAAACTGTCTTATAAACAAAAACACTGTGCAGCACGCACAAAGCTCAGTGTTGCTCCTGTCTCAGATATTAGCAATGAGATTTATAGAAAAAACACCTGGAGCTCATCTGCCCAAGTGATCTGTCCTGGCCTTACCCAAAATGCATTCCTCCTGGAGTTCACCAAGGACATTAGGATTGTCTTATGTCCAGATTTCTCTGGACACAGGAAAATGTCCCTATAAGGGTTCTGAGAGGACCCTGAGATTGCCATCACTCCATGGGGCCAGAACTTGGGGGCAAAGGTAAACCAGATGAATACTGGAATTCCTGACACCAGCTGGGGCAGGTAAACCTGGAAGAGTGTGCTCACCGCCGGTAAGTTACTTCTTTTTTGTATTTAGAAGGCGGTCTGTAGACAGAATCAAGTGGGAAGTATACCCCATTTCTTTCTTGGGGCTTCTGGCCCTGGAGCCGTTGGAGATGCAGGGGTTGGACAGGGAGGCTCTCTGGCCCAGCATTTGACAGCTGGGTTGTAAGCTCTGGGGGGCAGTATGTGTGATCTGGAGAAGATACAACAGAGCTGGGAGCCGGGGTGTTGCTCAGATTCTGGCACTGGTGAATCTGAGAATCAGGAAGGTTCAGAAAATGTGGCAGAAGAGCTGGTGTGTTGGCAGCCTGGACTCAGACACATTCAAGGCGCCAGGCTTTTTGGCCCCAGGCAGGCATCATTTCCTGCTACCTGCAGCCCTGTGGACTCCACCCTGAAGCACTTCTGCTCTGGCCCCTCCTCTTCGCCACAGCAGCAGGCTATCCAAGCCCCCGTTCTCTAGGACCTTCATAGTAACCTCTTGACTGGGCTTTCTCCTGGTTAGTGCCTGGTTAGTGACTCTCCAATCCAGCTTTACTGTCTCCAGCATGACTTTTCCAGAACTCAGATCGGATTGTCACTCTGCTCCTACACTCATGCCAGTGGCTCCCTGGGGTCTGCTGGGTGAAGTTGGCATACAGCCCCTCACTGTGGCCCTTGTGGGCCCTCCCAGGCCCAGCCACTGCCTGCCGGCAGAGTCCCTGTGCTCTCCACAGACCACTCACCCTCTCCTCTGACTCCTCTGATCCTGACTGCTGCCTTGGTCCACCTGGCAACTTCCTACTCATCCATGAAGGCCCAGTTCAAATGAGGTTTCCCTGACACCACCCTAAACCTCAGACCCATGCAGAATTAGCCAAGTCCTCATCTGTTTACATAGCACATTTCAGGTGTTTCTGTTACAGCATATAATAATATTGTATTATTTCTTATTTCACCTGTCCTCCTTTCTGGTGGACTCTGGGTGCCTTTAACACAGACCGTATGTCTCATTTATATTCCTCTTTCCCATGCCTGGCACATAGTAGGTGCTCAGTAGGTGTATTTTCCCATGGGTGTTCATGGGCTCTCTGAGTGCAACAAAGTAGATACTCATCAGTCCTCTCTGCCCTGCATATGAGGCTGGACCTAAGGCTGTCATCCCTTGTGGGGTGTTTAAGTTCTTCCTCTCCTCTGGGTATCATGAGCAGAGATGCAGGGAGAAAAGGGAGAAGACTCATCTCATCTCACCTTGTGCTCTAACTGTAACAGCTGCCATTCAGACACCCCAGATGGACCATTCAGTGTAGGCTGAATGGCCAAACAGGCTCATATGTGCTAATCAGGTACCATCTTGAACCCAGTCCAAACGGGGAAGCTGCCAGCATTTACACCCATGTGCCCAGCAAACTGGGAGTGAAGGCAGTAAAGAGTGCATCGGGCTGAGACATGGAAAGCCCAGGGTTGGATTTGGAGTGTTTAGGCCAGGGTGAGATGCCAAACCATCAGGCAACCATCTTCCATGTTCAAGTTTTGATTTTCATTTTAAGTGCACAAAATCCACAAGCTTTTTTTTTTTTCATGCAGCAGCAACAGCTTCCTAAAAACGTCTCTCAGCTGAGCCATTGCCCATAACAGCATGCTATTTGGCCTTTGTAAAAGGAAAAACCTCTGTATTTGTATCTAGAACACCCACAGCTGAATGTGTCAGATGCTGCTGGCTAGTTTGATTGGTTGCCTTGCATGGGTGGCTTCCCGCAGGGGCTGGCTTTCCTAAAGTTGAGTGGGCAGTCCCGAGTTCTTCAGAGATTTCTGCCTAACCTGAGGAATGCCTGGTTTAAGCAGAGATGATGCTTCGTGAAGGAATGGATTCCTTTGCTTTTCTGTTGGGAGTGACTGAGGTTCCTAGAGTCTTTCTCGTGAGTGAAAAGGAAGTAGAGGTGTGCTCCAGCCAACTCTTCAGATGAGGCAAGTGGATTGATAATGGAACATTCCTAGACTCCTAGAGACCTGGCTGGCAGGGTGCCCGGTGATCCAGGAGTTCGGGTCATTTCCACGTTGCTCTGGGCCCTTGTTTGGGTGCCAGACGCGCAGAGTAATTAGAAAGGAGTGGAACAATCAGGGAAGATGATGTTTGCCAGCCACAGGCCTTTTTTTATTGTCCCTGTGGGTTGGATACTGGGCTGATCCAGGTGGGACAGAGATCAGTTTATTACCCAGTCTCTCAGCCCCTGCTCCTGGCTGGAATTTCACAGAATCTAACCGATTTCTGCACAGGCCACTCCTCTTATATCAAAAGGCTGAAATCCCTAGGGGTGTGGCCTATGCAGCAGCTGTTTCTCTCCTGGTTTCCAAGGATAATGTCAAGTGCCTCCGAGTGTGTGAAATTCTGGCTGAAAGTGAATGATTGAAATGCTTTTTCCATTAAACCATCTCCCTCCTGGTATAGGTATTTTCCTAACAACGCTTATGCAAATAGCTGTGAAAAGTAGGAAATGGTAAAATGTCGAGTGTCTTCGGCTCCTGGCAGCATGCTCAGCCGAAGCCTTCTGATTTTCCACCAAAAAAAGAAAGAACGACAGGCAGACCACCAGCCTTTGGTGTGGCACTGGGCAGACACAGCTGGGAGGCCTGTGTCGTTTTCTTGTCTGCTTCTTGGAGGGCAGGATTATGTTAGAACACTGAGCCATTATGGGTCTCTAGGATCACATATTGCGCTTTATTGTCTACACAGCCAATGTAAGTTATTGATTTGCAAATGGGAAGCATTCCTTTCCAACTCCCTTGAAGGAGGCTGGAGGGAAGCTATTTTCCGAGGGAGAAGACTTGGTTCATTCTTTGCAAAACATTTCCTGTGCAGCCCGACTCCTGCTTTTAGGACCTGCGCCATCGAGAGCGAGCGCACATGTGTAGTGTTCATTCACGAGGGAGGCAGGCATTTGGCAAACGTCCCCAGAGGTCCAGAGTGCCACTTGTCTCACGGAGGCCTCCGCTGTTGGCATCGGGCTCGCCATGTGAGTGGAGAAGGGTGGCCAGGGACGTGTTCCATGGCTGAGTCCACCCTCCACAGAGACAGTAAAGCAGATCCCCAGGGAGTCCTTCCGTCCCTGCTGTCTTTTGCTGCTCCCTGTTCATGCGTTCACCTCCTTCTCAGCTCTTCCTTCCCCCATCATATGTGGATTCTGGGGATGATACATCTATGCCAAGTGAATCTTTTCACTGGCACCCTTTCACTGGTGCTGTGGATGGGAGGCAGTGTCATGGTCCCATGCACCCCTTCTGAAAACAGCCAGATAGTAGTATATCCTTCCAACCCTTCATATTTCACTGATTCTAAGATGCCCACTTTTTTTTTTTTTTCACATTTTAACTTCTCCAAAGCAGGGATCCATCTTAAATTTCATGTTGTGTTATCATTGGGTAGTTTGGTTTCTTGTTTCTTACTAGTAGATAAAATAATGGTGCATCTTAGGGCATTGTAGATTCAAAGAAGTAGGAAGGAATCAGAAGGCCAGTGGATGACTATGATATAGTTTGGATATTTGTCCCCACCCAGATCTCATGTTAAAAGGTAATCCTCAGTGTTGGAGGTGGGGCCTGGTGGGAGGTATTTGTGTCATGGGGGTGGACCCCTCATGAATGGCTTGAGCCATCCCTTTGGTGATAAGTGAACTCACGCTCTGAGTTCACACAAGATCTGATCTTTGAAAAGTGTGTGGCACCTCCCCCCACCCACTCACTCTCTCGCGCTTCGTCTTCCACCATGAGTAAAAGCTCCCTGAGGCCTCCCCAGAAGCCGAGCAATGTCAGTACCATGCCTCCACCTCCTGGGTTCAAGCGATTCTCCTGCCTCAGCCTCCCGAGTAGCTGGGATTACAGGCACACACCACCACACCCGGCTAATTTTTGTATTTTTAGTAGAGATGGGGTTTTGCCATTTTGGCCAGGCTGGTCTCAAACTCCTGACCTCAGGTGATCTGTCTCAGCCTCCCAAAAGTGCTGGGATTACAAGCGTGAACCACCACACCCAGCCTAAACCTATTTTCTTATAAATTACCCAGCCTCGGGTATTTCTTTATAGCAGTGCAAGAACAGCCTAACAGACTGCTTTCAAGATGATTTCAAATCCTGAGATGTCCTTTGAGACTCTGTTCAGGGCCAGGTGCTATGGAGTAGGCAGATGTGTGGAGGGAACCACCTGCCCTGATGTCTCCCAGTTCTAACACTTTCTTCTGGGGATGCTTATGCCACCTGATATTGTTTGCCATCTGTCCCTGATAATTTACTTTTCCTTCCCCGCTTCTCTGGAAACATCACCCTCAGCTGGGAGTTTGTTGCCCTACCATTTAAATGCTGGCATCCCATTTTCTCCCTAATCACTCTCTCCTGGGCTTTTTAACACATTCGTCTCATTTGTTCGGTTGTTTTTCTGATCTTTGGGTCATTTTGGTTGTTTGGGTGACCCTGAAGCTCTTGTGTGATTCAGAGGCTTAAATTCTCAAGGGTCCAGGTATAAGAGTACTTTCGGCTAAATATTTTCTCTTGAACATGATAGAAACCTCCATGTTCTGTGCAGTAGGCATATTCCCTTCACTGCAAGAGTTTGGGGTTCCTGTGGGTTTCATCTCTGGTCCCCCATAGCCCAGTGCCATCCCATGCCCCTTCTCCCCCAGCCCTCCTGGTTTGGGGCACTGCCTCTCTTGGCTGTCACCGTTCTACTTTTAATTTACTCTGGGGATGCAGCGCGTGCCAGCTGCTTCTTCCCTGGATAAATTGGACATTTCACCTCAGAGCAAGCTTGTTCTCACAGTTTCTGAAGACTTCTTTACCCTCTCACATTTTATCCCTTAGCTGGTTTCCTCAGAAAGTTCTGAGGGTTTTTTTCCCTTGGTATTCTTCCTCTTGAAAAAAAGAGAGAGAGAGAGAAGGGTGCCACTAGCCAAACTTCCCAAGAAAGTTTCTTTTTTAGAAAAATTTCTGCCTCTGTCACCAGTGTTGTGAAAGTCCCTTCAGTATTTCTGTTAATAGGGTTTTTCTATCCTTTAAGAAAATGGGATTTATTTTGGTTTTATGAAGGGTCAGAAAAGCTCTTGTTGGCCAGAAGAGAAACTGTCTCCATTGTATAGGGAAATATGTTCCAAGCTCCAAACCACAACTTACAAATGAACTTTTGGACTAAGACCAGTGTGTGAAGTGAGGAGTCCGTCTCCGCTGAGCTCTGAAATGGAAATGCTGGTCTACTGGAGTTCAGGCTGAAAGACTCACATGCTGATTTCAAGTGCGTGGTCTGAAAGAGTCAACCCACCAACTTGGGCCCCTTACCTCCGGAAACTTTTTTTTTTTTTAATTATACAATTAAGGCTGGACACTGGCTCACGCCTGTAATCCCAACACTTTGGGAGGCTGAGGTGGGCAGGTCCCTTGAGCCCAGGAGTTCAAGACCAGCCTGGGCAACATGGCTAGAATCCATCTCTACAAAAAATACAAAAATGAGCCTATCATGGTGGCATGCGCCTGTAGTCCCAGCTTCTCAGGAGGCTGAGGTGGGAGGATCACCTGAGCCCGGGATGCAGAGGTTACAGTGAGCCATGATTGCACCACTGCACTTTAGCCCAGGTGACAGAGTGAGACCCTTTCTCAAAAAAAAAAAAAAAAAAAAAAACCACACACTTATAAATTATTAAAAAAAAAAAACAGCTTCCACAGGGGCATGGAGCACAGAAAGTGAAGCCCCTCCTGCACCCTGCCTCTCCCCCAGCATTCATGCAGCTTGACCTCATTCTGTTTAAGGGTCAAGAGGATTCCATTGTTTTGGTTCAACCAAAACCCATTCAGTGAGTCCCAGAGACCACTTTTAGCCCTGGGAAAAACTGGCCCTGGATTCCCAGTAGGCATCTGAAAGACCCTGGTTTTGGCTGCTAGATTGCGTTTCGTCTGCAGCCCTCTCCCCTCCACTCCATCACAAAAAGGCAGCCTCAAATTTCCTGTAAAGAAGAGTACCTCTCCCCGTTCTCAGCAGTGTGGCAGGATTCGTTCTAGTCATGTTCTCTGAACGTTATTGAAGTTGTTTTTCTGCAAGCCTACAGTGTGTGTGGCAGTACGCTCAGCCCAGTGAGGGAGGCAGAGCAAAGCAGTTGCTCTCTCTCAAGAAACTTACAGACTCATCAGAAAATAAGAATATACCCATCAGAATAGCACCCTTCAGCAAGGTAGGTGTGCGTATCAGGATCCTAAAATGTTATGACGTTTGACCTTAGTATTGCATTTCTGGGCACATAAACTGAGTAGGCAAACATTAGGCACACAGATTTATATACAAGGATTTTCATTACTCTGTTGTTGATAAAAGTGTAAAATTGAAGGTGGCCCATAGTTCCAAAGATAGGAGACTGGTTAAGTAATTTGTGATATATCCATTCAGTGGCATACTATACAGCTGGGTGAAGCCAAGCTTTCAAAGTCAATGATGAGGCCAGGCGTGGTGGCTCACGTATGTAATCCCAGCACTTTGGGAGGCCAAGGCAGGTGGATCACCTGAGGTCAGGAGTTCAAGACCAGCCTGGGCAACATGGTGAAACTCTGTCTCTACTAAAAATACAAAATTAGCCAGGCGTGGTGGCACATGCCTGTGATCCCAGCTACTTGGGAGGCTGAGGCAGGAGAATTGCTTGAACCTAGGAGGCAGAGTTTGCGGTGAGCTGAGATCATACCACTGCACTCCAGCCTGGGCAATAGAGTGAGACTTTGTCTCAAAAATAAATAAATAATAAACAAAACAAAGACAATGATGACATGGGAAAATACCATAAAATATTCAGTAAACCATGTTGAATACTGACTGTAATCAATATCCGAATTAATTTTTCCCAACATTTTATTATAAAAATATTCAACACATAGCATAGTTGAAAGAATTTTGCAGTGAAATCTTCCTTATAACTACCACTGGCTGTATCATTACCATTTTATTATATTTGTTTTATCATCTATACCCCCTCTTCTTCATCCAATAATGCATCTGATTTTTAAATGCATTTTAAAGTAAATTTCAGGCATCAGCATGCTTTCCCCTTGATACTCCAGCATGCATATCATTAACTAGTGTTAACTATTTGGTTTTTTGTTTTGAGGAAAAAACTACATACAGTGAAATGTACAAATGTTAACTATACTTTCTCTGAGTTTTGACAAATGGATACTCTCATGAAACCAAAATCCCTATTAAGATATAGAACATTACCAATTATTTTTACTACTAAGCACACATATTTATTTGTATATGTCTATATCTGTGCAATGGATTCCAAGGCTGATTTTATTTTCTTCGCTGTATTCTTTACGTTCTAAATGGTGTGAGTACATCTATTTGCTCTTTTATTTAATGGGTATTCATTTATCATGTAGCGTGTGCCAGGCTCTGCCCTAAATACAGGGGCTCCAGGGGTTAACAGGACTGCAGAATTCCCTGCCTTTACGGCACCTACGATCTAGTAGGGGCAAGATGAGTGAACAAAAGATAATGCAGCAGGGAGATAGTGAGTGAGGGGCTGTGGGTGGTCAAGGGAGACTGAATGATCTGAGGAAACAGCCAGTGAGGGTCAGGAGAGTCTAGGGGACCTGGGGACCAGCAGATCCAAGGACCCTGAGGCAGGAAGGGGAACATGATAGGGTGGGAGGTCAGAGGGGGAGGCAGAAGCCAAGCCATACAGGGCTTTGCAGGTGATGTGAGGAGTAAGGACTTTATCCTGGTGTGGTGAGAAGCCATTAGAGGGTTTTAATCAGGAGAGACATGGTCTGATTTCTGTTTTTAAAAGCTCTGCTCTGTGGAGAATCTGCTCTTCTGGGGTAAAGGTAGAAGCACGGAAGTCAGAAAGGGAGGCTTGTGCTGGGATAGTAATGGATGTGGTTAGCAGCTGTGAAGGTAGAGCTGGCTCTACTTCCTGAAGGATTAAAGGTGGGATGTGGGCAAGAGAGGCGTCAAGGAAGATTCTTAGATTCTTTGTCTAAGCAACTGGGTGAATGATGGTGGTATAACTACGATGGGCAGACTTGTGTAAGAAGCAGGCTCTGGGGAGGAGAGAAATCAGTAGTTCCGTTCTGGACATGTTGAATGCAAAGTGGAAACTTCACCTTTCAAAGCTTTCCGTGGAGAAGTCAGGCAGGCAGTGGCTGGGTGAGCACTGGAGGAAGGGAAGAGGCCAGAACTACTCCAAGTTGTTGGTGCACAGAAGGTGCAGGGGCATCTGCAATGCCCTTGGGGGCAGGTGTGTTTTCGAATTCAGAATTATTCAGACTTTGGAAAAGTAATCGATTTACACTCACTGAGGTCTGGGGCGTCACCTGTCATCAAACACATAAGGTATTTCTGTAGCAAATCGTAATCTTCACACTTAAACAGATTAATAAAGACTAGAAATAGCCTCACATTAGTTCAGGTCAGGTGTTGTTATGAAGGCAGTTTAGTCACCAAATTAGGTAAAACTTGGTTTCAGAGCTCTTGAGTTTCCGAATTGCAGAAAATTAGCAATCCCCTCCCTATTCTCAATTTCTACTCCCCAAATGCAAATACTTTGAAAAAATTTTTCACTGTTCTTTTCTGTTTACTTCTATAATGTCAAGTAACTGGGTTTTCCTGCCATCTCAAGATTCTTAAAAGCTTTATATTATCTACTAACTTGCCACCATGAAAAGTGAGGGCTTATTTCTTCAATAGGCCCTCCCCACTGCACACCCCTTTTCCATGCAGCCTTCCAATATAGTCACATGGCCATTTCTCACTAAATCAGCATTAGGGGCTTATATTATTATGATCATGTGAGTATTACTCACAGCTGAATGACCTGCCATACTATTATTACATGTCCTTTCTTAAACAACTCTGATTTCTTCAGTCTTTTGCAGAGAAGAAGCAAAGGATACCAGGGTAGAAGGTTATACAGAGTTCCCACCAAGCTTCCCATGCCTAGCCCACCCCACATCCCTGTTCTCAAGGGTAGCCTTTCTGGGCTTTGGGGGCTAAAATCAGCCCATGTCAATGCCCCCCACTTCACCCCACCCACTAACTGTGTTCAGCTAAGTCATTTACCATTTATCCAACTGCTCTGCAGCAGCATCCAGAATTTTACTGGCATCTTGGGTCTACTCTCATCTCCTATATTGTAGGACTATCACATTGTTCTGGTAGTTTACGCTTTTTAAAATTAAATTTACTGTCATTTTTTGTGGGGCTTCAGGAGAGAGTAGAGATAGACATAGTTTATCAACCTGCCATATTTAACAAAAAGCATCCCAGAGCACTTTTCATAGTTCCTCGGCCACGACCTTTTTATAGTGGGTGTCAGCAGATGTTCCTTATGTAATGATTTTGTCCACCTGTTGCCCAGCTCAGCCCACAGAGTTGGAAATTGGAAATTTGGAAGCGCTGTTACAACAAATTGCTTTCTAGGCATTTTAAATCTCCCAGGGTTTTCCCAGAGCAATTTAGGAGACCTCCTGAATGAGCCTAATGTGCTTTCAGCCTTTCTCGCTACAGTGAAGAGACTACATGGCATTTGCATTTATACAGCTATTTTGAAGTAGAATTCTTCATGTAACCAGGGTAGCATAAAGGGCATGCATTGGTCAGGCAGGGTGGAGCTTGGTCACCAACAAGTGTGTACACTGCACAACTTACTTTTGCTCTCTAGGCCCCAGTCACCCCATCTACGGTAAAGGTGGACTGGAGCACCTCATTCTTTATCCAAACTTTACACAGAGCCCTCTGTATAAAACGCAAAAAGAGGAACTGTTGTGGTTGAAGAAGGGGCAGATGCCCCCAGAATGAACTGAGATACTTCCAAGGTATCCCAGGCTCCTGTGGACGTAGATTGAGAAGCACTGGACTTGAAGATGTCTCTAAAGTCTCAATAGGACAGCTCTGTGAACCCTGCCTTTTCAAATGCTTACTGCTCTGCAGAAGTGAAACACTCTTTGCAGCTGGGGTCCCAGGAAGTGCAGTCCCAGGAAGTGCAGGTCCCATGGAAGGCCACTGGACCTGACATGGCATAGCAGGCACTGTCCTAATCTCCCTTTCCTGGCACAGAAGTGGAAGCAGGAATGTTGGTTCTAGCTGCCTCTTAGAGAAGAGAGAGATTTGTTGATTTATGGGTTAAGAGCCCTGGGATGGGAATCCTCCCAACACAGGCTCTGTAAGAATACAGGAATTTGTTTTCCCACATCATTTGCTTTTGATTTACTGTTTTGATGTGGGGCTGCTTGATGACTCAGATGTTATCTTCCACTGCCAAATCACACGTTAGGTATGTATAACATTTCCTACACAGTGACATCTTATCCTCTTCCACAGTCATCAATGGCCATACCCCACACCCGCCATGGGGCAGGGCTGGGTGGGAGGGGGAATTAAACAACTCTTCTAGTCACAGGTATGGGGCAGTGGTTTTCAAAACCGTTGTCTTTGTTGTTGATGTTGTTGTTTGAAGGATAGAATCATTTTCCAAAGAAAATCTTAAGGCAAAGCCGAGTCAGTAAAACAGATAAACATGGAACCCCTGCTCAAGTTGAAGAGTGGGATGAAGTGAAATAAAGACTCCAGCCCCTCTTCCAGCTCTGCCATAGAGGCTCCAGTTATAGGGACAGACCCCCAGGTCATTTCTGGATCTACCTCCTATACTTGTCGTGACCTAGTAGGATAAATAACTGAGCCTCCCAGGGCCTTCTTGTCCTCATCTTTAAAATGGGGCTGTCGGGGGATGGGGTAACATCTACCACTATTAGCTTTGAGTGAGCCACTTCGTGTGTCCCCAGTGACAAGGAGGCTTCTTATTACTGCCTACTTAGAAGGCTTGCCCCCAAAGGGTAAGCTTTGAGCCCCACAACAGCTTTCCTGCAGGGAATGTTTTAGAAAACCTGATTTGCACAGTTTGCAACAACTACTGTTTTCTTTTCAACCTCTTCTTTCCAGAGAAGGTCCCTGTAAGGTCGTAGTAACATCCAGTTGTTAAGTGCTTGTGATTTTGCTTGGAATGTAAACAATACTCTGTCTTTGGCCAGTTTGAAAAGGAAGTTTTATATTTTCTCCTCTGTCTTTGGAAGTAGCCTTACTTTAGTAAATGCATTTTGATAATGCATGCTGAAATCTATGATTTTGGTTACGTTGAAGATGGGGACCCTGGCAGTAGTGTGGATCTTCTCAATGAGTGTATATTTGTGGGTGTTTTGTAGCTGTTAATTACGTTAAGTAAATCACCATAAAATTGCCCCAGTATTTCCCCTCCTTCCTCCATGCTGGCCCATAGGAGCTTTCTCTCTGAGTGGGAAATGGCTGGTTTTTTGTTGTTGTTGTTGTTTGTTTGTTTTTTAAGACAAAGTCTCACTCTGTTACCCAGGCTGGAGTGCAATGAGTGCAATGGCCTGATCTCGGCTCATTGCAACCTCCACTTCCCAGGTTCAAGTGATTCTCCTGCCTCAGCCTCCCGCGTAGCTGGGACTACAGGTGTACGCCGCCACGCCCAGCTAATTTTTTTGTTTTGTTTTGTTTTGTTTGTATTTTTAGTAGAGATGGCGTTTCACCATATTGGCCAGGCTGGTCTCGAACTCCTGACCTCAAGTGATCCACCCGCCTCAGCCTCCCAAAGTGCTGGGATTACAGGCGTGAGCCACAGCGCCTGGCCCAGAAATGGCTGTTTTTTCACTTCACTATTTGAGGACTGAGCAGGCAGCCTGTCAAATGTATTGATTGCCTTCTCCAAGTTGGAGATTGGGAGCTACATATTTGCTTATCTTCCCTAGTGAAAAAGCAAATAAGACTGCTTATCTAGTATTTAAACTTGCTTTTCATTTACCCTGTCAAAGGCATTATCCCATGAAGACATAATTTGAGAAGTATCTTCATAGAAAATAGCTCTCATTGCATAAGCCATGAATACCCTTGCCGGTGGAGTCCATGTATTGCTTCTTTAGAAATTGTCAGTGCTCACAGCTCTCATCTCCCTCAGTGAATTTTCTAGCTTCCAAACCCTGTACTTTTTCTCCCACCAGTTCTTTCTTCCCCTTAAGCTCTGCCTCCAACAAACTGTGGACTGTGTGCATTTAGCTTCAGCCTCTTCTTCTATAAAATGAGAATAATAATGGTTTCTCCCTCAGAAACTTTTTGCATGGAAAAAACATGATATTGCTTACAAAGTGCTTAGTACAGTAGTTGGCATAGAGTATGTGTTTGATAAAGAGTAGTCATTATTTCTCTTTGTTGCCTCCTCAGTTCTTACATTCATATTCACCTGTCTCCCTGACCATATTTACCTGGTTTATCTGGGACTTTGTTGTATTTTCCTCATCCCATGGGATTAAAAGCAAGCACAGCCCCTTTCCAAGATGCTGTGTGTGCCTGGAGCCTTTCTGGTTCAAGATCTTCTATGGACAACTCCACGCCTTGGGCTTCCTCCAGGTCATTCTCCCTGTCCTTCAGGGATGGGAAGCATTGATGTCACCTGGCTGTCTTCCATATCAGCAGGACTCTGCTTGGTTCTGAATACCATGTTCCTTAACTACTTGTGCGGTAAAAATGTAATTTATGCCCTCTAAACCCCAATCCTAAACTGTGAGCCACATACAAGGAAGCAATATGGCAAGGGCAGTTAAGAACCTAGGTTTGGGGCCACACTGCCTGGGTCAATCCCTGACCCTTGGGGCAAGTTATGTAATTTTTTTTTGTGCCTTGGTTTTCTCATCTATCAAATAGGGATAAAAATTCTGATCTGTATTTCTGAAGAGTGCATTTCAAGCACTCTGAAAACAAAGTTGTTTTTTTTCCCCTAAATTTGAGGCACACTCATTTGGCATCAAAGTCTGCCCTGAACTGACATATGACTATTTATTATGCACTTTATCCAAATTAGTGTGATTATTCCTATGTTTCACTGCAGAAATATTAGTGTTTCTGATTATAGGATGCAGCCCGACTGCTGGGGTGTTATATAATGTACACCATATGACCTTACTAAAACCTGATAAATTCAATTTGGGAAAACCACTAAGCCCAAGAGCTTTGGATAAGGGATTGTGGATCTATAGTAGCTACTTCATAGGGTTGTTGAAAAAATTAAACAAGATACAGTCATCCTTAGTGTACACGGAGAATTGCTTCCAGGACCCCTGGGTATACCAAATCCATGCTTACTCACATCCCTCAGTCGGCCTTGCGGAACCCGAATATATGAAAAGTCAGCCTTCTGTGCAGGCGAGTTTCATGTCTCACAAATACTGTATTTTCAACCTCATTTGGTTGAAAAACTTTGGTATATAAGTGAACCCACGCAATTCAAACCCATGGTGTTCAAGGGTCAACTATATTTTGCATAAAGCTCTTAGAATGGTCTCTGAACTGTGAATACTCAATAAACATTTGCTATTATTCTCCTAAAGACATAAAAGAGTACTGTGTCCATGAGAATGAGTGGTTTATTTTACCACAGTAAAAATGTTTGTTCTCTTTTTAAGTGAATGGTTTAAATGTTTAATGAATGATATAAAAATGAATTTTACTGCCTGGATCTAAAGGAAGTTTGCTGTTTGTTTTGGAAAGAGGCTCCAAATCCAACAAGAGAAGTCAGTTTCAGCAAATATGGATGCCACTTTGACTGTCAGATTTTCTTCTGTATTCTTGACCCAGAGCTTGCTTATGCCAGCAAAGACAGAGTCCCCATCCTTTCCTTTTCAACCTCGCCTTCCGTTCTGCATACATTAAACACAGGTTGGAGTGGAATCCAAGGTGGCCTTACTCTGAGATGTTGTGCTTCCTGGACACCTGTAGTTCAGGTGGTCCCTGCTGTCTTGTGTCTTTTTCATACCTTTGTCCTCGATGGCAAACCGTATCAGCTCTTCCTTCTATATCCCAAAGGTAAAATATTTGTAAGTCTCTTGTAAAATATTACAGCTACTATCTTTCTCATCATTTTTCATCCCCAGTCTCAAGCTTTTGCCAAAATCATCTACCATTCAGACTTCTCTGTTCACCTGTATAAAAACCATGGGAAGGTCCTATTTCTCCACTGTCCAGCCTCCTTCTCATTTAGACCTGGTCTGGGTCTAACCCTCCTTGTCTATTTGATTATTATTGCTTTGTTTTTTTCTTGGTGGCCATGTTGTTTTATCTTCTTTGACGATCCTGTGTTTTCTTCCATATTGCATTCTTCTGCAAAATAGTCACAATTTACATTCCTCTGTGTCTGGCAAATCACAAGACTCCCTTATTGCACATTTTTCCAAATGTCTCCATTTTTTAGGTATATGTCTATGTAATAAAATGCTATTTTCTTAGCACAGTGCTAAATAATATTACAGTCCAGTAATTCAAGTTTGGATGATACCACCAACATTGGCAGAGAACCCAAATTTGCACATTAGAACCATGCAGTCATAGAATTGGACAGTTGGGAAGGACTCCAACTCCTTGTTTTATAGATGAAGCAACTGAGACCTGAGATCAAAGTGTCTTGCTCAACCAAACACAGTTGGCTGGTGACAGACATTGAGCCAGAACCCAGTTCTCCAGGCTAGTGTTCTTATTAAACTTTTTATGTGCTTTTTTCCCCCAAAGTAATATATGTACAGTTTAAAAGCCAAGTTGTACTAAAAACTTAATTCAATAGCAGTCCCTTGCCCTGTCTCTACCCACTGCTAGTCCTGTCTCCCTAGAGGCAACCACTTTTCACTCTTTTAGCTGTTTCTTCTAGTATTTACTCCATATCTCTATAAAGGGTATATATATGAGTACTTCTTCATTTATTGGTTTTAGGTATTTAGGATCTCGGAACCTTCCATCACATACCGGAGGGTTTGGCTGTCACACATCTCCACCCCCTTTCCTTCCTCCATCCCTTCCCTATGGCTTCTCCATTCTCAGTGAAGGTATGTGGTTACATCAAGCTTGTAAATATCAAGTATCTGAATCTATCCAGTTTCTAAGTCAGATAACAAGCTCAGAAAATGAGAGACACTGTACATCCAAATTTATTTGGTTTCTGGGTTTCAGATGTGAGTAGTGGAATTTCAAATGATGAGGAACAGATTCCAGAAAAGTATCCAAATCTGTTCCCTTCTAAAAGATGAAGGCTAAGTGTTTGGATAGTGAGAGGCATCTATACTGTTCACTTACAGAGCCAAGGAGTATTTATTTCCTTGTGTCTTAAAAACATGCTTATTGAGTCTGTCTTTGTCTACCAATATTAGGCAATATTGGCAATTCCACTTCCTCTCGTATGTAGGTTTTTGCTTGTCCTAAAATTATTGCCTCATGGTTTTTACTTGCATTCTTACCTATATGTTTATCCTTAATTTTGGCCACTAGATTGGGTATATCCTGTCACTATTTTTGGCCCAGCTGGTCAGACATACTGAATAAACCCATCAATTCCCCTGTATTTTCTGGAGCCCATTAGCCCCTCAGCCTACTGTGCTGCTGGTCTGTGACAACAGCTTCCCTCTTCATTGTCTTGGGAAGTCCACTGACTGGAAGCCTGTCTTCGTCCTGCTCAATTTACTCCCTCTTTTGCTAGGACTAATCTTCCAGGGGCATCCTACATGAAAGGTAAATTTTTCGAGTCTTCAAAATATGGAAATGTCTTGGATCTGTCCTCAGACTTGATTAGTAATTTGGTGGCTACAGAACATTCAAAGTTGGAAGTAATTTTCTCTCGGGATTTTAAAGACATTTTCGTATTGTCCTCTGGCTCTAGTGTCACTCTTAATATGAGATGCCAGTCTTGTGTGAGACCACTTTCGTTCTCTGAAAGCTTTTAGGATCTTCTCTGTAACACTGTTGATCTGAAATTACTTAATAATATGCCATGGAGGTTTTTTTGTTTTTTTTATTTTTTTGTTTTTTTTTTTTTGAGACGGAATCTCACTCTGTCGCCCAGGCTGGAGTGTAGTGGCGTGATCTCAGCTCTCAGCTCACTGCAAGCCCTGCCTACCAGGTTCACACCCATGGAGGTCTTTTTTTCTTTCTTTGGGTTGGGCACTCCACTGGTGGGCCCTTTTAATTTGGAAATGCATATTCTTCAATTCTGGAAAACGTTCTTTTACTGGTGGTGGTTTGTTTTGTTTTGTTTAATTTCTTCCTCCCCATTCACTTGGTTCTCTCTTTCTAGAATTCCTTTTGTCAGATATTGGACCTTATGGATTCTAAAACTCTATCAGTTTCTACTTTCTGTTTGCTTTTGTTTTCTTTTTTGAAGGCTCTTGTAAGCCTTCTAGTAAAATTTTTATGTCACCTATCATATTTTTAATTTCCAAGAGCTCTTGATTGTTTTCTGCTTTTTTTCTTACCGTTGCATCCTGGTTTTGGTTTCTCTCTCTGAGGACATTAATAAGTGTTTTTGAAGTTCTCTTCTACTCATTGTGGAGCTTCTATATTCCTCTATTCCTGGTTATTGTGTCTCAGTCTCTTTCAGGTGGGTGCTGTCTTTAAATGTCTGGTGATTCTTGGCCATTCATATTTAAGAGTGAGGCACTACAAGCGGCTTGGAGGTTCAGGGTGTTTTAGTGGAGCTTTTTACTGGTGGCCCATTGTAAAGGGGGATTACATTGCGAACTCATCATTTCTTTGGAGAATTTTCAGTTGCCAGCATATGGAGGCATTTTCTTAGAAGAATTCCTCTCTGTTTTTTCAGAGATGAATTATCCCCTTTCCTGCCTGGAGGGTGCTCTAAGAGCAGATGGAGGCAGAGGCCCAAGGGCATCACGCCATGAGAGTGGCCACCCTCAGTCCATCCACTCTGTTTAGCCTGCCCATCACCCCATCCCTTCACCATGCCTCCTGTCCCCTGGTCTGGATCCTCTTCTAACCCATTTCTCCAGTAAACAAACCTTCAGACTCTCAAGCAGTCTCCCCTCACATTACCCCTGCCATCTGAAGTACACAGTGCCTTCAGCTCCCAGGCCTCCCAAGGGTTATATCCCAGGCGGATATACTCACTTTGCATCCAAACACCTTTCTGTAGACACATAGATCACTGTTTCCTCCACTCTGCCCAGTCAGCAATCACTCCTCACCTGTCTTCCAAAAACATGTGCTTGTTTGCTGATATCTCCCATTTCCATTGTCTTTGCACTCTTTTTCACTTCTTTACCATCATTTTAGGGGTGTCTTGGTCAAGAGAAAAGATAAAATTGAGGAGTAACCATTAATCCACCATTCATTCAGCCAATCAACAGATAGTGGAACCAAGTGGGTTCAAGGCACTGCTGGGGATGGAGAAGTGAACAAATCAGACAATAATTCCTTCCTTCTTAAAACTTCCAATATAGTGTTTATTGGAAGTACCATGCTCTTGAATGCCACAGAGTAGCAAGTCTAGCAACATAAACCTGTAAAGAGAAGCTTGGGCCTGTTACGATTCAAGAACCAATGTGCAGACACCTGTGAACCCATATGCTTACTTGAACCCTTGCTGTTTGTAAGTGATCACAAATGATACTGGAAATGGGGTTGCCTCTGCTGTATGAGCTGGGAGCCATCAAGTTTGCAAAGCACCGGAATAGCCTTTTACAACAAAAGATGATTCATGTCAGCCTTCGACTTTGTAGGAGATAGAAAACACCTTCTGCTACTCTAGAAAATCAGGATTACCACTTCACAAGGTTGTGGTTTAATCTGAAGAATACAGACCAATCAAAGTTCCTGACCAAAAGTAACTAATAATATAAAAAAAAAAAAAGATAAAGGGCCAGAGGATGTATTAATCTCCAGTATTACTAAGACTCTTACTAGCTTAGAGCTGTGGCTTTCAAGCTATTTTAATCATGCACCCTTATCAGTAAAAATTTTTGGAGCTGGAACCCAAGAGTATGTGTATTTAATTATAAATTACATGCGCATACTAGTCTAATACATTAGTGATACTATGAAACAAAATTTAAAAGTTAAAAGGGCAAGCTAAAAATAACTAGAATTAGAAGTTTTAATATGTTTCCCCATCCTAATAGATCATCTTGGGCATATAAAGCTCACTTAGAAACAACTCACTGGGAGAATGGAAATGAGGACTTGGTCATACCATCCACCATTGCTTAGCTATGAGATACTGGGCAAGCTACTTAATTCTAAGCCTCAGTTTCCTCATTTGTAAAGTGATAATAAAAATACTACAATTTCCCTGGCTTTCTCATAGGGTGGCTTTGAGGATGAAATGAGCTCTGTAGGTGTTTTATAAACTGCAAGGCGCTCAGCAACATGCAAACTCAATTGTGTGACCAGTTAGCCACCTCCATGCCCCAGCCAATAACTTCTCCCTGAGTTTATTCCACCACCCCAGATATCCTTCCTGCAGGTCATAAGAAGTAATGATATGAAGGTGGACAAATGAAACAGTGAAAGTCTCTCATCCTTACTTAAAAAGAGAGACAAAACCACAAAGCAACTCAAGCCCAAATTCTGCAGCTAGTCAGTACCATCCTCCCCATTCACAGGAGAGCACCTTTCTCCCTACAGCTCCAAGGGTGTTATGTTTTCCACACTATAGATGTTATGGATTTATTTTTGGAGACAGGGTCTTGCTGTGTTGCCTACGCTGCCTTAAACTCCTGGACTCAAGCAATCCTCCCACGTCAGCCTCCCAAGTAGCTGGAGCTACAGCTGTGTGCCACTGTGCCCAGCTGACATTATGGATTTTGAGAAAGTAAATCTAATGTTGAGAAGCAGCAATGTTGTTCCTAAGACTTGAAGAATTTCAGTGTGTCCAGCTGAAGTATAGGGAAGGGCTCTATGACCTCAGCAAGACAATTATGTGAGCTGCCTGGTGGCAAGTCACTAAGCCCTACAGCAGTGTCACTGAAAGGTGTCTGGGGCTTACACACTTGGAGTATGTGCAATGTCACCGTATAGCAAAACTGCATTTCTGGCGTCAACCAAAGTAGAGGATTAATTATGCAAAGGGAAAATAAGATGTTCCAAGCACCAGTTAATGGAAGTGTTGTGAGCACAGGAGCAACAATCACAGTTAACTGTACTGCGCACTTGCTTTATGCAAGCCTGTGCAAGGTGTGCCACGTGTGATCCCATTTAATCCTCACTGTTTCCATTTCCATTTTGCAGTTAAAGAAACTGAAAGTGAGAGAGGTTAAGTAGCTTGCTCACAATCATGGCGGAGCCACAATCAAATTCAGATTGCTCTGTCTCCAAAACCTATACCTGAAACCACCCTACTCTTCCACCTATCAAATGAGTTCTATATTTTCATCTTTGTTAGTGACTCCTCTCTCTGATACCCATACAATCAATCTTCTACGCCATTCAACAGGACAAAACTGGAAGGAGACTAGCGATCTCCTTTGCTAGCCACTCTCCTGAGGTTAGAAACCCAGACTCACTGCACAGGATCTTAAAGCAGCAGCAGCAGGTGTGTGTTAGTCAGTTTTTTTGCATGACTATAAAGGAATAACTGAGACTTGATAATTTATAAAAACAGAGGTTTCAGCCAGGCGTGGTGGCTCACGCCTGTAATCGCAGCACTTTGGGAGGCTGAGGCAGGTGGATCACCTGAGGTTGGGAGTTCAAGACCAGCCTGACCAACATGGAGAAACCCCATCTCTACTAAAAATACAAAATTAGCCAGGTGTGGTGGCACATGCCTGTAATCCCAGCTACTCAGGAGGCTGAGGCAGGAGAATCGCTTGAACCCGGGAGGCAGAGGTTGCATTGAACAGAGATCACGCCATCGCACTCCAGCCTGGGCAACAAGAGCAAAACTCCGTCTGAAAAAACAAACAACAGCAACAAAAAAACAGAGGTTTCATTGGCTTACAGTTCTGCAGGCTGTACAGGAAGCATGGCACCAACACCTGCTCGGCATCTGGTAAAAGCCTCAAGAAGATTACAATCATGGCTGAAGCCAAAGCAGGAACAGGCATGTCACATGGTGAGCGTGGGAGCAAGGGGGTGGAGGGTAGGTCCCAGACTTTTAAACAACCAGATCTCACATGAACTGAGTGATAACTCACTTATCACCAAGGCGATGGTGCTAAACCATTCATGAGGGATCCACCCCCATGATCTCATCACCTCTTAATAGGGCCCACCTTCAACATTGGGAATCACATTTCAACATGAGATTTGGAGGGGACACACATCCAAACCATATCAAGGTGATCTGTTGGTTTATTATAACTGAGTCTTCCAAGGACATGGAGGGAAATTTGCAATTTAAAAAAACCCAACCCTGCCCTTTTACTGGAAACTGGAGTGCAAGTAAGAAAGCATTAGCCCCACAGAAGGCAGCTACATGGCCGAGCTTTGTTGTGCTGAGAACCACAGCTCTCTGTCTAGCCAAGCTGCAGCCTCATCAAGGGACTGGTGAGCCTTGGAGGTCTTGCTCCAACTTTAATACCTTCACCCCACTGCCCAGCATGTTCCTCACCTCATACCCATCCCACAGTGCTCACTCTTCACTCCTTCCAAAAAGCCTTGCGCTCTAGAAAGTCACTAAGCTATCAGTCATCTATACCCCAGTATGAATATTAAGCCAATATATGACTTGCTGGTGATAGGTACACTTTGATGATTTTCTTGAATATTAGTTTGAAAGGCTTTGCTTCTATTGCTGTGACCTACAGGCATCAGGAACAGATGGGGTGAAGGACATCTGAATGAGGCCCACGCTTTTTTTTTTTTTTTTTTTTTTTTTTTTTGAGGAATAAACAGTCTTTACTGGGCTCAGATCAGGAGTCCATGGGTCTTGAGAGCTTCTGTGTATTTGTCAGTTTTCTTCTCCACGTTCTTTTCACCCGGTTTCCATAGCCTCATGAGCTGTTTCTTCTTCCGATAGTGGATCTTGGCTTTCTCCTTCCTCTTCTCCTTCAGGGTAGATGCCACTGCCAGGTACTTACAGCAAACCTCGTGAGCCAGGCGCCCCACGTAGGCAAAGTTTCTTGTAGGCTTCAGATGCATGACCTTGAGGGCAGCAGGAACCACCATCCGCTTTTTCATGTCATAGGGCGGTGGGATGCCGTCAAACACCTTGAGGCGCTCCAGGGCGGCCCGGCCTTGCTTTGTCTTGTGGGGCAACATGCCTCGAGGTCAGCCGGAAGGTGCGGCTAGAGGCCCGGAAGTGGTAGGGGCCTCGGGAAGGGTTGGTGTTCATCTGCTTGCGGAGGAAGACCAGGTACTTCAACTTGTATCTGTAGAAATGGCCAGAAATGATGATGCCCTCACAGCGTACGACCTCCACCTTCCGGCCCAGCAGTACCTACTTAGCCACGATGGCCGCCAGGCGGCCCAGGAGATGGCCTCGACCATCAAGCACCAGGACCTGCCCCTCCGCCATCTTCAGCAGCCCCCTGGGAAAGGACACTCTTTTTTTTTTTTTTTTTAAATCCCAAATACAAGTTAATGCATTTTGCTTTGCTCTAATTTTAAATTTTTTATTGTTAAATATCCAGCATATACAGATTTTTTTTTAATAGCCAACCCAGATACAGAAAGCTTCATAAAACAAATGTACAAACTCGTATGAGGCTATCACTCTTTGAAGGGTTACCAAGATGCCATTTGTGAACCCCTCCCAGTGACTTATCCCCTCTGTGCAAGATTAACTTTGATCCTGAAATTTAAAAACCAAATTTAAATCCAGTGGGTAGGAAACCATCATTCTCAGCAAACTATCACAAGGACAGAAAACCAAACACCGCAGGTTCTCACTCATAGTTGGGAATTGAACAATGAGATCACTTGGACACAGGGTGGGGAACGTCACACACCGGGGTCTCTCCGGGGGTGGGGGGCTGGGGGAGGGATAGCATTAGGAGAAATACCTAATGTAAATGATGAGTTGACGGGTGCATCAAACCAACATGGCACATGTATACCTATATCAAACCTGTACATTGTGCACATGTACCCTAGAACTTAAAAAAAAAAAAAAATGCAGTGGGTAGATTAGCTGTCCCCATGTGTTTAACAACAAGGGATAGAGTCATAATCTTTTCTAGCTGCAGTGTTTTGGGGTCCTGAGTGGTTCTGGTACCCCAGTTTTTCGGTAAAGGATTTCCCCTGGGTACATTATGCATTTTTATGCAGCTTTATCCTAATACATGCCAGCTTCAATGTGTGCTGCATCTTTGGAGGCTGCAGACTTACCCAGTAGTGCCCAAACTTTTGGGGACTTCCTTTTCTGAATTATCTTAATTTGGTAAGTCAGCTAGATGGTTCCTTTCTTTTAAACAAAGCTGTGTTAGGGCAGCTGATCATTCAGCCTTGAATTTGGGCCATTACAGAGTTAAACCCTGAAAGAGTCGTTTTCTTTCACTTTGAACATTCTAAGCCTGTTTTACTGGTTCTAAATCTATTTCAAAAGACAAGGAGCTGGACATGGGGGCTCACATGCTGTAATCCCAGCACTTTGGGAGGCCGAGGTGGGAGGATCCCATGAGGATCCCTGGCCAGCATGGCAAAACCCCATCCCTACAAAAAATACAAAAATTAGCTGGGGCGTGGTGGCACGTGCCTGTAGCCCCAGCCACTCAGGAGGCTGAGGCAGGAGGATTGCTTAAGCCTGGGAGGCAGAGGTTGCAGTGATCTGAGATCTCTCCACTGCACTCCAGCCTGGGCAACAGAATGAGACCCCCCATCTCAAAAAAAAATTTTTTTTTAATTTGAAAAGACAAGGATTTTAGCCCAGGCAGCTTGTTACATTGAGAGTCTGGTATCCAGCACTCACCAGAATGCTTTTGGAATGCTTGTGAAACCTCAGTGATTTTCTTACAGCTTCATTTGATTTTATATTATTTTTAACTCCTTATTTGGAAATAATTTCTAATTTCCAAAAACATCAAAAATAAGAATAGCACAAAGAACATTCTATAGCCTTTACCCAAATTCAACATTTATTTATTGAAACAGGGTCTTGCTCTGTTGCCCAGGCTAGAATGCAGGGGTGCAGTGATAACTCACCGTAACCTGGAACTCCTGGCTCAAGCAATTCTTCCACCTCAGCCTCCGGAGTAGCTGAAACTGCAAGTGTGTACCACTGCATCAGCTAATTTTTTATTTTATTTCTTATTTTTTAGAGATAGCGGTCTCGCTGTGTTGCACAGGCTGATCTCGAATTCCCAGCCTCAAATGTTGCTCCAGCCTCAGCCTCCCAAAGTGCTGGGATTATAGGTGTGAGCCATTGCCCCTGGCCCAACTGTTGTTAACATTTTGCTCCATTTGCTTTGTCCTTCTGTTTCTTGGGGGTAGGGAATGGGAGAGAGACAGACCGATCCAGATATATTTTCAATAGTCACACGTAATATTTTTCTAAACCATTTGAGGGCAAGTTACATTCTTCGTGGTATTTTACCAATTACTTCAGTGTATGTGTCCTAAGAATAGGAATATTCTCTTACATAACCTCAGTACAGTTTTCAACTTCAGTAAATATAACATGCAAGCATTTACTTTAATATAATCAGAAGAAAAAACCACCAACAGACAGTGGTTTATTTTTTTCTACACACTGAGCAGTAGGCTTCCATTTTCATGTGGTTTGCATACAGCAATCTTCAAGTCTAATTGTTTCAATCTTATTGAAATTGCTTTCTCCTGTATCAACAATAGGTAGAGGGTGCATATTGACATCTCTGTTTTCAATCAAATGTTTGTTTACTTTCTGCCCTCATTAGGGACTCTAAACACATCAGAGAGATAATAAAAATAAATATCCCATCCTGCTCCCAGGCCTTGGAAATGAGAGAGTAAACACCAGTATAATTTAACACTTTCCTGGTCCGATGGGAAAATGTTGCTTTTTTATGTCTACGGCCCTTGAGAGGAGGAGAAGCTCTCCGCTAAATAAAATATCCTTTGTATCCTCTTTGCTGAGCTTCCTTTCCTTGACTGACTTTCACCATGAACCCCACCTGCTGGGGTAAATTACTGATAAGTGACCCATGCCTGTTTCCCCCTGTTTTCTAAATTCAGTGGTCAGTGTTTGTGACAGCTGTCATCAGCTGCATCTCACCGTGCTCCCTGCACTCTGCAGGGTTCTTGGCTTAGAGAACTTAGCTTAGAACTCCTTAGAGTTCTTGGCTTGTCCTGCATAGGAACGAACCTTCCAGAGCATTCCAGCTCCCAGCTGGAGGTGAGACAGCACACACATTTCCCACTGGGGCCTCCACTTGGGCCAGGAACAGGTATGGTGAAGGTGGCAGCGATGTTGGGAAACTTCTTGGCTGCTGGGCCCCTTCCCTGAGGGCTGTGGGGAAAGGAGCATTGCAAGAGTGCTGTGCTTGGAAGTTTTCAGCAGCACGAAAATCACATTTATAGGTTCTGAATCTGAACCATTTCACACTAAGAATTTTGTAATACTTCCTCTTTCTCCTCCTCCACCCTAACCTCTCATTTTAAGTTGCTCTGTCACCCCATTTCGCCTATTAAAAGCTAGTGTCTATAAAAATTTCAGTTTCAAGGCAGTGCATTCCTCATTAAATTGTTTTCTCTCAGAGTTTTCTAAAACCAGTTTAAAATTCAGCTAGTGCCCTTCTCAGACTCTCCCCAGCCCCCAGACCCTCTCCCCAGAACAACCTCTTTAAAATCTTTTTGTTATTTTTTCTGGTATTAACCCCTCTAAATTAGATGCTTAGACTGCGTTCCTGATTTATTGGTTTTAAACACTGCCTACTGACTTCCCGTTAGAAGAATTTGGCCCTCTTGTACCACCCACCCTCACTTCTCCTCCCCATCCTCCCAGTACAGCTATACAGGTAGGCAAAATTCATGGTCAGTGTTTACAGTATGATGGTGATTTAAATATTATTCACTAGGGAGCCAACCAGTGTACTGGGATTAGGTTTCCTTTCTTACATAACTTTTTGTTTTTCTTTTAATAATTGCCTTTAAAAGACCGCTTTGTCTATGAGATGCCCATTGCACATTCTCCTAAATGCCTACCAGTGGCATCTGCCAAACGCTCACAAGCATCCTGTGAACTCTCGGTCCCCAGCTCCCGAATCTTCCACCTCCTGCTCCAGCCTAGACTTGTGATTCCCTAGGCAAGCTGCCGAGCATCATGCAGGGATTTCCTTTTGCTGTGCCTCTGAGGCTTAGATCCCTGTTTTTCTTGGACCTATTTCTTCCTACTTTTTAGTTTGTCCATTTTAGGGGAGAGTACATCCTCTGACAGCTTCCTGAGAAAGAGTGCCTGGGAGGCAAAGTTTTTGACGCCATGTGGGTCTGAAAGTGCCTTTGTCCTTCCCTCAGTCTGAATAATGGTTAGTTGGGTATAGAGTTTTCAGCTGAAGATAATTTCCCCTCCAACTTTTGAAGCTAACACTTCACTGCCTTCCAGCTTCCAGTGTTACTAATGAAAAGCCCAGTGCCATTCTGAGTCCTTGATGCAACCTGTTTTTCTCTCTGGAAGTTTATGAGATATCCTCTTTATCATTTTTTAAAAAAGCTAAGTGATCTCAATGTAGAACAGTTAGGGGTTTCAAAATCACACAACTCTTAATAATAAGGTAGAAAGTCAGCCTGCAGTGTACATACCTTTTCCTAGAGCCAAGCACAAAATGCAAATGTGAGATTTCAATGATTTCTGACTCTCAGATGGTCTTGCACCTGGTACTTCTCCCCCTCTTCGCTCCATAATACCTGGTTCTTCAGGCACAAGTAAGCAGTTTTCAGAACGTCTGAGAGAGAGGAAATGAACACCTTTATATACGTGTAAGAGTGATTTCACATCTTTTCCCTGAAGAGGCAAAACTGACATGGGGATAGAGGAATAGGAGAGCATTGTGGGCCCCCCTTTCCAGAAAGGACTAGTCCCATCCACTGCCCCCCATCCTGTCTTAGCAGCAGTTCCATTTCTTATATGTTTCTAGTAAATGATCTTTTGTAACAGTCCTACGAACTGATTGTTCTAGACTGGCAATTTCTGTGAAACCAAGTAATAAATACAAAGCCCCAGGAGGAAGCCATTCAGAACATTCTCTTCTTATTTAAAGAATTTATTTGTACATGAGATTTTCTGTATCTTTTCTGAATGTTTAGCCATGAGGAGTGAGAGACAACTTAAAATGTTATCTTTTAAATTCTGCAAGTATTTTGCAACTCTGTCAATCCCCTTTCTGACTCTTCTTCCTTCCTTTCTCATACATGATTCTTCCTCACTTGTATTTTAAAGGATTTCTAAGCATTGGAGTCAACAAGCCTGTGTAATGAGGAAGGAATTAAGAAGTAGAAGAAAAAAACTAAAAACAAAAAGCAACTGCCTGAAAGTCAAGTAATCATAAAGTACCTATGAATAACCTAAAATATGTAAATATAATCCAATATTTATGCTAATGTATATGGGCATCCTAGCTTTCATATTCCTCAGACATACAACCTGGAAAAAAAAAACCCTGCTGGAAAACACTGAATTGATAGTTTCTCTCCCTTCTCCCCATCCCCTTCTTCAACATCTTCATCATCATCATCACCATCATCATTGCCACCAAAGCTTCAAGTGGCAGGAGGCGGGGCAAAGATCAAGTTTATTGAGTTTTTAGAAGCTCACTGGAGTGAGGATAGTGAATTGCCAAGTCAATTTCAGGGGGCCATCAGCACAGCTGCTGGCATTGCGATCACAATTGGAGGCCGAGTAAGAGAAAACACTGGATGGTCCCCAGGTAGAGAGGATACATCCTGAAGGGCAGGGTCTGAGCACCTGATAGATGTGGGACCCTACAGAGAATGGGGACTGCTGCGAAGCTGGTTTTATTAGACTGATTTCCTGAGGACGACGTCTCCTCTGGAAGGACAGCTTTTGTGTAAGGTGAAATGGAGGAAGAGAGGAAGAAAGGATTGAGGCTAGAGGGGCATTAAAAAGAAAGATTTGAGACTTGGAAGGGTGGGACTCATACTGGTGGGAGGAAATTGGAATCCAGGATACATGGAGAAATTATCAGAAAACACCCAGCTATCTCAAGTTCAGAATTCAGGTTCAGATAATGACATCCTAGGATACTGGGGGAAAAAAAGAGAGAGAGAGATAGAATTGCTTTTGGTAAGCTTAGCAGAGTCAGAGAGAAAAGGAGAGTTCCCAGAAAACAGAAAGTGGCCAAATGATTTTCTGGTTTCCAGAAAAGGAAAAAAAACTTAATTTCAGAATTTACAGATAAAGGAAGAGTCTAGTGTGCATTATTAAAATTATAGATTGTGGGCCGAGCACAGTGGCTCATGCCTGTAATCCCAGCACTTTGAGAGGCCGAGGCGGGTGGATCACCTGAGGTCGGGAGTTCGAGACTAGCCTGACCAACATGGAGAAACCCCGTCTCTACTAAAAATACAAAATTAGCTGGGCGTGGTGGCACATGCCTATAATCCCAGCTACTAGGGAGGCTGAGGCAGGAGAATCGCTTGAACCTGGGAGGCAGAGGTTGCATTGAACTGAGATTGTGCCATTGCACTCCAGCCTGGGCAACAAGAGCAAAACTCCGTCTCAAAAAAAAAAAAAAAAAAATTGTAGATTGTGAATACTAGAAAAGAAGGTAGTGAACACCAGGAGCCAACCTGGGTTTACTAAGAACTGTGTACACCAGAGAAATCCCATCTCCTTTTCTCCTGGGCTGGGAGGCCAGGAAATATTATAGATACAGTGTCTCTGGTTTTAACAAAGCATTTGGCAAAAGTCTGTCATGAAATGTATGTGGAAAAGATGGAATCCACATGAAGTCATACAAGTAGGTAAATTCATAACAGTTGAAAGGCGGTATCTGTGGAGAAGTCAGAGCAAGGATCTTTGTTTTGGTGGTGGGGTTGTTTGGTTTGGTTTGGTTTGGTTTTGTCTTGTTTTTGAGACAGGGTCTCACTCTGTCACCCAGGCTGGAGTACAGGGGCGCAATCACAGCCAACTGCAGCCTTGACCTCCCAGGCTTAGATATTCCTCCCACCTCAGCCTCCCAAGTAGCTAGGACCACAGGTGTGTGCCACCATGCCCAGATAAATTTTTGTGTTTTTTCTAGAGACAGGGTTTCATCATGTTGTCCAGGCTGGTCTTGAACTTCTGGGCTCAAGTGACCCACCCGTCTCAGCCTCCCAGAGTGCTGGGATTACAGGCGTGAGCCACCATGCCCAGCTAGATCTTTGTTTATCACTGATGAATTCCTGACACCTAGAACAATGCCACAGTGGGTGCTTAGTAAATATCTGTACAGTGAGTGGGCCGTAACTGAGCCAGAGGGACAACTGCAGGGAAATGTTACAGGCTTCTTTCCTGCCCCTGTCCTGCTTTGTTTCGTATTAAGGACTCGAGTAAAGACATTGATGATATGCTCAGTAAAGTTTGTGGAGAACAGAAAGCTAAGCCTGAAAACTAGTTTAGAAACTGATAGAATCAAGACCCAAATATCTTGCTAGTCTGAGTTAGATCTCTCAAGAACTAAAAGTTTAACAGGAATATATGTAAACTACTATTCTTGAGACTTGGAAATCAACTGAACAGGTAGGAAAGATATAACTTAAGAAACCTTGCTTTTAAAGTTCATATGTTTTCGTTGACTCCAAACTTAGTGTTAATACGGTAGCTGCCAGAAGAGTCCCATTTCAGCCATCCATGTTTGGATTCATCAGTTTCAACAAATGCTTATTGCAGGCCTGCTCTGTGCCAGGGAGCTGGTTGTGTACAGAGACAGACATCCCCATCAACCCCGGGATAGGAGATGAGCACTAAGGTTGAGGCAAGGTTAGCATCCAGGGGGGCTTGAGAAGGGAGCAGGGTGCCTCCCTGTGCCTGGGGTGGTCCAAAGCATTCACAAGGCAGGGGAGCTCTTAGGCTGAGACCCAGAAAACAGAAGGGAAAGGGGAAGCTGGCAGAGGAGACAATTTGTCTGAAGACAAGGTATGGGGGCAGTTGAGAGTGGTCTGTTCAGTGGGCTCTCTGGGACTTAGCCTGTGAGGGGAAGAGGAGAGGTGGCTGCAGGTAGGTCAGCAGGGAGGCCTTGGCCCACCAGGAGCCATGGGGCCAGGGAAGAAATGCAGGCCCCAGGACTTGGCACTCTTGGTTTTTCTTCTACCTCCTGGGCTGCTCCAACTCAGAGTCCTTTGCCAGTTTCTGCTTCTCCCAGTCTCAGCTTTGGAGTGCCCCAGGCTCAATCCTTGGCCCTCTTCCCTTCCCATGTATACTTTTATTCCTTGCTGCCCTCATCCAGCCCCATGGCTATAAATGCATTCTATTTGCAGACATGTCCCAGACTCCTGTCAGCAGCCTGGGCTTTTCTCCTGAACTTGGGACTCAGACATCCCACCACCTGCTTGACATCTCCAGCATTTAACATGTGGAAAACTGAATTGTTAGCTTACCCCCTGTAATAGTTTGCTAGGGCTGCCGCAACAAAGTACCACAAACTAGATGGCTTAAAATAACAGAAATTCATTCTCTCTCTGTTCTGGAGACCAAAGTCCAAAGTCAAGGTGCTGGCAGGGCTGCGCTCTCTCTGAAGCTTCCAGGGCAGAATCTGTTGCATGCTTCCGGTGTGGCTAGCCATCCTTGGCTTTCCATGTCTTATAGCTGTGTCACTCCCGGCTCTGCCTCCTTTATCACATGGTGTTCTCCCTGTCCACCTTCACATCATCTCCAGGCCTGTCTGTGTCTCTTCTCCTCGTCGTATAAGGACGCCAGTCATATTGGATTAAGGCCCACCCTAATGACCTCATCTTAACTTGATCACTTCTGCAGAGACGCTGTTTCCAAATAAGACCACATTCACAAGTATTGGGGATAGGACTTCACCATATCTTTTCAGGGACCCCGTAACTTTCTTCATCTGTGGCCTTTCTAGGTTAGCTGATAGCCACTTCATTCTTCCAGTTGCTTTGGACAGAACTCTTGGTGTCATCCTTGACTCCCATCTTTTTCTCCCATCCACATCTAGTCCACTAGGAAACAGGTTAGGTTCAAAACCAACTGCTTCTCCCACCTCCACTTCTGCTGCCCTGATCTGAGCCACCATCACCTAAATTACTATAAAAGCCAAGTATCAGTTCATGTCACTCCTCTGCTCAAAAGCCTGCATAGCTTCCCACACCACTCAGAGTCACTGGCACAGCCTTTCCGCCGCCCCCATGCCATCCCCGGCTTCAGTGCCTCTACGCTGGCTCGCGTTGGCTCCTGCACACAGGCTGGCTTCTTTGCTCTCCCTCATACGTCCTAGGCTCTCCCCTTCTCTGGACCTTTGCACTAGCTCTTCCCTCTGTGCGGAACACCATCCCCTAGATGTGCTCCAGCCTCACAATCTACCTTCTCACCTTCTTCTAGTCTGCTCAGATATCACCTTCTCAGTGGCACCCTTTTTACAATTCCAGCCAGCCTTCCCAGCACCAGTGTTTTGTTTGTTTGTTTTTTTATAACACTTTACCCTTTCTATAGCAGACATTATTGGGAATACTTATTGTTTGTTGTTTGTCTCACCTGCTAGCATGTGATGTCTACAAGGCAAGGGTCTTGCCAGTTTTGGTGACTGGTGTTTCCCAAGGGCCTAGAGCAAGGGAGAGCCAGGACTGGGCCCAGGTCTCCCTGGCTCCAAGGCCATCCTCTTCCTGCTGTGAAAGACCACTCTGAACTATACAAGGGTAGATCTCTCCAACACCACATCTCGTTTATCCTCCCTGCCCCATCTTTTGCCATCTTCCTCAGTGACTTCAGTATCTCTGTGAGCCTACTTGCTAAAATAGAAATTTTAAACTGTACAGAAAGAACATGGTGTTATGTTCAAGAGAATGGAGTCTGGGCTGGGTGTGGTGGCTCACACCTGTAGTCTCAACACTTTGGGAGGCCAAGGCTGGAGGATCATTTGAGTCCTGGAATTCGAGGCCAGCCTGGGCAACATAGTGAGACCTCGTCTCTACAAAAAATTTAAAAAATTAGGTGGATGTGGTGGCATGTGCCTTTCGTCCCAGCTACTTGGGAGGCTGAGTTGGGAGGATCACTTGAGCCCAGGAGGTCAAAGCTACAGTGAGCTATGATAGCATAACTATGCTCTAGCCTGGGCAACAGAGTGAGACCCTGTCTTGGAAAAAAAAAAAAAGGAGTCTGGAGCCACTTACACAGCAGGTAAGCATAGGCACCTCACTTCACCTCCCTTTGCCTCAGTTTCCTCATCTATCAAAAGGAGATAATCATGCCACCTTACCTTGAAGGGTTTCTGTGAGGGCTAAATACGTTAATATATGTAACCACTTACCATGGAAACAGTGAGTACCATGTCAGTATCATTGTAAGGATATATATTTGAACCTTGAGGACACTATGCTAAATGAAATAAGCCAGTCATAAAGGACCAATACTGCCTGATTCCACTGATATGAGGTATCTAAGGCAGTTGACTCGTAGAAGCAGAACATAGAATGGTTGAGTGCCAGGGGCCGGAGGAAGGAGGAAGTGAGGTTGCTGCTCAGTGGGCGTGGAGTTTCAGTAGTGCAAGCTGAGTCAGTTCTAGAGATCTGCTTTACAACAGTGTGCTTATGGTTAACAATACTGTACTATACACTCACAGATGTGTTAAGACAGTAGATCTCATGTTATATGGGGCTTTTTAAACCACAACTTGTTTTTTAAAAAGGATGTAATATATTAGTCACTAACCCTTTGTTTTATTGAATTTTCTCAAGGTTAAGGGACTTACCCAAGTGCTCGCAGCTTATAAAGGAAAGAGGGTGACAAGAATGAAGCCTCTGACTTCCAGGGCTCTTTGTCCTGCTCCAAGTCAGGCATTAGTTCTGTCTGTCAAAATCCAGATTATCAAAGGACCATAGTATAAAAGGGCTCTGCAATATGGGGAGGTGCATCCACGCTTCTTTGGGAGAAACGCCTCACATGTTGGCTTCATAAAACTCTTCTATGCCCCGTAGGTTGGACAATGAGAAATAAATAATCCAGACATTGGTGTTTTTGATAGGTGGTTAGAGCTTCCCCAACAGGGGGAGTAAACAAAAGAACCATCTTAATTTCAAGCTTAGTTAGAACTACGGAAGACTAAAAGTCATTTTTCAAAATGGTGGGTGGTGCCAGGGCTCTATCCCCACCTGGAAGGGGCACTTGATCTGTAAAAGCAGCAAAAATAATTGTGTCTTTTATGTCACTTAGGTAGAAGCTCCTGTCCCAATTAATTCTTATCTCCTCCTCCCTTTATAAATATGCTTGGGCAAAGTGACATCCTAGCAGTTTTTTGTTTTGTTTTCTCTCTTCTTAACAAGGAATTCTCTCTGCTTAGGCATTTTAGGTGCTGATTTTTCTCATGTCCCAGAGATGCTTCTAATTAGTTGATGCTTCCTTCCCATAATAGTTCACCACAGAGAGTGGATTTGGACTGGAGGAGGGAGCAATTTTGTCATCTTATCAAAGTGCCACTGATCAGGTTGGCTTTCCTGAGTGCTCATTCATTTTTCCGCCTCTCTGGAAACAGAAGCAGCAAGCTCCTTGCTGAGTGGAGCTGGAGGTTTTTGGGTTTTGCTGTCTCCCCAGTGCTTCCCAGCACCCTTTGATGAAATGCTGCCTCAGAGTCTTTGCAGTAGGGCTCACTAGAGAAATTATCTTTTTCCTTTCACATCAGTGGAAAAACACTTGGCTGGGGACAAATGGCAAAAGCATGCCACTGTCACCTTGTCCCTAAGTAACCTGGCACCCACCAGGGCTGCCTGCAGGCCCTGTGTGTCCTGGGGAGAAGGTATATAAAGGCCTCTTCCTTTTCCTGCTTTCTAGGAGCAGAGTGACCCTCCAGGCCAAGGACAGTGCTGTATTCTTGGGTGGTTCTGACATTGCAGAAAGAGTCTGTGGACACTAGAGATCCAAGAATTATCCTCCAGTGCTTCAGAGCTGGAAGGAGATGCTAGCTCAGGCCTCTTTAAGGACTTGTATCAGTTAGCTAGCTTTTGCTGTGCAACAAACCACCCCAAAACTTGATGGCTTAAGACAGTAAACATTACTTACTATGATTCTGTGGGTCTTCTGGGTGTTTCTTCTGGTGCGGATAGCGCAGCCCAGGCTGGATGGTCAAAGAGGCCCTCCCTCACCTGTCTGGTGGTTGGGAGGCTGCTCGGTCTGGAGAGGTCTGGGCAGGAACAGCTCACCTGTGCTCCATGTGGGTCCGTCCATGCTACTGCAGCCCAGCCCGGGCTTTCCACATGAGGGTTCCAAGGAGAACAAGAGAGGGCACACAAACCCAGTGCATAAGTATTTTATAAGTGTCTGTCACAGTTGCTAATGGTCTGTTGGCCAAAGTAAGTCATGTGACTGAGCCCAGAATCAATGTGAAAAGGGGGAACCCAAGGGTGTGAAGATTGGAAGGTATAAACAACTGGGGGGCCATTCCTGCAACAGCCTACCCAGGAGTGCCGCGTCAGAAGGTGTGTCCTGTTCTCGCCCTGCATGGGTTTGTGTCAGTGTGGGGCAGCTCTTTCAAGGAAGAAATGAAAGGCTCTTTTGAGGCAGGGAAGTGCAGTGGAGTTTGACACACAGTGTTCAAATTCTGCACAGCATTTACCAGCAGTATGACATCAGGCAGGTGACTTGACTTTTCTAAAGCCTGGGTTCTTCACCTCTAAGCTGGGTCTGGTCAAGTTTCCCTCATGAGGTTCTTCAGGACACTAACTGATGTTTGTGGAGCAGGGTGTGTGGCATGTGGTCAGCACCCAATGTAGCTGGCATTGTGGTGGGGCAGCAGAAAGGCAGCTATGCTGGGAAGTTGGACAGTGCCAAATCCTGGGGCAACAGGTGGTCATCCATGCACAGGAAGCTTGGCTGGACACCTGGATGGCAGCGTGCCCTGGCCCAGGAGGCCAGGTGAAGATGGCAAAAGGGAAAAGAAGGCTCTGCTGGCTTCTTGCAGACTAAAGCCCTGTTCACATATTTGTTGTTTAAAATTGAAACAAGTAAGTCACCCTTTCTTGGTTGTACATCCCCCCACAGCAACTGCCAGTTGACTTCCACACCCTATTTTTTCCCCAGAGCTTTCACTCCTTGTCAGAGGTGTTGAACACTGCAGTGCTTCCCACGTGGCTTCTCTGTGCCTCTGACTCTGTTGCTGGGTCCTCCTGGGCACTTCCTCATGACTCACCTCCTCCCTCTGCGAGCGTTCCTCTCAGCTTCCTTCACTGGCCCCTTCCCTCCTCTCATCTTCTTGTTATTTATTGGTGTTCCCCAAATTCTAGCCTTAACCCTGTTGTCAGACAACACTGTTTCACAGGGAGACTGTGCACAACCCCAGCTTGGCCCCCGCTTGCTCATGATGTCCCCACTCTGTCTCTCTGGCCCCAGCTTGCCTCTTGGACTGCAGATCAGTTTCTCACACTTAGTAGGCTGCAAAACAAAGCTCTCCTCCCCATATGTCCTCAGTCTGCTCGGGCTGCTATAAGAAAGTACCATAGCCTGGGTGGCTTAAACAACTGAGGTTTATTTCTCACAATTTTGGAGGCTGACACCCACGATCAGGGTGCCCGCATGGTGAGTGGACGGGTGCTCACTGGGCAGAGAGGGCCCTGGTGTCTCTTCCTTTCCTTACAAGGGCACTAATCCCATCATGGAGCTCCACTTTTAGGTCCCCATGTAAACCTCATCATTCCCCAAAGGTCCCATCTCCTTATACCACCTCACTGGGTGCTAGGGTCTCAGTACATGAATCCAGGGGGACGCAGTTCAGTCTCTAGCACCATGTAACCTGCATTCCCATCTGTCTTCCCCTCTTCCTGGTAGGCCAAGCCAGAAAGCTCTAAGTCATTTCCCACAGTGGTCAGTTCCAAATAAATGTCTCTTGGGTCCTGCGTCCTCTCTGTCCCTGCAGCCCCAGACCCTGCAGCAGCCCTCTCACCTCCAGCCTTGTTCCAGCAAGCTCAGCATTGCTTCCAAAACAAACACCCGATCACTGCTCTCTGCATTCTCTCTCTCATACTCATGAGCACATGGTAAAACTCTGCCTCGCACCTCTCTGGCCTTATCTCCTGCCCTTCCCCCCAGCATCCTCATTCCCTGCTATATTCACCCACCTGTGGCACCCTCACCAGGCCAGCACATCTCACCACACTGCATTTGCTCTTGCTGTTCCCACGACCCGGGCTGCCCCTCCCCCTGCGACTGCCTGGAAGCTTGTGCTCATCTTTCAGGAACCGACTCTGGGGTCATCCTGGTGAAGCTCTCCCTGCCCTCTGCCGCAGCATGAGCCACGCACACGTCCTATTTATCACTTGCCAAGTGTACTGTGGGCTTGTGAGTCTCGCCCTGTCTCTTTTCATGATCTGTGAGCTCCTTGAGGGCATAAATCATCGCATTCATTTCTCTGTACCCCAGTGTCTGGCATATAATCAATGACAATAAATAAGTGTTGGATAAATGAGTGAGTAGATGAGGGCAGTGGGTGAGACCAACAACCTCCTGTTTCCCACACTGAGTCACCCCAGGTTCCCCACTGGCACAAGTGCCACTAGCTGCCAGCCCCCTGAACTTCCTGCATATCCAACTTACCAAGTCCTGGAGCAGCTGGCGTTCTCCTTCCCACCCCACAGCACTAAGGGCCCTGGCAAGTTCTCGCCTGCCCCCAGGAAGGCCGGTTATAGAGAAAGCCCTTGGCACCTTAGCCAGAGCTCATGGCTCCCTCCTCTAGCACACTTTGCCCTTTCTGCCTGTTTAATCATGTCACTTTATGCCATCCCATTCTCTAACTGTCTGGCTCAGGTTAGCCCTTCACTACATCAGCTCACTCTACTGTCCGGCTCGTTCGTTGTTTTAAGTGTGTATGTTGTCATCCTAGCTGATCCTCATTGTAGACAGGAGCTTCTGTTCTTTATTGGTTCTTGGACATTTGGTAAATGCTACGCCACGGGTGTTTATTCATAACTGACCTCAGAGTTCTTGTTACTTCCCTGCCTGCCTGTCTCCCTTTCTCCCAGCTGCCGTCCTCTTTAAAAAGGTACAACATCCTAAGAGTTAAGATCCAGCAGCCTTGAGTTCAGATTTTGGCTCCAGCATTCCCAAACTGTGAGACTGGGAGCCAATAGCTTAACCTCTTTGAGCTTCTATTTCCTTATCTATAAAATGGAGATAATGTCACCCCTGCAGGTCTGCTGTGAGGATTCAATGAAACAATCAATGAACAGCACTTAGCACAGTACCTAACGTGGAGTAAATACTCAATAAATGCCGGCTGCTGTGATTGATGTTTTTTCAATAATATTATTTTATCAATAAATCTTCTCCTTAAGGGTCTATCATAGTCTAGCCCCAGGCCAGCACCCAACACATAGAATAAGTGTTTGTAGAACTGTCAGGCGAGCATATAAATTTATTTCTAGGGCTACCCTGAAATGCTTCCCCTTCCTTGTTAGTTGGAATGAGAGGCTAATTTTCCCTAAGATGTTTCCACTCATCTCCAACAAGAGCTTCCTTCTTGTGAACACAGCCCATGTTCTGAACCTTACCTTGGGGCAGGGTGGGTTATGCTGGCTCTTCACCCATACATGCACATGTCGGGGACAGCCAGTCTCAGGAGTCCCTTCTTAATCAGGCCTTTTTGGAAGCAAGACAGCTAGACCCTTCCCCTCTATTCATATCAGAGTTTAGGGTTTGCTTTCCTGGTTTGATTTGGTCTCAGCATGGCTATCACCTGTCTTGAAGGGCTTTTCTGGGAAGACACCCTGAGGGACCTGACAGGGCATCCAGGAAGACTCTGCTCAAAGGCCAGAAAGGAAGCTGGGCACCCCATTCTAGCCTCTGGAGCTTGGCCAGGTGGAGGCATCCTGGCTAAGGGATGCCCATTTCTCTCCCTCTGGCCAAGGCTGGTAGAAGTCCTGCCCACTGAGAGTCAGGGAGGGGACAGGGACACAAACCCTATTGAACACAGCTCTCAGTCCCTTACCTGTGGAGGGTTCCTTCCTGGACCACTTAGCCGCCTCAGAGAGGGGACAGTATTATAGTCCCATCTCTGATCACTGGAGAGGCAAATCAAGCACATGATTCTCACCCCTGAGCCTTCCCTGTTCCAGTTCATAACTGGGTGGAAATAGGTAAAATCATAGACTGTTCCTATGGGAAGTTACCATTAGGGAAGTCTAGGCCAGTGCCGGGTTGAACAGCTACATCAAAGTTACCTGGAAAACTTTGTTCCAAAATGCAGATTCTTGCAATGGAAGCATATCCAGAATTTCCAGTTCAGTCAGGCTGGCTGGAACCCAGTCATCTGTCCCCTAAGAGCTCCTGAAAGATTCCAATGCACAGTTAGGTATGGACCCATTAACCTGTCCCGCTGCCTTATCTCAGCAGTAAAGGTGGAAGGTGTTCTAGGGCCCCAGAGAGGTCTCATGCCTTGAAAAGTTAGTGATAAAGGCCCAGAGCACCGAGGATACTGCTCAAGTCCTGCCACCTTCTCACAGCAGCCAGGGCTGGAGCCGTCCCTCCACTAGATAGGATCCTGGACATCAGGGTGGGGCCAGCAGGGGAGCACTGACTCATGGGGTCCCAGCAGGCCACGCTCCCAGGGGAGCTGAGAAAGAGCTAGGGCAGAGAAGAAGGGCCCTTGGCCATTTCTTTCAGAGCCCTGTGGTGTGGATGCATGGATGCCCTCTGCTTCGGCCCACTGCCCTCCCTGGCCTCCCATGGCAATGTAGGGGCCACTCTACAACCCACCACTGCTGGGCAGGTGGAGAGTGAAGCCCGTGTGTTGCATTGAGTCCTGTTAAGAGTCTCAGTTGAAGTTGGCTGGCTGACGGATTTGACACAGGGGTAGAAAGTAGATGTGGGACAAAGTCTAAGTTTACCAATACAGACAACTCCAAGTCCTGAATAGATTGAAGGGGTTTTGTTTTCTCATGTGGGCATTTGACCCTTCTAGAAAGATGGGACCATCCAGAGATACCCAGCCCTGACCCCAGCAGTTTACACTACGAAGCTGCTGGAATCACAGACACAAACCCCATAGAGACAGGTCATGCCTCTGAATCAGAAACTTCATTTAAACCAGGAAAAACAAAACTGTGTGAGCCCTGGGCAGCCCAGGGAGGGGAAAGCCCCACGCTAGAGCCAGGCTGCTGTGCAGGGTGCTGGAGTGAGCCTTCTGCTGCTGGGAATCAAGGGCCTGGAGCTGCAGTTCCTCTGGATTCTGTGGCTGGGCTGGTGGTGTTACAGAAAGGTGGGATCTTTGTTTTTCCTGGTAAGCAAGAAGCAGTTTGATGGCACTATGAAAAAACTTCCTCAGGCATGCAGACCTTAAGTAAATAAAAGCACAAAAATAGATTTTTCAAACCATGTCCTTCCAGAGCATAGTAGGATTTGCTGGGAAATTGGATTGAATTTTCCCTGACTCACCTGACTGCTGAGGGGAGGAATTTAAAGGAAAGGTCTGTGTTTCCCCAGTGGTATCTGCTGAAACAGGGCCAACTGCAGGGCTTACGGCTCCTTATGGGTGACCTTTTAAAAGGCAGCTGGGGGTGTCTGAACAGCAGGCTGGGGACTGGGGGCTGATGCTTAGCTAGACCACCTTACCTCTGAACCCAGAGATGAGAGATTGATTGTCGGACCTCTGCGCCGTCCACATATTATAGATCGGTTTACTGAGGTATGGAGGCCACTGGGCAGCCCTCGGGAGAACAGGTTGCTTTTCTAATGGTGATGAAGGATTGACCCTGAAGCGTCTATGCCTTGACTCGTTCCACTTGGGTATCAAGACTGCAGTTTGCTAGGTGGTTGGCCCAAGGCTGGGGTTTAGAGGATGACCACAGAGCACAAGGGAAGTTTTCTCTTGAGCCAAGCTATGCAGATTAAAATGCTAGAACATCATTAGCATCTTAGGAAGGTTTTCAGACACCAGGCTTTAAGTGACCCCAAACCTTCCCCGGACCTAAATTTAATGCCGTGGGCCACATTCCGTCGAGTTTGGGTTCCTGCACAGAATTTTATTATGAATGAGAACCAGTGGTGTGCCAATACACTGGCTCTCTGAAGAAATGTAAAAGCCTTGATTTGTAGTGTTTGCCAATTTTCAAGGTGTAACTACTCCCACTGTGCCAATTTCAAACTACCAATGTGAAGTCTGTAAATATGAAGTTGGGAAAAGATGTGCACAATTGGCTGTCATGAGCAGTTCCATTCGGCTCCAGCACACCACTGAGCTCATGGGCCTCCAACGCATATATCCAAAGAGCTCACAAGTAGAGGTGATTCAGAGGGGCAAACTGAACCATGTGCCAGGTGTACCCTCAGTATCCCTACATGTACAGAACACTCTTTCCCCTTAGCTAACAGAATCTTTTAACTAGCAAGAAGTTCCATATTACCACATTAATACTGGAATATATCAGCGGGTGTCTCCACTTTAGTAGTGATCATGATAGGACAATGATTGGCTAAGTTTAGGAGCTATCAGATCCCTTGAGGAGCTTGCTTAAAAAGCATTCTGCTCGACTCCATACCCCAGAGAATCTGATTTCCTAGATCTGAGATGGGGTCTAGTCATCTGTGTTTGGCAAGAAAGTTACAGGTCGTATTCATACTTTGAGAAGCCCTCATCTACTGTTTGCTCACCCTGTGGTTTAGAAGCCTGGAAGTTCAAGGTCTGGTGACTTTTAACAGTGATTTTATTCCTCATACTAACTGTTTTGCTCCAGTGAAACTTCATACTAACTGTTTTGCTCTGTTTTTTTAAATCCCACCATGCAAAATCTGATTCTAAATGATATGTATTGACAGCATCCCAAGTATCAGACATCAGACATGTGTTATCCCATCTTATTCTGACAACTACCCTATTATTACCACCCCATTTTGCAGATGAGGAAACTGAGGCCCAGAGAAATTTCCCAAGTAGGTGGTGCTAGAATTCAAGTTCAGGCGATCTGACTCCAGAACCTGCATTCTAAGCAAAACACGGCTGCCTCTGTAAAATAGTGTTCCTTTGAGGGTCTTTGGCTTTTTACTTAGCGAATTCAGGCTAAAATTCAGCTAAATTTCTTGAGCATTTAATTGAATACCTATAAGATGCTATCACTGGCATAAGTTATCTCATTTAATCCTAGCAGCAACCTTACAGGGGAGGTAAGACACTGTTTTCTGGAAGAGGGAAGGGAGATCCAGAGATGTTCTGTGGCTTGCCCTGTGTTGCACAGCCAACTGGAGGCAGAACAGGAATTTGTTGCTCATTCCACTACCCCACAGCTGCCCAGCTAAGTTTCCTGTGTGGTTCTTTAGTCTAAGGCAGCTTTGATTCATTGGTGCTTTTTTAAGCATTTGAGTACGTTTCTGGCAGTCTTCACTTTTGACTGATAAATGTCTGAGTCTGTATATAAAACAGTGTACAAATGGGAAAGACAGCCGTATCCACCACTATCTTTAAACACCAGACAGAGTGGGCTAAGTGCAGCACTAAGATGCAGAGGAGCGTGCAAATACAGAGAAAGTGTTTGTTGTTTCTGCGGGAATTGAAGAAGGCTCCCTGAAGGAGGCTACACCAAGCTGGACCTTGAAGGATACACAGGATTTTGGCAAGTATGGAGGGAAGAGTCGGGGATGGGCAGCAGTGAAAGAGGATTTGGTGGAAACTGAAGCTGGGAACCCAGGGATTGGGGCCCAATCACAGGGCTTCATGAATCTTGCCAACAGTGTCCCTTTTTTCTTTGGCCCATAACTAGTTTCATGCTTGACTTGTGATTAAGGACATTGTGATTTTTCTCCTCTAGCTGATCGATCTTATTTTCCATTACCTTAAAACAACTTTCTGTAGCTCTTCTATGGGGGAGTTTTAATTCCTGTGCCCTTGTGCTTTAGGCCCCAGCACCTTCAAAGTGGTCTTCCAGGCACATACGACTGGCTTGAGGGGCCCAGATGTGCTGAGATGCCCCAGTGCTTCTTTCTGTTCCCTTACAGCAAAAGTTTATTTCTGTCCCTCGGCAGCATTGGTGCAGTCGGTAGCCAGTCCAGCTGGAGTGGTTCTGGTTCCCTTTATAAGCACCCATTCCTGGGAGAATGCCTTGGGATATCTGTCAGCAGCTTCCTGTAGTCTGGCTGTCCCAGTGGCTGGAGTGCTTTGAACACCGATTCCCAGGGACATTACACAGTTCCTTTCCACTGTTTTCTGGCTCTCCCAAGTGGACACTGACCTCGAAGTGAGCACATTTACCTCTGAGCTCTGGCAGCATCGTTTGGGCGATTATTGTAATCTTGAGGGGCTTGTGGGGATCCAATAGCCTTGACTAAAGGCGTTCCATAGGGAGAAAAAAAAATGTCGCAATTGCTTTGCCAGTTAGAGATCAGTCACAGCCAGAACCAACTTCTGCTTTCCTCTTGGAAACACTAACAAGTGCCACAGGATCAGAGGTCTCTCGCCCACCATGGCCAGTAGGACCCATTAAGACCATCAGCCGTGGGATTGCCTGTCATTCCTGAACTCTAGTCTCAGGGATTCCGAGCAGTGTGTCTCTTCTTCATCTCTGAATCTTCAAGCAGAACACTGATATAACCCCCCTACCACTGAGCAGGGGTTGGTGTGTGCAACACGATGGGGGAATTTTCTGGAGTGGGCATTTTCATGTGGTCTCCATCACATGTTCTGGATGACATTTGTAGTAATAGCTTGACAGCTGAGGCCTGCTGCGATGCAGTCCCACTGGCAAAGGCCTCTCCTTGTGCCTTTACAAATGTCACATTCCTGCACATGTAAGGCACCGCAGGAGGGCTTCTTTATGGACTCTCTTCCAGTGTAGTCCTGCAACGTGTTATCCAAGAAATCTCTCAGAATGCTGTGTTGGGACAGGTGGTGCATCTCTGTCTGTGGTAGATGGATGCTGCTGCCTGGCCCCTCCTGAGGCTATTTGGTCCATTTCTAAATTAAAATCTCTAAACAGTAATAGAAGACCTAGTGAGAACTGCGTTTCTCATCATTGTTCTAGTCTTAGCGGAGCTATGAGAGCCCTTAATACAGCGTTTTAGCTCCCACATACAACTGATCATCCACCCCATTTCTTTGCCTGGGATTCCTATCTTTTTTTCATCCAAATAGAAGAAAAGCCTCTCAGCATGTGAATCTCAAGAAGCAATATGGCGGACATCAAGTTCTTCATTATACTTCAGGGTAGCTATTTTTTTATTCCAAAGTCTACTTAAATGTCAGAGAGAAGGCTGAATTCAGTTGCCTACAAGGAGATCTTCAAGTAAGACTTCTACTTAGCTCCTACTGTGAATGGAACTGTGAATGATAGGGTGGGGAAGATGAAGATATGCATGAGCCTAAGGCAGGCATAGGCCAAGGGGAGCCCTTTGCACAGTTATTCTCTTGGCTACCAAGGTCATCACTGTCTAGCCAATCAGTGAGATCTCTGCCAGGTTGGGCTCAGATTGCCAACATGTGCCCTCAGTTAGCCCCCTGCATGCTGGCCCAGTGTCAGACAGTGCAGAGCTGAGACAGGAAGGGGAGGGAGAAGTCTAGATCTTCCAGGCCCAGGATCACACACAGTCTGGATGTCAATGGCAGCCCAAAGTCAGGAAGTAGAAAATGGGACCAGAGAGAGCATCCAAAAAACACCCAAGCCCATCCCAAACACTGGCTCTGAAGGGGGCCTTGTTGAGTGCAGAGTAGCTGTGTTTGCCATGGGGTGGGGGGAAGGAACAGCTTTCATGCACTTGGCATGGTGGGCACAGGAATAGACCACTTCTCCACTGACGGCTCACCTGGATCATGCCTTAGATTCCCTTAGTGCTTATCTTCCAAGGAGCTCAAAGAGTGAATAAATAGAGACAATTATTGACCTCGTAATCTTAGATAGCAGCATGGATATTAGGGCAATTTATTATCATTTACTACTTCCCCTTTCGAGAGAAGAGAAAATGAATGAGTATGGAAAATAAATCAACTTCTTGGGAACCTCAGCCTAGTTAACATATTACCATTGATTAAGCAGCTACCACATGCCAGACTGTTTGACTATGGAGATAGGAAGGGCGATAAGTCACAATTCCTGTCTTCCGGAAGATTGCCGTCTGGTGAGAGTCAGAGACATAAACCAGCCACTCCACAACAGCCTTAGGAAAGCTGCCGGGCTTTGCCGAGTGAGGGCGCACCAGGAGGGGAGAGGGAGGCTTCCCTGAGGAGAGGCCAGGTGAGTGGGAGAGATGAGAAGAAGGCCACAGATAATAACATGTTCTATTTTTTATATCCCTTCTGTGTGCCAGCCTCTTCACAAATAAGTCATCTAATTCCATGTGTGGAAACACAAGCTTAGAGAAGATTATAAGCCAAATGCCAAATTTGAACTTGGGCTTCCAAACTCCAGGGCTCAGCAAGCAGGCACTGCATTTTTAAGGCCCATCTCTAATAGTTTTTGTTCTCAACTCTGGGCGAGACCTGAGGCCTAAGGAAGCATCCTGGGGACCCAGTGCAGCCCCTTCGCCTCCATACATCTTGAATGCTGGTCTTTAAAGGTCCTTCTCCTGAGGAAGTGGGGCTGAGACTGTCTTGTGTGGTCATGTTTTGTTGGGTGGTTGGGGTTGGGGTCCGGGGGCGGACATCCTGTTCATGCAGCCTAATGAGGAGCTTCCACCTGCCCCTTGTGTTTCTCAGCACTGACCTGCTACCAGGCCCGGCTCTGGGCTGTAGCCAGGGAGGGGATGCCTTCCAGCCTAGCCGTGGCAGGAAGAGGCCAGGAGTCATTTTAGCCATTGGTTTGCAAAAGAAGAAAAGCTTTGCTGCTGCCGCCTGCACGCACCCGCACGCTCACTCCCCTTGATGCTGGAGTGATGCTGGAGAGCTCACCGCTGCTGCTTGCTTTTCTAGTTCTCTTCCTTCATTTTCCCTTTGCAGATTTCACTGATTTTGAATCTCTCACAATGGAGCCCTTGGTTTCCAGAGATCTGAGAAACAGAAAGTGATCACATTTTCCTAGAGGGGAGCTCAACATTCTGCTGGGGAAGTAGGAGATGTCGAGTCTGAGGTCATTTTCAGACACCAACTTGTTTTGTTCTATGAATTTAAGGAGATTTTAGAATTGGGGAACAAATAAAATCATTCTGTCAGAGCAAAGGAGAAACATCTTTGTATATTGCCTTAAGCTTTCCATGCACCGTTAAGTGATTAAAATGCAACTGAAAACTCTGATAGCAAAAAGAAAAATTAATAAATACAGTATAATAAGTGCATAAAGATTATTAGGGGAAAGGAAGACTCTTAGGACCAGCCATTCTATGTCCAGATTTGAATCTGCTTGGAGTGAATCACATATCCTTGAACTACAGTTGCTGTTCTTCTCAGGAATTTGGCCTGTCTGAGTTCATGTAAGCAGAAGCCCACAGATCAAAACCACTGTCAGCCACCAGCACAGCTTTTTGATAGTTTTCCAAGGAAGATCAATAGCACCTGGTCCTCTGGCCATTGTCACAGGTTTGTCACATCCGTAGGTCCTACCGAGATCTGTGGGTCCAGTTACCTCCCAGTGAGCAGAGACTTAATTAATTAATTTATTTATTTATTTTTGAGACAGAGTCTTGCTGTGTTGCCAGGCTGGATTACAGTGGCGCGATCTCTGTTCACTGCAAGCTCCGCCTCACGGTTCAAGCTATTCTCCTGCCTCAGCCTCCCAAGTAGCTGGGACTACAGGTGCGCACGACCACGCCCACCTAATGGTTGTATTTTTAGTAGGGATGGGATTTCACTGTGTTAGCCAAGATGGTCTCAATTTCTTGACCTCATGATCTGCCCGCCTCGGCCTCCCAAAGTGCTGGGATTACAGGCGTGAGCCACCACGCCCAGCTAAGACTTACTTTTTAGGTAGAGCTCACATCTACCTTCCTGGAAAGAGCTTGGAATGTTTAAATTAACATAAATACAGCCCCAATTTTTTTCATTACAGTACCTTTTAGAGTAAGTTAAAATGAAAAGCATAATGTTTAAATTATATAAAATTATGTTAATAGCTATAGCATTATAGCGTATGCCATCTTGACATTTTTGTAATTCCTATAGCGACTGAGGTAGTTTCACAACCCTGAAATCTAAGGCCATTTTCAGGAGCTGTGTTATTTTTTCCAAGAAACTAGAATTTAAGGTTGTCTGTTTTGCTGTCTTCTTTTTTCCGACCGTGGGATTCTCTATGGTGAGCGTAGATATCACTGATTGCCAATAGGCTGTCCGACTGCCTTCAAAGTAGTGTCTGCTTCTTGCAGCTTCTCTGTACATCTGGTGCTTCACCTGGAATTCCTGCTTGCAAAAGGGAGGAATCAAGCCTTATTTAGTCTCTCTTAAGGTTTTCATCATTTGAGCTCTCACCAGTTGTTGCTTCATAATGTCAAAGTCTCGAGCCTTGGAAGGTATCCAGGGGCAAATTCAAAGGCACGCAGCATCTAGCTTGATCCTGAATCCACAAAACCAGCTGTCTTCCCATCTTAGAAACAAGTCCTGTGTAAATAGAGAATTGGAGATGTCACCCTGCCTTTTCCTTAACTGTAACCATTTTCAAAAGTGAATATTGGATATAAACTAAAGTTTATAAACACATGACTTTGCTTGTCAAAAGTGTTCTCTCTAGAAGGCTGTTTATCTGGAATAAAACGCTGCTCCCATGCTGCCAGTTTCTTTTTCAGTGTTGACTTCAGAAGCACTTTACCAACTACACTGGGAAGTCAGTTAGTACTTTACTTTTGTAGGAACCATTCTGTTGTCCCAAACTTTGTGTCTCCTTACGTCACAACTGAGTTCTGTTCCATCCCTCCCTCCTCTGCCACCTGGGGGTGTGAGAAGCAGATTTCAGCGGGAGGAAGGCTGTGAGAGTGGACAGAGGCCTGGGAGAACCTCAGTGCTATTGGGAAGCAGGCTGAGTGCCAGACCAAGCTGATAACGTGAATGTGATGGACTCTGCCATGAATGGGAATTGTACCAGAAGTTCAGTAAGGGAAGTGGAGGGCTGCTTGCTCGAAACAGAGGCACTGAGAAGAGTGTGATAAATTTATAAGCAGACCTGATTTAATGCTACAAGCCTGATCTGTGAGTAATCTCCTGAATAATCTTTAATGAGTAAGCATTAAGTCAATAGACATTGGAAAGAACTCCAGTAACCTAATTCCCCATCCCCCACCCCACCCATGACAATTTATAGCCTCATTTGACACAGGAGGTGATCAACTTGTTTACCTGGCTCTGTTGGGCATAAGTTCTTAGGTCAATAATTGATGCGGTAACCATAATTTTAAATTAATATAATGATTTCCATTTCAGTTCAGTTCATAAAACCTGTCTGCGTCCCAGTATGGTACATGATGAATATAATTTTCCATTTTATAGCTGGAGAAATCGAGCCAGGAAGCAGTGATGCTAGAAGGGGACACTAGTCAGCGAAGTGCTGGTGTAAATGTTTTAACAACCAGCTCTCTGCGGGAAGAAGTCCTGGTTTGTAGTGGATGCCGATTTCCATCGTGTAAATACTCCCACCTTGGCTGATTCAAGCTACCAACATGGCATCACTGAATGCAGAGTTGGGAAGAATTGCACATTTTCAGCTCTTGTGAGCTGGTACTAGCTGGCTGCAGCATAATGGCATTAATGATTCAGTTTCTGGCTTCAGGCTCTTGGATGACCACTGAGGACCAGCTCAGACCACTTTAAATCCCAACTTAACTCTCAGATTCTGCTCAGCCTCTCACTACAGTGCCTTGAAGCGTGTTTTTCAAACTTTGAGTTGTAACCCATTGAACAGTCCTGAACTTAATTTAGGGAGCTGAATGAGCATTTTTTAAATGAAATAGAATAGAGTAAAATAAGAAGAAATGAATAGAACAACAGAAAATATCAGCGTGTACACCACATGTTTCAATGATGGATGATGGATGGATGGATGGGTGGATGGATAGGTGGATGGATGGGTGGGGTGGGTGGGTGGATGGAAAGATGGATAGATGGATGGATGACTACATGTCTATAGCGGGTTGGGGTCAAAAACTAAAAATATTGACCCAGAAGCCAATGTACCTCTGTTTTCTCATCTGAAAGATGGAGTTAATGGAGTTGCCTCCTCCCTGCCTGTGATCAGGCCAGGGGGTGACCAGATCACTCTGTGATAATGCTGTGGTGGTGCTAGCACTCTATCTAATCCACAGTTTATCCATTTGTGGTGACAAAACAGGGCAAAGCAGACAGGTCTGGCTTTGTCTCTTTGGGAGATGGTTGTACATTGTGTTTGGACAAAGTTCCGTCTTCATTGGGCACATGTTTTCTTGGCATTCAGCCACAGCCTAGAGATGCCTCCCAGTGGCTCTCAGCCTTCCTCTGTCCACATGTGTACACATGTGCACATACACACACATGAAGTTCTGCAGTCAGAGGGATCAGCCTTCCTAAGTCTGCTGTGAAATGTCATGGGGGAGAGTCCTTAGGAGCAAGGACTCTGTGTTGGAGGGAACTAGTGAACTTTTAAAAATAAGAGAGGTAATGATGAAAGCTTTCTCCACACTCTCTCCTGAGTCCCTCCTGGAAAAAGGTACAAGGCCAAGCAGTGTGTAGGAGTCATCACAGCAACCCCATGAAGCAGAGACTGTTAGCCATTTTCAGAGATGAGGACACTCACCCTAGGAAAGGCTCAGCAATGAGCCCTCTGCTCCCAACCTCACCTTCTGACCCCAGGCCAGTGCCCAGGCCAACAGCCCCTTCAGAGCCTCAGGACAGCCTGTTAGTCATCCAGGAAGCCCTTCCAAACTGGTTTTCTTATCTGTGAAATGGGATGTTGTTCTACGTAAGAAGCATTTTGCTGAGAAAAGAGAAATGGCTTTAGAGTCAGAGTATCCGGGAATCTCATGCTACTTTTTACAAATCACTGCTGTGAGATTGCAAGCAAATTACTTTACTATAGTTGCCTTGCCTGGAAAGTGGAGATGTTGACAATTTTGCAGGTTCATTATGAAGATTAACTAAGATAACGTTATCACATCACAAATCTGGAGAGATATATATTAATATGTCAACAGTGGTTATCACTAGGTGGTGGCATTACAGGTGGTTTCACTCTTCACTTTTTTGCCCGTTTTTATTCAGTGGTGTACCAGTAAATATTTAACAAAAGAAAAACAAAAAGCCTGATTTGTAGTGTTTGCCCATTTCCTTGGTGTAAATACTTCCACCATGGCTGATTTCAAGCTACTGCCATGACGACACTAAACATGAAATTGGAAAACGACATGTATGATTGGCTCTCACAAGCTGGTATCAGCCCACTTCAGCTCACCACTGTTTTTAACTGTGCACCGAACGTTTTGCTTGGGGGTAAATTAGAGAGAGAGGGAAGGAAAGAGAATTAATTAGCAGAGTGCCTAGCATTATGCCTGTCATTAGTTCTCCTCTCTCCCTGCCCTCCCTCCCTGCTTTGTCCCCCAGCCCGCATTGCTCTAATGGAACAGCACAGTGCCTGTGAACACCCAGCCGTGTGAAGTGGTGGTCTTCCTGGGAGCCAGCTGCCTGTCTTTGCTCGCCATCGGCAGGGCCCTCAGGACCTGGGCAGCCTGTAGAGGAGATCCTAAGGTTGACTCACTGAGGAATAATCAAGCAGATTCCCAGGTCCTCTCACTTTCCACAGGAGACATGCTCAGATCAGACACGTACAAGGTTGACACTTCCCTCTAGGGAAACTAGGAAAAGTCTCAACGGGAAAGGCCTGGAGGGGAACACACCTCCAGGTGGCCACAGTCTCTAAGGAGCCGAACCTTTACCTTCCGCTCACTGACATAACAGATGTGTGTGACTGTGGGGGTGGGGGAGACGGGATGGGCTCTGCAGGTCTCTGGAGGAATACAGAAGAATGGGGCGTCAGTGGCAGCCTGACAGGCCTCGACAGGTCACCCAGCATGTAAGACAAAGGTGCAGGGACAAATTCCCCACACCCTCCAATGTCTGGTCTCAGCCTCCCAGCACTCGGCAGTTTCTGGCACAAGAGTAGATGTTCAAGAAATTTTTGTTAATGCTTGGTTTGGTTTGTTGCTGTTGTTGTTTTAATTTTTAATATCACCTTATATTCCTTCATAGCTTGACCTGTTGCAGAAAGGATGTCAGGCAGCCATATAAATGCTTATTGAATAAATAAATAAGTTGTAGCCCTCATCAGCTCCTGGTTTTACCTGTTCCTGGATATAAAATGTGACTTTAAGTCGAAATGAGATGCGAAGTGTTAATAAAGTTTTCTGGTAATGGTATTTTTCTTTAATTTCTTCTAGGTTTTCTGTATTTTTTCAAATGTATCTTCGGAGAACTTGGATCCCTTTTGTTTTATTTTTAAAAAATGAATATATGTTACAAAAATAACCTGTAAATTAAAAGCAAATCGAGAGCTGTGTCAACAGTTAAGGCCCAAGAAGGGTCATCTCCGCGGCTCTAAGGCTCTGAACTGAGGGTCCTGCCTGCCCACAGGGTGTTGGCTGGGCCCAGGTTCGGGCTCTTGTCTCAGCCTCTCTTCCCACAGGCCTCCCGCCTGCCTACCAGGCCCTGACTAATAACGCTCCCCTCCAGCAACTCCCAGAAGACAGTGTGTGCCAGTCTTAGAAGTGGCAGTAGGGAGAGATGAGGGGGATGACTGGCCACACCCTTTAAAATACAGTTGGGCCTGTGTCCTGGTCACCCTCCATGAGGCAAGCAGCCACCTCGGGCACCTGAAACCTGGGGAGGCCCCTACAGTGTGAGTCACCTGCCTCCAGGCAGGCCTGGTCCACTCTTTCAATCATAGGCTTCCTTCAGGGCAAGTGGGGGCCTCACCCCTTGCCTATGATAAACCTGTCAGTTCCATTTCCCTTGAAGCAGCAGGGCTGCTCTGGGAATGCAGCACAGAGCCTGGGGGCCTCCCTTAGGTGTCTGTTGGGTTTGAACCTTCCCCTCTTCTGGCCTAGGATCGTGGTCAGGGGAACCATCGTGTTTGAGGGGTTTCATTAAAGACACAGGTTGAACCTAGCAGATGAAGGCTTGTGGGGGTTCTCAACCAGAGGAGGTTTAATTCCTGTATCACCCCTGCCAGTGTTCATGGCTGCCCTCTCAAAGCCAGTCAGCTAAAAGGAGGCAGTGCGGAGGTGCCTGCCAGAGCCCTGTCTCCACCCGATGGTGCACAAGATGTGACCATGGGTTTCCTATAACTGACCTTTTTTTGTCAGATAGATAGATAGATAGATAGATAGATAGATAGATAGATAGATAGTAGATAGATAGTAGATAGATGATAGATAGATAGATAGATAGATAGATAGATAGATAGATAGATAGATAATTTTTTTCTTTTTCTTTTTCTTTCTGAGACAGGGTCTCACTCTGTTGCCCAGGCTGGAGTGCAGTGGTGTGATCATGGCTCACTGCAGCCTTGACCTCTTGGACTCAAGCAACTCTCCTACCTTAGCCCCCTGAGTAGCTGAGACTACAGGCACAAGTCACCTCACCCGGCTGATTTTTGTACATTTTTCGTAGAGATGGGGGTCTCACTTCGTTTTCCAGGCTGGTCTTGATCATCCTACCTCCCAAAGTGCTGGGATTACAGGTGTAAGCCACCACACCCAGCTGAGATATAATTCACATACTCTACAGTTCACCATTTAAAGTGTACAGTTCAGTGGGTTTTAGTCTGTTCTCAGAGTTATGTGACTGTCATCACTATCGATCTTAGAACATTTTCATTGACCCAAAAAGAAACTCTATACCTGTTAGCAGTCACCCTCGAATTCCTCCAGGCCCCCCAACCCAAGGCAAGCACTTACCTCCTTTTTGTGTTTATAGATTTGCCTATTCTGGACATTTCATATAAATGGGGTCATTCAATATGTGACCTTTTGTGTCTGCCTCTCTTCATTTAGCCTAATATTTTCTAGGTTTATCCACACTGTAGACCGGATCAGTACTTATTCCTTTCAGTGGATGGATAATGTTCTGTGGTATTTTGTTTATCCACTCGTCAATTGGTGGGTGTTTGGGTTGTTTCCACTTTTTGGCTATTCTGAGTAATGCTGCTGTGAACATCCATGTACATATGTGTTCATTGTCTCGGAGGTATTGCCACGTAACTGATCTTTTAACAGTATGCACCTGATCCCGTCACTTCTTTGCTTAAAAAGCCCCAGTACTTCTCATTGTTCTTAAAGTCAGAGTCAAAATCCTCACCTGGGCATGGAAGGTTCATGGCTTCTGGGCCTGGCCAGCCTCACCCTGCTGTTTCCCCTGTTCTGTTCCAGCCAAGAGGCGCCAAGACTCCCTCCATGCACAGAGCCTCCTTCCTTGGCTTCAGCTTCAAACTTTCCGCCTTCCCCCTGCCTGGCCCTTTGCTTCCTTAACCTCTACTCATCCTGGAGTCTCAGATGACCTGCCCCCTCCTCAGGGAAGCATTCTCCTCTGCCTCACACTAGGTTAGGGCCACCTGCCGCACACTCCCAGGGGACCCCGTGTGTCTCCTCCATAGCCCCTAACACAGCTGCAGGCAATGATGACTTGTGTGGTGGTCTGCCTAATGCTTCTCTCTTCTGCTCCCTTAAGCTCCAGGAGAGCAGAGAACTCATTCTTGTTCCCCAGTTTTTCCCAGCACCTAGCACAGTGCCTGGCACATTCAGGCACTCAGTAAATATTTACTGAATGAATAATGGGTAATGATGGCAGCAAATGAGCCACTTCTTCAGCAGACTCCTTCAGCCTTAGCATGTCCCTCAAGTGATGGGGAAACCCAGGCACTGCCGAGGCCAAATGACTTCTTCTGTCCCCAGCCAGACACCTCTCACTTCCCTGAGGGACCGCTGCTTATGCAGGAATGGGTTTGGGGGAGTTCCCCGCATCCTGAGCTATATAGAGCCTCAGTGTGTGAATCCCAGCTAACATGTGGGTTCTCTCAGGACAGGGTGATTCCCATAGCATGTGACTCAGAGCAGCCCCTCGACACCACAGACTGAATCAGGAGCAGCCGCAGTGCATTTCCAGGGGAGAAATAAGGAGGGATTCTCTGAAGCACTTGCTTCTCTAAGAGGCGGGGAGTTGCCTTATGACAAACCGAGTTCCCGTTAGTAAAGATTATTGCCTTTCTGCGTGTTGTGTTTGAAAAACTGTCCTTGAAGAAATTCCAAGAGGAAACTGTACACCTTCTGAGACTTAATTGCTTTTTCAAAACACACTTGTTTTCATTTCCCCCACAGATATGCACTTATTTGGCCATTACCCAGCACATGACGACTTCTATCTCGTAGTGTGCAGTGCCTGTAACCAGGTCGTCAAGCCACAGGTTTTCCAGTCGCACTGCGGTAAGTGGACCCCTGCACCGTCGGCCACATCTGCAGCTGCCGCCCTGGGGACAGTCGCCTTCCCCTGGGCTCCCCGACAGGGTCTCGCCATGTCTTGTCTCAGCCTGAGGCTGTGGGTAAAGTCTTCCTGGGCTGCTGCCTCTGCTCGCAGGCTGTTTTAGGAGCTGTAGTCCTTCTGCTGAAATCCGCAGTCCTGTCAGAACAAATGAGAGAAAACCTGCAACTTGTCTCGGTCGATGGGACTAGACTGAAGCCATCTGCCCAGCCTAGCGATGGCCTCTGCAGGTGACCAGGGGAGGGGAGAGCTGCTTAAGGAGTCGCTCCTGCAGCCAGACATTTTCTCCCCCTGAAAGAGGGTCAGGAGAGAGTCTCCCCGAGACTTACAAAAAGGAGGGCTGCGGCCAAGCACAGCCCAGTGTGTGGCCCACTGGGGTGCTGCCCCAAGGAAATGGTGCATCAGTAAAACCTTACATTCCAATTCACCTTTCCCAAGAATCCTCCTTGTTAAAAAAAATCCCAGGTGGGGTTGGGAACTGCTTTCCGTCTCTAAACATCCTTGATGTAATAAATTCCTTCAGTTGGTCATCAACAAACCATGGACAGAACAGATAAAGTCCACGTGGCTGCCCCACCCCGGGGATGAATAAACAGCCATTTGGCCTTAGACTAGAAGTCACTTAACCTCTCTGGGTGGAAGTTTCCTTATCTATAGCAGGGAATTGGATTAGACAATTTCCAAAGCTGTAATATGCTGTGAGTCCAGCACAGTATCTCCCAATCTTTTTATTTAAGCTGTATTCCCTTTTGATGAACATAAAATCTGAATGCCCTCCTTACCATTAAGGTTTCGAAGTACATTCTATTGTGCCTAAAAAAAGTCAAAGCAATTATAATATTGAATATGCTTTTGCAAATTACGCACATTTCCCCTTTCTCACGTTCCGAATTTCTGACTTTTCCCCACCTCTTCAGTTATCATTATTCTATAATAAAATAAAGGGAGTTGAGCTTATCCAAGCTCTTTAACAGTCTCTCTATATACAAATTATCAACTGCAAACACGTGTATATGTATGTATATGATATATACATATCTACATATATATAATCTGTATCTGTGTATATACTGTAGGCATATTTTGTGTTTGTAATGTGTAGAATTCAGGCTTACGGAGCACCTCTGGGAGTGAGTCCAGGACTTTCAAACCAGCACAAGGCAAAGCAAGGGCCCTAGAAAGCGCTATAGGAGGAGGTTTGGTCAGAGGCCAAGTCTTCTGCCCCTCCCTGCAGCCAGCACTGTGTCCTCGGGCTACTTGCTTGATGTCTCAGGGCTTTGGTTTCCTTGTCCCTACCATGGGAAGATGACTTCTGTGGGTGTGTCCAGCTCTGACATGTTCATTCTGGCAGACTGAGCAGGAAAGGAGCAAGTCGTGTGCCTGGCACAAGTTGACCTTCTTGCCTAGTGCTCTGTACCAAATGACCCTCTCCACTGCCTGGAAGAGAGAAAGGGTTAAACCTCTCCAAAGAGAAACTGTCAGCTGGTACCACCAGCTGAGATGACAGGTGGAGAATCCAAAGCAGAGCCATGGCAAGAAGGTCCCACCCAGCCAGTGGTTCAGTGACCAGGCATAGAAGCTCCGTGACCAGTGCTTCTGTGCGTCTTGTGAGAACGCAGAGGCTACATCATCCTGAATATGATTTTCATTCACTCAATTCACAAGGATGTGCAGCTGTTATAGGCACGGAACAAGGGGTTGCATTCTATTGTAAGCCATCAAAACTTTCACTGGGACTGGGTTCAATGGCTTACACTTATAATCCGAGCACTTTAGGAGGCCAAGGCAGGAGGATCACTTGAGGCCAAGAGTTTGAGACCAGCCTGGGCAACATAGTGAGACCCCATTTCTTAAAAAAAAAATTTAGCCAGGTGTGGTGGTATACCTGTAAGTCTCAGCTACTGGAGAGGCAGAGGGGGAGAACTGCTTGAGCCCAGCAGTTCGAGGTTGCTGTGAGCTATGATTGTGCCATTGTACTCCATTCTGGGCAACAGAGCAAGACCCTGTCTCAAGAGAAACAAACAATAAAACAAAACGAAACCCAAAAAATCTTCACTGAGAGCTTAATTCACTGGAGTCTTTGATGGAAGGATCCTGAAAGGGACCCAAAACATGGGACCCCGCTGTCCCCTGCAGAGTTCTTCCCAGGGGAAAGGTCCCAGATTGCCAAGGGAGGAGGCTCTGGTGTTTAGCAGAGCTGATACACCTGCCTCCCCCAACCCTGGGGCTCTTGGCATAAGAGCCAAGAGTCAGCTTAGGGGACAGCCCATGGCTTTGGGAGCTCTGAGCAATGCAGTAAATTAGTTTGGGGGTTTGGGGTTACTGATCTCGTCCCTCAAAGCCCAGTCTCCGTTAAGCTTCTTGCTGAACAAGCTGACAAGCAGCAATGGGGACATGATCACAACTCAGCAAATTGAGGCACCAAGGCCTCCCTCAGCTCTAGGTGTGTGTCCTAGTACAAATACAAACTTACATTTATCAAGACCCAGAGAGTGCAAAGCAGAGGTTAGAACCATTGTAGCTCTTTGTGGGGAGTACTTTTTAGTGTCCCTAAAAATTCCTGCAATAGCTTCATGATTGTCTAAGTCAGTTCAGGCTGCTATAACAGTATCATAGACTAGGTGGCTTATAAACAGCAGAAATGTATTTCTCACAGTTCTGGAGGGTGGAAGTCTGAGGTCAGGATGCCAACAAGGTCAGATTCTGGCGAGGACTGTCTTCCAGGTTGCAGACTTCCAGCTTCTCACTGTGTCCTCACATGGTGGAAAGAGAACAAGAGTTCTCTGAGGTCTCTTATATGGGCACTAATCCCCTTCATGGGGGCTCCACTCTCATGACCTAATTATCTCCAAAGGCCCCAACTCCGTATACCATCACATTGCGGGTAGGATTTCAACATAGGAATTTGCGAGGGACGCAAACATTCAGTCCATAGCAATATTCTTTTTTTTTTCTCTTTCCTTGTAGCACTGGCCTTGCTATTTTCCACAAGTTAATAAGAATGCCAGTGTGCCGAGTGCCAGACACTGTGCCAAGTGCTTTCCATATCTGTTATTTGTTTCGTTTTGTCTTTTGGGTTTTGTTTTTTTTTGAGTCAGACTGTCATCCAGACTGTAGTGCAGTGGTATAATCTCAGCTCACTGCAACCTCTGCCTCCCCAGTTCAAAAAATTCTCCGGCCTCAGCCTCCAGAGTAGCTGGAACTACAGGTGCCCGCCACCACACTTGGCTAATTTTTGTATTTTTAGTAAAGACGGGGTTTTGCCATGTTGGCCAGGCTGGTCTTAAACTCCTGACCTCAGGTGATCTGCCTACCTTGGCCTCCCAAAGTGCTGGGATTACAGGCATGAGCCATCGTGCCCAGCCTCCATCGCTTTGAGCATGTAATCTTTTCAACAGCCCTGTGACATGGGTGTTAATGTTATACCCATTTTGTAATTGAGGAAGCTAAGGCTTAGGAGGTCAGTGCTTTGCCCGAGGTCTGATTTTGGGCACAGGCCAACACCCTGTGGTTAACTGCCAAACTTTCTTTCAAATGGAATCTTATATAAAACCCCAATCCATAAATATATATGGGAAGCAGAGCTGTTGAGGTTAAAATTGGGGCAGGGGTCCAAGCCCCATGGACGCAGCCTTCTCCTAACTTTTTTCACCCCCCACCTGCCAGGGCTCCACAGAACATTATTTGAACTTTGTTGATGTAGAGGAGACAGCATGGGCTTTGGAATGAGACAAAGCAATTCACGACTCCCCCACTAACTGTGCAACCTTGAGCAGCTCACCTCATCCCTCTTCACCTCCATTTCTTCATCTGTAAAATGGGTACTCTGCCTGCCTCAGGGGGTTGCTGGGATGATGTGACTGATGTGAGGCTTAAGGTTCATTTTCTCTTCCCTTCTCTCCATGGCGTCTTTCCCCATCGCCCCCAGCTGGATGCAGTTCTTCGTGCTGAACAGCCACAAAACTCTGTTCTCCTGTGCCACTTCCCCTCCTGCCATGCTGTCATGTGTGCCACCTCCCGCTTCTCCCATGGGTGCATGGCAGTGTTCAAGATCTTGGTATACTAGTCATTTAACTTAAATTGAAAAAAGTGTGTGTGTGTGTGTGTGTGTGTTTAGCCAGTCAGTTATGGGGACTTCAGAAATTTGTGGTTAAAGGAAAACTGTTGCTTACTCAACATTTCTGATACCAAATTGTGAGTTTTCCATACCAAGGGGATTCTCTGCAGGTACCAATTCAGTGTCCTACGATTTAATTCAGTTCCGACAATAACTACCTGTAGCTGGGGCCGGGCGCAGTGGCTTACACCTATAATCCCAACATTTTGGGAGGCCAAGGGAGGGAGGGTTGCTTGAGCCCAAGAGTTCAAGACCATTCTGGGGAACATGGTGAAACCACATCTCTACAAAAATATTTAAAAATTAGCCAGGCATGTTGGCATGTGCCTGTTGTCCCAGCTACTCAGGATGCTGAGGTAGGAGAATCACTTGAGCCCAGGAGGTTGAGGTTGCAGTGAGCTATGATGGTGCCACTGCACTCCACCCTGGGTAACAGAGTGAGACCCTGTCTCAAAAAAACATGAACCAAAAAAACACTACCCAGAGTTAGCACAGACCCCACAGGTTAAAGGCTCAGTCCCACAAAACTGTGTCCCCACTTCAGATGCCAGTCACAAGTAATAGGTCCCCAGGTTACCCACATTTCTGTCTGACTTGGCTACAAATTAGGGGTCTCCACACCCCTCCTTATGTTCAATAATTGGCTATAACAACTCACAGAACTCAAGGAAACATTTTACTAATGTTTACTGGTTTATTTATATTATAAAGGATATAAATGAACAGTCAGAGATAATAGGGTGAGGTCTGGAAGAGTCCTAAGTGCAGGAGCGTCTGTCCCTGTGTGGAGTTGGGGTTCACCACCCTCCCAGCATGTGGATGTGTGTACCCATCTGGAATCTCTTTAAACTCCATCCTTTAGGGTTTTTTGGAGGTTCCATGCATGATTGGTTAAATCATTGGCCATTGGTGATTGGCTCAATCTCCAATTGGTCTTTCTGGTGACCGGCCCCCAGCCTGAAACTGCCTATGTACGCCAGCCACCAGTCATCTCATTAGCATAAAAAGACACTCCAGAGATCCCAAGGGTCTGAGAAGCTCTTGTGTCAGGAAACTGAGGACTAAGACCAATACAATGAAAGATATTCCTATCACCCCTGTCACTCAGGAAGTTACAAGGGTTTTAGGAGCTCTGTGCCAGAAACTGGGGATAAAGACCAAATATATGTTTCCTATTATATCACAATATCACAGCACCAGTGTGAAAAATAGAATGTCATAGTGGAAAAGTCATGAATTTTGGAGTCAAACAGAGGCAGGTTAGAATCCTAACATTTACGGGCTGTTTGACCTTGAGCTACTTATATGACCTTCTGAGCCTTCTTTTCCTCGTCTATAAAATAAGGATGGCAATTCCTGCTTTGCAGAGTTCCTGTGAAGAACACAGAAAAAGGTTGTATCGTTTTCTGGCACATGGTAAGGGAATAAAGAAAGGATTGTCAATAAATTGTGGCTATTTTTTATTAAGTTGAATGTTTCTTATGAAAAATGGGAAAACCAATTCAGTCAAGTGCTTCCTGCCTTCATTTCTTGCCCTGTCTCAGAGGATGTGCACGCTGAGGTCAGCCCACAGACTTTCGCCTGTGATTCATCTTTTGCTTCCCACACTCTTGGAGGCAAGAAATGCTGGCCTGAATATGATTACATTTGCTAGGAGTCCTGAGGGCTTGGCTTTGCAAATATTGGTTTACATTCACATTAGGCCCCTATGGCAGCTCTTTTAGAAATGCCGTGAAGCTCCAGTATCTCTCTGCGTTCCCTGCCGAGGTCCATCCAGCCTGTGCCATAGCGTCCTACAGGGGTGACATGGAGCCCCCCGCCCAGGGCTGGCCACAGTCCTTCTGCTCCTGATCGTGTGCCCCATGCTGGCATCCCAGATGTAGAAAGCAGGTGCAACCACTGCTGGGGAGACCCTTTGCCTGGCATGGAAGTGGAGTGCTCTTGGAGCCACGTTCTGTGTCACCCCATTAGGGATGGCTTCCTAGGGTCTGTTTCCTAAGTCTGTACCAACAGCCTTTTAGACACTTTTTAAACTTCTCCCCACGAGATCTAGGATTTCAAGGGATTAGTTTGTTTCTAAAGTCCCTTAGGTGAATGGATAAGCTTATTTAGGAATAGTTGTAGAAAGGGGGAAACAGAAACAAGAAGCCTTACCTTGGGAGTCCCAGTTCCACTCTGCAGGCATCTCTGTCCCTCGTAGCTGTCCATCCCAATTTGATGCATTGACATGGCGTGTGAGCCTAGTGGTTGAGTGTAACCTCTCTAGGACCCATTTGATAGATTAAAATTCCAGCTCTAGGCCAGGCGCAGTGGCTCACATCTGTAATCCCAGCACTTTGGGAGGCCGAGATGGGCAGATCACCCTGAACTCAGGAGTTCGAGACCAGCCTAGGCAACATGGAGAAACCCCATCTTTACCAAAAATACAAAAATATTAGCCAGGCGTAGTGTTGTGCTCCAGCTACTTGGGAGGCTGACATGGGAGGATTGCTTGAGCCTGGGAGGTGGAGGGTGCAGTGAGCTGAGATTGTGCCCCTGCACTTCAGCCTGGGCAATGGAGCAAGACCCTCCCTGTCTCAAAAAATAAAAATAAAAAAAATTCCAGCTCTGCACCTTATTCCCTGTGTGACCTTGGGCAGGTTACTTTGCCTCTGTGTTTCTGTTTCCGTATTAAAATGGAAATAATAGTTTATCTCATAAAGTTTCATGTTGATTAAAGGAACTTGCATGTGGAAAGCACAGTGGTACAACAAAGTTTGCTTTAAAAAAAAAGTTTCACAATTATTAACTGAGGGATAAGCTACAGAGATTTATAATGAAATCTTGTCCAGAGTTTTCACTTGTGATTACTGTGGAAAAGGAGATGTTTGTGACTCTTCGTCTTGTCAGAGCTGTGGTGGGTCCTTACCTCAGCCCAGAGAGAATCCAGGGACAGGGCAGAGGATGATGCTCTGTGTGTGTGCACAGGCATGTATGTAAGACAAAAACAAGGAGGTGCAAGGTGCCTATACTGGAAAAAAATTTTTTATTACTTTTTAGTAATTGTGTATTTTCAGTCAATTTGGACTATTGTAATTAAAGAAAAAAATAATAGGTAGATCCAGGTTGTAGTTTTGTAATTGGGGTGAACGTTTATGGTGAGTTGTCTGATTTGCCTAAATGAAAGAAGTAGGATTTTTTGGGGGGTCCTTATCTTCTAATATAGTTACATAACTACCTACAGTAAAGCAGGGTTTCTCAGCATGGGCACTGTGGACATTTTGGGCTGAATAATTCTTTGCTGTGGGGCTCATTCTGTGTCTTACTATAAGATGTTGAGTGGCTTCTCTGACCTCTACCTACTGGATAGCAATAGCAGTCTCTACCCCACTCCTAATCTTGACAACCAAAACCATCTCGGGACATTGCCAATAGCCCCTAGGGTGCAAAATCGCCCCCAGTTGGGAACTACTGCCGTAAAATATAACATGCCCCTGTTTATTATACTGTATTTCATGCTTTTCTGTATTTAAATTTTTTATCAAAGTAAAATATGTGTTTATGCCCAGAAATGACTTCTGTGGAATCACAGCCGCATGTAGAAAGTTGACTCCTTCAGCTTGCACAGAGCTAGCCATTGGAATTATTTCCCCATCACACATACATGCAAAGTGTAAAACAAGTTATCTTACAGCAGTCCATAAAATTGCAGTCCTTTCCACTTCAAAATAATTTTTTTTTAAAGGCAAAAGAAATAACACCTTCATGTACACAGATCCCACAGAATTTGTCTGCCACACTTGGCACTAGTCCTCTCAGCAGAAGGCCATACGGCTGCACACCCCGCCCATCAGACAGAGATAATCCTTGGATGTCACTGCTACTTAAAAAAAAAAAAATGGTTTAGAACCAGAGAACCTGGATGTCATTCAATAGACAAGAGAGGATTAGATTTTTTTTCCTCCTTCTCAGAGAGGGCTTTTTATTCCCTTTTCTGATTATATTTTTGAATGCCCTTCAAGTAGCTGTTTTTCATGTTGATGGTGATGCAGTAGAATTTAATGAACTGTGAGCTAAAGCAGAGAGGCTGAGCAGAAAAATAAATAAGTGGCAGAAACTCACCCCTGGAGTGAGGCATGGCATGTCCTGGCTGGCACCCCATCCTTCTGTGTACATCCAGATGCTGATGCTGGTTGGATACTGAGAACAGCATGTCTCAGCAGTGCTACACATGGGAGCCTAAATCATGAGGATCCAAGGTTCCCTGCAATTGTTCTTTTTATTTTGTCTATCTCCAGGTGACCTCTGGTTGAGGAAGAGACAAACCATGTGTGCCTCTGAGCCCTAGAGAGAGTTAGTCCCTCCTGATGTCAGTGCCCCCTGGGCTTCTCAGAGTGTCAGGGGCATTATCACCTGCTAATTATCCCGCCAAGACTTCCTTTCTGAAGGTGTTGATTGCCATTGCGTGGGGCTTGGGTTTTTTTGTCAATTAAGTTAGATTTGTTTGCTGACATTAAATTGTTGTTACTGTTATTGTTAGTTGTCTTTTATATGACTAGATTTTTTTAACATCAGAAGTATAAAATAAAGGAAATTATTCTCATTGAACATATTCTTTGTCGTTTGATAACATTAATTAATAAGACTTGGCAAGAGCACAGGAATCTGTGCAAACTTTATTTCACCAGTAGAATTTTTTTAACTTGAATTTGATCAGTCTTTCCCAAATCCAGAATTAACTCCTGGTATTGATATCATCTTTTGAGTTCCTTATGATCAGAAACAATGTCTGCTATTGTTTTTGCTTATTTCATTTTTCCACCATCCCTAGTAAAGTGCAGTTACACTATAGATGCTAAGGAAATCCTTATGATGGACCCTAGGAAAATCTCAAAGGAAAGAAATGACAGAATGACTGATTAACGAAGGATTATCCCATAAATCAAGCATTACAACCGAGAGAATCTACGACTAAGTAGGACCATGTTTTGCTTCACTTCAAGTTTTTATATTTTGGACTTGCTACTGCTCAAATTAAAGTTAATGCTGGGTCCAGAACATAGCAGGTTGACCTGGTCCCACTTTTCACTCCCCTAATGCAGGATAAAAATAACAGCAATAAAGCTAAAACACTTACTGAGCACTTACTATGTGCTAAACATTTTAATGTGTTATTTAATCATGCCATCACCCTAAGGTGATATCTGGTCGTGTTATCTTTATCTCACACTCAAGGAAAGGGAGACCCGGAGGACTTAAGAAATTTGTTCAAGATCAGGCTGATGTAACTGGCAGAACCAGAATTCCAATGTCTGACTCCAGAGTGCCTTAACTACTACATCAGTTATATGTTTTGTGTCTCAAACTCGCTGCAATACCATAACTAAACTTTGATGCAGAAAAGTCATTTCCATCCCCTGTAGGATGCTGAAAAGTAAATAACAGGTGCTTGGGGCAGGTGAGCTTCATTGCTCTTTCTCATTTTAATCCACACCACTGATCTTCTCTGCTTATTGGCATAGGCAGAGAACTTGAACACAATTTTGAGGTAAGGGAGAAGGAGAAATAAATTGGTAATAGGGAATGTGTTTAGAGCCTTAACCACAGCATTTGAAATAGACCTTTAAATACATGAAAGCAAAAAGAAGGAAGCTTGTAGAAGAGATGGAGTGGGTACCACATATGTTCTCCTAAAAATTCTACCTGTAGTTTCTTGTTTATCCCCAACAAATGAGCAGATCCATGAGACTCACAAAGAGTAGATAAATTTCCTCCATTCAGTGAAATTCTCTTTTTTCATGTTTCTGTGAATCGAGTAGAAATGTTGCAAATAAGCACACAGCAGATATAATGGTTCAGTTCAAATTTAGAAATAAATTAATAGGATCTTCATAACTTTAGGATTATTTAGTCTTTGTTTTTTTTTTTTTTTTTTTTTTTTTGAGATAGGGTCTTCCTCTGTTGCCCAAGCTGGAGTGCAGTGGCATGATCACTGCCCACTGCAACCTCAACTTCCCAGGCTCAGGTGATCCTCCCACCTTAGCCTCCCGAGTAGCTGGGACCACAGGCATAAGCCACCATGTCTGGCTAATTTTTTTTTTTTTTTTTGTAGAGATGCGGGTTTCGCCATGTTGCCCAGGCTGGTCTCAAACTCCTGGGCTCAAGCGATCCTCCTGCCTCAGCCTCCCAAAGTTCTGGGACTACAGGTATGAGCCACCACATTCAGCCAGAATTCATTTTTAATTGAAACAATCTTCTACTTATTATCTCATCAAAGCCTATTTCTTGAAGGCTGAATGTCTTGGATTACATTCTCCAGAGTCACATGGTTTCAATTCATTTGTTTATTTGAAAAATATTTATTGAGCACCTGCTATATGCCAGGCACTGTTCTAATGCTGCAGATGCATTAGTGAACAAGACAAATAAGGGCCTGGCTTCTTGAGGCTTATGTTCTGGTAGGTTAAATAACATAAACAAATACATGATCAAGCCATGTGAAAAGCTGTCACAAGAGTGTCCCAGCAGAGAACACAGAAGAGTAAAAACAAACAAGGCACATTTGAGGGCTTCAGAGTAGTAGACAAGGACCAGAATGTCAGAGTCATGTAGAACAGAGTCTGAAGGTTGGGTTTTACTCTACGTGTGGTGCTAAGACACTGGGGGGTATTGAGTGAGGGAAAGGCATAATCTGGTTTCTGTTTTCTGAAGCTCACTCTGGCTGCAGTGGAGCCCAGGAGACCCGGAAGGAGCTAATGCATAGCTAGCGGTAACAGATCATCGTGGTAGCCGTGGAGATGGAGAGAAAAGGATAAACTCGAGATCTATTTTGGAAATGTAGCTGACAGAATTTGCTGACAGAATGGATTGGATTAGATTGGAAAGGGAAGAGTCAACATTTATTTAGAGTTAGGTTGAAGGAGAATGGCCAGTGACTTGGCAGAAAAAGCAGCAGAGAATGACTACACGGAAGCCAAGAGAAGAAAGCGTTTCATAGATCATGTCAAATGCCAAGAGGTTGAGTAAGACACTAAAGAGAAGAGGTCGCTAAGTTAGCAACCTGAGGGTTGTTGGCCTTGACAATAGCCAATTGACAATAGGTGATTTTATTTGTGTCTTGAGATTTTTTTCCAAGGACAGATGACTTCATTTTTGCTTCACCAACAGGCACCATTTTTAGGCTGGCAGTACCCTCAGTGTTTTATTGGCATGTATGCTGGGCTTAGCTGCCACCCAACTCAATCGTCAGCTGGCTCCTTTGCCCTCTGCATCTCTGTGACCTATAGCACTGATTACTGTGCAGAAGAGTCACTGTGAACACTAGACAGTGAGTTCCTGAAGGCTAGGACTGTTCCTTGGGCATCGCTGAGTCCCACCAGGGAGCACTTTTCCTGGCTTCTAGTAGACACTCAGAAGTGTCTGGGATAGGCCAAGGTGGGTAGATCACCTGAGGTCAAGAGTTCCAGACCAGCCTGGCCAACATGGTAAAACCCCAGCTCTACTAAAAATACAAAAGTTATCCAGGCATGGTGGCACGTGCCTATAATCCCAGCTACTCAGGAGGCTGAGGCACGAGAATCGCTTGAACCTGGCAGGCAGAGATTACAGTGAGCCAAGATTGTGCCACTGCATTCCAGCCTAGGTGACAGAGCAGGATTATGTCTCAAAAAAAAAAGTGTCTGGGATAAACAGGTGGATAAACAGGCAGAAGGAAGCACTCCTCCAATCCCAAATTCAAGTGCTGTTGGCACCTTCTGCTTCACCAATATTAGCATATATGGTGGCTGGTGCAAATTCTTATGTACTTATCCACCCCTCCCCCCTCTCACACTCTCAAGGAACAAGGACCCCTGTCAGGCTCACCATTCAATTCCCTGAGTCCACACAAGGAGTGCTGGATCTCAAAAGTTGATGCCCAATATACTGTTTTTTGTTTGTTTGTTTGTTTTGGGGGGGGGGTTGTTTGTTTGTTTGTTTTTCTTAAAAAAAAAAGAATCTTGGAAGAAAGAAGGAAGGAAGCCAGCAAGGAAGGGAAATTGGCTCACCAATTATGAATAAGCCAAATTCCACATGTAAGCAAGTACAATCATTTGGAAGACATGGCTGCTTGAAAGAGAATGACCAACTCTGTTGAGACGCAGTTGGAAAGGCATCCCTCTGTGAGCAGTGGGGAGGCCATGGCTTTGATCCCTGACCACAGCTGATTGCTGGAGGGCTCTCGCTGTAACGTGACCCCTGGCTTCTGACTCATCACTGGTGTGTCCTTGCCATACAGGCTGCTCCATTCCATTCCTCAGAGCTGTATCCACCGAGGAGAATTCGGGTAACAAACATTCCTGTATTTAAATCTGAGTAAAGAATGTTAGCAGCGCTGATTCAAAAGGTCATCTCGGAATTCTCCCTATCCTGAGCCATAAGCAGAGAAGCATCTCCCAAACAGTGCTTTCTCTGGAACAGTGAGCCCATACGAAGAACAAGGGTTTGGGTAGATGCATACCCTTGGGAAACTGTGCCAGACTCCCCCTCCCAGAGCCTCATAGCAGCTATTAGCACATTAAAGCGCCAAGAGGTCTTGGAGTCAAAAACAAAAATGCATCTATTTCACATTGGAGTCACATCGCCCTCATCCAAATTCAGCCACATGCAGTGGGCAACAAGAACAACAAAACTGCATGTTTTTCCTAAGAACGTGGGCCTAGACACTAGCTCACCCTTTCGTCTGGTGTCTGAGCAAAGAAACAAAGATGTTTCCCAACTCTGGAGGAGAAACTGGCCATGGGAAGGGCCCACTGTCCCACATACTACGTGTACTGTACTCTTTCAAGAGGAGTTTTTGTCCTACAGGATTTTCGCCTCCCACCCTGACACTAGAACCCAATCCCATGTAAGCTGCAGCATTCTGCATCAATTTTCTTTAGGGAGGCCCTCGGAGTATTCTCAAGGAGCCGATTCTTATGTCTTCATCTGGGATCACGGAGAGTTACTGACTCCTTCCTGGAGTGTCACATGCTAGAAACCTGTGTGCAGGCTTGCCCCCAGATGCTACAAATCTCTAAAGATACTTCCAAGCTATATCTTTTCTAAACCCGCAGTGCTTCTTCCCATGATGTGTAGAGCTACTTTGCCAGGCTTTCTTTCTGGGTTCCCCCCTCCCCAGAAAAAGGTGCTGTTAAACTAATGTTACATCTCACAATTAATGGCATCCTAGAATCGGGGAATACCGTTGATTGTTTGGGTAGGACCTTTCCCTTGCTCCTTTGCAGGGCCAGGCGCTTCTGAAAACTGGGTGCAAATTTGGGAATGCTGCATAGGAGACTCATAGGAAATAGATAGGTCTAGGGCAAAACATAAATTGGGGGGCATAAAGGATGAAAGAGTCAGTAAACCATTTCACTATGATGAATCCCACTTTACCTGGAAAAAATAATCTTTTTTTTTTCCAGAGAAAGCAACCATTGTCTTTGTTTTACCATGCTGGAACTACAGATGTCTTAAGATTTGGTTTCTGTTATTTGTTTGTTTATTAGCGTCATAGATACTTTGCTTTTCTCCCCCTGAATTATTTTCTCAAATTCCGAAGCCTTCTCTAGGGGTGCATTTTCCTAAGATAACAATGGCTTAGTTTACATTGTGGCTGTGGTTTTCTGCTCATCTTTATAAGTGGCTGCCTCCACCCCATATGTAATCTTCTTAAACAAGCACCTTCTTAAATGAGGCAACCCTCTTAACCAAAGCGCATTAATAATACTCATTATTAATGAGTATATGGTAGTGCTCTTCTTATTAATGAGAAGGCTGCGGGGCCGGGCGCGGTGGTTCACACTGTAATCTTAGCATTTTGGGAGGCTGAGGCAGGTGGATTACTTGAGGTCAGGAGTTGGAGACCAGCCTGGCCAACATGGCAAAACCCCGTCTCTACTAAAAATACAAAAAATTAGCCAGGTGTGGTAGCACACATCTGTTATCTCAGCTACTAGGGAGGCTGAGGCAGTAGAATCGCTTGAACCTGGGAGGTGGAGGTTTCAGTGAGCCAAGATCGTGCCACTGCACTCCAGCCTGAGTGACAGAGGGAGACTCTGTCTCAAAAAAAAAAAAAAAAGGGTTGCTGGCTCTGACTGACACCCTAATCCTGTGACCTGCATTTGTCAGCTCTGGGCATCATCCTGATAGTGACACTAGCTCCAAAAACATGAATCAAGTTTCCCGGTGCGTTTAAGAAGGCAGGGGCTAGATGGTGGCCCTTTGAAAATTTTCCTCCCACTTTCTTGGCTGAGCTGCCTTTGTCATATTCTTACAACAAACCCATGGGTCCCTAGGGTTTGGTGGTGAGGAACTTCTAGCCCTTATGGCCAACCTTTGCCTTAGCTGCTCTTTGAGGTGGGTACTGGTGATGGTGGCAGTGCAGAGCCAGCCTGGGAGACAAGTGGGGTGGCCAGAGGAAGAGGGTGTACCCCAGAGCTGCCCTCCTCTGTGGCTTGTAATGTTTGTGAGCCAAGAAACCACTGGACTTTTTGCCCTCCCCGGTGCCCCACATGCAGGCTGAAGAACTACGGTCCTATCATTTATTTTTTTTAACCACTTCTCCCCGACCCTCACTTGTCTACACAACTTGTAGGCCTGCCATCAATGTGATTTGATCAATGTTACCACGATCCTGCGTTCCATCCTTTTTAAGTTGTTAGGGGGTTTCTTTTTTGTATTTGTTTCATTATTCAGCCGGCACTGGAGTTGCATTGGACTGGTAGCACATCCTGGGGAGGAACTATCCATCTGGTTTTGGTTTTGATTGGGGGGATTTTTAGGGGGAAGTGCTCATTTTTCCTGAGATACCTGGGCCTATATCTTCCCCCTGTGTCTCCTGTTTAGCCTTTCCCACTCCTTTTTCAGAAGTGAAAGAGCAGACAGAAGGTCCCCTACAAACAGTTAACTACGGTATTTTCTCGATTCCAGGATGACATTAATTGTAAGGTGCCACAGCCATTAAATAGCACCTTTTCCCAGGTCCCAGGGGCAATTCAAGGACAGTCTCGTCATCCACCCAGCACTGGCGAGCAGAAAGAGATGGGTATAGTGTGGCAGTGCAGGGCATGGGCCTGGGAATGTACCAAGAGCAGCTTCTAGTGCCGTATGACTAGGTCATAATTAATTCACACATGCCCTTCTTGTCTTGTGGGAATCAGGTGCTTCACTTTCCCTTTGGCTTAGAGTTTAGTTCAAAATAGAAAATAATGAAGCTACAATGGTCTGGGAGTTTCCTGCTTCTTGTGATACCCCTGATAATTGTCATGTAAATTAACTAGTCCCATAGCAACTAGGCCACACATAGGAAAAAAACCACACCACTGCCAGATGGTAATTTAGGAATGTGATTTTAGTTTTCAGATGTAAAGGATGGTGAGGGAGTGGCCTTACTATTGTTTTATTTTTGATTTCTTGTTTAATTGATGGTGGTCAGAGAACATTAGTTATAGGTTATCCATTTTATAATTCATGATAACTTCCTTTGTGACTAGCTAGCATGTGAACCACTTTTGTAAATGTCTCACGTGATTGAAAAATGTATATAATCTCTCTGTTGTGGGCAGAGTTCCATATATTTATTGTATATTTTGTAATTTAGATCATGTATTATTAGAAAATTTATTTAATGTCTCTCTTGTGTACAGTATTCCATATATTGTTTATTTTGTTTAAATCTTATTCATTCTTGCCATTTTTTGTTTGCTTGCTCTGTAATTTCTGGGAAGAGAGTTTTAAGTCTCCTGTGATAATTCTAAGTGTGTCAGTCTCTCCTGTAACTCTGACACCTTTTGCTTTACAATTTTGAGGCTGTCCTGTTGGGTATATGTAAGCTTAATTGTGAGGTCTTTTTAGTAGTGGTGTCTTTGTGCCTATTAATGCTTTTGCCTTAGGTTCTATTTTATCTGATTAAGATTGCTATTCAATTTTCTTTGGGTCAATATGTATTTGCCTCATTTATTTCTTTCCAATCTTTTATTTTCAACTTTTCTGTGTCATTTTGTTTTAGGTGTCTCTCTTGTAAAGCAGTATATCGCTGGCTTTTTAAAAAGTCCAATCTGGCCAGGCACAGTGGCTGATGCCTATAATCCCAGCACTTTGGGAGGCCTAGGCAGGCGGATCACCTGACGTCAGGAGTTCAAGACCAGCCTGGCCAACATGGTGAAACCCCATCTCCACTAAAAATACAAAAATAAGCCAGGTGTGGTGGCATGTGCCTGTAATCCCAGCTACTCAGGAGGCTGAGGCAGGAGAATCGCTTGAACCCTGGAGGCAGAGGTTGCAGTAAGCCGAGATCGTGCCACTGCACTTCAGCCTGGGCGACAGAGCGAGACTCTGTCTCAAAAAAAAAAAAAAAAAAAAAAAAAAAATTCCAATCTGATATTGTCTTTTAATAGGTGAGTTTTATCCATTTACAATTATTGTAACTACTTTATATATTTGGACTTATTTCTAACTTCTAATTTATATTTCCGTTTACATTGCTTTTTGTTTGCTTCTTTGTTCTCCTTTTCTGCCTTCCATTAGATTAGTACAATTTTCCTTAACCTGTCCCCATTTTTCCCCCTGGTATCTTGGTCACAATAGATTTTATTTCTAAAATCTATATGTTTAATGATTGCCATTACGTTTTTAACATGCATACAGAACTTTAGTTTTTAAAGACTAAAGTTATCCACAATCTCTGTCTTCTCAGATAACACAAAAATCTTTGCATACTTTACCCACTTACAGTCAACTGGTAATTACAATAAAGAATTGAAATCATGGCCCAAAACACTGGCAATGCTTCTCAGCCTACTAATTCATAGGGGATTAGAGGCACCCTGATTAATTTGTGAAGCATGAACTTTTGGCTGATTCACTGTTTTACACCCTGAGATGCTTTGGGGCACATCTCAAGTTCAAGTGATACTTCATTCACAGCTCATAATCTCTCTCTCAAGTTCCCGAAAGTGTTCTGAAGTAGGATTGGACAAAGGGGAACTCAGAATCCTATGATCCACTACTAGGACCTATTTTCATAAATCAGATTTGTCATTTGTCATAATTTTCAGTGAGAACATCAGGGGGCTCCTCCTCCCTGCTTGACACCTGCTTCCCTGTCCTTTGATTCTCAAAACTTTACTGTGCATATACATCGTCCAAAAAATCTTGTAAAAATGCAGATTCTGATTCAATTCAGTAGGTCTGTATTATTATTATTATTATTATTATTATTATTATTATTATCAGAGACGGAGTCTTGCTCTGTCGCCCAGGCTGGAGTGCAGTGGCGCGATCTCGGCTCACTGCAACCTCTGCCTCCTGGCTTCAAGCAATTCTCCTGCCTCAGCCTCTTGAATAGCTAGGATTACAGGTGCCCACCACCACACCCAGCTGATTTTTGTATTTTTAGTAGAGACGGGATGTCACCATGTTGGTCAGGCTGGTCTTGAACTCCTGACCTCGTGATCCGCCTGCCTCGGCCTCCCAAAGTTCTGGGATTACAGACATGAGCCACTGCACCTAGCCCAGGTCTGTATTTTTAACATGATCCTTGGTGATGCTGGTGCTTTTGGTCCACAGAACCCACTTTGAGAAGCAAGAGCTTGGAGAATAGAATTTAGCTAGGAAATTTAAGTTTCAGCTCTAGGTCATGGTTCCTTGATGCTTACAGAATAACAGATAAAGAAACTTTCTCTTTGAAGGGGTTGGGGTTCAGGATTATTTTAATTCTAAAGGTCTCCTTAAGGTCTGGCAGGGTCTCTCCATCCCTCCTTGGGCTCAGATCAGACTGGCTAAAAGTGAGTGGTCATTCAGTGCTCTGTGAAGTCCCTCCACCTCCACCCCCATTTCCTCTGCTGTCCCTCTTGAGGTCAGCACAGCACACACTTATAGTCTCAGGCCTGTCACTGTGTCATTTAGATGTGACTCATGTGAGTCAATGCCCTGAGGAAAAGTCTGCCTGGGGTAAGGGGCAGGCTTCCTGGTAATTTATGTTTAAGACAAGCTTTTAATAGAGATACACTCCTAAGTAGTAACCAGGAAAAAGATTCTCTCCTCTTAACGGGTATCCATTTATAGGACTCAGCTGTTGAAGCTCAAGGGTAGCATTAGGCTTAAGCTTAATCTTCTGTATACTGTAATTTACAGCGCTGAGTAAAGCATTGTATGTACAACTATTTCAGTCATTTGCCATGATAAATAGCTATTGCTCTTGGCAGAGCAGAAACGCCATCTATGCTTTCCATTTATGAATATTGAATTGTCTCAGGCAGGCTTTTGCCGTAAGTTTTTAAAGGGGAAATCCCCAACTAATCACATCACTGCACTGGCCCAAAATGTCATCTCCCTGCTACATGCACCAGTCAGATCTTGATCCAGGCAGCAATTCTGCAGTGCACGTGTTTCTGGTGAAGCCTGCACAAAGCACTTGTAACAATTCCAAATGCAAGTCCTGCTAAAGGCTGCAGTTTTACGCCGAATGCCACGAGCTGTTAGGGAGAAGATTCAGCTGGTGGCAGAACGCCACTGGCAAGGATCAGGAAAATAACTTAGAGGTGACAATCTGATGCAGGAAAAATGGAAGGGGCATGATTCTGTGGGATTCCTGATGGTGAAAAGATGATGCCACCTATTGAAACTAAGGAGACAAAAAGGTAAAAGAAAATGCCCAGGCTATAAATCCCTAGGGATCTACTCTTCAGGAACTCAGAGACACTTATGCCTTCTACCAGTCTTCTCTTCAGATACTGTATGCCCTGCTGACTGGGAGGAAGCAAAGTGGATATTCAAATAGGACATCCAGGTAGAATGACCATCTTGTCCTGGGAAATCCCTTAGGCCTGAGTCAGCCGGTCACCCTACACTCAGGCTTCCAGAAATTTCCCGTCTTCGCCCCCATTCCTTCCCACCAACAAACTTCCTGTGCTCGGGGGACTAAAATACTTAGGCTGGCATTCCTTAATTTGTCTCACATTTCTGATCACCCACTATGGGCCAAGCATTGCCTGAGTGGTGGGATAAGAGAGTCAAGCACGAACACGAGTAGAGACAGCAAACACACAAAATAGTGTGCCGTCGCCTGTTTTTGAATACCGTGAGGTAGACTGGCATGGTCACGCTTCCATGGTCACGCTTCCAGAAGCCACTTCTCAGCAATGTCTCTGGAAGATGATTCCTCTGAAAACAGTTGAGAGTCTTCTGTACTCACGACTGCCTTTTGAGCTTGATCATTTGCCTATAGAAATATCTTCCATTTCTACAGTATCTTGCTGTTTCCAAAGCACTCTTGTAGCTCACTCATTTTCATTTTCATAACAACTCAGTAAGGTACACTGGCGGAAACTGGTTTCACAGATTTGGAAGCTCAAAGAAATTCAGTGATTTGCCTGAGGCCACACAAGTGATAGGGGCAGAGCTGGGACTAGAAGTCAGGATTCCTGACTCCCCACAACTGCATTTTCCATGGATAGAGACCCCAGGGGGGGAAAAGGCTTACAGAGCAGCAAAAAAATGCACCCAGTACAGGAGGCAAATTTACTTTTATGAAACTTCCAACATTTACAGTTTCTAATTCTAGATTTACATGCAATGAATACATCCTCTAGCTGTCTTCTATCTTCCTTACTCAGGACCCAAGCTTTCTGCAATAACTATTTGAAAACCAGTTTTACGATTTTGACTCTGAAGGAAGATTACTCGTCTTCTTGTAGGTTCTAGTCTACCCTTTCATTGCTTGGCCAGAAGATTCTATCAGAACAAAAGTTATGGTCATTTCAGCAGATGCTGGGAATAAATCCCTTCAGCATTCTGATTAGTTACAATGGGTAATAAGAGAACTGTGCAGACCAAAAACTCCAAGTACATGTTTCATGCATGTAAACCTACTCGTGATGGGTTTTGGCTGAAAGCTAAGCATTGATAACCTTGCCACCAAAGCTTAGAGTCGCTTGTTAGTATTCTGAGAGCTGGAGTACAGGCACAGATACAACTTGATCCTGTTAACGTCTCTCATTCCTAGGCCACAGATAAGTTTGTTGAATAGGAAGTTGAGAGAAAGCGATCTGGAGAGAGAATTGTATGCAAGTGGCTCAAGTGACCTGGCAATTTGGGAGTCCCTTGCAACCTTGCTATGACCTCCTACCTCTGTTTGCCCATCTATGGAATGGGTATGGTGGTTATATACCAAGGTTATTATTAGAAATGATAAATTTGAAAATGCCTTGGCATGTAACTTGTGCTATAATTATACCTCACTGCCACATGGAAAATAGGCATTTTTAGCTGAAATGTGTAATGAGGTTAGGCAGGGAACATCAGTTGGTGGCAGGAAGAGTGTTCCCAGAGACAAGAGGTTTGAGGAGAGGGGGCCAGATGCTCACTAAGGAGAACAGAGAGATCATCTATGAAGCGTCCTTGGGCATCACGATGGAATGTTCAAAACAAGCACAAAACAAACGTTTAGACGTCTGGCCTGAATTTAGAAACAAATAAGGGGCTTGGAGATGAGCCTCTGTCTTTTCACACTGCAGGCTCTGCACTCCAGCCCTGAGTACCAGTCGAACTCCAGAGGGGTGGACTGGAGAAGGAGGAAGGCCTGAGCAAGCCAGTGCCCACATGGGCTGCAGCTGCTGGGTTTCAAGGAGCTTTCTATCGGAGAGGCAGCAGAGGGGTTCTGAAAGAGCCAGACCCTGGAGCCAAGCTATCTGGGCTTGACCTTAGCTCTGCTATTCACTGGCTGTATGACCTTCAGCCAGTCCTCATCTCTCTGTGCCTCAATTTCATCAAGCTCAAAATGGGGGTAATAATAGTACCTGTCTCAGAGGTTGTCAGGAGGATAAAATAAGTAAATAGGACTGCAACATGTAGGAGAACACCAGACATCTATACACTTAAACACAGCAAGGCACTTCTCTGGCCTTGTGAATTTCAGCACATGGCAGAGAAGAAACAAGCTGGACTGGCTGAGGAAAGCTCACCTCCAGAGGACTGAGTGGGTTAACCATGAATTACATAGTCATTCCCAGAGAGGACGCATGGCGGGAGAGAAGCAGCAAGGATCGTAGCTGGATGGATACATGGCCTTGGCTGGACCAGGGGCTGGCGAGTATAGGGGCTTATGGAGGGCCGGGTTTTGCTCAGGTGGACCCTCTTGAAACTCCCGGTGGGCCTCCCTTCTACCCCCAGGAAAGCTGGAATCTTGGGGGCTTCTGTGTCCCCAAAAGCGGATTCCAGTGGCCAGCATCTTGGAAATTTTTGTGCACTTATTTCACTTGTATCAGTCTTTTCTAGGGTCATTTACTGATATTATACTTTCTCTGCTCTGGAGTCATTCCCCTGCAAAATCATTCCCCTGTTATCTGTCTGCCTCAACACGGGAAAAATCCCTGTCATCTGGAACCCTTGCTTCCTGCCCGCCGTCCTGCCTCACTGCAGTGTGTGGGCAGATCTGCTCTCTGCTGCACACGTCTTCAGAAAGACTGAATTTCGGGCTTTCAGAGCAAGCGTCTTTGAATCCACTGGTGAAAGGAGACAGCAGTCATCTGCTGGTTGATGTTTGCCAAAATGTGGCCTTAGACTGGGATGAAGTGATGGCTCCTGGCACGGAAGCTGGTTCCCCCTGGGTGTACACCCAGCCTGAACAGCTCCTTTAAAACCAGAAGCAATTTGTCATCTTTTGATTCTCTTCCAGCACTGTCCCTGTCACAGGTAGATAAATGAGGCAGCATATGGGTGTCCAAACACAGGATCGTCTAATCCCAGCGGTTTCCCTTGGAGCCGTCACTTCTCGAGGGTGGAGAGCACAGTGGGGTGGTCCCTGGCTTCGGGGTTGTAACCATAAGCATATTTTTTCATCACATGTCCCATTTATATGCATGAAATGCTTTCTCAGAATCTCCCAGCTTCTGTGTCATTGATAGGTGCATTTCTCATTTCAAAATTCCGAAATGAATCATACGTTTGTGAGCTCAACATCTCATGTCTGTAGTTCCACAGAATGCTACTAATCAAATCAATGTCTCGGCACAAACCAACAAGCATCCCTGACTTAAAAACAGATGGAAGTTGAACTTTTTGTGCTAAAAAGACTTGATTACAGAAAGTCAGTGGGAAAGGTGCATACATTTCAGTTTCCTTCACGTTGCACGCACTGTAAGTGGCTTGAGAGATACATTCAGAGTTTTTTACGCAGCCCACGTGGACTTTGAATTTGTTGCTTATATATCGATAAAGCCACCAGATTATGTCCAAGGATGCAATAGGCAGAAGAGGGCTCCTGATCTAGTTGCCAAAACATGGTTGACCTGCGATTCCTTTGTAAATGAAGGATAAGCCTGTGTGGCGAATGAGCTCAGCCCCTCGGCACACCTCCTGCCTATGCCAAAGGGTTGAGTGTGTTTCTGGTCTAGCCAGACAGTTTTGATTTCTTCTGTGGCCATAGGTCACATTCTTCATCCCCACAGCTGCCAGATTAACTAGACATCCTTGGTCACAAGGGCCCAGGCTTGACTGGATCAGTTCAAGTTCATCCCAGATACAGGAAAGTCATCTACTCTGATAGTATTACAGTGAGTCCATAAGCATCTTTGAGACACCTTGAGAAAGGAGGAAATGTGGAGCATCGTCTCCAAGCAGGATCTGTTGAGCATGGATCGGATTCTTACACAGGCTACTAATGCTGGTGACCATAAGAAGTTTATAGCCAGCTCTTCATTATCTATGGTATTGAAGGAGAAATCTAGCATGAACTTTAAAATTTCAAAATAAATCCCACAGTTTAAGCTTTAGCCGGGGATTTCATACTGGAAACCTTTTAGGGGAGAGTAGTATTTCCTTTTATGTTTTCCCAATTAGTAGTTTAATGAGCAGCAAGATGACCCAAGGGGGATGAGAGACAGCACAGGAGGATCATTTGCCTGGGGTTAAGAGATGAGTCTGGGTTCCTGTTTCTGCCTCTTTCAGACTCTGTTCATCTGCAGACTGTATGTGTTTGCTACATCTGCTTTGTAGGATCAGCATCTACTTTGTAGGATCAGGGAAGGATCAAATGAGTTAATGAATACAGATATCCCAAGCCCAGCACACAATACAAATGAGCTGTTATGACTTATTTAGAGGGTTTTTTTTTTTTTTCTGACCCAGGCTGGAGTGCAGTGGCGCCACCTCTGGTCACTGCAACGTCCACCTCCTGAGTTTAAGCAATTCTCCTGCCTCAGCCTCCTGAGTAGCTGGGATTACAGGCATGCCCCACCATGCCTGGCTAATGTTTGTATTTTTAGTAGAGACGGGGTTTCACCATGTTGGCCAGGCTCGTCTCGAACTCCTGACCTCAAGTGATCACCTGCCTCAGCCTCCCAAAGTGCTGGGATTACAGGTGTGAGCCACCACGCCCGGCCTAGACTTATTTTAAGAGAGGTGGCAAGAACTCCTACTTCAAGGAAGATGGTAACACTGAATAGTTTGTTCATTAAGACAGACAGATGCCTAAGTGAATCTTTGAAATAATCCTGCATTTCATTCATGGTGGAATCTCATAATCTTTTTTTTTTTAAGCCTAAAAGCCTGAGCCAGCTGTACATGATATATTAAACCCACACATTTACTTACTTTAGAAAGGTTACTATTTTGAGAGTATGATCGTTCCTGGAAAAAAAAATTTTGATGTGCCTCCTGTCCATTGAAAAGTTACATATAAAGAATAATTTCCATTCCTTGGATTATGTCTTCAGATTCCTGCATTCTTTTCAAGCTTTGTAATAAAGCAAGGGAAGAGAGTATTGTGAACTCCTTGAGGAAGACATTCCCTCTCATTCCTCCACATTGCCCCAGAGTTCACCATGTCTGACAAATAGTGGGTATTCAGTCAATAGCTTATGACTGAATGAATGATTTAGATGTTTAATCCTTTAAGTCAGTGATACGCAACTTGTAGTCATGTGTCAGAATCCCCTGGAGGGCTTGTTAAAATCAACTGCGGCTCCCCCATCCCAAGTTTCTGATTCAGTAGATCTGGGTTGGGGCCCCAGAATGTGCATTTCTAGCAGGTCCCCAGATGACGCTGATGCTGTTGGCCCTGGGACTATACTTTGAGAACCACTGCTTTGGGGTCCACTCCACTGCTTAGGTCCATTGTGGTTTTTTTTTTTTCTTTAAGCTTTGCCAAGCCTTCTAGAAAATTGACATCTATCTCTGTCTGATTTTGCTCCGTTAAACTGAGATTGATTTTGTAAAAATTACTAGGATTTGACCAGATGGAAAAGCTACCTGGATTTTTTTGTTTTTAGTTAAAAACTACAGCCGGGCACCATGGCTCATGCCTGTAATCTCAGCAATTTGGAAGGCTGAGGCGGGTGGATCACCTGAGGTCAGGAGTTCAAGACCAGCCTGGCCAACATGGTGAAACCCCATCTCTACTAAAAATATAAAAATTAGCTGGGCATGGTGGCGGGCACCTGTAATCCCAGCTCCTTGGGAGGCTAGGGCAGGAGAATCACTTGAACCCGAGAGGCGGAGGTTGCAGTGAACCGAGAACACGCCATTGCATTCCAACCTGGGTGACAGAGCAAGACTCCATCTCAAAAAAAGCAAACAAACAACAACAACAAAAAAAAAACTACATTTTGCCCCATGTATAATTATGAAGGAAGTGACTATCAGATTGCCACCTCCTGCATGGGTGTCTATGCTAGCAGGACACAGCTGGTTGGGGTGAAGTATAGCGGCCCACCTTGCAGCATTTAAGCCAGATTGCATCTTCATCCAGTTTTGGAATTCCCACCTAGTGTCAAATGCACTTAATGGCAAAGCTGAAATGAGACATGACCTTTTGCAGAAATTGCAGATGAGCAAAAAGGGCACAGGAGATGAGCATATGATACAAAGGGGAACATGATGTTTGCAAAGTCTTCTCATGCTGGCTGTGGGCCTGGCTGAAGTTATTATGCCCCCAGGTTTAAAAACAAGAGGCAGCCTCATGGCCTGAGGAAGACTGCCCTCTGCAAAAAAGTCATTCTCCTAATGCCAGATGTCACTCTGGATGGCAGGCAAGAGTGGAATTGCAAACCCAGGTCCTGGGGAGCTCCTCCCTCCTCCATTCCCCCTTCTTGGGAAAGAGTCCTTGAGACTGTGAGGACTGAGTGGACACAGAGGGATGGGTCAGTGGAGGGGGCAACAGGGATACCAGACATCCTCAAGAGAGAAGAGATGAAAATAGAACCTAAGAAGGGAATTGAAGGGGAGGAGAAGACGAGAGCCTTACCCTAAAGTAGGAAGAGTGTGTTAGTAACCTGTTGCCGCATAACAAATGACTCCAGCGTTAGCAGCTTAGAACAACAAATCTGTGTTGTCTTGCACAGTTTCTGTGGGCCAGGGATCTGGGAGTGGCTCAGCTGTGTGGTTCGGCTCAGAGTCTCTCATGAGGCTGCAGTCAAGCTTTCATCTGAAGGCTTAACTGGAGTTGGAGGACCCACTCCTAAGATGACTCCCTCACATGGCTGTTGGCTGGAGGCCTCAGTTCCTGGTGCTCAGTACCTTAGGCCTCCCCACAGCCCTGCTCACAGCATAGCAGTTGACTTCCCTGAGAGCCAACAACCCAAGAGAGGGAGGGAGAAAGTCAAAATGCCTTTTATGGCCTAGTCTCAGAAAGGACACGCTGTCACATCCACTCTATTCTGTTCATTAGAAATCAGTCTCTAAGTCCAGCCCACACACTGCAGGAAGGGAATTGGGCTCCACCTTTGGAAAGGAAGAGTGTCACCTCAGTGAGACTCTTGCCAGGCTCAGAAAAGCACAAGAATCATTGACAGGGCCTTTGGTGTAAAGATGAGGAGGGCTGCAGCCATTGGGGCCATAGGGATGCACCTGATTGGGCTGAAGAAAGGTGATTGGGTAGGGGAAGGGGCATTAGAAACTCTCCATGGGCTTGGAGCCTACCATCCTATAGGGGTTGTGCAGGCCCCTTCTCTCTTTCAAGCTAAAGAGTGACTTTGCTTACAAAAGCAAAGCCACCTATGAGTCCCAAGGCTCAGATTTGGTTCCAGAGAAGAGAAAGACAGGGCTGGAGGCTTAGACCCAAGGCTGTGCTGGAGAAAGAGCAGTACACAGCACTGTGCATCTCCTTCTAGGTTGTCCGCCCTGCCAGGTGCCCAGTAGGAAAAGAACAGGGATTGAAGGCAGAAGGGTGTCAAGGAGTAAAGAGAAGCTTCTGGGCTGTGATTCTCAGGAAAGTCATTGGGAGGGAGTGTTAAGCAGGTGGTGGAAGAACCCCACTATTTTTTATTAAAATCCCACTTAGGATGATAGCTCAGTCCTGCCAGTAATGGCAGCAGTCAGCCCTTCATGGCTACAGCTCCTGGGTTGCACAGAGTCCCTCCCATGGGGTGGATGTTTGTTTTGGCCACCCTGGCTCCATAAATGGATTCCATGTAGCAGTCTTCTTTTGAGAATGCAGAGCCCTTGGGGTCATATTGTACTGTGTCTGTTCTTATCTCCCCTATCATCCCCAGGGAATAAGCTAATCAAACTTACTGATGATTTTACACTGAGAAGGAGATAGCTAATAACTTGGATGACAAGTATTAGAATACAATGTGATGTGGATAAATTGGGTCCATGTATTAAGAGCTATAAAATGAGATTCTATCAAGGCATGAATAATGGTGCCCATGAAAAGGATTAATCAAATACCCCATTAAAAAGGTATAGGAATTCAGGTCTTGCACTCCTGCCCCCACCCCACCGCCATTCCATTCCCCCTGAAACTGCTTTCTACTAGGAGAAATATGGAAAAGAGTTTAGAGGAAGTAATGGAAAAATTGGGACATACATTTTGATAGAACAAGATCATGAAGACGCATTTAAGCAACCAGTGTTTAATTTAGGGGGAAACATGGCAATTGGCATGAGTAATCATTTACAAATATAATTTCCAAAGGAGCCATGTTGATACCATTCAGCAAATGCCAACAAAGCATTTACTTTCCAAAGGGAGAAAGCAAGACAACAGGAGAAATGAAGGCATCTCCAGGAGTGGACCAGAGAGCAGCCAAGCCATAGAGAAGCATCAGGTGTGAGAATGGAAAACGCAGAAGAGACGTACAACTTCTGAAAGATCTCAGAGGACTGGCATTGTCTGGAGACGGCTTCCTGGAAGAGGAGACTCCAGCAGAGCCCTGAAGTGTGGACAAGCTTCCATTCACTGCAAATTCGTGAGCACACTCTGGTGTCAGGATCTAGTAAGGAAATGGGCTTGAGCAGAGCAGGGGGTACCTGTGGGGTTCTTCTCTTCATTTTCACCACCACAAAGCTGGTCTAAGCTGCCATCAATTCCCACCTGGACAACTGCAAAAGCCTTCCAGCTGTTCCTGCTTCCACTCTTGCTCCTCTACAATTCATTCTGCACGCAGAAGTCAGAATCAAAATCAAAGTTCATCATGTCATTCTCTTGACTTGTGGCTTCCCTTTGCTCTTAAGCTAAAAGTAAAAATCATTATCATGGCTACAAAGTCTTGTGTGGTCTGGGCCACATCCTGTGCCAGGCTCCCTTTCATTGTCTATATTCCAGTCAAGCTGGCCTTCAAAATTTCAGCACATTGGGTCTTTCTGCCACAGGCCCTTGCACATACATGCTTTTCCCTCTGTACATGTGATTTTCTTTCATCCCCGCTTTCCAAAGCTAACTCTGACTCATCCTTCAGACTGCATCTTAATGATTACTTCCTTCTGGAAGACTCCCCTAATTTTCACAACTAGATGAGCTCTCCCTTATATGTTGAAAACAAGTATTTCTTGTGTGAACAGAAATGTTTAATGTCTGCCTTCCCAACTCAGCCACAAGCTCTGTGAGGATGGGGACTCAGTCTTTGCATCCCTCAGAGCCTAACATAGTCTCAGTTAATACGTGATAGCTGGAGCGTGACATTTCATTAGGAACAGTGAGGCTAGTTGAGAAATTATACCTCACCAGTATATAGGAGAGTACCATTAGGAATTCTTAATGGGATGAAAACCTGAATTCATGTCTAGACCCTGCCACCTGCTGGCTGTGCTGTTTTAAATAAATTGCAGATCCTCTCAGAGCCTGTTTCCTCATATATAAAATAATGGGGATCCTAACAGCCCCCTCATATGGTTGTAGCAGGAATTTAATTAAATAATATATGGAAAAGCATTTTTTTAACTGTAAAACCATACATAAATATCCTTTGTCACTTTTCCCAGTGCATGACACACTGGGTCATTAAACATCTATTGGATGGGTGGATGGTTGGATAGATGGACAGACAGATTAACAGTTAGGGGGCCAGTATGAGTGACAAGAGGAGAACTTGGCATATGGAAAGCATGATGGAAGCCAGAAAAAGGAGAGACTTCCCAGAAGTAGGAGGAGGCTTGTTGATTCATCCACAGTGTCACATGCAGTAGAGCAGGCAGGAGAATGAGGGGGGAAAATCATTTAACCTGGGTGGAAGGAAATCACTGGTGACCTCCAGCTGATTCCTCCTCAGCCTTTTCATGTTATCTGGGCTTTCAATGACATGCCTTAATTGTAACTTAATCACTTTACTGATTTCTATCTTTGGGGGGGGCGGAAATCAAATTGATTTGCACATATGGCAAAATTGGTAAGATTACTCCAGCTGCTGCCAGCAGGTGCTGACAAGTAAAGAACTGAATGTCAGAGAATAAGAAAATACACTAAACATTTATTTTAATAAGGCCTAGAAACCTTAGTTATTTAATAAATTGCCATGGATAATTGGTTTCAGTTTCTAGAGTTGTTTCATCTTTAACTCCCTGTGTTCCAGAAGGAATCGTGCTGGATGTGTAGACAGGGCCTTGTGGTTTGAGACCTATCTGAGCTATCACACATTTCTCTGAGCATTTTCCTGTCTCTCTGATCACACCCCACTTCCTGCCACCACTCCCAGCATCCACCTGGGATAGGTCACTCTGACATACACACACACACACACACACACACACACACACACACACACACTCACTATCCAAGCTGCCAGTCTTCTTATTGGCTCCTCCTCCAGCGAGGAGGTTTAAGCCTCACCTCCCTGCTGGGCCCTGATCAAGCTGGTCTGTTTGTGTATGAATCTTGGGAGTGAGTGGCCCAAGCTGGATCTGAGCCCAGCATTTATCATCTCAGCGCTGCCTCCCACAGAAGAAGGAAGACATAATGAATAAATGAAACCCCATGACTGTATCAACATTCATCAACCCATTACTCCAAACGTGGCTGATAAAATTGGGTACCTGGATTAAAAAAAAAAAAAAAGTAAGAATAAACTAAAAAAAAGGCCACTAAATAATATTTTTATATAATTTAGTATATTTATTATATATTTAACATTTTCTGTGTAGTAGTTGGTGATGTGTTACATGGGTTTATGGGGAAAGGAGGCAACATGCAAGAAAACTTTAAAATGGTTCAAAGAAAGGATTTGAAGCCTTACCACCCCCGGCCACCCCACGGACCCCCTTCCGCAGGGATGGCTCAAGATGTAAAGACAGAATCGTGCCTGTCTCCATTCTCTTCCCCGTACCTCCCAAATCAAGGGCCTTTTTTACTGTCCTGTGTTCAGATGTTGAGTGTCATCAGCAGAGTGGTTTCCTATGAACTGATACACTTCGTTTGCTAAGAAGGAAGGCTAAGGCCCTGGTCTATCTACAGATGGCACAGTCCTGAGAAGAACCAGCACATTCTACCCTGGGCAGTGTAGGGAGGTACAGAGTAAAGACTTCACACCTGCATTCTGCGGTAGACCCTCATGGAAAAACTGGGTGGTGGCCAGGGAGGCCTAGGCACAGGCAGGGGAGGGCCCCCTTTCAGAGTGGCATGGCAGGGGGCCACAGAGCCAGAACCTGTCACCACTGATCTGTCCTCCACTGGCTACCAAAGGAGCAAACCCCAAAGCTCTTGAGTCCTTCCAATGTCCAGAAACGTGAGGCTAAAATCTCCTGCTTCACACTGAAGAGTGTGATGGTTCAGAGCCGGGCTGGGAGCAAGGTTCACTGCTCAGCCAGCCTTGTCTAGCTCCTGCTCTGACTGAGTGTAAATCTTCTCATGTGTGGAAAATGGGTATAATCATGCTTCTCAGAGAGGTGGTATGAGGATTAATCACCGTCATGGATGTAACATACTTAGATTGAGCCCAGCCCAGGAGGAGAAGTGAGCTGATGGAAGCATGGAAGGCCCTGATAGGTTTATTCCCCTTGCGAAGTTCTGCTTCCCCCTTCACATATCACTGCTGGGAGCCAGCCCAGCCTGCCCACCAGGAATTTCATTCCACCATAGCTCTTAGAGGCCGAGGTGGGAAACCTCAAGAAGAGAGCAGTCCATGAGGGGTTTTGGAGTAGGGACTCGGAAGAGGGACAAGGATGGAAAAAAGGCTTAGGGAAGAACTATGGAATTCCTAGTGATCCAGAGAGGGCCTGGAAGAAGAGCACCAGCCAGCTGGGAAGACAAGTACTTAGCCTTGAAACAGAGCAACTGTGTACCAGGGCCCAGGCAGGGTAAATTCCAAGGAGTATCAAATCTTTCAAAAAGAGCCAGGCATGGTAGCTCACACCTGTAATCCCAGTACTTTTGGAGGCTGAGGCAGGAGGATTGTTTGATCCCAAGAGTTTGAGACCAGCCTGGGCAATATAATGAGACCCTATTGCTACAAAAAAAAAAAAATGTCAAAATTAGCCAGGCGGGGTTTTGCATGCCTGTAGCCCAAGCTACTTAGGGGGCTGAGGTGGGAGGATCGCTCCTTGGGCCCCGGAGATGGAGGCTGTAGTGAGCTGTGACCGTGCCACTGCACTCCAGTCTGGGTGACAGAGTGAGACCTGTCTCAAAAAAAAAAAAAAAAAAAATACAGAAAGGTAGACTAGGATGGTAACTGAAAAAAAAAAAAAAAAGCTTTTGAATGTCTGCCTTTTTGGTGAAAAAGAATTCAAATTAATTTGGCTTTGAGAATTTTAAATGCACACATCATAATAATTGCATATACCCCAGAGCATTGTAAAATCAGAGTTGGAAATCTCTTACCATCTATACTATAAAAGCAAGAACCTAATCTTGCAAGCAGAGTTTTAAAACTCCTGAGCCCAAGGAAGATATCAGTCTGCCTGTGAAATTTGCCTCCATCCTTCTTGTGATTATCTTTTCCCTCCCTATCCCTTTTTGTCCTTACCTTCTCTCTAGTGAATGTGAGCAGAGAGGAGGCCTCACAAACCTGATTTTTTTTTTCAAAAATACAATCCCTAGGAAAACCAAGGAAAGAAATAAGAATAGAGAGCGAGCATGTGCTCATTTAGGCCCTCGCCTAATTTCTTTTATTCCCCTCTATGTCTTTTTGGCCCCTTTCGTGACTGTACAACTAATGCTGTGATGGTTTTGAAGGTAGTATTTGTAGTCTGTTGGGTGTGAAGGGAGCCTTTTATCATATCCATCTTTTGGGAGCTTTTTTCCCCCTCTGCAAATCGAAACAGGTATTTAATTCAGGCATATTTAATTTTAAGTGTTAAAAAAAACTCCCATCTACTAGTATAACACTATTCATTTATTTTGTCCATCATGTAGGTGCCGTAGCTCTGGAGCATATAATTTAGGGTTCTGGACTTACTGCAGGTACCTGGAGGTCATCACCGTTAAGTGAATGAGTTCTTTATTAGCCAATATTTGATCAAGCCTTGAAAATACTAATAATTATGTTCATGGGCCTGCCTGCTGAGATTAGAAAACGAAAAAAAATCTTAAAGCTTTCATTTCTTGCATAAGTGAATAGCCAGATTTAATCTTCCTTTCATCTGTGATTTATATTTATTACATTTGGTGAGCTTGGTTAGTGGTTTAGATTCCTTAGGTTTTTGCTACATCCAGGTTCCTATTATGCAGTCATCTTTGATAAAAACTAATGCATGCAACCCTGGACCCTAGAGTACAACATGATGCCAAATCCCTTTCCAAATGTGTTTCCTACTAAAGCAAACTATATTGAAAGGCATTAAAGAGAAGCATTCCCTGGTCGCTTCCAATTGGAAATATATATATTTCTTTTTCATAAATCACATTCACATTTTTCTCTCTGTCTCATTACCTCTATTGTGAGCACTCCCTTTGCCCACATGCTCATGAGAAAGTGATTATGGTGGGTTGTGCCCTCCTTAAGAACATGGCTGGCAAACAGAGTTTTTTTAAATGGGTGATTATTTGCATGAAAATGAGTGCATTTGGACATATTGGCATGCATCAAGGGCAAAATCCAGACAGTGAGAAACTGCAGATTGGACAGCAAGAGTCTTCAACAGAAAAATTGTAAGGAAAAGAATGAGGGGGAAATTGGTCACTTAAAATAAGTTTAAAAGGCATGCAAAAAATGGGAGGACTGAAATGCAGCCTCTGACGATACACGCGTGGGTGATGACATCATAAACACACACAAGGACACAAAGACTGTGGAGCCAGGAGTCTGCTTACTTTTGGAGGGAGGTGGGTGGCTACAAGCAGACCAGACACATGGAGTGGGGTGCTTGGCAAAGTTCTGTGTCTCCACCTGCATGACGGTTACCTGGATGTTGCCCTTCCCATCCCTCCCAACGCAGAGCATCTCTTTCGTGTGGTGTTCAGTGCCCATGCTTTATTTTACAATACAAAGCTTTTCTTTTAATGAGTCTACTCAGGGTTCACGTAACCAACAGTCTTTCGGGAATTTCACTTTAGGGATTAGGATCTAATAATAAAATGTGTCTCACTTTTCTCACTAAGAGGGAAATTGAAATTCCAGCTGGAAATTCACCAGTAGGATTGTCTGACAGCTTGGTCAGAAATTAGAGAAAAATTTAAAAAGAGGACCAGTGGATGGGGCTTTTCTAGGCTCTGGCTACAGAAGACTCCCCTGGTCTTTATTTTTTTCCACGTTCATTTATACAGTGAATAATGTAGTTATCACTTATAGTAATGGAATAAGCCCTTGCAAACTCACCTCCTCTAAACAAAAACAAGGACCCTGATGGCAGCCATATTGCTCCCTGCCTTTCCCCTCCTTACCTTGAGTAATGTTTAAAGAGCACAGAGATTTGCTTAAGGGAACCCATCCCTGCTGCCAGCACCCATTTCCTCTATACCTGTTGCCCCTGAAAGTGCCATTCTGAAATGACTACCCTAGTGGTGTGATTTAGGATGTCCTCTAACATCCCTCCAGCTGGGGTATCATTTCTTTAAGGTTTTTTTCCCTGTTAAATTCAGTGCTTCTAGAGAAGGAAACACCTTAATATGAATGAGTTAGGTGAGAGTTCCAAAAGAGGGTAAAACCATAAAGAGTATGACTCTGGAAACCGGCGATGAGGGCACAGGAAGGAAGACCCAAAAAAGAGGTTGCTGGGAGTTTTGCCTTTTCTTTTTTCCTTGTTGGACCTGGCCTAAACTTGTTGATATTTTTCAGCTTATATCTGGAATCCCACTAAAACACAACATTTATGTCTGTCCCCAGGGCTGGATGGTACCCACAGGACTTAGTGCATAGGCTTGAGTCCAAACTCAAGTCATGTTTGGGAAGAAACAGGCCAGATTCCACCCCATGAGGGCAGGGACCTTACCTGGTTTTGCTTACCATTCAATTCTCAATTCTTGGCACAGTGCTTGGCACATAGTAGGTGCTCAGTGAACATCTGATTTAAAAAATGAACCAATAGACTGAGTATGGTGGCTCATGCCAGTAATCCCAGAACTTTGGGAGGCCACGGGGAGAGGATTGCTTGAAGCCAGGAATTCAAGACCAGCCTGGCCAACATAGTGAGATCCTGTCTCTACAAAAAAATTTAAAATATGCTGGGTGCAGTGGCTTATGCCTATAGTCCAGCTACTCAGCAGGCTGAGGTGGGAGGGTCCCTTGAGCCCAGGAATTTGAGACTGCGATGAGCTATGGAAGGCAGCTACGCTCACCACTGTACTACTAATGCTGCACGATGTAGACCACGGTGAGCTATGATCGCACCACTTTACTTCAGCCTGGGCAGCAGAGTGAGACTCTGTCTCTTAAAAAAAAAAAAGAAAGAAAGAAAAGAAAAGAAAAGAACAAATAAACAAGGGACCAGACTAACAAACAGCTTGAAGCAAAAGAGATAGTGCAGAGATCTTCCAAGATGGGCAGTGAGAAAGTGTCTGTGGTCTCTCCAGGGGCTGCCAGGGATGTCCTTCCCCTCTCCTCCACTCCTGAGTGTTTTCCCGTCTGAAGCCCAGGGTCGACCACCTGTGCTCTGTGCCTGCCTATCCTCAACAGGAAAATCAACCAGTATAGAGTTCTTGAGACGTCAGAGCTCTTACCGCAGTCTATCCCTCTTGCACAGCACGTTTTGGGTCATAGAAGTATTTTCCCACAGATTGTCTAATTTGTGCTATACAATACTCCCATGCAGTGGGTAATTCCCACCTTACAGAGAGGAAACTGAGACCGAGAAGGATTAAAATGGCTTTTGGGGGGGCAGAGCTGTAACTAGATCTCAGAACTTTGGATCCTTACAACCCACATCCTTTCTACTGCACTGTCCCAGGCACTAATGCAGACAGAAAGCCTCATCAGGATTCAGACCTGCCCTCAAGAAGCTGAAAATATGATTCTGAAAGAGAAAACTCCCATAAATAGTGAACATACCAATAAACATAGAGCAGCACTGCCTGATCCTTTCCCAGTTTTACTCCTCAAGGATGCTCTGAAAGATGAGTTAGCTGTTGCTTTTTCTTAGAAGGGTTCTTTCTATGTAAACTTATTTCCAGAGTGTAGAATGGGTGGTTCAGCCTGTCTTCAGCTGTCTGCTGTAATGGAGAGGAGAGGGAGAGCATAAATAATAAAAACCCAAAGTTAATCCCAAAGATCCCATTTTAGTCACTTGTGTCAATCTCACACTCCAGCAGACCTCTTTAGAAACAACCACATCATAGATAGGAAAAAGAAAGCAAAATATCTAAATAAAAATCCATCTATAAACTAGATAATCTTCACCTTATACCAGTGTCATCTATAACAGAGTTAAAACTACTAACACAGAATGTCCGTGCTTTTGGACTTTCTTCCTCCCAGACTGTATCACGTGTATTCTCTCATTTGATGTCTCAATTATCCTGTGCAGGAGGTAGGGCTGATGTTGAGGTTTAGAAAATTTAAGTGACTTGTGCAAACCCCAGTGGCCACTTAGTTGCAGAGCTGCAACTTGCACCAGAGCTCTTTCCAGCCCCCAACTCTTTTCCCACTTCTACAACCGCCCCTATCTCCTCCAGTGGCTTCTCCTTCAGCCGTCCTTGAGAAAGACTCAGCAGCAGCAGCTCAGCCACCTGTGAGTCTGCAGCACTGGCTCTCACCAGCTCTGTGGCTCACATCACAGTGGTTAAGTGTTCACTGACCACTTGGCTGTGTTACAATCATTTAATTAGTCTGTGTCACAGAGGAAAAGATGCTTTATTTAGAAGCCTAATAGTGAAAACTTCTGAGTCTTCAATTCACTATGGTCTTCAATTCACTATGAGCTTGGTGGCATTTGGATGATCTTGGGGTCTTCCAGCTGTGCTCTTAATCCACTTTGTACCGGGAGGGTAAACAAGGGAGGGCTTTGTTCAGGGTGCGGCCACTGTGTTGAGGACTACAGGAAGGTTGTAGCTGGGTTAGCTGAGACAAGACAGACAGGAGGAAGGCAGGATAATGAGAAAAGCCACATTTTAGGACCTTAGGAAAAATAACCAGACCTTTTTATGCTCTTCTTGCGATGAAAAAAGTGTAGAATTTATCTTCTTGGGACCTGGGTTGGGGCAGTCTCAAAGTTCACATCCACGTGACAGTTGACAGCCAGTGCTTCTCAGCCTCAACTACATGTTTGAGCCACCTGGGAAGCTAACACTCTGCATAGTTCCAGTGGTAGCCAAGCATGGGAATGATAGTCAGAGGGTGGTGTGGTGGCTGTCACACATCCTAGACTAGGGTGAACTACATTTCCTAGAATTCCCTGTCCTGTGAGTTTCTAATTGGGATGGAGCCTAAGAGAAATTCTTGGGAGATTCCAAGGATGGAAAGGCAGCAGCACTTTGCAACACATACGTTGTCACTCATTTGCCAGCCGGGCCTGCAACTGTTCCACCTTCTGGATCCTCCTTCAGCTTCTCTGACTCCTGGGCCAGGTGTGTGCATTTAGCTCCATGCTGAAGAGCTGCAGCTTCTGCAGGACATTTGTACCATCGAGGTCAAAGGCAACAAGAAGTGACATGAGTTTCAGTCCATCTTCATGAGGTTCCAGTTAAGGCCTGTGAATTCGCAATTGTTCTTCCCGACTGCCTGTCCTGTGAACCTCACATACTCACATCAGATGCAAAAACAACCACCTTGTAGAAGCTGCTTAACCAGCTCTTACTATTGCAAAAGGTCAATACCTGAAATAAATTCATGTAAATGCTGATAGATATGTCTGTACTGTATTAATCCTTGTGTTCTGCTTCTTCCCTTGAGAGCTGATATGGGTGGTTTTCAAGATTATGGTTGTTTGAAGGATTGCTATCTACCGAAGGAGGCCCAGTATAAGAAAGAGATTCCAGTGATTTTGATCCATGGAAAGGCAGAGCTGACGGCTCCCTGTCTCTACCCCCACATCCCCAGGGGGACACCTGAGGGGCACCCTTTGAAAATCCTTGGTAGATGAGTAGTCTTCAAGTCTAGTGGTAAATGGGAGGCCCCTGAGGAGAATCTGAAAAATGCAAATTCCTGGGTTTACCTCAGATCCAGAAATCCAGCTATCAAATGACCAATCTGAAGGTGAGACTTTTTTTTTTTCTTTGAGACAGGATCTCACTCTGTTGCCCAGGCTGGTGTGCAATGGCAAGATCACAGCTTACTGCAGCTTCGACTTCCTGGGCTTATTCAATCCTCCCACCTCAGTCTCCCAAGGAGCTGGAACTACAGGCATGCACCACCATGCCCAGCTAATTTTTTTTGTATTTTTAGTAGAGACGGGGGTTTCCCCATGTTGCCCAGGCTGGTCTCGAACTCCAGAACACAAGTGATTCACCCGTCAGGCATGAGCCACTACACCCCAGCCTTTCTGGGGTGCTGGGAATGTCATTTCTGATCCAGATGCTGGTTACGTGGGGATTTTGTTTGTGAATAGGCATCCAGCAGCACATGTGTGATTTGTGCCTTTTCCTATATGCATAACTCCATTGAGAGTTTTATAACACTCCCACCTCCCTCCCACCTTCCCATCCATCCCTTCCCATGGAGTATGGAGTAATCCCATACTCCAGTGACTGGCCAAAGCTGAAAGCCACTAGACTGCATGATTCCTTAGACACCCTTCCTGGCAAAGTAAAACACAGAGAAGGGAAATAGAAAAATGTTCAGCAATTGGGGAGTAGTTAAGTCAAGATACATTCATCATTCTAATGATATAATCCTATGCCATTATTACAGCATTGAAGGAAAAAACAACAGTGAGGCAGCCAGTCAACTTGAAGCAACGAAAGTGGGTTGCAGGAGCTATGAGAGAAGCCAGTTTGAAAATCACATTGGAACCAGATCGTGGAAGGCTTTGAATGCAAACTGAGGAAAAGGAAAAGCCGCTTGCCAAAGGAGTGATTGATAAAAGTAACTTTTTTTGTTGTTGTTTTTTTCGAGACAGAGTCTTACTCTGTCGCCCAGGCTGGGGTCCAATGGCGCAATCTTGGCTCACTGCAACCTCCACGTCCCGGGTTCAAGTGATTCTCCTGCCTCAGCCTCCCAAGTAGCTGGGATTACAGGCGCCTGCCACCATGGCCAGCTAATTTTTGTATTTTTTAGTAGAGACGGGGTTTCACCATGTTGGTCAGGCTGGTCTCGAACGCCTGACCTCAGGCGATGCACCCGCCTCTGCCTCCCAAAGTGCTGGGATTGGTGGCTCACACCTGTAATCCCAACACTTTGAGAGGCCAAGGAGGGAGTTCAAAACCAGCCTAGGCAACATAGCAGACCTTGTCTCTACAAAACAATCAAAAATTAGCCAGGTGTGGTGACACGTGCCTGTAGTCCTAGCTACTCAAGAAACTGAGGCAGGAGGATCACTTGAGCCGGGAGGTCAAGGCTGCAGTGAGCTGAGATCTCATCACTGCACTCAGCCCGGGCAATAGAGTGAGATCCTGTCTCAAAAAAAAAAAAGAGCAATTATAAATCTAAAATTATATTATCCATCATATTTAACTGCTCACAAAGTATGTTGTTTGAAACACAAACTTAACAATGAGCAGGCCCCGGGGCTGCAAACAGGGACTTACCCTTCCTTGGAAGTCAAGACAGACTTTTCAGTCTCAGCTTCTTTCTAAAGTGCCTGCAGTCTACACATGGTTCAAAGTGCACTTAAATGAGTGGGAAGAAAAAAGTCAATCCCAAGTTCTCCCATTTTGAAGACCTCATAGGTTCCTGTGGGGTACAGCTGTTAAAGGCAAATTAAGATTTTAGGTGTATCGTGCAGGTGCATAGTGCAGGAAGAACCTTCACAGACTAGTCCATTTTTAGGCAGTAAGTGCCCAGAATACAGCCAACAGTGATCCTCAACGGTGGGTTTGGACCTGGGGGAGAAGGAAGCAGGGGTGACAACAGACAATTGTGTTGATTTACAGTCATCTCTGAAGCTTTTTGAAATAAAGAAGTGGAGACCCTACCTGAGACCTGCCAAGTCAGAAGCCCCACAAGTGATCTGGTGCTGCCCAGATGAAATCAACCTAATGCTGTCTACTACTTTCTTTAATATCCAAGGATATGAAAGATATTAATCCAGGGATATTAAGGGATACAACCTCTCACTCTTTTTTTTTTTTTGAGACAGAGTCTCACTCTGTTGCCCAGGCTGGAGGACAGTGGCTCAATCTCACCTCACTGCAACCTCTGCCTCCTGGGTTCAGGTGATTCTTGTGTGTCCCATACAACCTCTCTTAGTGGCCCCTTTTCTCAGGGTGACAACTGTGTGTACATCCTGCCCCTATCTCCACCCCCAAATGACAACTCCGAAGACTAGAACTCTTGAGCTTTCAAAATAAAGGTAGAATTAGACTTAAAATCATTGGTTAAGGACTAAAGATATTGTCAAACTTCTTTTGAAAAGCCCACTTTCTTTCTCATTCTTGTTTGACTTGCAGTATGATGATTTTACCCTTCCTTACTCTCCTGTACTGTAACTATACCCTAAACTCTATTTTGAGGGCTATCCAGAGAAAATTCTTTAATCCTGCAAGGAATTTCCTCTGAAACCCAAAACACTTCCAAACATTTCTCCACCAACCCCTTGGCCTGTGCAGACAGAATCTAAACTCATATTAACATTAGTCTCAGTCTAAAATCATCAACAAGACAAATCTAATAAGGAAAACAGTAAGGTGGGGCATTCCAAAGTGAGGGGCGAATTCCTGTGCCCCCAAGCTGTTCCCTTCCTTCTCCTCATGCAGATAATTTAGAATGGTGCCCAAGCATTGTCTCTCTCACTCCTCACATTCCTCCCCAGCAGAGGGCCTTCCCCCAAACACTCTGAAAGCTCTTTTCGTTTGCAGTTTTTTCTTACTAACATTTTTCAGGAAAGGAAAGTTTACTTTAGTGTGCCCTGCTGCCTCATGAGACCACCTGACGATCTCCTTATCTCCGGGGTGGGCCCAGCTCTAGAGACACAGGCAGCCCTGTCCACACTTGGCCCTGAGTGCTGTTTTGCTCAGCTCCCCAGAGAGTTTCAAGTGGCAGAGGTACACAGTGCAAAAGCCCCAAGCCTCAGGCCTGAGGGAGAAGACTCTGGAAGCAGGAGGGTGAGCCTCAGCTTTCTAGCTCAGTCATACCCAGGCCCAGGTAACCAGGGGGACACCTAACTGTGTCACTGGCAGGAGGATTCCTGCAACATTGGTGCTGGGTCTGCAGAGATCTCACGAGGGCATAGCGTAGGACCTGTCCATTTGTGTGGTCCAACAGGTAACATCCAATCAAATGGAACTACAGAGCCATGCAGCTGGAGAGAGATCCCTAAGATGGTCGGATCTAACCTCCCCAACCCTTTATTGCAGTAGAGCAACTCGGGACCTACTGAGACCAGACAGGCAACCCAGCCAGAGTCTCACAGGTAGAGAAGAGCTGGACCACTCTCCTAGACATTCCAGGTCCAGCATCCCACCGCTGCCCTTTGTCCCTTGTCACAAATGCAGACTAAGTCTGCTCTGAATATGTCTTCCCATAATCATTTTATTAGAGTTGGGTGTTGTGTGTGCAAAAATCATGCTCAATGTGTTTTTCCTTTGCTCTTACACCACAACAATCATCAACAGAAGACTTCTTTTTTTTTTTTTTTTTTGAGATGGAGTTTTGCTCGTTACCCAGGCTGGAGTGCAATGGCACGATCTTGGCTCACCACAACCTCCACCTCCCAGGTTCAAGCAATTCCCTGCCTCAGGCTCCTCAGTAGCTGGGATTACAGGCATGTGTCACCACACCTGGCTAATTTTGTATTTTTAGTAGAGACGGAGTTTCTCTATGTTGGTCAGGTTGGTCTTGAACTCCTGACCTCAGGTGATCCGCCCACTCAGCCTCCCAAAGTGCTGGGATTACAGGTGTGAGCCACCACACCCGGCCAACAGAAGACTTCTAAGACCAAACATGTTGGAGTTTTTCCCACCACCAAGCAAACAATCACTTCCACAGTGGACACCAGCTGGATGTCCTCTAATTCAATTCTGACGCTATGTACCTAGACATCGCATCAGATCCCATAGGGTGAGGGCTCAGTCCCCAAGACTCAGTCCCCCCACTGTCCCACCAGTTGCAAGTCTGGGCCTCCAGAATTTCTGGCCTACTGGCTTCAAGTTGGGACTCTTACAACACCCTCTTTGGGTTCAATTAATTTGCCAGAGTGGCTCACAGAACTCAGGGAAACACATTTACTGGTTTATTATAAAGGATATCTTAAAGGATACGAATAAACTGCCAGATAAAGAGATACATAAGGCAAGGTCTGGGAGGGTCCCGAGTACAAGAATTTCTGTCCCTATGGAGCTAGAGTGTGCCACCCTGCCCTGAAAGTGAGTTCCTCTTAATCTTTCTGTAAGCATCCACGTGTTCAGCTATCCAGAAGTTCTCCGAACCCTTTTGGGTTTTTATGGAGGCTTCATTATGTAGGCATGATTGATTAAACCACTGGCCATTAGTGATGAACTCAACCCTCAGCCTCTCTCCCCTCCCAGAGGTTGGCAGGTGGAGCTGAAAGTCCCCGCCCTCTAATCCTGCCTTGGTCTTTCTGGTGAACAGCCCCCATCCTGAAGCTACTTACCCGCTGCCATCAGTCAACTCATTAGCGTGCAAAAGACATCATTTTGGCGCTTCTAAGGATTTTAAGAATTGAATGCCAAAAAATGGGTTGAAGACCAAATATATAGTTCACAATATCACAGGGGCAAATATGTTTTTCTGTTTTTAATTCATTGGACAGATAGCGCATGTATCTACTACAAAATTCAAAAAAATCACAGAAGGGTATACAGTGAAAAGTCTCCCTCCTACTCCTGCCCGCAGTCACCCATTCACCATTGCAGAAGGCAAGGCTGTTCCATCCTCCCAAAGATAAGCAAGTATACATGTGTATATTTTTCCTTTTTAAAATAAATGAGTGTGCATTTTATGCATCATTCTGCTCCTTGCTTTTTGACTTAATAATGCATTCATTTATTAATCTAGTAAATACAGTACTAAGGAGATCCTATTATGTGCCAAGCAGTGGCTGGGATTCACAGAGAACCACATAGATTCCCTGTGTCTAGAAACTTCCTGGGGGATATAATAGTAAACAAAGAAGTGTATGATGTCAGGTGAAGAAAAGTCAGTGCAGGAAGGGCAGAGTGCTCTTTTGCACAAGGTAATCAGGGAGTGCAGTCAGCGAGAGGGTCTTGTAGATACTTGGCCAAAGGACTCTAGGCAGAGAGGGCACCAGGGGAGAGACGCAGAAGCTGGGGACATGCCAGGCTCTCATGCCCCTGGGACAACACAGGGATGAGATGCCTGAAGTGTCAAGGAGTGAAGAATGTGAGAAAAGAGATTGACTGCTCAGGGAGGGATCCAGTCAGGTAAATCCTTCTAAGGATGCAGATTTTATTATAAGTGACACAGAAGCCCTTGGATGGTTCTGAGCCAGAGAGAGACATGCTCACTGCGGTTGTTGGGTAGGCAATACAGTGTAGACACAGGAAGGGTGGGAACAGGACACCGTCACAAGGTGCTTGTAAAAGTCCAGCCGAGCAGTCCTGGTGGCCTGTATCAGCCTGGTGGTGGCGGCACTGAGGAAAAGCCAGATTCTGAATATGTTTGGAAAATAGGGCCCACGTGATTTGCTAGGATATGGAGTGTGAGAGAACAACAGGAGGTTAGATGAGCCTGAGGTTTTGGCCTGAACCACTGGGGGAATGGTCCACTGAACCTGAGACAGGGAAAAGCAGGGGAAGGGAGAAATCTAACCTTTGGTTTGGGACATGTTATGTTAGAGGTGCTGAGTCAATGTTCAAGAACTGGCAGTTGGATATAGGAGTGTGGACCTCAGGTGGAGGTCAGGGTTAGAGAGACAAATTTGAGGCCCATTCACACATAGGTGTTACCTAGAGCCCTGGGAACAGATGGGATTAGAGCAGCTTCCTGACATTTTTCACATCATGGCTCCACTCTGGGTAAACAGAGAGTAAGACCGGGACTCCAGGGCCTCCTGCCCCTCCCAACAGGCCCAGCATCGTCCCAAAGGCCAAGGGGATCGGTTGCACCTGCCACTCCTTTGCAGCTTCTTGCATTGCGTGGCCATGCAGTGTGAAGTAGGGGAAAGAGCCCCTAGAACACAGGGCAGCTCGGGAACTGGTCAGCTGGGTGACAACAGCCGTGGACCCCTCTCAGCCTGGTTGCAGCACCCAGAAGTTTCAAATTATGTGGTCTCTGAGGACCTTTCCTTCCAGCTGTAATGTTATTTGCCTGTAAGTCAAGTGGTACGAGGCGTACAAACGGAATTCCCGTACACGGCCCACATGAAAAAATATATTACAAGGATGTTAAAAGAGAAAGAGGAAAGAGTGTAATCAATTGTGGAGTGCTCCTCTGGGGAGAGGAAGTTAATTTCAAACTTACCGAAAAGTTGCAAAAACTGTCCACCCCCTCCCCTATATATATGTGTATCTATACAGATTGGTTTTTTAATATATATTTATATTTTTAATTTTTTCCTGACCCATTTGAGAGTAAGTTGCAAAACTGTATCCCTTCACCCCTTAATATTTCAACATGTATTTTCTAAAAACAAAGATATTCTCTTACATAACCAGAGTACAATTATCAGGAAACTAACATCATTGATTAAAGCTTATTCAAATTTTGCCAGTTATCCCTTAGAGCAAAAAATAGTTGTTGGCCGGGCACAGTGGCTCATGCTTGTAATCCCAGCACTTTGGGAGGCTAAGGCAGATGGATCACCTGAGGTCAGGAGTTCAAGACCAGCCTGGCCAACATGGTGAAACCCCATCTCTACTAAAAATACAAGAATTAGCTGGGCGTGGTGGTGGGCGCCTGTAATCCCAGCTACTCGGGAGGCTGAGGCAGGAGAATCGCTTGAACCCAGGAGGCGGAGGTTGCAGTGAGCCGAGATTGTGCCACTGCACTCCAGCTTGGGTGACAGAGGGAGACTCCATCTAAAAAAAAAAAAAAAAAAAAAGTAAAGAAAGAGTTTTAATCCTGGAGTACATATTGCATTTAGTTGTTGTGTCTCTTCAGTCTCTGTCATTCATGGCCTTCATGTTTTTAAAGATTACAAGTCTTGGATTTGGTTTACCTGGTGATTCCTTGTGATTGGATTCAGGTTTTGCATTTGTGGGTGGAAGGCTTTTTTAAGGGGGTAAGATCTAAGTCTGGCAAGTTGGGATGAGCCCAGAGGGAGATCAGGACAGTGCTGCTGACACATGGAGAACAAGCCCTTTGGGTGGGGACTGGGCAGCTCAGAAACCTGAATATTCCCCTAAAAAAAAGAATATTCCCCTGGTGTGGGCACAGAGCATGTTAAATATACTCTAAGCTCTTGGGCAAGATAAGGGACTCTCTCCCTAGCGGATTTAGTCTCCCACAACCATTTAGATAAATGGTTGTGCATGTAAAATGGATTAATAATGTCAGTGTTTGGAAAGTGCCTGCCCAGAGTAAGCCCTCAGCATGTGGTAGCCATTTTTGTAGTGTAGAAGGACACAGACCCAGGTTATTCTGAATATATCTAATAGATCATTGTTTCTGTGTGGGGATGTGTTGTCTCATTTAATCCTTTGGTGACTTGAGAGGTGATGATGTTTCTGTTTTTTAACAAATGGGAAAACTGAGGCACAAGGAGCACAGCCATTTAGAGAGAGAACTGGGCATTGAACCAGACCTCAGCCATCAAGCTCATGCTGCAACGTGCTGTTTCAAACCCATTAAAGGGTTTTCTCCGCAATCAGTCCTTGCTTTGCTTTGCTCAAAACAAGACTTAAATAAAGACGCCAGCTCCATTTTCCACTCATGTCAGTGATTGATACTTGATTAATGTTCAGGATTGCTGTCATCTAGAGCATAATTTTCGCAGATGCAAAGACCAATTTTGTTGTTACTGAGGCGGAAAGATCTATTTCCTCATAAGTTAGCAAGCAGATTTGGAGGGAAGCATGAACCACAGGGTGTCTTGCTGACTGATTCTGAAAGGAAGCTGTGCCGCATTTGGCATTGTTAGCATTTATGGCTGGTGGGTCAGAAGGTCCAAGAAGGCCACATGAGTGTGGCCACCTCCTAGGCTGCTGCAATGCAGCTATGTAACATTCAGCATAGTCACGGACTTCTAAAGCGATCATATCTGCTTTCTCAGTGTCGCCCTGAGTGGCACAGGGAACCTTGGAGAGCTCCCTTCCTTGACTTTCCAGAGGTGACAGTGATTGTTAGAGTCCTGTAAACTGCCTCCTTATGCAACCGAGAATTCTCCTGAAGAAGACTTGCTGCTTGTCAGAGACAGTGAGCCAGCCGGCAGCCTCCCTGGGACTCTTACTCAGGTGCAGCTGAAGGAGTACTGGGTTCCAATCCAGCTTCCTGCCACACACTGCCTAACCGCTCTCAGCTGTTGGCAATAGGAGCAATGTGCTGAGTACCTGGCCCCAGTTCTTGGCACAGATATGTAATCATTCTTGGTTTTTCTTCTTCTCCTTTATTTTCTGTCTGTTCTTTGCCTCCGTGTGGATCCCCTGTACCTCTTCCCCTCCTCTGACTCCCTCAGTAAAATCAAGAGTTATTTTATACCAAAATATAAATCAATTACAGAAGCTGGGAGGCCAGATCTGACAGCTCCCACTCATCTCTGACCAGGAGAGGAAAAGACCCTTCAAATTCTAATTTGAAAAGCAATGAGCTTGACCTTCAGAGGTTGGGCTGCCCACAAAGAATCACTTCCTGATTTTGGCTGGGGAGATAAGGACTGGAAGTTGGGGAGGGCATAAGCATGTTGAGAGGGGGAGAGGTGAATCGTGGGATGCTGGAAGATACTCGTCAAGGGAAGCTATAGGATCCCCAGCCAGTGACCTGTTTTGGAGGAGGGCCCAGGCTGTGCGTATGTGTTTGGGAAGTGGGGGTAATGGCTGGCCATCTTATGTTTAAAATTAAAATAGCTTCCCTGGAAGTATGAATATGGAAAATAAACAGTCTGCAAGCTTAGCTAAATGGTTGTGCGTGTAAAATGGATTAATAATGTCAGTGTTTGGAAAGTGCCTGCCCAGAGTAAGCCCTCAGCATGTGGTAGCCATTTTTGTAGTGTAGAAGGACACAGACTCTGGAACCAAATTGCCTGCATCCCCATCCCAGCTCCAACATTTCTAGTTGTGCAGCCTTGGGAAAGTTGCTCTACCTCTGTGTGTCTCACTCTACCTTTATGTGTCTCACTCAGTTTTCTCTTCTGTAAAATGAGCATAAGCATAGTACACACATAATAGGGTGGTTGTGAAAATTGGGTGGATTCATGTACAAAAGGCAAATGCCTCACATATGTTAAGCTTGAGGTAAGGGTTATTGCCTATTGTACTGATGAGAGAGTCCATATGAAAATTGCCACTGGTTATTGCTCCGATGCAGGCATATTTGAGAACACCAACAAAAAGGCTGGTAGTCTTGAAATTAGATCACAAGCTTTATTTCAAGGCTAGATCTCTGCAGAAGATAAAGCCAGGCATCTCAACTGCGGGTTAAGAGTCACCTGTAGGACAGAGCATGCTTACTCTTCTGAAGTTCTAGCTCTTGAAAGGAGACAGTTGGGGCTCTTTGCCTCTGTTCGTGACAATGTGTCCTTTGAACAAGGATCTGACACCACTGCATTAGTTTGCGAGGGCTACCATAACAAAGTGCCACAATCTGGATATCTTAAGTGACAGAAATGTATCTCACAGTTCTGGAGGCAGGAAGTCCAAGATCAACATGTCAGCAGGATTGGTCCCTTCTGAGGGCTGCGAGAGAGAATCTGCTCCCTGCCTCTCTCCTGGCTTCTGGTGGTTTGCTGGAAGGCTTGGGCATTCCTTGGCTTGTAGATGCCTCACCCCCATCTCAGCTTTCATCTTCACCAGGTGCTCTCGCTGTGCATGTCACTCTCTATGTCCAGAGTTCCCTCTGTAATGACACAGTCAGATTACATTAGGGCCCACCCTCATGACCTTGTCTTAATTTGGTCATTTGCAAAGACTCTATTTCCAAATAAGGTCACGTTCACAGGTGCTAGTGTTTAGGACTTCAACATCTTTTAGGGAGAGAACCCATAAAACTCACAATTCCTCCACCCATGTCTGAATTGCTGACACTGCCTTCCAGCTGGCCGATCCATCACCCCTCTCTTCCCATCCCACTCACCTTCCACACGGGCTGAAAAATCATTCTTCGACTGCATTTTCACCACGGAGGCATCGTACTGATACTTCTATGAGAAAAGAACGTCAAGCTCAAATGTGTCAAAATCAAACACTATCCTGTTGAAAGGCAAGCTTGTATAATGTTTAGGGAGAGGATATGACCTGGTTATTGGGTAAAGAAAACTAAGGCTTTATTTTGTGTGACAGACTCTCTGTTGGCCCAGTGCTCTGACAGAAGTTCAGTGGGGGAAGGAGAGAAATGGCCATTTGAGGTCATTTGAGTTGGATTTAGATGAGCCTGATACACAAGACCCTCCCTGAGCTCTGTTCTGTCCTGAGAGGAGGCCCACAGTGCCAAAGAATTCACATCTAGAGCTGAGCCTCCGCACATCCCCACTCTGCTGCAGCCCAGCCGCGTGAACTTGGACCTGCCTTTCTGGGGCTTAGGGTTCTCACTGGTCCTGAGGAAGGCTTAAGAATGGAGCAACCGCCGGGTGCGGTGGCTCACGCGTGTAATCCCAGCACTTTGGGAGGCCGAGGCGGGCAGATCACGAGGTCAGGAGATCGAGACCATCCTGGCTAACATGGTGAAAACCCATCTCTACTAAAAATACAAAAAATTAGCCAGGCGTGGTGGCGGGCGCCTGTAGTCCCAGCTACTCAGGAGGCTGAGGCAGGAGAATGGCTTGAACCCGGGAGGCGGAGCTTCCAGTGAGCCAAGATCGCACCACCGCACTCCAGCCTGGGCGACAGAGTGAGACTCCATTAAAAAAAAAAAAAAATGAATGGAGCCACCTTTGACTGAGCAGCTGCTGTGTGTATGTAACTTCCTCTCTAATCCTCACAACAAGCTGCTAAGGTGGATGTTGTTATGCCCATTTCATCCACAGGAAACTTCAGAGAAATTAAGAGACCCCAAAGCCCACATTTCTTGTGTTACGTCACCCTGCCTCTTTAACTAACTCTTGGATCAGTGGTTTTTCCATCCCAGCTACATAGTCCATTCACTTGGGAGAACTTTGGGTTAGCGGTTTAGCATCTCTGGGAGTGGATACTGGTATTTTGTGAGTGCTTTCCAAGCAATTTGATGTATTTCTAGTGTTGAGAACCACTGCTGTAAATGCTTTGTGGATCTTGCCTGTTCTGGAAGCCCCAGAGAGTGCACATTGCCTCTGTGATCGTCACTAAACTCCTCAGCCTGGAGTCTTGAGCCTTCCACTAACCTCTCTTCTCCTTTCCAGCTTTCCCAACCAGTGTCCCTTTGTTGTAGTTTCACATGTTGTGATCAGCTGCCCCTTGGGTTCCTTATGGGTTGGACAGGTCAGCATGGTGCTGTCTGGCCTCTGCTAGGTGACACAGATTCTGGCTTTCTGGCCCTGACTTTGTTCTTGATTCAGAGATTGTCTGCACCAGGTTTTACAAATTATCTCAACCCACTAGTGTATCATGAAATCAGCAGAGTGGTACATTTGAAAATAAAAGAAGGAAACAGAGTGGATCACAGTAAGGGAAAGGTGTGGAGCTATATATACAGTATATAGTCTTCATGAAAAGTACTTATATTTCTTACAGCAGGTTCCAGTGCAGTCAAAAATGTTTGAACTGTTGAATGTTTAAATGAAATGTTTGAACCTATACCAACACATATTTATCATTGCTTTTAGAACCTGGGGCAAAATTCTCCTTCTCTAAGATCATGGAATAGTAGAGGAAAAGACCTAGAGGTCATGTTGCCGACTGATCCCCAATACCAGGGCCAGGCGGCTACACAAGGATCCCTAGGGAACTTGTTGAAAACGCTGATTCCTCAGGCCCAGTGCTGGGAATTATAATTCACTTGATCCAGGAATGTGTATTTTCTGATTCTGAGTTTCATGAACCTCTGATCTAATCTACTTTCTTCATTTGATATTGAATGACATGCCCAAGGTCACATAGCTCATTAGTGACAGAAGTGGGATTCTCCATCCCTTGCCCTCCTCCATCTTTTCACTCCACCAGTTTCTAGAGAAGAGCAAGGCAGTGGTTCTGGCCCAGACTGCAAGGTAAAATTAACTGTAAAAGTTTTTGAAAATGTGGTTGCCCTGGCTAGCCCCACCCCAAACCAACTAAGCCACAGTCTATGGAGGTGGGCCTGAATGTCTGGCCTTCTGGGCGTGCTTCTCAAACTTTAGGGTACATGCAACTCACCTGAGGATCTTGTTAAAATATAGGTTCTTCTTCCATGGGTCTGGGGTGGGGCATTTCTCTTAGGTTGGTGCAAACGTAATTGTGGTTTTTGCCATTAAAAATGGGATTTGAACCCATTTTTTAAAATGGCAAAAAGCGTGATTAATGGGCTCCCATTGATGCTGTTGCTTGTCCAGGGACCACGCTTTCTGTAGCAAGGCCTTAAGGCATGGTTCCAGGTCCCTAAAAGCCTGAAGATTTCCACACCTCTGCCAGCATCTCCCTTGCCTAGCTCAGTTTGTACCTTCCGGATTTGCATTTGATCACTCTTCAGCAGTGATTTTCCACTGTATCATTTATTAAAAGTCAGCCTCCCTAAGTATCTTGTCAGAAGGGATGGACCTTGGTTGCAAATTTTTCCCCCTTGCCCTCCCCACCTCATCCACCTAGTACTGTATTCTTCTCTACAATGTTTACTAAGCTTTGTAACAAGCTCCATGACCAACTCTGGCTTAGCGCTCTGCATCCAGCAAATAGTTATGGCACATCCAACTGGATGGGATGCAAAGGTGCACCAGACCCACAGCCTTTCTTGGAGGAGCTTATTGTCTGGTAGGTGTAGTAAGAAAAATACAAAAGTCATTATAGCTCATGCCTGCTGAGAGGCACAGATACCGTGCAGAGGGGTTGAGAGCAGGGAGCCGGATTACATGGGTTCAAATCCCAACTCAACTACTAGACAGTTGTGTAGTCTTGGAAAAATCATTGATCGTCAATTTCCCCAATTACAAAATAGGGATAAGAATAGTACATAATTCACAGGATTCTTTTACAAGTTAAATCAGTTAACGAATATCAAGTGCTGACAAGTATATGTGAGTGCTAGTGTGATTTAGTTATATTGCTGGTAAGTATATGTGAGTGCTAGTGTGATTTAGTTATATTGAAAGCAGTATCATGACATTTGTGCTAGACCTTGAAGTATTCATCACATTTTGATATTCAGAAGTGGAGAAAGGGCACTCCTGGTGGTGGGAGCAACATGGGCAAAGGCAGAAAGACAGACATACAATGACATATAGAGCTGGGAGTTTAGTTCAACTGACACAGCAGTAGTGCTGAGGGGAGCAGCAGCAAATGGGCTTAGAAAGCCACTTGATGTCAGTTGGTGGAAATCCTTCAAGGCCACACGAAAGAGTTGAGCTTTTGTTCTGGAAGTGACAGAGAGCCGTCCTGGAAGATCTTTTAAATCTATCTTTTCATACAAAGGTTGCCCAGTGTGATGTGGCTGTGAGTAGAGCATAATAACCACTCACCCCTTTTAGGTGGTTGTGGTTATTTTCTTCATCCCTATTCGTGTCTGCTCCATGTTGCTGGTGTGGGCCTCTCATTGTCTGAGTGAACATTCAAAACAAGTAAGTAACCTTGGGCCAGGTCACCAAAAGGATTACATAGTACAGAATCCTCCATCTAGACATTGGAACTCATGGCCCCAAGTCTCTGGGCCACTCTTTGCCATTGGACTCTTGTCACCTTCCAGCCACAAAATTCTTAAAAGTTCATACTCCCCGCTTACGAGCTTTGAGCAGGAACCTGCAGCTCCACGCTGTTGTTACTCCTTCCGCCCCTTCATTATTTTTATGTTTTGTTTTGTTTAATGAGAATTTGGGGTTAGCTATGACATCACCCCCACCTCCAATTAATTTTATACCCAAGGCAGCACATCTTAGGACACAAGGAGGAGAGGGTGGGTGAAGAGTCCCCCTCCCCTCTAAGTCTTAACCCTATATGGTCAAATGATAGGCTAATTCTTAACACACACACACACACACACACACACACACACACACACACGGGGACGTTAGTAGGCAGCATGCTAGAGCTGCATGCTACTATGTGACCTAATGGCAAATTGTTTAACTTCTCTACATACCCAACTGTAGCATGAGGATTATAAGAGTATCTACTTCGTGGAATTGTCATGAGGATGAACTGAGTTTAGTACAAGTAAAGCAGTTAGGACCGTGTGCTCTGCACATGATCAGTGATCAATAAGCATTAGCTAATATTGTTACAATGGAGGAAGTTTGAAAAGTTTATTAGAGTGAGAAAGAAGATTTAATCACCATTTGGGAAAGGCGCAAAAGAGTTTATCAAAGCGTTGTATGTGAAAATCTATGGCAATACATTTGAAAATCTAGAGGAAATGGAGAAGTTCCTGGCAAAATAAAATGTCCCCAAAGAGGTGGAACACCTGAATAGACCAATAATCATAAAATACATTAGAAATTTTATTAAAGAGATTCCCTTTTTTAAAAGTCCTCATGGTCTTATAACCGGGTACTAGCTAGTCTTCAAAAACCAGATAGATCCTTTGTTATTCAAACTATTTCAGACCATAGCATAAGATGAAAATTTCCCACAATTCGTTTTATGAAGCCAGCATGACCTGAATACCCAAACCTAAAAAGAACACATCTCTTCTATCTCAAAAGCTTTGAGAAAAAAAGGTTATCTTAACAGAGAAAGATGGAGAAGAAAGTAAGACTCTGTGTGCACAACATGTACTTGCTTTAAAGCAGTGGGTCTCCACCTGGGCAGCACCAGCCCCCACTCCCAGAGATCCTGATTTAATTAGTCTGGGGAAGAGCTGGTCCGTAAATATGTTTTCCAGCTCTCTGGAACAATTGCTTTAGGGGAACTGGAAATTATATAAGCCCACAGGCCTGGTTTACAGCTCCAATCTGTCCCATCTCAATAAAAGTTCAAGAAGAGACTTTTTGCCCAAACTTTGGCATGATCAGGGGTAAGAGAGCCATTCTTTGGCCATAGATGTGCCAAATCTCCCATCAGAGCCTTAAACGTGTTCCACAAAACTGCAATTGCCATAGCTTCAGAGACCAGAGACCTAGCCAGGAACAAACCACTCATATTTTTAAGTTCTGAGCCAGCAACCTTGCCTGCTGCAAAAGAAGGCCAGGAAAACCCAGAGAGAGTTTTCATCACTAGAATCCAATGGGATTTTAATGACAGACCTGTTCATTATCGTGCTGCAAGGTAATTAAGCACACGTGGCAAGCAGTTCACATAAATAATTAAATAGCAATGTGTGCACACAGTCAATCTATGTTTTCAGCTTCCCTGTTCCTCATGCATTCTGCATTTCCTATATTCAGCCCCAATATGGATAGGACTGTTGCCACTCGGTGACTGAAGCCTCATCACTCAGTCCTGGGAAGCCCACAGAAGAGGGAGGGACTGGATCCTATTTCTCCAGTGGTTGGTGTTCCCTGACAAGGAACTCTAGAGTCCCTTTGGATCACCCATCTTCAGAAGCCAAGAAAATGATTAGCTTTACTGTCTGTCTTCAGCCCCAGTTTTTAAGGGTAAATCTAGTTTCAATCCCTTGTTTCATTAAATAATAAGTATAAGGCAACTTGAACAATTCTTACCATAAAACAATATCAAAAATAAATAAGTGAGTGGATTGGTGGCTTAGGCTTGATTAATATAGATTTGATTAATTAATATATGATTAATTAATTATATTCCTGTATACCTCACACCACCTCCCATCCATAGCAGGAAATCTCACTGGGTCCTCAGAGTCATTGCAACATTCAACAAAGTGAAAAGAAAAGACAAATAATGCCAAGGGGTGGTGCTGAAATGGTCTAATGTCTGGTGTTTGCTTTATAATCTTCCCTAAAAACAACATTTAGGGGGTGGGAATAGATTAAACAGGATTAACGGGATATTAATTGTTGAAACTGGGTAGTAGGCCTATGTGGTGTTTGTTGCACTTTTCTCTTTTTGTGTATGTTTGAAATTTTTCCATAAAATCAAAGCGTACAAGGGAGAATGTTGGGTCCAGTCTCTCTTGCCAGCTGCAAGATCTCATCGCAAAGGTCTCTATGCCTATCGCCAGAGCCCTCTTGAATAAAGTGTGCCTTACCATGTTAAAAAAATAATAATAATACAAGAGAAAGACAACATGTTAATAGGGATGAGCTTCCATTAGCGCATAACTTGATGGAAGGTCCTGGACCCTGAAATCACGGGGAATATCCCAAAAGAAGGACTGGAGTCTCAGTGTAGATACGCTTCTTGTGGTTGGCAGTGTTTATACAATGCCTGGCTGAGCTAGTACTGTATAAAAGGTATCCAGCAGATATCATCATTATTATTGTAGATGTTGTTATTATAGCCCAGGTCAAGGGGATCTAGTGGGAAAGTGGCTGAGGAAAAAAGGATTTCTTCGAGGTATTTAATTTGAAATTGTTTTAGCCCTTATAGGTGAGAATGCACAGAGGAGAAGTGTGAGTCTTTGTTCCCATAGAATTATTTCACCAGCTCAGTCTGGCAGCCTCCACCTTTTCAGTTAATGCTGACAATGTCAGGCACTCTATCAGGAAGGGAAAGCATAAGTGTGGAGGCTAGAAAGTTCCAGAGCTTATGGAGAGATCTGTTCATGGCTCCAGGAAGAATGTTCTAATAGGTATTCTCTCTTTGCTTGCTCCTTTACCTTCTTGCTTTGTCCCATATTTGTATTCTCTCTCACTCTCTCTCTCTCTCTCTCTATTCACTTTGATTAGAGTTTGGAAGACTTAGAATATCTTCCTTTTGAATAGGGCCTGGTCTGGTCAATGATGTTTACATGTCAACATTCAGGAATCACTTTCATTTACTCTCAAGCTCCATCACGTAAGAAACTCCAAAGCCAGCCAGGTTAAAAAAAAAAAAAAACATGAAAGGAGGTTGCTAAAACTTCAGAACAGCACACAATAGCCAACAGAGCCTCAGCTGGAGGGCAAGGAGGGCGGGAAGAGCTGGTGCACGCTTGAGTCAGATGTTTACCAAAGATTATTGATGGTCTACTTAATCTGCAGAGGATCACCTTGACGGGAGCTGGGCTGCCTGTCCTGATTTCTGTCCAACTGTGGAATTTCTGAGTGATGGCAGATTGGCCTCGCCAGCTGCAGCAGCTGCCCCGGGCTCTGAGGCCCACTGAGAGGCAGTCTGAGGAAAGGACTGTAGTTGGGTTTTTTTGTCTGTTTTGTTTGTTTGGGTTTTTGGTTTCGGTTTTAGCATTTACTGACTGAGAATCCCTTATATGTGTTTAGGACTTCATGATGTGGAAAGCTTATTTTATTTCTGAATCATCTCATTGGACGTTCCCAGCATCCCTGTAAGGTGGGCTGACCAGAGGTCTCAAACCCATGTTTACAGATGAGGAAACTAATACTCAGAATTTAGTGATTTTTACAGAGCTACAACTAAATTATTAAGTTCCCTGCCATTAGGAGGGTTAACAATCCAGAGAGAAAGATAAGATGATGTGCCAAATACTATCTTAAATATGCAGTGGCTGGAATTTGGCTGGGGCTCAAAAGGATTGAAAGCATGGATGGATGGATGGATGGATGGATGGATGGATGGATGGATGGATGATGGATGATGGATGGATGGATGATGGATGATGGATGGATGGATGATGGATGATGGATGGATGGATGGATGGATGGATGGATGGATGGATGGGTGGACGGATGGAGGGGTGGATGGATGGGTGGTTGGGTGGATGGATGGAAGGATGGATGGATGGGTGGACGGATGGAGGGGTGGATGGATGGGTGGTTGGGTGGATGGATGGAAGGATGGATGGATGGGTGGATGGATGAATGGATGGATGGGTGGATGGGTGGATGGATGGATGGATGGATGGATGGATGGATGGATGGATGGATGGGTGGATGGATGGATGGATGGATGGATGGGTGGATGGATGGATGGATGGATGGGTGGATGGATGGAAGGATGGATGGGTGGATGGATGGATGGGTGGATGGATGGATGGATGGATGGGTGGATGGATGGAAGGATGGATGGGTGGATGGATGGACCTCCTGGAGGTCAAAAAGTGGATCTTACTCACCTTTGTACCCCTGATGCCCACTACAATGCTTTGACATATAGGACCCACTCAGTAAATATTTGTTGAATGAATAATCTGCTTGTCTATGCATATACTTTGTATGTAGGTAACTTTCTGAGCTTTAAAGAATGGAAAGGACTGACAAATGCATTGTGGATACAATTATTTATGAGCACATATGATTCACCATATTGTGATGTAGAAAATCACCCATTCATTCATGTATTTCTTCAGTAGATATTTTTGAGTGCCAACTATCTACTAGATTCTATCTAGGTATTGGTAATGCAACAGTGAACCAAAGCAGATGAAAACAGGTAAAGCCCCTGCTTTCATGGAAATCGCCTTTTAATGGGCAACAGCAGGCAGCAAGCAACTAAATAGACAATATGTTAGTACTGAGAAAGAAAAGTGAAGCTGATGAGGTAAAAGGGAGTGATGATGTAGGGTTGCTATTTTCACCACAAAGGTTTCTCTGATACAGTGTCATTTGAGCAGAGACCCAAAAGAATTGAGGAGACAAGTCAGGAAGTTTTTTAGGGGAGTAACATTCCAGTCAGAAGAAACAGCAGGTGCAACAGCACTGAGGCAGGAACATGCTTGGTGGGTTTGAGGAACAGCTATGAGCCCAGCGTGACTGGAGGGGGAAGTAAACGAGGCAGACAGCTACAGGAGATTAAAGGGATTTGAGCAGAAGAGTGATGGATCTCCAAAGCTACTGCTGCCATCTAAATTAGCTGCTAGTGTGGTGAAGGGTTACCCACAGACCTGATGGTGATCCCACCCCTGCCAACATAGGCACCATGCTGCTTGGTATTGACCTACAATGCCCACTCAGAACAACTGCATACTCAGCAGTTGTCCCTGGGTGCTGGAGGGGCCTTGGGGGTCCATGGTCCCAAGCTGCTAAATCAAACTATGAATTTATTTCCACTATCATCTGAAGTAGTTGTGACCTCATAGTCCTAAAACTTCTCCCAAGGGAAAAAAAAATCCATAATTCATATACATTAGTAATCTGTACTTAGGTTTATTTAGATTTTGGCTTTTATTGTCGCCCAGACTGGGATACAGGGGAGCAATATCAGCTCACTGCCACCTCTTTCTCCCAGGTTCAAGCAATGCTCCTGCCTCAGCATCCTGAGTAGATGGGACTACAGGCACGCACCACCACGCCCAGCGAATTTTTTTGTATTTTTTAGTAGAGACAGGGTTTCACGATGTTGGTCAGGCTAGTCTCGAACCCCTGACCTAAGGTGATCTGCCCACCTTGGCCTCTCAAAGTGTTGGGATTACAGGAGTGAGCCAACACACCCAGCTTATTTTGGCTTTTGTTTTGTTTTGTTTTGTTTTTTGAGACAGAGTTTCACTTTGTCCCCCACGCTGGAGTACAGTGTCACAATCTCAGTTCACTGCAACCTCCGACTCCCGGGTTCAAGCGATTCTCCTTCCTCAGCCTCCCGAAAAGCTGGGATTACAGGCGCCCGCTACCATGCCCGGCTAATTTTTGTATTTTTAGTAGAGATGGAGTTTCACCATATTGGCCAGGCTGGTCTCAAACTCCTGACCTCAGGTGATCCACCTGCCTCAGGCTCCCAAAATGCTGGAATTACAGGCCTGAGCCACTGCACCCAGCTGGGTTTTCTTTTCTTTTCTTTTCTTTTCTTTTCTTTTCTTTTCTTTTCTTTTCTTTTCTTTTTAAGGAGTAAGAAAGCCCAGGTGCAGTGGCTCACGCCTATAATCCCAGCACTTTGGGAGGTGGAGGCGGGCAGATCACCTGAGGTCAGGAGTTCAAGACCCGCCACCAAAGTGGTGAAACCCCATCTCTACTTAAAAAATAAAAAAATTAGCCGGGCGTGGTGGTGGGTGCATGTAATCCCAGCTACCTGGGAGGCTGAGGCAGGAGAATCGCTTGAACCCAGGACGCGGAGGTTGCAGTGAGCTGAGATCGCACCATTGCACTCCAGCCTGGGCAACAGGAGCGAGACTCCATCTCAAAAAAAAAAAAAAAAAGGAGTAAGAAGTAATGTAGGTTAAGGGTACACCTTTTCTTCTTAAAGAGACTTTATTTTTTAAGACAGTTTATATTTAAAGAAAAAGTGAGACGATAATACCAGTTGAATATCTCTTATCCAGAATGCTTGGGACCAGAAGTGTTTTGGATTTCAGATGCTTTCTGACTTTGGAATATTTGCATATGTACATAATGAGCCGTCTTGGGGATGAGACCCAAGGATAGACACAAAATTCATTTATGTGTCATATACACCTAATACACATAGCCTGAAGGTACATTTACACAACATTTTTCATAATTTCGTGCATGAAACAAAGTTTTAGCTGTGTTTTTACTGTGACCCATCACATGAGGTCAGGTGTGAAATTTTTCAGCTGTGGCATCATGTCAGCACTCAGAAAGTTGCAGATTTGGAAGCATTTTGGATTTTCTGATTAGGGATTCTCGACCTGTACAGAGAGCTGCCATATATATCCCGCACCTGGTTTCCCCTATAATTAACGTCTTACATTAGTGTGGTACATCTGCTACAATTCTTGAACCAATATTAACACATTATTATTAACCGAAGTCCGTAGTTTATTCAGATTTCCTTAGTTTTGCACGATAGCTTTCTCTTCCAGGATCTCGTCTAGGGCACCAACTTACATTTAGTTGTCATGTCTCCTTAGCTGCCTCTTTTTTTTTCTTTTTTTTTTCGAGATGGAGTCTCACTCTGTTGCCCAGGCTGGAGTGCACTGGTGTGATCTCAGCTCACTGCAACCTCTGCCATCCAGGTTCAAGTGATTCTCCTGCCTCAGCCTCCTGGGTAGCTGGGATTACAGGCACATGCCACCACGCCCAGCTAATTTTTTGTACATTTAGTAGAGACGGGATTTCACCATCTTGGCCAGGCTGGTCTTGAACTCCTGACCATGTGATCCACTTGCCTCGGCCTCCCAAAGTGCTGGGATTACAGGCGTGAGCCACCACGCCTGGCCCTTAGCCTCCTCTTAGCTGTGCCAGTCTCTCAGGCTTTCCTTGTTTTTTTTTTAAATAAACTTGACAGTTTTGAGGAGTTCTGGTCAGGCCTATTATAGGATACCCTTCTGTTGATATTTGCCTGATGTGTTTTCTAATGACTAGACTTGGGTTATATGTTTTGGGGGTAAAGACCACAGAGGTAAAGTGCCATTTTCATCACATACATCAAGGGTAATGTACTCTCAGCATGGTTTATCACTGTTAATGTTGACCTTGATCACCTGACTGAGGTAGTGTTTGAGGCAGTATTTGTCAAGTTTGTCCTCTGTGAAATTACTCTTCTCCCACAGCCTCTCCTGCCCTGCTTTTTCCATGCTGTACTCTCTGGAAGGAAGTCACTGTGCACAACCCACACTTAAGAAGTGGGGAGGGGCCGGGAGTGGTGGCTCACGCCTGTAATCCCAGCACTTTGGGAGGCCGAGACGGGCGGATCACTAGGTCAGGAGATTGAGACCATCCTGGCTAACACGGTGAAACCCCATCTCTACTAAAAATACAAAAAATTAGCTGGGCGTGGTGGCAGGCGCCTGTAGTCCCAGCTACTCGGGAGGCTGAGGCAGGAGAATGGCGTGAACCCGGGAGGCAGAGCTTGCAGTGAGCAGAGATCGCACCACTGCACCCCAGCCTGGGCGACAGAGTGAGACTCCATCTCAGAAAAAAAAAAAAAAAAAGAAGTGGTGCCAGGCACAGTGGCTCATGCCTGTAATCCCCACACTCTGGGAGGCCAAGGCAGGTGGATCACCTGGGGTCAAGAGTTCCAGACCAGCCTGAGCAATGTGGTGAAACCCTGTCTCTACTAAAAATATAAAAATTAGATGGGTGTAGTGGCACAGGTCTGTAATCCTAACTACGTGGGAGGCTAGGGCAGGAGAATCGCTTGAACCCAGGAGGCAGAGATTGTGGCGAGCTGAGATTGCACCACTGCATTCCAGCCTGGGCAACAGGGCAGGACTCTGCCTCAAAAAAAAAAAAAAAAAGAAGTAGGGATTTATGCTTCCATGCCTTAAGGATGGAATGTCTGTATATATTATTTGGAATTTTTCTGCAAGGAAAATTTGTATCTTCTCCTCCATTTATTTATTTATTTATTTATTTATTTATTTATTCATTCATTCATTCATTCATTCATTTATTATTGATACAGAGTCTCATTGTGTCACCCAGGCTGGAATGTGGTGGCACTGTCACAGCTTACTGTAGCCTCGACCTCCTGGCCTCAGGTGAACCTCCTGTCTCAGACTCCTGAGTAACTGGGACTACAGGTGCATGCTACCATGCCCAGCTAATTATTATTAATTATTATTATTTGTAGAGATGGGTCTCACTGTGTTTCCCAGGCTAGTCTCAAACTCCTGGGTTCAAGCAATCCTTCCATCTCGGCCTCCCAAACTGCTGGGATTACAGGTGTGAGCTACCACGCGTGGCCCATTTATTTATTCAATCATGCATTTATAACAGTATGGACTCATAGATCTTTATTTTGTACTTTGGGTTATAATCCAATACTACTTTATTTTGTTTCTCAAATTCCTCCAGTTTTGGCCACTGGAAGCTCTTTCAAGTGGTTCTTGTGTCCCTTTGATACACACCTATCCTTGTAGGATTTTATTATTTATTTAGCACTGCCTTACTTTCTGGTACTGTAAGATGCCCCAGGCTCATCTTGTATATTTCCTGCCTCTGCCCCAGAATCAGCCATTTCTCCAGGGAGTCCTGGCACCTTTTATAGGAGAATGATACTAGAAACCAAGATCTGGGTACTAGTTATGCTCATTGCAGCTGGAGTGTTGCTGCTTCTGGGCCTTCTCAGATGGCAGAACAAGAAAATAAGTGTGTGTCTTCTAACTGTGTATTTATAGCTATAAATAGGTATCATATACCTATAAATATTTCTATATGTAATCATCTATATCTATATTAAGCATGAGTTCATACTCTAACCAATTACCATATGGATCATTCTAGTCCCCTCCCTTTGCTTATCTATAAATTTCTACTGCAACAGTAAGAAACCCAGCATCTACCATATGCTATCCATTTTCTTAATTGTTCAGTTCCAATATGCATGAATAACAGTATGAGAATTATAACCCATGGGAAACAATGTTATCGAATAGAGGACAGTGCTTATATTCACTTTTGCCTTTAGTCTTAGGGACTACTCATTTTCAAAGTTACTTAGGTCAGCACTTTTCCCTCAACCCTCTTCAGTGAAGTTTTTTTACACGTTTGTAATACAGTTAGATTTTCTTGCCACTGTCTGCATTCATTCCTAAGATCTAAGGAAATACCTTTTAATTTAACATTTTATCTCCAGCTAGATAATAAATTCACAAAGAACAACTACCATGAGAAGCAAAGTAGTACAGTCATACTTTTTAAAATTGTTCTTGGGTTTTTAAAAATAATTTTTACATTACACAAGTAATACATTATTACAAGATAAAGTCCTTCTTAATACTACTACAAGCCCAGTCCCTACCCTAAACATACATACGGTTGTTAGTCTGGGATGTGTCTGTCCAAACATTTTTCTTGCATATATATATATATGGAAAACATTTATATTCATATATATAACATTGCCTTTATATTCATATATACATATATATATGTGTGTATGTGTGTGTATATATATATATATATATATATATATATATACACACATACACACACACACCCCTATGGAAAAATATCTAGTATTCCTGTATGTTTTTCTTTTCTTTTTTTTTTTTTTTGAGATGAAGTTTCACTCTTGTCGCCCAGGCTGGAGTGCAATGGCACTATCTAGGCTCACTGCAACCTCTGCCTCCAGGATTCAAGCAATTCTCATGCCTCAGCCTCCCAAGTAGCTGGTATTACAGGCACGTGCCACCGTGCCTGGCTAAATTTTGTATTGTTAGTAGACGTGGGGTTTCACCATGTTGGCCGGGCTGGTCTTGAACTCCTGACCTCACGTGATCCACGCGCCTCGGCCTCCCAAACTGCTGGGATTACAGGCATGAGCCACCACGCCTGGCCTGCTGTGTGTTTTTCAACATAAACGGTACCATATATAAGTTCTGCAACTCTGTTTTTCTCCAAACCATTCAACTTAGGTATCTTTCAAGCCTGTGCGTGACTGTCTGCTTCGTGAGTAATATTCCATAGAATGAAAGTGTTGGTTACATTTTCCCCCCTGTTAATATTGGCAGTGCTCTAGTGAACACTCTTGTGCATAGTGTTTATTCAGGAATGACTGGGTCATATACACATTTCAGTTTTAACAACTACTGTCAAATTGCCCATTGGTATACTCACCCTGGAAAAAAAATCTTGTTCCTTATTATATGACTGCATGGGACACAGAAGAGAACCAGATTGCTAGTTTTTAATTTGTCTTAATGTTTATTTCTAGAGAATAGTGAATACGGAGGTAAGACCTAGTCTGTTATTTAAAAGAACCTCATGCTGTGATGATTTCCAGTGCTTTTTAAATGTTAATTGTTAAATTAATAGAAGAGGGATAGTGTCTATAATGGTCTACCCAGCTTTCAGTCAGTGATGCTAAAGTAGATGCTGCCACAACTGTATGAAGCTACAGGAACTCCTTATTTGCTTGATAGGATCCTGAGATGCTGCAGCACAGGAGGACCAAGATGGCAGGCACAGGGCAGAATCCTTCCTGGTCTCTCATGTGCTCCTGATGAGTAGGAAGCTCATGAGTTCATTCACTGGGCAAACATGATTGATCATCTCCTAAGGGCTGGACTAGGATGCCCTTTGCCATACTGGACACTCCCAAAATGCATCTGCAGAGGTCAACGCTGTATTTCTCACCTGTCATTTGCCATTTGGCTGAGTGTGTGTTGGGTGCCAAGCATGAAGCCCAGCACTAAGGAGACAGAGGGGAAGGTGACAGCGCTGCTTTCCTGAATTTGTCCACACCTGGTTCTGCCAGCCATCACCTCAGACTCTCTGCTCAGCCTTGGTTTGTTCACACTAAGGGACATGTAAGGTAACTTCTGTGCTGCCTGAGGGATGGGGGATACATTAAGCATCCTAAAATAAGGTGAACAGTGGATTCTGTCCTGCCACAGGCCAGAGGTATGCTCCTAGAGCCTTCTTTGTGCTCTTGGAATTATTTCCTACATAGTTGGAAGTTTGGATGGATGTGTGAAAGCTTATAATTCACTGTGCTGCTGTTTAATCAGAAATGGAAATTAGGGCCGGGCGCAGTGGTTCACACCTGTAATCCTAGCACTTTGGGAGGCCAAGGCAGGCGGATCACTTGAGGTCAGGAGTTTGAGACCAGCCTGGCCAAAGTGGCAAAACCCCATCTCTACTAAAAATACAAAAATTAGCTGGGTGTGGTGGTACATGCCTGTAATCCCAGCTGCTCAGGAGGCTGGGACACAAGAATCACTTGAACCCAGGAGGCGGAGGCTGCATAAGCTGAGATCATGCCATTGCACTCCATCCTGGACGACGGAGCAAGACTCTGTCTCAAAAAAAAAAAAAAAAAGAAAGAAAGAAAAAAGAAATGGAGGCCATGCGTGGTGGCTCACGCCTGTAATCCCAACACTATGGAAAGCCAAGGCGGGCGGATCTCCTGAGGTCGGGAGTTCGAGACCAGCCTGGCCAACCTGGTGAAACCCCATCTTTACTAAAAATACAAAAATTAGCTGGGCGTTGTGGTGAATGCCTGTAATCTCAGCTACTCTAGAGGCTGAAACACGAGAATCACTTGAACTTGGGAGGGGGAGGTTGCAGTGAGCCAAGATGGCGCCACTGCACTCTAGCCTGGATGACAGAGTGAGACTCCATCTCAAAAAAAAAAAAAAAGGAAATGGAAATTAAAGTTGCTCGCAATGTATGTGCTTCCCATTTGGAGAGCAGATTCCTCACAAAGAGAGCTCTACCTGCCAATCCATGCACTGGGGAATGTTGTAGACTACACCATCTGAAGAGGAAGTAAGGAAGGATTCAAATAGATTTTTCTAAAGGTTAGTGAGGCAGCTTTTCTTGGAACATCAATCATTAATGGTTTATTCCCCCAACAGTCCTGTAATTTGTCACAACTGGCTCCGGCATGGGGAGTGCAAAGATGGAGGGGGTCTGGTTGCTTCCACCTATTATTGTTTTATAGCTTGTCTCATAACAGAGGTGATTTCTTTCGTTTTACCAGTGGCCAGACAGTAAACTCTCTCTTTCTTCTCTCTTTAGCTTTGTATTCTGGACCTTGTTTGCCCTGTTAACAAGGTCACAATGGGTTAAATTGTGTCTTCCCAAAAAGATAGGCTCAAATTCTACCCACTCCCTACCTGTGGATGTGACTTTATTTGTAACTAGGGTCTGCATATGTAATTAAGTAAAGATGAAGTTGTACTGAATTCAGGTAGTACCAATCTTTATAGGGCACCAATAAAAGAAGTCAGCCAGGCATAGTGATACATGCCTTATAATCCCAGCTACTCAGGAGGTTAAGGTGGGAGGATCCCTTGAGCTCAGGAGTTTGAGGCTGCAGTGAGCTATGATTGCATCACTGCACTCCAGCCTGGGCGACAGAGCAAGATCTTGTGTCCAAAAAACAAAAACAGAGGGAAAAAAGAGAATAAGAGAAGGTTTAGAACCAGAGACACACAGGGGAAAAGGCCATGTGAAGACCAAGCCGAAGATTGACAGTGATATAGCCACAATCCCAAGAACAGTGAAGATCACTGGTGACAACAGAAGTGAGGAGAGAGGCAGACCTCAGGTGATCCGCCCGCCTCGGCCTCCCATAGTGCTGGGATTGCAGGCGTGAGCCACCACGCCCGGCCTCCTTTTTTTTTTTTTTTTTTTTTTTTTTTTTTGAGACAGAGTCTTGCTCTGTCGTCCAGGCTGGAGTGCAATGGCGTGATCTCAGCTTACTGCAGCCTCTGCTTCCTGGGTTCAAGTGATTCTCGTGTTCCAGCCTCCTGAGTAGCTGGGATTACAGGCATGCACCACCACACCCAGCTAATTTTTGTATTTTTAGTAGAGATGGGGTTTTGCCACGTTGGCCAGACTGGTCTCAAACTCCTGACCTCAAGTGATCCGCCTGCCTTGGCCTCCCAAAGTGCTAGGATTACAGGTGTGAACCACTGCGCCCGGCCCTAATTTCCATTTCTGATTAAACAGCAGCACAGAAAATTATCAGCTTTCACACATCCATCCAAACTTCCAACCACGTAGGAAATAATTCCAAGAGGCTCTCCCTCAGAGCCCCCAGAAGGAACCAATCCTGCCAACACCATGATTTCAGAGTCTGGCCTCCTGAATGATGAAAACTAAATTTCTGTTGTTGTAAGCCCCCCAAATTGTGGTACTTTGTTACAGCGGTCCTAGGAAACTAATACACCTCATCTTTTGGTCCTCTTGAAAAAGGAGACTTTAAACCCAAATATCCTCGTTACATCAAAGAAGGATTTTAGTCCTACATCGAGCAGTGTCTTTCAGTTCTAAAATCCAGACTTTTCAGCAAGCATCACTTCTCCTTTTCCTCCCTACTTTGCAGCAAAGTCAAGTACCAGTAGAGTGTCTCAGCAGCCGCATGGACACTTGAAGCCTGCTAGCCCTGACCCTGGCGGCCCTGTTAAACAGCCCAGCATAATGGAGCAGCAGCTTGGGAGATGGAGCTAGAATCCACAAACAGGCAAAACAAAAAGGGTTTTGACCTCGCTCCGCTGCCTTCACAAGGGAAGAGGCTGCAGGGCTGTGGTGCTGTCTTGGTGTGTGCCAACCTGAAACACATGGGCTTTGACACAAAGTGCACATACAGGGGCCAGGAGCAGGGTGGGCAGCCTCATCTTAAATTCTTTGTGGCCTCTCTCCCTTTGGCTAGTGTGTTTTTTAAAGGATCCATTCAGGATCTGTTGAGTCTTCCATAACATCATAAAACTGTGGGATTTTAGAGCTGCAAAAGACCTAAGTGTGATTCAGTCCAACTTCCCACCCTTTTTTATTTATAATAATAACAGCTGCTATCTGTTGAATAATATAAATACTAAATATTTATTGAATACATACTGTGTGCCAGGAAGTTTTCTGAGCGCTTGATATGTATTCACATATTTAGTCATCACAGCAATACTTTGCAATAGGAACTCTCAATATTTCCAATTTGTAGATGAGGAAAGTGAGGCATACAGAGAAAAGGAACTTGACCAAAGACTAACAGCTAGAAAGTGGCAGAATCAGGATTCAAACCCAGGTGTGTCTAACCCCGAGCCCTCTTAGCCCCTCTGCTTTGCAGAGACCTCAGTATGAAATGATACACCCCACGTCATGTATCCAAAGAGTGAGGGCATCGAGACCCAGAACCACACTCCCTAAAAACTGGCAGTGGTGCTGTACATTTTTTAAAATAGGGTCTTGCTATGTTGCCCAGGCTGGTCTTAAACTCTTGACTCCAAGCAATCCTCCCTCCTCAGCCTCCCAAGTTGCTGGAATTATAGGTGCACACCACTACACCTGGCTTGTATCTTATTTTATTATTTTATTTTATTTTATTTTATTTCTTTGAGCCGGAGTCTCACCCTGTCGCCCAGGCTGGAATGCAGTGGTGCAATCTCAGCTCACTGCAACCTCCACTTCCCTGGTTCGAGCAATTCCTCTGCCTCAGCCTCCCGAGTAGTGGGGATTACAGGCACATGCCACCACGCCCAGCTAATTTTTTTGTATTTTTTTTTAGTAGAGATGGGGTTTCACCATGTTGGCCAGATTGGTCTCGAACTCCTGACCTCAGGCAATTCGCCCACCTCAGCCTCCCAAAGTGCTGGGATTACAGGCGTAAGCCACAGCCCAACCTTTTTTTTTTTTTTTTTTTTTTTTTTTTTTTTTTTTTTAAGGCAGAGTCTCACTCTGTTGCCCAGGCTGGAGTACAGTGGCACAATCTTGGCTCACTGCAACCTCCGCCTCCCAATTCAAGCAATTCTCATGCCTCAGCCTTTTGAGTAGCTGGAACTATAGGCCTGTACTACCATGCCCAACTAATTTTTGTATTTTTAGTACAGACAGAGTTTCATCATGTTGGCCAGGCTGGTCTTGAACTCCCGACCTCAGGTGATCTGCCTGCCTTGGCCTCCAAAGTGCTGGAATTATAGGCATGAGCCACTGTGCCCGGCCTTTGTATCTTCTTAATATGGACCCCACTTTAACTGTGAGGGCACACACAGGCACGCACGTGTACACACATAGTCCCAGCCCTGCCCTCAGCCTGTCTTCATGATGTCTGAGGGCATGGTAGTACCAGTGATGAGTTACAATGCATTTTGAAGCCACTGTGAAGAGCAGGTTATATGATGAAGTAAAGTTACCACTACCAGTAAACAATGCAGTTGGGACAGGCAACTAAATTAGAACCAAACTGTTAACCTATGTGTGCGCATACACACACTCACTCACTCACTCACACACACCCCTCTTAAAAAGAGAGCACTAGTCCCTCCCAAGAGAAAACTAGCTTAGAGGTGGGAATTTAGGAGGAAGACCCCATTGTATTTCAATTAGGCTACCCTATTCTCATTCATGTCAAAATTTCTCAAAGGAGTTTGGTCTGAGAGAAGCAGCCACAGGAGGCCTCCACTGGCCATGCTGTCTCCAGCTGAGGAGCTGGCAGCAGGGAAAGCAGAGCCCTGTGGGCCATGTCCCTGGGCAGAGCAGCCAGGCTGAGACTGCCACCAGCCCCTGGGAATTCTTCCAAGCTTTCATCTGGGCTGGTCCTCCTCTCAGGTCTAGGGTGTTCACGATTTTTACAAAACGAGGTCACAAAGGAATGACACCCAAGTTAGTGCAAGCCTCGTACTGTCCCCTTGTCCCCGACCAGAGCCCTGGGAGGAGACTACTTCCCATGTGGCAAAGCCTCAGGCGTGGCTGTGAGCATCTGTAAGGGCGGGATGCAGGCACAGCAGAGCGGTGCCCCAGCTGGCCTGCGCAGAGCATTCGGAGCCTCAGAACACCGTGATTAGTGATGAGCTGCTCCAAGGCCGCTGTGCTGAATGGTCCAGGAATCCTTCCAGCAGCTCCGCTTCGCACCCCGTTGTCCCCCACCCAACCCTTTATTTTTTGAGTCAGGCCTTCAGTTTCTCCCCTTTTTCTGCCTCCCTCAAGGGAAGCTGGAAACCATGATGGCCATGAACAGAGTCAGAGATTTGGGTGACTTCTGTGCCCTGTCACCCTGAAGCTCTCTCTTGTGTGCCCTCTCTCCTGTGCCAGCTGAGAGAGGTGCGGGGAAGATTCCCAGCCCTGGCCCTGTGAGTCCAGTCAGGGACCCCGTGTTCTGGACCGGCCACTTCACACCCGGCAGCAACATTTGGTGTTGGGTGGTCGTGGTTGTTGCTGCTCAGCCTGTTGGGGTGGGTGCAGGGTCTCCTGGCTAGAATTTGTGTGGGGTTAGAGGCAGGGCAGCGAAGCCATGTGTGGTGCTGAGGGAAACTTCCTACAGCCCGAGGTCTGAAGAGAATGGAGAGGCCATAGGCAGGAAGTCCAGCAAGTAGCTTGGCCTGAGTGGAGGGAGGCAGAGCTTCCCTTGGGAGCACATCCCAAGGTGTGCTCAGCTCTGCTGGACAGGTAGAGTGCCCTGGAATTTTCCAGTGGATACCCAGAAGACACCACCAACTCCTCTGCGGTAGAGAAGGAGCCAGGCACAGTGGCTCATGCCTGTAATCCCAGCATTTTGGGAGGCTGAGGCTGGAGGATCGCTGAGCCTAGGAGTTCAAGACCAGCCTGGGCAACATATTGAGACCCCGTCTCTACCAAAAATAGTAAAGCCAGCCTGGGCAATGTAATGAGATCTCATCTCTACAATAATTTTTTTAAAAATTAGCCAGGCATGGTGGCACATGCCTGTAGTCCCAACTACTCGGGAGGCTGAGGTGGGAGGATCACTTGAGTTTGGGAGGCAGAGGTTGCCGTGAGCTGTGATCACAACACTGCACTGCTGTCTGAGCAACAGAGCAAGACCCTGTCTCTGAATGAATGAATGAACGGTACCTAGCACTAACCTAGGCAAGAGGCAGGTTTTGTATTTTTTTTTAGTAGAGATGGGGTTTCACCATGTTGGCCAGACTGGTCTCGAACTTCTGACCTCAGGCAATTCACCCACCTCAGCCTCCCAAAGTGCTGGGATTACAGGCGTAAGCACTGTAGGCAAGAGGCAGTGTTAATTCTGTCTGTTCAAGTCTGCACTCTGCAGATATGAAAGAATTAACCACCTGCACTAGGGAAAGCTGTCCAGAGAGGTAACTGACCCAAGGGCTATACCAAGATCAAGATTTCAGGCTTCCTACATGGTATTCGGACTATTTAAAGAAGCAAGAAGCACACTCCTGGCTCCAGATCCAAGACTATGCCACCAGGCTTCTTATTAAGATGTCACTGGGCTTTGGTAGTTAAAGGGGCCAGAGACGTTTAAAGGATTATATGATCACCTGGGTTTTGGAAGAATCCAAAGTGGGGTCACGGCTGAAGAGAGGCCTCCTTTCCTAGGCCCTGGCATTGCAACTTTTAAATGCATGATTCGCTGGCCCCTTCACAGCTGGATCTTTCTGTTCCCTGCGCTTGCTGAAAAGCAGAAATCTACTCCAAAAGGAACGCTCACTGCTTTTGCCCCTGCTTTTTCTGTAAGTGGTGAGTTTTTATCTGTCTTCTGTTGATGGAGCTGCCAAATCCTAACCCTTCCCATTTCCACTGTGGGCTCCAGGTACACCCCCTATTTGAATAGGTATCAGATTTCCCCAAAGCAAAATCTAATCATTCCTAGGCTTAGTCCGCTTCTCTGAGAAGGCCAAGAGCCCTGACCTCATTCTCTGCGCTGGCTCCTGCTGCAGTTAGGAGGAAGCTGTGGGATATGTCCCTGGGGTACAGTTAGCACAGCAGGGGGCTAGGGAATCTCAACCCAGTGAACCAAGAGACAAGGTTATACATGAATTTAGGAAGCCAGAAAGACCCAAAGCCCCAAATAGGAAATTTCTATAAGGAAACCCTTACACTATAAGGCCTTACACAAATATCTGGGATAATGATTTTATCAACTACCCACATCCCCTTGAGAGGACTTCATGAGGGTCCTTGAACTAGACCCTGTAGGGCGGGGGCTACTCTGTGGGAGCCTCCCAGACTGAATGTGGAGGAGGGTGCTCCCAGGAGGAAAATCAAGGTGCTGTTACTGGAAGAAGAGAAGAAGGGGGATGGGCGCTGAGTGGGCCAAGATCACAAATGCTCCCCTCACCCATCCAGGCCTCTTTCTCTTTCCTTTGCTTCCCTTCATTTACCTGTTCTTCGGCTCCTGCTCACAAAAGGACAGAAGAATCATTCCATTTTAATAGGTACAGTCTGTGAGGCTGGTGGCCACTGTAAACTGGTCTGTTTCCTAGTCTTGCTCATCCTGGAATCAGGATGTAACATGGAAACACAACAGGCCCCTTGCTTCCCGGCTGCTGTTCATCACCTGTTTGTGATGTCTTCCTGTGCCTAGAGCAGGTGCTTCTCTCCTAAACTGGGAGGTCCTCCCCACAAGATAAATCCTCTCTCCCAAGCCTGCCCTCCCATGCTGTAACCTTCTCTTGGCTTCTGCTTTTTTCTGAACTTCCTGTTCTATTTTTGAACACTCATAGCCTGGACCCAGGCCTTGGCAGACAAAGAGCCCGTGTGAATGGTGGACATCTGACCTGAATACCTGACCTGTGATTAGTAACCTGGGTTGGCCCCAAGCCGAAGGTGGTTCCATGCCTCCATCAGTTGTCACCCTTCCAACCTGGCTGGCCACATTTTTTGCTCCTGCCGTCAACTGCAGAGATGCAAACTGTGTGTGAAGAGGTGATTCCCTGCCTGGGAGGTTTCAGGGTTATCTGTGTCCACCTCTCCCCGGAGCCTCCAGGCACACACACCAAAAGGTAGATATGACCCTGCCTCTTTGGAACAGTGAGTAGAGCAAACTGCTGTGTTGTGGCTTCCTTAAATACGCCTTAATCCTGCCCATCCTGAAGGTGGAAGTGGATCCCATTTATATTGTTTTTTAGTGATCACTCAGCTCACTCCAGTTGGCACCCAGGAACTCGGAATTCGGACTGCTTACTTGCTGGCTCCAATTCTGCAAAATACCCTGCCTTCCCTGTGGCCACTGGGGTTGGACAGTGCCCACGTGCACTTTCTTCCCCACTCAGGTATCCTATAGCTGATTAACTGGGAAGGTGTGGGGCTATCTAGCATAGCTACAGGACTCGATCCAAGGTGCCGCTCTATCATGATTTGTATGGGTGGTGTTTTCTTATTGTTGCTGTTGTTTTAAAAGGGGAGAGGTTTTGACACAGAATTATTTTATCTAATTTACTCTTCACTGCCCCTTCCATTTCCTCTGCTTTACCAAAAGAACGTTTTAATGCTTTTGATGATATTAACTATTTCATAGTTGTCTTAAGAAACAGTTATAGTTTTCAACTTCTAATTTAAAAATATTAATATTCTTACCATTACAAAAATTCTTATAGATTAATGAGAAAAAATATACTAATTAGAGAATGGGTAGGAGCAGGCAAAATGGAGGAAACTCAAGTGAAAACATTGAATTTTGAGTGAAACATTTTCACCTGAAAAATGTTCAACCTCACTGGCAGTTAAGAACAAAAGTTACAACAATCAGATAGTATTTTTCACTTATGAAAATGACAAGTGTTTAGAAATTACTGTAATACCCAGTGGTCATGAGGAAAAAGCAAAGCAGACTTTCCGTCAAGCTGCTGGTTATGTAAATTGGGGCTCCCTTCATGTTGGGCATTTGACTAGATGTATCAAGGACCTGGAACCAAAATTTATGCTTCTCAGAATTTATATAAAGTAAATAAATCAAATTGCGTACAAGCATGCCTTTAAGGGATATCCACTCCAGAATTATCCATAATAGCAAAAAATTGCAACCAATATGAATAACAAACAATATAGGCTACAGAGTAGCCTCTAAAATAATCTTTTAAAAAATATTTTAGGCCAGGCATAGTGGCTCATGTCTGTAATCCCAGCACTTTGAGAGGCCGAGGTGGGCAGATCACGAGGTCGGGAGTTCAAGACCAGCCTGACTAACATGGCAAAACCCCGTCTCTACTAAAAATACAAAAATTAGCCAGGCGTGGTGGCGTCCACCTATAATCCCACGTACTCAGGAGGCTGAGGCAGGAGAATCAGTTGAACCCAGGAGGTGGAGGTTGCAGTGAACTGATATTGTGCCACTGCACTCCAGCCTGGGCGACAGAGCGAGACCCCATCTCAAAAAAATAAATAAATTTATAACATGAAAAAATGTTTATAATGTGAAAAGTGGGGGGAAACAGCATTTAAAACAATGCTTAGTATGATCACTTTTTAAAAAATTATGTACATATCTGTGTATTTTTGACTGAAATGGTATGGTGACTGTGGGTCATTTTTAGTTTCTTCCTCATTCATATCTGAATTTTCTAAAATCTTTATCATACACTTATCATTTTAATAATTAGATTTTTTAAATTTTCTTTTTTTTTCATTTACTTTTTTTGAGACAGATTCTTGATTTGTTATCCAAGCTAGAGTGCAGTGGTGCTATCATGGCTCACTGCAACCTTGACTTCCTGGGCTCAACTGATCCTCCTGCCTCACCCCCTCAAGTAGCTGGGACTACAGGTGCATGCCACCATACCTGGCTAATTTTTGTACTGTGTGTGTGTGTGTGTGTGTGTGTGTGTGTGTGTGTGTGTGTGTGTGTGTGTGTGCAGAGATAGGTTTTCGCCATGTTGCCCAGGCTGGTCTGGAACTCCTGGACTCAAGCCATCTGCCCACCTAGGTCTCCCAAAGTGCTGGGATTATGAGCCTGAGCCACCACACCTGGACCTTTTTGTAATTTTAAAAAACAGAGAACCACAGGGCCAGAGTTAAGGTACAAGAGAACTCACTTTTGTTTGGTTTGGTTTTGTTTTTCTGGGCCAGCATCTAAAAAGATCAGAAAACAACTGGGCCCCCATATAAAATAGTCTGTCTTTGCAGAGGTCTCCAAACGCTGCGGGAAGAATGAGAAGATGAGGTCTGCTCAGGTTTCTATTTTGCCACCTGCACCCTTTTATTGAAATTTCATATTACAGATATGAAGAGTAACTACTGACATCTCCTAGTGGGATTTTCATTTATATAATGAAATATATAATAAGTATATAATGAATTTATATAATGAAGTATGTAGTATGACTTTTTTCTTCATCTTTGGAAAAATATCCCTTAAATTCTACTTGTACCTTCTCCTCCAGATTGAAAAACAGACTAATAATGGCTTAGGACAGATGTGGCCTCAGATGACTTAAGTAATAATGACATAAATGCCCCCTGAAGCTCCTTCTTCTCCAACACCATCTCTTTTTTCTCTTCCCATCCCCCCCGCCTCCACCCCAGCTTTTTTTGGAGGGTAGGGGTTCCTTTTCTTTGCCTATACCTGAAGCCTGCTGGTGCCAATTAGGACGCTCCAGTCACAGCAAATGTGAAGAACTGCTTCCTCCAAGGTATCCATATGCCCAGAAATGGAGGATTGGTTTGACTCAAAGGACTGAAATGTCACTGCAGAATTTGGTCTGTGCTTGCAGCCAGTTTTTCACCACCACTGTCATTTCTCCACCTCTGGGGTTTGCAGTGGGGATACACTTTTAATGACATGCCACTAGTCACAGTTTTACCAGGTATAGTTGAGTCACAGAGATGAGAACAAAACCATTGCTTAAATGTGAATTTCCTTGGTCCCTGAGTGAGCACCCCTACCCACAGTTTGATGACATTTGAGCATGTGCTCCAAGTGACTATCTACAGAAATGCCTTTAGGCATTGTTTAGATAGCATACTACTCCAGTTATCCAGGAGGGTAGCTGCCTCTTTCTTTTTGAAAGCTATTCCCTTGGCTTGGCAGCCAAAGGAATTCAAGATTCATGCTGTTGTAAAGGATGCTAGGAAAGGACATGAATTTTAGAAAACAGGGAAGCTCTGAGGAAGTACCGAGGCTGCTATTTACAGAGTCTTTCCTGGGTGCTAGATATGGAGCACAGCACTTTACCTAGTTATCTCACTTGATGCCCACGTGAACTCTGGGAGTAAGATAGTATACTTCCATTCTCCACATGAGGAAGGTGAGGCTCAGAGAAGTTAAGTTCTTTGCCCAAAGTTTCCAAGCTTGTACCTTCTGCTGGAGCTGGTTTTGAGCCCACACGTGATCTCTTTCTGATATACCAAGCTGCCTCCCAGGGTTTATGCTAAGCAGTGAAGTCTATACTTCAAGTTACACTTATGGTCTTACTACTATTGTAAGAAGACCTGTCCTGTGTGGCATCCAGGACCCATGGGTGACATGGACAGCCTTGGATCCTAGACACCACACACGCACCCTCAAGAAACCCAGTCAGGAGGTCTCAGAGGGCTTCTAGGGTAACCCTTAGGATCCATGCAATTTACTGGTGCCCCACAGCAAGAAGTTATCCAGTGGGGCTGAGGCAGGCAGATCACCTGAGGTCAGGAGTTCAAGATCAGCCTGGCCAACATGGTGGAAACCCCCGTCTCTACTAAAAATACAAAAAGTAGCTGTGTTTGCTGGTGGGCACCTGTAATCCCAGCTACTCAGAAGGCTGAGGCACGAGAATTGCTTGAATCCAGGAGGCAGAGATTGCAGTGAGCCGAGATGGTGCCACTGCACTCCAGCGTGGGCGACAGAGCGAGACTGTCTCAAAAACAAAAACAAAAACAAAAACAGAAGAAGCTATCCAGATGCCATTAGCTCTTCTGCCCAGAGGTATATGAGAGCTCTGAGTACCTCCCTGTCCCTCAGGGGACCCAGGCATTCAAGAACTGACCTGGACAGGATCTCAAAACTTCTGACTCAAAACTGTAATATGTATTATAATATTACTATAGTAATATGGTCTTATTATTGTTGGCCTGGCCTGGGAAATAAGCTTCCCTCAGGGATGTCTCTAGTATAGGTATATTCAGCATATAGCAAACTCATCCAAGGAGCTTGTAAAGCACAGATTCCTGGACCCACCCCTGAGATTCCCATTCAGCTGGTCAGGAGGGTGGGGCATTTCCTGCCAGAGGCACTGATGCCTCCGATCCAGAGCTGTGGGCTCCATCTGGAATAACACTGCCCTAGTGTGTCCTGCAGGGGTGGCAATCGAGAATGAAGGTTCAGTTGTATAGCATTTGGATTGAAATTCTGACCCTGCCAATTAGTGGGTGGCTTGGGCAAGCTACTTAGCCTCTCTAGGCTTGCTTACTCATCTTGAAAATAAGGATTTAAAGAGCAGCTACTATATAGAGTTGTGGAGATTAGATGAGCTAAGCTATGTGAAGTATTTCAAATGGATAGTTCTTAATCAGGGTTTGCTTTTATTAGCAACACATGGAACCACGATGTCCTGGAGTGGAGAAAAGTGCTCTGGCCTTGCAGTCAGAAGTTTTGAGATCCTGTCTAGGTCAGTTCTCAAATCCCTGGGTCGTCTGAGAGAGAGTGAGGTGCTCAGAGCCCTCATGTACCTCTGGGCAGAAGGGCTAATGGGCATCTGGGTAGCTTCTTGCTGTGGGGTACCAGAAAATTGCATGGATCTTTAAGGCTTACCCTGGAGGCCCTCTGAGGCCTCCTGACTGGGGTTTCTTGAGGGTGCATGTGTGTCATCCAGGCCCCATGTCTGACATGGCTCAGGTTGGCAGCATGCCATGGGTGCCCTGAGCCAGCCAACCTGCGGAGTCCTAACCTTTCCCCTTTGGGCCTTGAGTCACCCTTATTGCCACTGTGCCTGCTATAGTTTAAGGGCCTCAGGCCCTGCTTTCTTTTCCCTGCAGCTTTTTATTTAATGTCTATCTAGTAAAGCTCCACAGACCCACATCGTTTGGAAAGTAAGACAGAAACCTGACAGTTATCCTCAGGGCCCTCTCTGCAGTAGCCTGGGCCACTCCACCCACATTATTCCTGCAACGCATTGGGCTCTGGCACAGGCCAGACACATATAACACAGCCATTCCCGTCAGACCCCAGCCATGGTGGCACCCTATTCTGTAACAGCATCAGAATTTAGAGGCTGGCTACACCAAGTGTGGTTCTCTGATCAGCTGCATCATCATCACCAGGCCCCATCTGATATGGTTTGGATATGTGTCCTCACCAAAATCTCATGTCAAATTGGAGGAGGGGCTTGGTGGGAGGTGATTGGATCATGGGGGTGAATTTCCCCCTTGCTATTCTCGTGATAGCAAGTGAGTTCTCACAAGATCTGATGATTTAGAAGTGTCTAGCACTTCCCCCATCACTCTCTCTCCTGCTCTGCCACGGTAAGATGTGCTTGCTTCCCCTTTGCCTTCTGCCATGATTATAAATTTTCTGAGGCCTCCCAGTCACGCTTCCTGTTTAGCCTACAGAACTGTGAGTCAATTAAACCTCTTTTCTTCATAAATTACCCAGTCTCAGGTAGTGCTTTATAGCAGTATGAGAATGGGCTAATACAGAAAATTGCTACCAGGAGTGAAACACTGCTATAAAGATACCTGAAAATGTGGAAGCGACTTTGGAACTGGATAACAGGCAGAGGTTGGAACAGTTTGGAGGGCTCAGAAGAAGACAAGAAGATGTGGGACAGTCTGGAACTTCCTAGAGACTTGTTGAATGGTTTTTGACCAAAATGCTGATAGTGATGTTGACAATGAAGTCCAGGCTGAGGTCTCAGATGGGAATGAGGAACTTCTTGGAAAGTGGAGCAAAGGTGACTCTTGCTATGCTTTAGCAAAGAGACTGGCAGCATTTCCCCCCTGCCCTAGGGATCTGTGGAACTTTGAACTTGAGAGAGATGATTTAGGGTATCTGGCAGAAGAAATTTCTAAGCAGCAAAGTATTCAAGATGTGACCTGGTTGTTTCTAAAAGTATATGCTCATGTGCTGAACAAAGAGATTTTCTGAAACTGGAACTTGTATTTAAAAGGGAAGCAGAGCATAAAAGTTTGGAAAATTTGCAGGCCAGCCATGTGGTAGAAAAGAAAAAGCCATTTTTCTGGGGAGAAATTCAAGCCTGCTGCAGAAATTTGCATAATTAAAGAGGAGCTGAATGTTAATAGCCAAGACAATGGGCAAAATGTCTCCAGGGCATTCCAGAGACCTTCACAGCAGCCCCTCCCATCACAGGCCCAGAGGCCTAGGAGGAAAAAATGGTTTTGTGGGCCAGGCTCAGAGTCCAGCTGCCCTGTGCAGCCTTGGGACACTGTGCCCTGCATCCTAGCCGCTCCAGCTCCAGCCACAGCTAAAAGGGGCCAAGGTACACCTCAGGCAGTGGCTTCAAAGGGTGCAAGCCCCAAACCTCAAAGGGTGCAAGCCCCAAACCTCAGCAGCTTCCACATGACGTTGGGCCTGCATTTGCACAGAAGGCAAGAGTTGAAGTTTGGGAACCTCCACCTAGATTTCAGAAGATGTATGGAAAATGCCTGGATGTCTAGGCAGAAGTCTGCTGCAGGGGCGGAGCCCTCAAGGAGAACCTCTACTAGGGCAGTGCAGAGGTGAAATGTGGGGTTGGAAGCCCCACACAAAGTCCGCACTGGGGCATTGCCTAGTGGAGCTGTGAGAAGAGGGCCACTGTTCCCCACCCCAGAATGGTAGATAGACCAACATCTTGCACCATGCGCCTGGAAGTGCCACAGGCACTCAACACCATGAAAGTAGCCGTAGGGGTTGTACCCTGCAGAGTCACCAGGGCAGAGCTGCCCAAGCCCTTAGGACCCCATTGCTTATGTCAGTGTTGCCTGGATGTGAGACATGGAGTCAAAGGGGATTATTTTGGAGCTTTAAGATTTAATGACTGCCCTACTAGGTTTCAAACTTGCATGGGGCCTGTTGCCCCTTTGTTTTGGCCAATTTCTCCCATTTAGAGCAAGAACATTTACCCAATGCCTGTACCCCCAATGTATCTTGGAAGTAACTAACTTGTTTCTGATTTTACAGACTCACAGGTAAAAGGGACTTACCTTGTCTCAGATGAGACTTTTGGACTGTGGACTTTTGAGTTAATGGCTGAAATGAGTTAAGACTGGGAAACTGTTGAGAAGGGATAATTGTATTTTGCAGTGTGAGAAGGACATGAGATTTGGGAGGGGCCAGGGACAGATGATATGCTTTGGATTTGTGTCCCCATCCAAATCTCATGTTGAATTGGAGGAGGGGCCTAGTGGGAGGTCATTGGATCATGGGGATGGGTTTCCCCTTGCTGTTTGATAATGGTTTGGCTCTGTGTCCCCACCCAAATCTCACCTTGAATTGTAATAATCCCCACATGTCAAGGGCAGGACCAGTTGGAGATAATTCAATCATGGGGGCGGTTTCCCCCATGCTGTTCTCGTGATAGTGAATAAATTCTCATGAGATCTGATGGTTTTATATGGGTTCCCCCTTTGCTTGGCTCTCATTCTCTCTCTTTGCCTGCTGCCATCCATGTAAGACGTGACTTGCTCCTCCTTGCCTTCTCCAGCCATGTGGAACTGTAAGACCATTAAACCTCTTTCTTTTGTAAATTGCCCAGTCTCGGGTATGTCTTTATCAGCAGCATGAAAATGGACTAATACACTGTTCTTGTGATAGTGAGTGAGTTCTCACAAGATCTGATGCTTTAAAAGTGTGTGGCACTGGCCAGATGGTTTAAAAGTGTTTAAACCAAAAAGATGGTTTAAAAGTGTGGTGGCTCATGCCTGCAATCCCAGCACTTTGGGAGGCCGAGGTGGGTGGATCACGAGGTCAGGAGATCGAGACCATCCTGGCTAACACAGTGAAACCACATCTCTACTAAAAAAATACAAAAAAAATTAGCCAGACGTGGTGGCAGGTGCCTGTAGTCCCAGCTACTCAGGAGGCTGAGGCAGGAGAATGGCATGAACCTGGGAGGCGGAGCTTGCAGTGAGCTGAGATCACGCCACTGCACTGCAGCCTGAGTGACAGAGTGAGACTCCATCTCAAAAAAAAAAAAAAAAAAAAAAAAGTGCATGGCACCTCCCTCTTCACTGTTTCTCTCTCCTGCTCCTCCATAGTAAGACGTGCTTGCTTCCCCTTCACCTTCTACCATGATTGTAAGTTTCCTGAGGCCTCCCAGTCATGCTTCCTGTTAAGCCTGTGGAACTGTGAGTCAATTAAACCTCTTTTCTTCATAAATTACCCAGTTTCAGGTAGAGCTTGATAGCAGTGTGAGAATGGACTAATATATCATCCCTGGTTGTTTTAAGATGCAAACTTTGACCAGGCACAGTGGCTCATGCCAGTAATCCCAACACATTGGGAGGCCAAGGCAGAAGGATCACTTGAGTCCAGGAGTTCAAGACCAGCCCTGCCTCTACAAAAGAAAAATTAGCCAGGTGTGGTGACAAACACCTGTAGTCCCAGCTACTCAGGAGGCTGAGGTGGGAGGATCACTTGAGCCCAGGAGATGAAGGCTGCAGTGAACTATAATTGCACCACTGCACTCCAGTCTGTGCAACAGAATGAGACTCTGTATCAAAAAAAAAAAAAGCAAAGCAAGCTTTATTATTATTTGGGTATGGGGAAACCAGAAGATCAGGAGATGGCTGCCATTGAAATGATAGTTCATTATTCACACTTCCCAAGAGAAGGGGGCACACCACACCTCAGAGCCACATGAGGAAGCACCAGGAGTGCTTAGGAGGCACAGGGAATGAGAGAAAATGTAGGCAAGCCTTTCTGGTGATTTCCACCAGAAAGAATTGGCTAGGCAGAGTAACCCAGTTCAGGATTGGCTAGTTTGAATAATCTCAGCAGGCTCTAGGGTAGAGAGCCTGTCTTTAGTTGTCTGGTACCTAACCCTGGGGTGATTAGGGAAGGGGTCTAGTGGTCTGGATTGTAAGAGCCAGACAAAAGAGGTGGTTGGGGTGTGGGCTTCGGGTTGGTTGGTCTGCATATATACTCCTCCTTGTAGGTGCGTCCTTTACTATCTCTAGGAATTGGCTGGCCCTGAGAAGAGCAGTCTCCCCAGGTTAAGCAAGGCCCTACGAAGTCAAAGCACTGGAAATATAGAAAAAAAATTCTTTTTTTTGTGAGACAGAGTTTCACTCTTGTTGCCCATGCTGGAGTGCAGTGGCACTATCTCGGCTCACTGCAACCTCCGCTTCCTGGGTTCAAGCAATTCTCCTGCCTCAGCCTCCCAAGTAGCTGGGATTATAGGCGCCCGCCACCATGCCCATCTAATTTTTTGTATTTTTAGTAGAGACAAGGTTTCACCATGTTGGCCAGCCTGGTCTCTAACTCCTGACCTCAGGTGATCCACCCACCTTGCCTCCCAAAGTGCTGGGATTACAGGTATGAGCCAATACGCCCGGCCAGAAATAAGAAAAAATTTTAAAAGGCATGATTAAAATACATTGACCTACAGAATAAGGATCTGCATTTTAACAAGAGACTGGAGTCATTGATGTTTGAGAACCACTGCTCTAGGGCACTACTCTCTGATGTTCTGAATTGGGTCTGCTAAAAGCAACATTTGTCCTAAGACATTCTGTATACAAATAGGGCGCGTGACTATGGTTTTGTGAGACTATGTACACCAAAACAAGTCTAAAATCTTAAATGGAAAGCAAAAGAAGAATGTCCCAGAATATTAGCAATGCCTTCCATTTCTTGGACATATGCTAATAATATTCTTTTGATTGTTACTAATGAATGGTACAGCAGTCTTAAGATATTATACAAACAGATGATAACTACTTTCTATAACAGAACTTATTTGAAAGGAAGGAACTTAACACCTCATCAGTGAATAGAGATAAAAGCCAACATTTTTAACCCATTTCACAGTGGGAAAATTGATCAGTTAATTATCCAATGAAATCTTAGTTTCCTACATTCCCAAATAAGTTGCGCTCCAATTTATTTTAATGGGGCAAAAATATTTCTTTGGATGACTCATCTGACTTATATTTGTCTTCACCCCTAGAAACTCCTTTAGAAGGAGCCCTTACTGGCCCACTCAACTTGGAGAGGCTGTTTTATTGAGGAAGAGAGGAAGAGGAACAAGAGCCAAATGTGGGTGCCTCACAGAATCACAGTGCTTGGAAATAAGGGGACCATTGAAATCATTCAATATAATCCTTCATTTTAAAGGTAGGGACACTGAGGCCCGAGAGGTTAGTAACTTGCATGAGGTTCTGTGATTCTTTGATGCAGACACGGAACAGTACGCAGGCCTCTGGGTCCACAGCCAACTGTTCTCCACGACACTGTGGAGTTTTCTCCTCCTTCTTCCTCCCTTCTCACTTCAGCAGAGCACGTCCTTCCTCTTAGATCAGAGATAAAACACTTCGCGCCCAGTCTGGCAGTGCTGACAACAGCAGCCACGTATTTTATTTCTTTGCTTTATTTATTTATACCCATCTTTGTTGCAAAAGGATTTAAGGCCACTTATAAAGTTGCAAACAACAGAACAAGATAAAATAAATTTAAAATAAGTGAGAAAGATGAGACACAGGAATAAGTAGCTTCACTGCAACTTTGCCCATTGCTCTCCTGTTAGAGCTGTTGAGCTTCTAGCCATTAAATCAGAGTGATGGGCAATGATTTCTGTACTCATGCCCTGTACTCAGCACTTCAGTGGATTTTTCTCCTGGGCTTGTTTTAGAGCCTCTCCCCCTTTGGGATACAAATGCCCTTTTAGGTCACTTTGGGAAACATAGAAGTTCTCTGCAGGAGGTCATGTTCGCAGGGTGTGACCACAGTGGTGATAGGGTTGTTGCTGTGTTGTTGCTCTTTTAAGGCCAAGCAAGAGAAGACAGCTAGTTCCTAACTAGAAACTTTAAGCTGTTGGAGCTGTCCAGAATCGATGACTTTCTTGGCTTCTTTGGTATGCCCTGCATACCAAAGGCTGTGAGGAGGAGGCTCAGACTGCAGCCAGGGTTCAGCCCATAGCCCAGCCTTCCTCCATCCCCCACTCATTCTTCATCTTTTTTGTACCATTTTGACCTCTACCCAAGCTCAGATCTCTTGGTTCCGTGAGCCCATCTTCCTCGCTGCCTTGACTTCTTCATTCAAGGAACCAGTGCACCTTCTCTGCTCTCAGGACCTCCACTTCTTCCCACAAACAAGCCTTGGTCCAACTGGCTCATTGCTTCATGTGTGCTGTCTAACTCCCTGGACCTTGTCCCTTTAGAATTCAACCCACCGCCTGGGTTGGGTGGCCTCTTCCATTTCTTCTAAGATGCTGCAAAATTAATCAAATCTAACTCCACCAGGAAGCCCAGTATTCCTGATGGCTCTTACCACTAGAGATGTTTGGAAAATGTTCATTTGGGGGCTGTTGTGGTAACTGGCATCCATCGGAGTAGAAGTGCTAAATGCTGTGCATTGCATGGAACAATTCCACCCAACGGAGAATTAACCCTCTTAAAATGCCAGGTGTGTTCCTGCTAATAAGCACTGATAAAAGCACAAAGAAAACCTAACTATTTGCCATTGTACAATGGCATCAGAGCAGCCACACTGCAGATTTCTTGGTTGATGCCCAAGAGTTTAGTGGGAGGAAATCACTAAATTATTTTTATCTGCATTTTGAAGGGGTCAGGCTATGCTGGGAATTGTTTTTCATTAGGCCAGAGTCCCACAGTTGGATCGAGCTATAGCTCTGCTCAGGTCATTTGTTGGTCTACATCGGGGACCTAGAAGCCACAGAGTTGGTGAGTGCAGCCTGTCCTTGGGCGCTATCAGATCACCCCAGTCCCCAGAGGGGATGCTGGTGGCTGGCATAGTGATGGAGAACTGGCCACAAAGGAATATCTTTCCAGAGGTTTGTTGTTTTTGTTTTTGTTTTTGTTTTTTTTGGTGGTGGTGGTGGTGGTGTTTTTTGCTGTAACAGGCAAAGGAGCAGAACACTCAGAATTAAATGGTCTGTTGTCTCATAAAAACCAACTATGTAATCCCAGCACTTTGGGAGGCCAAGGCAGGCGGATCACTTGAAGTCAGGAGTCCAAGACCAGCCTGGCCAACATGGTGAAACCCCATCTCTACTAAAAATACAAAAAAATTAGCTGGGCATGGTGATGCACGCCTGTAATCCCAGCTACTCCAGAGGCTGAGGCAGGAGAATCACTTGAACCCGGGAGGCAGAGGTTGCAGTGGGCTGAGATAGTGCCACTGCACTCCAGCCTGGGCGACAGGGCGATACTCCATCTCAAAAAAAAAAAGACAAAAACAAAAACAAAAAACAAAAACAACTATGATGCTCTTAAAGTTAAAAAATAAGCACAGTGGCTAAGAGAAATAATTCAGTTTAGCTAGCTCTCAGACCACTGCAGACTGCTGCCCACTGATCCCTGCATTTCTCTCTTGCTTTACTGTGGATTGGCTAATTATTTCCTGATTTATTCATTTATTATCTAACACACTTGGAGTGCCTGCTATGTACCAGTACTAAGAAAAAGTTCCTGACTTGGGCTCTTTATATGCGAAGAAGGGTGGCAAATCTATCTGTTACTACGGAGCCACGTGCCAGGTGCTAAGGTGGAGGTGTGCTCAGTGGGTCCAGAGAGCAGAGAGAAAGGGCTTCAGGTGAGACCTGGCAGAGGTTCAGGATAGCAGGGAATCTCCTAAGTGTCCCAAATGCGCTAATGTTTGAGCTAGATCCTGAAAGAAAACAAGGAGTTAACCAAGGTGAAGAACAAACGAGTGGACCAGGATTCCAGAGAAAGAACACTGTGCACCAAGCCACAGAGGCGTGAAACAAAAGGCTCTCAGTTGTCTAGTGTGGCAAGTGGCAGGGGTGCATGGGGGGAGGGTGTCGGAGTGGTGCCCTGGAGACAGGGAGAGCTGCGACAGATTCCTGGGGACGGATCCTTCTGCAGCTCAAAGATAGGAGAGGCCCTTAGACATCCCTCAAGGCCATATGTCAATCAAAATAATTAAAAGTAAAAGAACCGGAAGGCAGGCTTATATATTCCAACATCCATCTAGTTTTTCCCCCAAAAAAAGCTTTTGATAAAATAAGATGAAGTGCCAAAAAGATGCATGTGTTCAATAGCGCAGCAGAAAGTGAATAGAGTAAAAGTAATAAAAAATACTCGGCCGGGCATGGTGGCTCACACCTGTAGTCCCAGCACTTTGGGAGGCCAAGGCAGGTGGTTCACCTGAGGTTGGGAGTTCAAGACTAGCCTGGCCAACATGGTGAAACCCCATTACTACTAAAAATACAATAATTAGGCAGGCGTGGAGGCACGCACCTGTAAATCCCAGCTACTTGGGAGACTGAGGCAGGAGAATTGTTTGAACCCAGGAGGAGGAGGTTGCAGTGAGCCAAGATCATACCATTGCACTCCAGCCTGGGTGACAAGGCAAGACTCCGTCTCAAAATAAATAAATAAATAAATAAATAAAATAAAAAATAATCTCTACAAAACTGAGTTATTGCTAATTCTGGGTAGCACAGCACAGGAGAGTGTGCTTGGGTTTGGAGTCTGACAGAACTGAGTGCAAGTCTTGGCTTTACTAACTTGGCTAATGCCACTGTACCAGCACTTTGGGAGGCCAAGGGGGGCAGATCACCTGAGGTTAGGAGTTTGAGACCAGCCTGGCCAACATAGTGAAACGCCATCTCTACTAAAAATACAAAAATTAGCCGGGTGTGATGGCACATGCCTGTAGTCCCAGCTACTTGGGAGGCTGAGGCACAAGAATCACTTGAACCCAGGAGGCGGGAGGTTGCAGTGAGTAGAGGTTGCAACAAGCTCAGATCGTACCACTGCACTCCAGCCTGGGCAACAGAGCAAGACTCTGTCTAAAAAAAAAAAAAAAAAAAAAAAAAAAAGAGATAAAACCTCTCTGGACATTGGTTTCCTCATCCAAACATGGGGGTGATGATACCAATCTCATTGCATTATTGTGTGAATTAAACAGTATCATCCCAGTGGTTTTTACTATTAGCCTGTTATTTGTTGCTTTTTGAAGTACTAACTTAATCAGGGCAAAGAACAGGTTGTGATCTGTGCAGATCAGTTCTCATTAGCAGAATAAAGAACAATCACAGATTACAGTTAATAAGCCAGATCTAGAAATGACAAAATTCTTTCTTATTTTATTCATTTGACAAATGTAAATTACACATTTCCTGTGGGCAGGCACTTCATGAGGCTTATAGTAGTGAACAAGACAGACCCCGTCTCTGCTTTCCTGAGGCTCAAAATCTGGTGATGAGGAAAATGTACTAAGGGATCCCTTCCTGAAGTCTACCCATTTCAGATTCACCAAGTGGCATGTTTGTTGTGGACCAACCTAAAGTGGTTTGGCCACATAGGCCTCTTGGGTTCTCTCTGGTAGGACACAGTTGCCAGCGTAAAAGGTTGTAAAAGATAGATGTGGTGAGGGTCAGCTTCTCCCGCACAACCTTGCAGTTGTGAATACCATGTGAATGAATGTGGGTATGAGACTGAATTCTGCCACAGATGCAGGCATTTATCAAACAAACGTTTATTGACAAGTAGAAACAAAACAGTTGATTCAGCTTGTTTGGGAAGCTTGACAAAGGCCCAGCCCTCTCTCCTTTGAGGTTTTCCAACCACACCTGACACGAAAGGTTCGCCCTAGGCAACTACAAGAATCCTCTAGAGAGGGGACACTGTTACACTGTTTTCCCAAAGCAGCATCATCCCCTCATAAACCATCCAGATTTGGTGGCTGGACACAGGGCAGCCCAGAGCACCATCCCTGAAGGGACAGGCCTGGCTGGATTCTAATACCTGTTTATACAAGGGTGGGTAGTGTCTCTCAGGGTTTTGGCCAGGCTACATACCTTGAATACCGTTAATTGCACCAGTAAAAAGCCTGTTTCTAGCAGTGATTATACTAAGTCACAAGTTTCAACAATAAAACCCATTTTTTGTGTTCAGAATGTTGGACCAAATATGGATAACAGAAAAACTTAAACTGGCCACATTTGGAATGTGGCTCACTTTGATTAATACCAGTTGCCCAATCTAGACTTTGTATTCTTACTGCCTGCAAGCTGATGACCTGGAAATGTAAAGCCTAGACTAACTTCCACAAACAATAAAATACAAGTTATACTTAAGTGCTTTTTTTTTTTTTTTGAGACGGAGTTTCGCTCTTCTTGCCCATGCTGGAGTGGAATGACGGGATCTCGGCTCACCGCAACCTCTGCCTCCTGGGTTCAAGCGATTCTCCCTTCTGCAGCCTCCTGAGTAGCTGGGATTACAGGCACCTGCCACCACGCCCAGCTAATTTTTTGGGGGTTTTTTGTTTGTTTGTTTGTTTGTTTTTGAGACGGAGTCTTGCTCTGTTGCCCAGGCTGGAGTGCAGTGGCAAGATCTGGGCTCACTGCAAGCTCCGCCTCCTAGGTTCACGCCATTCTCCTGCCTCAGCCTCCCAAGTGGCTGGGACTACAGGCGCACGCCGCCACGCCTTGCTAATTTTTTGTATTTTTAGTAGAGACGGGGTTTCACTGTTAGTCAGGATGGTCTCGATCTCCTGACCTTTTGACCTGCCTGCCTCGGCCTCCCAAAGTGCTGGGATTACAGGCATGAGCCACTGCGCCCGGCGGCAATTTTTTTGTATTTTTAGTAGAGACGGGGTTTCTCCGTGTTGGTCAGGCTGGTCTTAAACTGCAGACCTCGGGTGATCCGCCTGCCTTGGTCTCCCAACGTGCTGGGATTACAGGCATGAGCCACCACGCCAGGCCTCAAGTACTTTTTATTTACTTATTTATTTTTATTTTTTAATACTCTAGCACTTTATAGGCATTGTTACCCTGCTGCATTTCTCTTTCCTATTTAAAAGATGTGATTCGCCCTGTGTGTGTGTGTATGTGTGTCTGTGTGTGTGTGTGTGTGTTGTGGGTCTGTGTGTGTGTAAGGGGCTGGGTTATATCTAAAGTGACCAGAAGTCCTAATTTGCCTGGGAGAGTCACAATTTATACCTCTTGCCCTGGAGCCCATCCATTTAGCACCCCCTTTTACTTTCAAAGCTGTCTAGTTGGGATGATAAATTATATGATTTCTGTATTTCTAGAAAGAATGCAATGGCACAGAATAAAGAGAACAAACCCAGGAAAACTAGGTTTGGATCCCGTCTGTACCAGTCCCCATAGGGTGGCCTTGGGCAAGTTGCCCCACCTTAGATTCCTCATCTGTGAACTGAGAATGATGCTTCTGCTCGCCCTCCCTCCCTAGTCAGTTTTCTGTGAGATACCAGTTATGCCACGGATGCAAATGAACTTTGTAAAGAGAAAAGCACTAGCAAGAGTTAGGGATCATTCCCATCTTTAAACTAACATTGTTTTACACTTGAATTGACTCTGGCTTAGGAAAACTAGCATCAGAATATAGGTCATGTGAGCTTTTCAACTTGTCTTCTCCAAGGCTGGAGAGGCCCATAGCCTGCTGCTGCCAAGGAAGTAACTAGCAAACACGTCTGCTTGAGTTTCCACCTCCATAATTCCATCAGGGAAGAGAACATGACGTTAAAAGTAAAACCATAAGCCAGTGGTTTGCTTTAAAATGAATTAATGAGTTGGGCACCGTGGCTCATGCTTGTATTCCCAGCTATTCAGGAGGCTGAGGCAGGAGGATCACTTGAGCCCAGGAGTTTGAGGCTACAATGAGCTGTGATCACACCACTGCAGTCCAGCCTGGGTTACAGAGCGAGACCCTGTCTCTAAAAAAATAAAATGCATTAATGTAAGAATTATCCAATAAAGATTTAACTTACCCTTTTTTTGTATGAGTAGAACTCTTCTGAAAGTTTGACTTGAGGATGGGATGGGGTGCAAATAGGAGTGGTGCTCCAAACAGAGGTGCTGTTTTGCATAATAATATAGTTTTATTTTTTTCAAAGTTAAAATTGCCTTTGTTCTTATTATAAAAGGAATGCACTGCAAAAACTGCCAATATTTCAGAAAAGTCTAAACAAGTAAAATAAGAAAATAAGTATTTCCATGTAAAACTTTCCAATCTTTTTTCTATGTGTATGTGTTTGTCTGTGTGTTGTACATATGTATCTACATGCATATATTTTATATTTTTAAAATAAAAGTAGAATCTTATTATAGACATTGCTTTGAAACATGCTTTTTTTCATCTAAAATTATCATGGATACATTTTAGTAAATATAGATCTGCATCATCATTTTTATGCATCTCCAGCATTCCATTGAATGGATGTGCCAATAATTTATTTAACTAGTGCCTGATTGCTTGTGATTTAGGTTGTCTAGGGGTACAGTATCTACCCCTTTTGCTGTAATTTTTAGAAACCAATATAAGATATCTACACACACAAACTTGACACACTTTTTGCAATTTCATATATTAATGTTTGTCTTTGTTTGCATTTAAGTGGAAAGATCCATGACAGTTAAAGTGTACACTAGGAGGAGCTATAAATAATAAGGCACAGGGGCCGGCCGCAGTAGCTAACACCTATAATCCCAGCACTTTGGGAGACGAAGGCAGGCAGATCACTTGAACTCAGGAGTTCGAGAGCAGCCTGCACAACATGGTGAAACCCCATCTCTACAAAAAATGCAAAAATTAGGCAGGCGCGGTAGTGTGCGCCTGTAGTCGCAGCTACTGGGGAGGCTGGGGTGGGAGGATCACTTGAGCCCAGGAGGTGGAGGTTGCAGTAAGCCAAGATGCACCACTACACTGCAGCCTGGGTGATAGAGCCAGACCCTATCTCAAAAATAATAATAATAATAGAGCAAAGGCAGCTCAGGGTAGAAAGCCAAGGTATCACATCGTTGCAAACTGCCTGAGGCAGTAAATTACTTTAGGAATAACCTCCTCATACACAGGGGCTCAGATATGGTCATTCATGGAGCAACATTGCTGCCAGGAGACCTTGTCTTTTTTTTTTTTTTTTTTTTTTTTTGAGACAGAGTCTTGCCCTGTCACCCAGGCTGGAGTGCATGGTGGTGCAATCTCAGCTCACTGCAACCTCTGCCTCCCAGGTTCAAGCAATTCTCCTGCCTCAGCCTCCTAAGTAGCTGGGACAACAGGAGCATGCCACCACGCCTGGCTAATTTTTTGTATTTTTAGTAGAGATGGGGTTTCACCATGTCGGCCAGGCTGGTATCGAACTCCTGGCCTCAGGTGATCCGCCTGCCTTGGCCTCCCAAAGTGTTGGGATTACAGACATGAGCCACCGCGCCCAGCCCCCCTTGTCATTTTCTAGCACCACCAGCCCCAGTCATTGGAATATTCCTTTCACAAAAGAAAACATCGTGTGCACATGCAGGTGTTTACAGGTAGTGCATTCCATAATATCTCAGTATCATGAGCTCTGCCATTGAGTGAAGCTGCATGGGAACCCAGCCAGGAGCTCAGAGCGGCTCGGAGGGGCTCTGAGTCGCTGCTCCTCAGCTCCACGCCATGGTCCAGGGCACCTTCAGGCTGTCATTGAGAAACAGTTTACTCTCAGTTTATACATAATACCAGCAAACTTGATGGTCTGATTTCCAAGTTCAGGAAATTAGAACTCTAAGGAGGATTGTGGGGGCAGGCCTTCACATAAAAAGAAGTGACACCAGACTGCAGGAAAATACAGGTAAAAGCCAGAAAGCGGGGAAGCTGAAAGTCCTTGCATTCTTTCTCAGTGTTTGCAAACCATAGGCACCACCCATGATGATGGGGCAATCATCATGGTTTAGTGAATCCTGACCAACATTTTAAACAACAGAAGACAAGAGATCACAGTGCTTTTTAGGTAGTGAAGATAAGTATTATCTTTGGGAACTTGTGTCTCATCTACATATCTGCAATACTAGGTTGCACTGTAAAATTCATTTCTTAAGGTAAATTAGGGTCAAAAAGTTTGACAGCTGCAGTCGTAGGCTCTAAAGTCATAATTTTATAGCAATTAATGCTTGTAACAGTGACTTTGAGTTATCAAAAAAGGATCAAGTAACATTCAAAGTATACCACTTAAGAAATCAAAATACAGTGGAATGGCCGAGCATGATGGCTCATGCCTGTAATTCCAGCACTTTGGGAGGCTGAGGCAGGCAGATCACCTGAGGTCAGGAGTTTGAGACCAGCCTGGCCAACACGGCAAAATCCTGCCTCTACTAAAAATACAAAATTAGCTGGGCGTGATGGTGCATGCCTGTAATCCCAGCTAGTTGGGAGGCTGAGGAAGGAGAATCACTTGAACCTGGGAGGCAGAGATAGCAGTGAGCCGAGATTGCACAACTGTGCTCCAACCTGGGTGACAGAGCAAGGTTCCACCCCAAAAAGAAAAAAAAAAAGTACAGTGGAATGAAGATCTTTTGGAAAGAGCCCTGTTCCACTGTGGCTACAATCTTTTTAAAGATTTGGCATTATAAATTTTAAATGGAAAGGCTTTCTGCCTTCTCCCTAACTTGAACCACAAACAACTTTTTAGAAACACCAAATTTGATGCATATTTAATATAAAGATATTCACTTTCCAGATATGCCTAGTAAGGTATATATATATATCTTTTTAATTCAGATTAAGAGAGACTTCATTTGTTCATGCAAAACACGTATTTAAAACACATAGCAAAGTTTCTATGCTCTGGCTAGCATGCAAAGATAGCTGAGACTCAGAACCTGCCCTCAGGGAACTTCAGTCCAGTGGTCTGGATTCCAGTCAACCCACATCTAAGATCTTTATCATAAAGTCATCTTTCAAACTGTAATGCAGTACTGGCTAAGGCTGGCTGACATTGATACTCACTCTCCCCCAGAATCTGGTGTATGGCCAAGCACGGTGGCTCACGCCTTTAATCTCAGCACTTTGGGAGGCCGAGGCAGGCAGGTCACTTGACCCCAGGAGACGAGCATGAGCGGCATGGCAAAACTCCATCTCTACAAAAAATAAAAAATTAGCTAGGCATGGTGGTGCATGCCTGTGGTCCCAGCTACTCAGGAGGCTGAAGTGGGAGGATCACTTGAGCCCAGGAGGTCAAGGCTGCAGTGAGCAATGGTCACACCACAGCACTCTAGCCTGGGTGACAGAGCAAGACCCTGTCTCAAAAAATTTATTTTTAAAAAAGAAAAATCTAGCATATGTAGCCCCATCGATGCAAAACTGACATTGTGACATCAGTTACAATGTCTTGGTTTGTGGGTCCACATCACAAAGGATTAAGCCAAAATCTAGTTGCAGGTATGATCAGGCAAGACTGGCTTAGTCCCTGTGAATCCAGGTAACAGGGCACAAGTGAGGCGTGTTGAGCTGAGTGCGGACACGACTGGGAAGTCTGCATGGCAATGTCAGGCACTAGAGCCCAAGCATTGAAGCCAAGCCTGCAACCAATAGCCCCCACAGCTACCAACATGCTTTCCTTGCCTCTGTATCTCCCAAAAGCTCAGTCTCCATCCTGTGTTGGCTCCATCCTCTTCTTGGCCAGCTTTCCACATGTCCAGACCATGTATAAAGACAGTGCTCGTCCCTGCCCAGCTTCCTCTTCCACATATGGAGTCAGGCAGCTGCCTTCGCTCGGAGGAGTATAAACATCCAGGGCATGGGCACAGGGCCCCAGCTGTTGCAGGAAGTCAGGGACCCCAAACAGAGGGACCGGCTGAAGCCATGACAGAAGAACGTGGATTGTGAAGATTTTATGGACATTTATTACTTCCCCAAATTAATACTTTTGTAATTTCTTATGCCTGTCTTTACTGCAATCTCTAAACGTAAGTTGTGAAGATTTCATGGACACTTATCACTTCCCCAATCAATACCCTTGTGATTTCCTATGCCTGTCTTTGCTTTAATCTCTTAATCCTGTCAGCCGAGAAGGATGTATGTCGCCTCAGGACCCTGTAATAATTGCATTAACTGCACAAATTGTATAGCATGTGTGTTTGAGCAATATGAAATGTGGGCACCTTGAAAAAAGAACAGGATAACAGCAATTGTTCAGAGAGTAAGAGAGATAACCTTAAACTCTGACCGCAGGTGAGCCGGGCGGAACAGAGCCATATTTATCTTCTTTCAAAAGCAAATGGGAGAAATATCGCTGAATTCTTTTTCTCAGCATGGAACGTTCCTGAGAAAGAGAACGTGCACCTAGGGGGGTAGGTCTCTGAACTGGCCCCTCTGGGGCGTACCTGTCTCTTATGGTCGAGATTGCAGCGGTGAGATAGACTCCAGTCTCCCATAGCGCTCCCAGGCTTATTAGGAAGAGGAAATTCCCACCTAATAAATTTTGGTCAGACCGGTTGATCTCAAAACCCTGTCTCCTGATAAGATGTTATCAATGACAATAGTGCCCGAAACTTCATTAGCAATTTTAATTTTGCCTCGGTCCTGTGGTCCTGTGATCTCGCCCTGCCTCCACTTGTCTTGTGATATTCTATTACCCTGTTAAGTACTTGATGTCTGTCACCCACACCTATTCGCACAGTCCCTCCCCTTTTGAAAATCCCTAATAAAAACTTGCTGGTTTTTGTGGCGTGTGGGGCATCACGGATCCTACCAACGTGTGATGTCTCCCCCGGACGCCCAGCTTTAAAATTTCTCTCTTTTGTACTCTGTCCTTTTATTTCTCAAGCTGGCCGACACTTAGGAAAATAGAAAAGAACCTACGTGATTTTCGGGGCAGGTCCCCCATTACCCAGCTTCATCCTCCGTGGGGTGGATGTACTGAGCTCTCCAGCATTTTCCAAACTCCCTTCTCTGTCTGCATTAGCAAAACAGCGTTTGTCTGGTTTGTGGTGGAACTGCTTTGGTTAAGCATGCCAGTACTAATTACAACAGATTCCTGCTAATATTCCACATCTCTCCATTAGCGCATTTTAATGTGATATTACAAGTTCAGTGGCTAGGCCTCATGGACTTTCAGAAGTTCTGATTTTAAATAGCCTACCCTATCTTTCCTTATTATGCCAATGCTTGTCAAATCATGGGTCCTTCTTTTTTGGCTTAAAAAAAGTGGGGGTGGATGGGTGGGGCTCTATGATCAAAGAAGTCACATGTTACGTGGAAATATTCTCCTCACTTTATGTCTTGCAAGCAAACGAGTTTCCGTGCCAAGACTGTTCTGATTCACCTAGCACCCATATTCTTTCAGGCAGCATGGATGCAAATGTCCTCTGGTTACCAAAACCACCTGAAGAAACCCCCTTGAGAGTGAGTATTCACTAGCAGTGGGAAGCACTACATATACCTCCCGCCAAGCTGCAGAGCATTTCCAGTCAACAGGAGCACATAGATTTCATTAGTCTTCATGACCTTCATAACAGTCAACGTGAAGTCCACCTTGACACCCAACTTCCCTGACCTTCGGGTGTATGTTTTCTTGTGTTGTACTTTCAGGGAGAAAGAAGTGTGACAGGCAGATTTATAAGGGCGTGGCAGAACGTTCTGTAACTTCCTAACCATCAGCTCCTGACAGGCTCCCCTCTGCATTCTACATTCAATATCTTTGATCTTGGCCCCCCAAGCCTTCACTTCCTGACAAACACCTCTATTCATCCCTACCTGCAAACCTCCTGGCCATCTGCAGTAACCCACCACCCTGTCCCTCAGAGCAAATGCCCAACGCCTGCAGTGAACCTGCTCAGCCTGTATCACATAAAAGTAGTATCAGGCCAGATTAAGCTGTGCGTGTGTCCATTTGGCATGGGCAAAGGAACATGACAGTGGAAACCTACATTTGGTCCAATATTTTCAGTGACCTCTGTTGCAAAGAACTCAGCAAAGGCCTAACTTTGAAACACCTTTTAGAGAAGCGATCCCCCAAACCATGTGCTAAGCTAGATCCCCTCTACATGTGCAGTGGTGCACCGTGGATATACAAGCTTCATAATGTACAGCTGTCAGGCCTGCTGGGACATTCCACTTCGCTGCAACTTAGACTAGTATTTGGTAAGGAACCAGGGGTTGGCATTTAGGTGAACTGATCAAATCAAAGGATGGGGTGCAAACTGGATCAAGACGATTGTTTTCCATTGAAATAGTAGCTCTGGAGTGCAGATGTCCGAAGCTCCCCCCACACTGTGGAAAGGAACCCTTCTGTGTTAGGCACATTCACTATGAAACACTAGAAAAGCCATGAAGACAGGGAATGTTGAGAAAATTGAGGGCGATGTTGTGCTTTTATTTTATTTAATGTTTATTTATTTTGAGACGGAGTCTTGCTCTGTCACCCAGGCTGGAGCGCAGTGGTGTGATCTCGGCTCACTGCAACCTCTGCCTCCTGGATTCAAGCAATTCTCCTGCCTCAGCCTCCCGAGTAGCTGGGACTACAGGCACCGGCCACCACGCCCGGCTAATTTTTGTATTTTTAGTAGAGATGCAATGGTGTGATCTCGGCTCACTGCAACCTCCGCCTCCCAGATTCAAGCAATTCTCCTGCCTCAGCCTCCTGAGTAGCTGGGACTACAGGCACCGGCCACCACGCCCAACTAATTTTTGTATTTTTTGGAGAGACAGGTTTCAGCATGTTGGCTGGGCTGGTTTCGAACTCCTGACCTCAGGCAATCCACCGCCTCAGCCTTCCAAAGTGCTGGGATTACAGGTGTGAGCCACCGTGCCTGGCTGAGGTTGTGCTTTTAGAGTCAAACAACTCCATTGGCCTTTTTAGTTTTATCATTGTTTTCTCTGGAAGCGCCATAGAGGGAAGCAAGGAGGGCCGGGCCAGGAGTTGGAAGACCTAGGGCTGTTTGTGGTTTGCAGTGTGGCCCTGGCCAAATCACATAGCCTCTCCAAATCCCAGTTTACTTGTCTGTGAAAATGGGAATAATAAAGTCTGCCCCTTTTAAGCTGCTTTGTGAATAATGAAGCTGCACACCAGCGTACATTATCGGCCATGAGGCTGAGACCCAGGATTGGACATCAGAAAGCTTTCCTGGGTGTGTAACTTGGGAAAGTCACAGGTTTCTCTGAACCCTGTTTCCCTCCTTCATAATGGGGGTAATAATAGCCGCCCTTCCCACCTCACAGGATCAAATAATGTAATGTGCATGAAAGAGACATAAACTGTGGGGTTTTAACCCACAGAAATCCTGGGGCTACTTTAACAGTTGCTGACCCCAAGGACAGGGCTGATTGAAGACTCACTTCTCAGCCAGGTGCAGTGGCTCACACCTGTACTCCCAGCACTTTGGGAGGCCAAGGCAGGTGGATTGCCTGAGATCAGGAGATCGAGACCAGCCTGGCCAACATGGTGAAACCATCTCTACTAAAAATATAAAAATTAGCCAGGTGCAGTGGCATGTGCCTGTAGACCCAGATACTGGGGAGGCTGAGGCAGGAGAATTGCTTGAACCCGGGAGGCGGAGGTTGCAGTGAGCCAAGATGGCACCACTGCACTCCAGCCTAGGCAACAGAGCGAGACTCTGCCTTAAAAAAAAAAAAAAAGGCTCACTTCTCCCTCAGGACCTGAAACTTCTCTCTTGCTGCATCCCTTCCACCCTCCTCCTTTCCCCACCCCAGACTTCTTGCTCCCGACTTCTTCCTCCCCTGCTCCTTCCTTGGTCTTGGATGTGCTAAGTTGCCTTTGCTCTTCTCCTGTGATGTATCAGGCAACTGCTGCATTTCACTCCAGGGTGGCTCCATTTCAGATCCCAGTGAAACAATTTCTATATATAGTTGGTAATAAAATGTGGGTTACTTTGAGGGGAAAGAGAAAGCCACTATGTGGGTTCCTGTTCACCACCATGGCGCTGGTGGCCCCGTAACCAGAAGAGCAACCTTTGCTCTCCAAAACAAAGGTGAAGCTGGCCCACAGTCACAGTGGCTTTTCCAAACAGCCTGTTTCTACTTACTCATTACTTTCCCCAAAACCTGTGGAGTGGGAAGGGGGTGACATTTTATTCTTCAAATTAGATGGATGGATGGATGGATGGATGGATGGATGGATGGATGGATGGATGGGGCATTAGATTTAAGTCCACCCAGCAATTTAAAATTTCTCACTCGGTCAGACACAGTAGCTCAAGCCTGTAACCCCAGCACTTTGGAGGCCCAAGCGGGAGGACTGCCTGAGGCCAGGAGTTCAGGACTAGCTTGGGCAACATAGTGAGATTCTGTCTCTACAAAAACTTTAAAAATTAGCCAGGCATGGTGGCAGACACCTATAGTCCCAGCTACTTGGGAGGCTGAGGCAGAAGGATTCCTTGAGCCCAGGAGTTCAAGGCTGCAGTGAGCTATGATGGCACCACTGCACTCCAGCCTGGGCAAGAGAGAAACCTTGTCTCTATTTAAAACAAAAACAAAAAAAATTTCTCACTCTTACGTCCACACCCAGGTTCTCTTGGAATTGTTTTCTGAACTCCTCAGGTAACTAAAATTTTATTTGGTTAATTCTCTTGGTCCTACAGTGAGATACTGCTTGATGCACTCTGGGAAAAATGGAAAAGCCTGTTAAAATAAGCAATTTAAGAAGTGTTTCTGCTGGGCATGACGGCTCATGCTTGTAATCCCAGTGCTTTGGAAGGCCAAAGCAGGAGGATCGCTTGAGGCCAGGAGTTTGAGACCAGCCTGGTGGCAAGACTCCGTGTCTACAAAAGATTTAAAAATTAGCCAAGGGCAGTGGTGCGGCTCCTTAGGAGGCTGAATCGGGAGGATCGCTTGAGCCCAGGAATTCAAGGATGCAGTGAGCTCTGATGGCACCACTGCACTTCAGCCTGGGTGGCAGAGCAAAAGGTCTCTAAAAAAGAAAGAGCTGGGTGCGGTGGCTCATACCTGTAATCCCAGCACTCTGGGAGGCTGAGACGGGTTGATCGCTTGAGGTCAGGAGTTCGAGACCAGCCTGGCCAACATGGCAAAACTCCATCTCTACCAAAAATACAAAAACTAGCCAGGCGTAGTGGTGCATGCCTGTAATCCCAGCTACTTAGGAGGCTGTGGCAGGAGAATTGCTTGAACCCAGGAGGCAGAGGTTGCAGTGAGCCAAGATAGCGCCATTGCACTCCAGCCTGGGTGACAGAGCCAGACTCCATCTCAAAAAAAGAAGGAAGGAAGGGAGGGAGGGAGGGAGGGAGGAAGGAAGGAAGGAAGGAAGGAAGGAAGGAAGGAAGGAAGGAAGGAAGGAAGGAAAGAAAGAAATTCATCCAGCATGTCCCTTTCTTCTCCTATGGGATTTACCAACTGACAAATTCTAGTGCTCCTGCCATCACCCCCACATGTGCAGCAAAGCCTCCACATTTGCAAAATCTAAGTCAATCTCTAAAAGATGCTTCGAGGAAGCACCCAGTTCCTTCTGCTAATAACCGCAGTGTGTCATGTGACACCTCCCCCTCCCCCAACCAGTTCTCTCTGAAAACTACCCACCCACCCCACCAATAAAGTAGCATGACGTCTGTCCTTCAGCTGCCAATATCTACATTTCCTTCAAGGTGGTAATCTTTTGCTTTTGTAATTTAAGTTCTTTTTTATTCGTAATTGTTACCCAATTGCTTTGGGGCTTGCATAAACAGTTAACAAAAACACCCGCACGAGGCAGCCGGTTCGCTTTCTGTGCTTGTTGTTCTTGGCACTGGGTCAGTTCTATGAACTTCTGGTGTCCAACTGGTAGGACCTGAAACTCCGTGTTTAACAAGTGCGTGTAGTCAAAACAGTTGGCGTGTGCAAGCGCGGATAGCTGGTATTGACTGCAGCTGGTCAGCCGTCGGGCTGTGCACCGTGCAGAATACCGTATCACGTTGCTCTGTTTGGGGCTGGGCTTTTGTTGTTGTTTAGTCGTTGCGATTTTTTTCCCTCCTTTTTCTTTCTCTCTCTCTCTCTTTTTTTTTTTCTTTTTTTTTTTTTTACTGACATCCGTGCTAATGTGGATCGCTTCAGGTTCCAAAAGTACAACATGTTTACAGTCGTCGTAGCATCAGATTAAGTTGGCAGCCTGAGTCTCTCTGTAAGTGGTTTTAGTTTACATTTCTTCTTCTAGCAGGATGTTTTGCATAATTTTGCTGATCCTAGGTTATTTATAGACTTTTTTTTGAAGAAACGGGGATGCATAAGAGTTTCTGTTCCAACTGTGGAAAGTGAAATTTGTTTCTCCACTTAGAGAAACGGCGGTGTATGTGCAGCAGAGGGTTATTTTAGCTCTTGATGATTAATTTCTTAGGGGTCACTTAATAACGTTCCCGAGAGTCCTAGGACGTGTTGTTTTCCTTTAGTCGTTCACAAACGGAGTAAAATGAAAGTAATGATGCCATTTCCTCTGGGGCGCTCCTCGAGGGTGGATGCAGTGATTGGGTATTGTTTCAAACGTCTGAAATGAGTTTACAGCGGTTGTTTTGTCAAACTCCTGGGAGCAGTGGCATTTGGTGACCCAAAACATGCCCAAGGGCTGGTCTGCAGGACTCAGAGTCACGGGGGAGGGGGACGGAGGAAGAACAGACACAGGGAAGTTACTGGACCTTAGTTTGTCCCCACCTAAATGACAGTGATATGCAGACATTTATAACATTTTTAAAAGGATGATTGACTGCAAGATGGCATATGGGCTCATGCTTTATCTGTGTGATTTTCTGGCCTGGTGGTAGCATCTTTGGGGGCCCGTGTGCATGTTTGAGTAAGAACTAAAGCTTAGCGAAAACACTAAGCCGGAATTAGCACTCTATAAAAGGGTTTCCCGTAATATTTACTAGAACAGTTGGCTAAAAATTGCCGTGCTTGTCCCACTGAATGGCTGTGTAATTAAATCAGCCCTTGATATCGTACCTTGAGCACCTCCCATCTCTGAGTCTGCCGCTCTTGGAATTTGCATGAGTAAGTAGCGCGTTCATCAGCATAATGAATGTGGAGTCCCAGTCTAATGGTCCGGGAGAACCTTGTAAATGAGACACTTCATTGTGCCTCGGGTTAAATATTTTAAACTAAACAAATCGCAAAAGAAGGAGAAGACGACAAACATCATTTAGGCCTCACGGAAGGCCTTCTGAGGAGCGGGTCTGCTTAGATCCAAGACCTTGAGTCCCACACAGATGGGTCCAACCCCACCCCCAGCATCACATGAATGAGAACGGACAGTGAAAACGGAAATTTCCAAGGTGGTAAATGTGACCATTAGGATGAGGCTTGACATAGTTCTAACTGCTGAGTGCTGCCAAGAGAGGCTTTCTTTTCTCCTCCATGTTTCTCTCATTCATATGAATGCTTTTTTTTGCTGGGCGCGGTGGCTCATGCCTGTAATCCCAGCACTTTGGGAGGCTGAGGCGGGCGGATCACCTGAGGTCGGGAGTTCGAGACCAGCCTGACCAACATGGAGAAACCCCGTCTCTACGAAAAATACAAAAATTAGCTGGGCATGGTGGCACATGCCTGTAATCCCAGCTACTCGGGAGGCTGAGGCAGGAGAATTGTTTGAACCCAGGAGGCGGAGGTTGCTGTGAGCCGAGAGCGCGCCATTGCACTCCAGCCTGGGCAACAAGAGCGAAACTCCGTCTCAAAAATAAAAAAAGAAGTGCCCTGTCTCCTTTAACCTTGCAGAGAATAATGATGAGGCTTCCTTGCTTTAGGCCTTTGACGTTTAGAGTCTGTCCTGTGCTTTCTCACACTGGCCCCACTGAGCTGGTGGGGGCCAAGTCCAGCCCTTTGGTCCTAGTAGGAAAAGCCTGGCTTTGGGGCCTGGCTCATACAGGGGAGCTGAGAAGCTAAAACTCGGGCTCGGACATGATCCATCGGACCTTCGCCTCCTCATGCCCCCATTTGCTCTGGGCTAACTGGCTATGACACGATGCTAAGGGACTCTTTGTTCTAATTTGATTCAAATCTGCCCCTGTGTGTGGGGCCTCTGTTCCACTTCCCCGTGCCTCCTCCGTATGTCTGGTTGGGACCGGGAGGACTTTCGGCCCACCTTCGTAAGGTGTCAAGCTTGAGGTGTGTGTTGGTTTGTATGCATCTCAGCTAGGAATGATTATGGGGGCTGCCCCCAGCTGTGTCAATCACCCCCACAGCCCAAGTGAATGGAAAGATGTGAAGAGAACCTATAGGCCTTTATGTTGGAGCTGGGAGGAGTGGCAGTAAATACTGAAAGGCTTTTGCATTTGAATGAGCTAAACCCTCCCACCCTGCCATCCTTGGGAAAGTAAAGGCCTTTCAGCTCTGTCTCCTAGAGCACGTTGCCCCTCCCAGGCCCTCCAGACATTGGCCTGCCAATATCTTAGAAACACCCTCCTTCCTCACTTTGATTCTTCCCTCCACCCCAGCCCCAGTGACATAGCTGCTGTTTAAACTTAATTGATCCGGGGCAGCTGGGCACCTTAGCAGCAGTGAGCATTTGTGAGCCCACTCCTTCTCTCTTGGCCCCAGGGGAGTGGTTCTGTCCACCCTACACTCCGGGAAGACCAAGGCACCCAGGCAGAACCTAGAGACCAGTGAATTCCCAGCCAAAGGCAGCACTGAGCCAGATGGTCTGTGTAATTTCGTCAAACCTTTGGGAGTCTGCTAACAGCGACCTCACTTTGCCATAGTCCATTCACCCCCAAGGTCTTGTCTTTTCTGGAACAACAGCCATGACATATACATTAATTAGAACCAGTAATCAGATTACTTTTTGGGTAAGAGGTGAAACAAGAAAGTAAGCTGATAAAAGGAGTTGATCACTCCCAGACTATGACCTGGAGTCATACATTTTCAGACCAGCTACTCACACCTGCTCCGTGTACTTGTAGACTACTTCAGCTTCAGGACTTCAGGGCAGGCAGACTGCCAGTTATCAGGGTTTAGGAGATTTGTCCCACCTTGACCTTGCTGTTACTGACCATGGGTTCTTGGGCTTTTGGTGCAATAGAAATGAGGCGAAAAGAGTCTTCCCAGACAAGGCTTCATTGGCGCTTACGCCAGGGCATAAGGTAGAGAGAGAGAGAATTCCCTGACTGACCCTCTGAAAACAGCCGATTGGGATTTTTTTTTTTTTTTAATTGACACAGGGTCTTGCTCTGTGTTGCCCAGGCTAGAGTGCAGTGGCACGATCACGGCTCACTGCAGCCTCTACCTCCTGGACCCAGGTGATCCTCCCACCTCACCCTCCCAAGTAGCTGGGGCTACAGGCATGTGCCACCATGCCCAGCTAAGTTATGTATTTTTAGTAGAGATGGGGTTTCCTCCATGTTGCCCAGGCTGGTCTCAAACTCCTGAGGTCAAGCCATCCACCCGCCTCAGCCTCCCAAAGTGCTGGGATTACAGGCATGAACCACCGTGTCCGTCCCCAGTTGGGATTTTTTTTATTAGGCGAAGTACAGGAATTGATATCAGGGTAGGGTATGCAGGCTGGGCTGGGCAACGCATGTGAGGGTTAGGGTATGCAAGTCAATGTATCTGGTTGTGATGATTATCTTGAGTCATGGGCCACCTGGTGGTCTAGCCGGCAACAACAAGGCTATAAATCAGTTGTTCAGCATTCCTTCCTGAGGTGGGACACTCCGCAACCTTGGTTCCATATTTTGGATCTCTTCAGTCCAGTTCCTGGAATTCTTTAAGTAAAAAGCATGGTTAAACATTATGAGAGCACCGAAGAACAATATAGAATGGCTCTTTTCTTTGTATGACTAAAGCCTTGGGGTGAGTGGGTATGGTGTCAGTGAGGTAGTGGTGTGGGTCTCATGGTCAGTGGGAATGCATGAAAGAATGCTCTTCTGCGGGTAGCTGAAGCCAGGCCACATTCCTGCTCTGTCACACTGCTCTGAAACACAGCCCAAGGAGGAGGATGCATCCGAGCTGCACCTAGGCCTCTGCCTCCATCCTATACTTTTTCTCCCTGATCTAGTGAACTTGCATGGTTTTTAGGTATTGGTCTTGGTATGATAGGGCTGTCATAACAAAATGAAACAGCCTGGGTGGGTTCAACAACCAAAGTTTATTTTCTCATGATTCTGGAAGCTGGAGGTCCAAGATTAAGGTGCCAGCAAGTTTGGTTTCTCCTGAGGCCCCTTCTTGGCTTGCAGATGGCTGCCCTCTTGCCGCCTCTTCATGTGATCCACCCTCTGGACTTGTGCCATTGTCGTCCCTTCCTTTTCTTAAGGACACCTATCCTATTGGATTAGGGCCCCATCCTAATGGCCTCATTTTAACTTAGTCACCTCTTCAAAGACTTTCTCTCCAAATGTGCTTATATTCTCGGGTACTAGGGATTAAGACATCAACATATGAAGTCTGAAGTGGAGAAATTTAACCCATAACACCAATCTGCCAAGCCTGGTCCTGCCTCAGCATCAGAACATTGCAGGAACCTCCATGGGGTACAGATTCATCTGTGAGTTTATTCCCCTCATGCATCAGTTTATAGAACCAGGCGCCATCTCTGTGTGGGTGCATAGTCAAAGGAAATGCAATGAGAGAAAGATAGGAATATGTTTAAAAGTCATCAGTGGCTATGAAAGTCTGAATTAGCTTTCATATGGCTTATGATGATTCTCAGGTGACTGTGGCAGCTCACCTGTCTCGAGAGAGACTCTTATTAGGGGTAGGTTGAGTAAGGGAAGCTTGTGGACCAGTAGGCTCCAGAAACTATGTCAGGAATTGTTACCTTCCCTTCTGGGCCCCTTCACTCCCACCTCCTTTCTGGGCCAACTCCCTGATCTGTTAATAGATTCATTGGCATAAACCTCTCAGTGTCTTGCCAACAATTACATATAGATACAGACGGTGTCTGACTTACAATGGTTCGACTTATGATTTTTTGGTTTCAAGATGGTACAGAAGTGACATGCATTCCATAGAAACTGTACTTTAAGTACCCATGTAACCATTCTGTTTTTCATTTTCAATATGATATGCAATACATTACATGAGATATTCAACACTTTATTATAAAATAGGCTTCGTGTTAGGGCATTCTGCCCGACTGTAGGTTATGTTCTGAGCACATTTAAGATAGGGTAGGCTAAGGCTATGAGGTTCAGTAGGTTATTATATTAAATGGGTGGGTTTTGTTTGTTTGTTTGTTTGTTTTGAGATGGACTTTCACTCTCATCACCCAGGCTGGAGTGCAATGGCACAATCTTGGCTCACTGCAACCTCCATCTCCTGGGTTCAAGGGATTCTCCTGCCTCAGCCTCCCAAGTAGCTAGGATTACAGGCGCCCACCACCACACTCTGCTGATTTTTGTATTTTTAGTAGAGATGGGGTTTCACCATGTTGGCCAGGCTGGTCTTGAACTCCTGACCTCAGGTGATCCACCCGCCTCAGCTTCCCAAAGTGCTGGGATTACAGGCATGAGCCACTGTGACTGGCCCTTAAATGCATTTTTGACTTACGATATTTTCAATTTATGATGGGTTTATCCAGATATAATCCCATTGTAAGTCAGAGAGCATCTGTGTATTTTTTTTTTTTAATCTGCCCTTAGTGTTCATTCCCCCTGGAAGTTGGGAAACTAACCTTAGATGGACGAGGAGAGGAAAATTCATTTATGTTAGTTATTGCCTCCCATCTTAATGCTGCTCTCTTCTCAGAGGCATGTGTTTGGCCATGCCACTTCCTCTCCTTCTTCCCCTGCTGTGGGATATCCTTGATCCTGAGATTCTAAAGGCCAACAGGTGACCTCTGACCATGCTTTGCAAAATGTTTCCAAGATTGGTTTTTAGTGAAGACCATTTATTCCCTGAAGACACCAACATCCTCAGCTGGAGTGAGAACAGGGTTTCTGAGAACCTGCCCTGAGAATGTCAGAGCCTAAAGCCTAGTTGTTCTTAGAAACCACCATCCAGGATGGAAGCTCAGGGATTGACTGGGGTCAAGCCGTAGGGGAGCTAAAAGTAACTCTCACGGCCCTTCATCACCTGCCGGTTCCCTGCTGCTGATACTCAGGTTCTGGTCTCAACAAGGGGACCATGGAGAGAAAGTGTGTTCCCACAGGCTGAGGGGCCCCTCTGCAAATATGGTAGGAAGACCCACTCCTTTTTCTTTATAAGCCAGCTTTGGCTCTGGTCTGAGATGAGAGAGGAGATGATTGCTACCAGGAGAGGAGATCAGGAATCTCATTATCAAAGTAATCCAGCTGCTGTGTGCTGAAAGACCTGTTCCTCCTGTCAGCCTGAGTACATCTATAGGTTCCTCCTTGGCTTCACAGGGAGGTCTCTGCCAATGGAAATGGTATCTTGACTTATTTATAACAGTAATCAGCATACTATTCTTTTATGTTTGCATAGTCTGACTCAACTTTGAAACCTCTTTTACATGCCTGATGTCATTGACTCTTCGCTATAGCGCTGGAGAGGGGAGGTACTGCTAACCTCAGAGCATAGACATTCTGGAAGGAGAGCCGGGATTTGGACTCCAGCTCTTGGATGTCAGTGCTCCTTCTATAGATTACAGCTTTCTAATGTCTGTATGTGGTTGCCAATAAGGAAGGTAGTTTGTCTGGGAATTGGAAAACCATTTATTATTATTATTATTATTATTATTATTATTATTATTATTATCATCTCTTCTCTGTACTAAAGGCAGTGTTGGACTGCTCATTGTGTGTAATACCCTGCTTAAAGAACTTTGCACTTAACCTTCACAACCAACAGTAAGAGGAGGCCTATCATTAGTCCCATTTGTCAAAGTCACCCACAAGATCCTACCAGGGAGATGAAGAAATGTGGGCCACGTGAGACACCTGCCCTGAATGGCACATGGTTCGGTACAACCATATCTCAAGAGTGCTTTTCAAAGGCCACTGTTGCACTGAGGGATGTATCGAGTTGCCCTCTTGGGCCTGTCCTCTTCCACGTTGTGTATGAGCACTTGGAAGAAGATTGGCATTGATGGCAGGCCGATCGAGTTTTCAGGTGGTAGATTTGGGAGGGAGAGCAGATTATGTTAATGAATCAGAGTCCAAAAAGATCTCAACAGACTGGAGCAGTAGACTAAATCCAACAAGATGACATTTTTAAAGGATACCTGTGGATTTGCAGCTTGGCAGCAAAATGTGTGAAATAAAACTTAGGGATGAGGCAGCTATCACAAATAAAAAATCTAGATTGGATCTCTGGCTGCATTAATAGGAGAATAATGTCCAGAACAGATCTGTAGGAGCTGGTCAGACCCCATCTGTAATGCTCTCCCTTCTGAGTTCCATGGTCTGTGAAGAACAAGAGGAGCCAAGAGAACCAAGATCAGGGAGTAATGAAAATGATGCTTTGTAAAGAATAGTTTAAGAAGTCATCTCAGGGTGTTTAGCCTGAGAGAAGGAAGTTTCAAGGAACAAACATTTGGCAAGATGTTCCATGGAAGGGGGATTAGACTGGTTCATAGTGACTCCCACAACGCAGACATGGGATTCATGAGTGGTCATTACACGGGAGCTTGGCATAAAGGAGAACTCTTCAACAGTCGGGACTGAACTCGGGAGGTGCCACTAAACTGTCACACCACTTACCTGGCTCACCGCTTATCTGGCACACTGCTTACCTGATGCACCGCCCCAGATGGAGCCTGCAGTGAAGCTATGCCTGGCAGCCCCTGGGCAGGAGTGTGGATGAGCAACTGCACTCCTGAAGAAGGGGGCCTGCAGAGAATGGTTACCTGTGGGGTTTTTCTTGCCTGTTGAGAGTCTGTTAGTCCCAACTTCAAGGTCTAAGATCTGAGTCCATGGGAGAATGATGATTCCTTTATGGAAATGGCGGCTGTATCAGGGATGAACGATCAGGTTGGCAAGAGGAAGAGCTGTGCCTCAGTGTCCCATTTGTAAATAGCTAGTGGAGCCTGTGTTCGTGTGTGTGCATGTGCGTGTGTTTGTGTGTGGTGGCATTGGTAGTGGCGGTGGTAGTTGTTTGAATTCAGAGGGTTTTTGTTTGTTTGTTTTGAGACGGAATCTCGCTCTGTCACCCAGGCTGGAGTGCAGTGGTACAATCTCAGCTCACGACAACCTCCACCTCCTGATTCAAGCGATTCTGCCTCAGCCTCCTGAGTATCTGGGATTACAAGTGTGCACCACCACGCTCGGCTAATTTTTGTATTTTTAGTAGAGACAAGGTTTCACCATGTTGGCCAGGAGGGTCTTGAACTCCTGACCTTAAGTGATCTGCCACCCTGGCCTCCCAAAGTTCTGGGGTTATAGGCATGACCCACTGTGCCTGGCCCTGAATTCAGGTTTTATTTTATGAAGTATGGGCACTAAAACCAAAACAACACCCCCTAAAGAGTAACAAAGCACCACAACCAGTCTATCTTCAGTATCAATACGTAAAGGAGATCCTAACGCAGAAAGGTAGGGAGGATGTAAACTCAGAAAAATCTGTATGTACATATGCATGTGTATGCATGTGTGTGTTTATGTATCACATTGTTTAAGACAAATTAACACTTCTTTGTGGACCCAAATTGGTAGCATTAGCGTTTGGGAACTGCTGTCTTAGAGTGCCTGTTTGCTGTATCCTGCTGGCTGCCTTAATTACTTTAACTTAAAAATTACCTCCTTTAAGTGATTTCAGAAAGGGTTTTAAAGGTAACTCAGTTATCTTGAAACTAATTGTTCTGCTGTAGATTATCCTTGCTCTTACTTTCTGCAGGCTTTTTTAAAATTTGGATGAAATTCACAAAACATAAAGCTAACTGTTTTAAACTGAACAATTCAGTGACATTTAGTACATTGGCAATGTTGTGCAACCACCACTTCTATCTAGTTCCAAAATGTTTCATCACACTCCAAAATAAAACCTCATACCCATTAAGCAGTTATTCCCCCTCCCCCACCACATACAGCCCCTGCTAATCACCAATCTGCTTTTCTTATCTATGGATTTACCTATTCTGGACATTTCATTTAAATGGAATCATACTATATATATATGACCTTTTGTGTCTGGCTTCTTTCATTTACCATCATGTTTTTGAGACTCATTTGTATTGTAGCATGTATCATGCTTCATTCCTTCTTATGGCTGAGTATTCTTTTATTGTATGTATGTAGCACAGTGTTTGTTTATCCACTCATCCATGGATGGGCGTTTGGGTTGTTTCCAATTTTTTGGCTCTTATGAATAGAGCAGCTATGAACATTTGTGGACATGGATTTGTGTGAGTATCTGTTTTCAATTCCTTTGGATATATACCTAGGAGTGGAATTTTGGTCCATATGGTAATTCTATATTTAACTTTTTTATTAAAAAATTAATTTTGGTGAAATATGCTTAACGTGAAACTTACCCATCTTAATTTTTAACGTACAGTTCTGTGGAATTAAGTGTATTCACATTGTTATGCAACCATCACCACCATCCTCTCCTGAACTCTTTGTTTTTTGTTTTTTGTTTTGAGACGGGGTCTAGCTCTGTCACCCAGGCTGGATGGAGTACAGTGATCTCGGCTTACTGCAACCTCCGCCTCCTGGGTTCAAGCCATCCTCCCACCTCAGCCTCCCCAGTAGCTGGGACTACAGGTGCACACCACCACGCCCAGCTAATTTTTGTATTTTTTGTAGAGAAAGGGTTTTGCCATATTACTCAGGCTGCTCTCAATCTCCTGAACTCAAAAGATCCTCCTGCCTCGGCCTCTCAAAATGCTGGGATTACAGGTGTGAGCCACTGTGCCCAGCCCTCTCCTGAACTCTTTATCTTGCAAAACCGAAACTCTATACCCATTGAACAATAACTCCCCATTCCTCCTCCCTTGCAATCCCTGACAACCGCCATTCTGTCTATGAATTTGACTATCTCGAGCACCTCATGTAAGTGGAATCATACATTATTTGTCTGTTTGTGACTGGATTATTTCACTTAGCATAGTGTCCCCAAAGTTTGTCCAGGTTGTAGCATGTGTCAGAATTTCCTTTTTATGGCTGAATAACATTCCATTATAGGATTCTCTATTCATTCATTGATAGACACTTGGGTTGCTTCCACCTTTTGACTATTGTGAGTAATACTGCTATGAATGTGGGTATACCCACATTTGAGATACCAGTTCTTTTGCATATATATCCAGAAGTGATATTGCTAGATCGTGTGATCATGTGCTGAATCAATTTTTAATTCTTTGAGGAACCGCCATACTCTTCTTCATAGTGGCTGTACCATTTTACATTCCCACCAACAGTGCACGAGGGATCCAACTTCCCCACATCCTCACCAAGACTTGTTATTTTCATTGTTTGTTAACAGCTATCCCAGTGGGTGTGAAATGATACCTCACTGTGATTTCGATCTGCGTTTCCCTAATGACTGGTGACTGGAGTCATTAGTGCCCACCACCACACCCAGCTAATGTTTGTATTTTTAGTAGAGATGGGGTTTCAACATATTGGCCAGGCTGGTCTCGAACTCCTGACCTCGTGATCCACCCGCCTCAGCCTCCCAAAGTGCTGGGATTACAGGCGTGAGCAACCGTGCCCAGCCCTTTGCCCATTTTTAAATTAGATTGAACCTGCCTGTTTTTGTATTTAGAGTTACGGTTCTAAACTTGCTGCTCTTCAGAAGCTAGAGTAAATATTGCATCTTATTATCCTAAGCCACATGTTTGCTGAGAACTTACGCTACCTCAGGTGTAAGGCTACCAAGAGCCTACACGGGCACCTGAGATAGGGAGGGAGAGCAGGGCTGCAAGAGGCAGGGGCCAATGCTCTAGAAGGTCCAGATTGCTCTGGGAGAGCTGGCCCAAGAGTAGCTGTTCCCATCTCTGTCCTCCAGGTCATCCTGAAACTCTTTGCAGAGATACTAGGAAAGCAACTCACGTTTTTCTCTGGAAAGACTCAGGTTCCCAGGCCTCGGGCCTGCCCTTTCATCTGTGTTTCTTCTAAGCATTGCAACATCCAGCAGGCCTCTACTCCACAGTCCCCTGGGTGAAGGGAATGTGCCCAGGGGCCCTTGACCTGCTAGCCTGGGATCAGGGAACAACGCCCACAGCCTAACTGTTGGGAACAGACAATCTCCAGCCAAAGCTGCAAATGACTGAAAACGAGGGCTGGTCAGATGGGTGGTCAGTTTATACCCCCTCAACACCCCCCTACTACATTCCAAACAAATGGAACTGTGGAAACTAGTTCTGCTTTGCCAGCCAGCACAACTCCCTCTCAATCTGAAACTGATGAATTCTCCTCAATTCTGGGAAGAAACTCTCTCAACAAGAGGGGAAAAGGAAGCCAAGAACCCAGAAGTCCAGTCATGTTCTCCCTGAATAATTCTCCCACGGGGGACTCACTGTCTCTGGCTTTGGTTATGTTTTCAAGTGGCTGAAGGGATGGTCCCCACAGGAGACCATCTTACATAGGCAGTCATTATAATGCCCTCTCTAATCTCTCTAATGCCTAGTAGGCTCTGCCTAGCTTGTGTGTGATGAGAGGAAGTATGTGATCATGACGTGAGGGAGTGCTGTCTCCCCACAGTCCAAAATTCTCCAGGAAAATCATACTTCTGAGTCTTGGAATACTTTTGTGTCTTAAAGGTTTAATTTTTTTTTTTTTTTTTTTACTAAAAGGCATGTACCCCTTATCTAAGGTTGATTTAATATTCATCAGGTAATAACCAGGTTTTGCAAAGAAATGTTGGATGCCACACAGGAGAGGTCCTAGCAGAAGATAAAGATGCGCAAAGCGTACTTTGCCACTGTTTTTTTTTTAATTGAGGTGAAATTTGCATCACAGAAAATTAACCATTTTAAAATGTACAATTCAGTGGTATTGAGTACCTTCACAATGTTGTGCAACCATCACCCCTAAAGAAGACCCTGTGCCCATTAAGCAGTCACTCCCCCCGCCTTCTTTTCCCAGCCTGCCCCTGACAACCACAAGTCGGCTTTCTGTCTCTATGGTTTTACCTATTCTGGACATTTCATATAACGTGTGGCCTTTGTGAACCATTGTTTTGGTAGGCATTCTCCCCCCTCCAAATCTACTGTCCTTGGCCAAGATCAGGGACCAAACTTTCTAAATATCCAGAATGAATGAAATCTCCCTGCTTAAATCAATAGTTCCAACAACCCACAAAAGTATTTTCCAATCATTATAATGACCTCTCTACTCTCTCTAAGGCATAGTGCTAGGTAATGAAGTGGACTCTGCCTATCAAGATGGTCAGACCCTGAGCGAAGAGGGAGTGGGAAGGCCTGAGGTGTCTTCAGGCTGCCTGGGGACCGGGGACCCAGGCCAGACAGACAGCAGCTCCAGGGCTGCGGAAAGGCCCAGCCCTGCACACACAGCGCTGGCTCTGATACTCCTCTGAGGAGCCTGCTGCCTCTGACCACACCTTGTGTGTGTGGTTCAGGAATACCCAAGTTCATCTGCCAAATTCAGGATACAACCCTGACTGTTCCGGGCTTTTCTTTCTGCCTTTCCCTAATCTCGTCTGGGCGTGCTCTCTTAAAGGGGAAGTGGTGCGTTCTGACTGGCCAGGGCCCTCATCCAGGAGCCAGGAAACATCTACTACCACGAGTCGCGTTGCCCAGCGTGTGTCAGCCTCCTTATCCAAACGGCAAGGCAGCCTCCCCGGGATGTGTAAGTGTGAGCGCAGGGCACGAGGGCCACACAGGACGGCGTGGGGCTGGGCGCAGGTCACGGAACAGAGATCCTGGCAGGCAGATCATGCTGGCAGCCCACGAGGCATTTAGCAAAATGAGTGTTAGCATAGACAGTGCTCTCCGGCTGTGGGCTGGAGCTGGAGCCGAGACAGGGCTGAGGCGGGGAGCGGGGAGAGTAGCTGCCTCAGAAAGAGGTCAGGAGTAGGAGGCTGGGTTGGGGACCAGTCTATTTTGGACAGCCCTTCTGGAGGCACCAGCCTCCGGCCTGAGAAGGAGTGGAGTGGAAAATTTTCTAGCACACCTTTCAGAGCACCGGGAAGCCAGCTGCAATGAACCTTCCCGGCGTGTCAACCCCAACGCCCCATGTTTATGTCCGTGTATTATCTACTCAGTGCACTTATCTACTCAGTCATTGTGTTTCTTTGTTGTTTTTATATGTACTTTGTGTTAAGACATGTTCAGGGTCCTTTCTATTCAAACTGTACAAATTGTTTGAAACTAGCACCCTGGTTTTTTCCTTCTTTCCTGTCCACGATGGTCCTTGTCCAGTGCATGCACACTGCAGGCCCTGAATCAACGCAGGCGACTGGCCCACAGGTGGACTGACGGGCTCACTAGGATGCTGGGCAGCGTGTCTGGCTGGTTTCTAGCTAGGGCTCTGTTTCCTGTGTGCCCAGAGAAATAAAGGGGAAAAAGCACACCCACTCACACACACAGTCAGTTCCTAACTAAATGCCACAAGCGAGTGACTGGTGGCAGGAAAATAGACCCTTTGCTGTGTTTTAGGCCCCTTTCTGTCCTGGGTTTTTGTTTGTGTGGTAGTGATGGTTGATCTTAAATCATGTAAAAAGTTTGTTTTCACCAAAATAACTCAGACCTTTTGCTTCTAAAGAAGGGAGAGAAAAGGGGGCCAGAAAGGAAAAAAAAAAAAAAAAAGTATGTGTCTGTACGCATATGTTGACAGGGCATAACCACACCCTACTTCAAGACAACTTCCTGTTTGCCGCTGCCAACTGCCACTCCAAGGAGAACAGAAATGGTTCCGTTATTAGTGGCTGCTGTGGGACCACGACAGTCTGTGGGGTGAGTGGCTCTGAGCGACACCATGAGCTTAGCAGTGAGTGGAGACTTTTCACCTTCTCTTATAAGAGACCATGGCCCTGTGCTGTTGAAAGTAGACACTGGTACAGATAGAAATAAAGCAGTGGTGGCCTCTCTTATCAGCCTGTGGTCCTTAAACAGTGTGCTCCCATAGGATTCTTGTAAGTGGACTAATTTAATTCAGGGGCAGGGATAAGGCTGAGAACTGCCTACTGAGGAAAGCTACTACCTGTGTGTGTGTTTTTAATGGACATTATCATGTATCAGGGGAACTTAATGTTAAGCGTCTCCCATGAGTTGGCACTGTGGTAGCCACCTTCTACATGTTATCAATCCTCCCAACACCCATTTATTCCACAGTGAATAGAGTGAGTGCTCTTGAGGGCAAAACCCTGTGCTAAACGCTGGAGATAAAAGAGTAAACAGGACACCTGCCCTCTGGGTGTGTCCAGGCACAGGACACTTAGACCAGTAAACCAGTAATTACAGCGTGTGATGTGCGCTAAGATGAGGGACTCAGTGTACTCGAGCACCTGTCCTGTTGTAACTCCATGATGTGGGTATTATTGTCCCCATTTTACAGGTAAGGAGACTGGGGCTCAGGGGGTTAAGTTATTTCCCCAAGTCCCAGAGCTAATGAGTGACAGAGCTGGGATTTGAGCCCAGATCTTTCTGATTCCAAAGACAGCATGTTTGGTCGGCATTTCCAGTGACTCCCGAAGCTCATGGAGCATGAAAATCACCTCAGGACCTTTTAAAAAATCACAGATTTGGGGGCCCTGGCCCTGCTGTCCAAAAGTAAAGAAGTGGCTGCTGCACTGTGTGTTCTCTGATGTGGAAGTGCAGCCTGGCACCTGCTCTGCCTCCTGCAGCCAGGATCCTCCCTCCACGGGGCCTGGCAAGCCATGAGGCCTTAGCTCAAGGCACCAGGGCAAAGGTCACTGATGCTGCCTCAAGACAGCGTTGGGAAGATTCGGTCCAGCTGTTCAGGTATTTTTATGTATTTATTTTAAAATTTCAGCTTTTAGATTCAAGGGGTACATGTGCAGGTTTGTTTTGGGGGGTTTTTTGTTTTGTTTTGTTTTTTTGAGACAGAGTCTCACTCTGTCTCTCAGGCTGGAGTGCAGTGTCGCAATCTCGGTTCATTGCTACCTCCATCTCCAAGGTTCAAGCGATTCTCCTGCCTCGGCCTCCCGAGTAGCTGGGATTACAGACACATGCCACCACACCTGGCTAATTTTTGTATTTTTAGTAGAGACGGAGTTTTCCCATGTGGGCCAGGCTGGTCTTGAACTCCTGACCTCAAGTGGTCCACCCACCTCGGCCTCCCAAAGTGCCGGGATTACAGGTGTGAGCCACTATGCCCAGCCATTCTATCAGGTATTTTAAATATGGGGAATCCCAGCTCATGGATCTTCTCCCCAAGATCCTGGGGTCTGTGGCTCCCCCGTGCCCAGGTCCAGCTGTCTGCCATACCTGTCCCATCAGTGCTCTGGGGGCGATATCAGCTGTGTCATCCTAAGGTAGAATTCAACAGCTTATCTGCAAGCTGGTAGCCCCCAGTTTTCACCAAAGCTGTGGTGACTCCTGTGTTTAAACACATGTGACTTGTGCGGTGTGTGTTTGTGGTTTTGGAGGGGGCTACTCTGATGGAGAAGTTCAGTGCCATGCATGTGGAGTCCTTGTCAACCCCTCTGCTACCACTGGGCCCAGACAGTGGGGAGCAGATAGAGCCATAAAAGGCCTCATGTTATGAAGAGGATCGTGGTTCTGGCTCCAGGTGGAGTCCGGCAGACTCAGGTCCTTCGGGCAGCAGCTTGCCTTCTGAGGGCCGCGTCCGTTCTCCTCCACTCAGAGTGACAACTGTGGCAGCGAGCCAGGATCTGGAGAGTGCTGTCCCCTGAGCACAGGAAGCCCTCTGATGACAAAGGTCTAGCAGTGACAGCAACCTATTGTATCATCACTGTAATAACCCAGGGCTCATAGCCCAGTGTCTGGCACATGGTAGGTGCCAAGGAAATGCTAAGAAAAAAAAAAAAAAAAGAGTGAATGAATGAATGAAATAGCTTTCATTTTAACCCATATTTTTGTCTCCTTCCTGCATTTGTATTGGCACCTACTTTCTCTCTTCCACCTTTTCTGCTTAAGGATATGTTAGTGTTTTGTTGTTGTCTGTTTTTATCTTCTTGGATGAACTTAAACAGTTTTAAAAAAGACAGAGCCTATTAAGCAATGCATCTTATATCATTCTCTTTTTTCCTCATCATCATGTATTTATCAAGTGCTTTTTTTTTTCTTTTTTTTGAGATGGGGTCTCATTCTGTCACCAGGCTAGAGTGCAGTGGCGTGATCTCAGGTCACTGCAACCTCTGCCTCCCAGGTTCAAGCAATCCTCCCACCTCAACCTCCCGAGTAGCGGGGATTACAGGCATGCACCACCACGCCTGGCTAATTTTTCTGTGTTTTTAGTAGAGACGGGCTTTCACCATGTTGGCCAGGCTGGTCTCAAACTCCTGACCTCAAGTGATCCACCCACCTCGGCCTCCCAAAGTGCTGGGATTACAGGAGTGAACCACCGCACCCAGCCTCAAATATTTTTCTTTAAGTAGTGATTAGTCTCTACATACTATTTGTGCCATTTTGAATTTCCTTGTGAATGTGAGTGTACTATTTTGCATACATTTTCTTAGGTTGAGATAACTCTCTTACCTGTCTCCTACCAATTGCTTTATTATGGATTATTCAGGTTGCTTGTAGTATTTTTTTTTTTAACTGTAGTAAACAGTGCTGAGAATATCTTTGAACTTTTTTTTTCCCTTTGGGATATTTCCTGGAGGCCTATTTTCCAAACTTACATTACCAGATTACCAGATGAAAGGCTATGGATGCTTTTTAGTTCCTGTTATTATCACCAGGTTGCTCTCCAGAAAAATGTAATCCCTTGAAAGTACCGCTGGCAAGGTGTACATGTGCTTGTCTCCCCACAGATTCTATTTCTGTAGTTTTTCCTTTTAGCTAGTCTAGGTGTCTTGTGAGGGCATCCCTGGGGGCTGATGGAAGTATTTCAGGGCCCTGGAAAGCCCCTGGGACTCCCCAGATCCTGCCCAATAGTGGTGATGCCAGAAATTTGCACCTTAGTATAAATGACAAATAGAAGAGGAGGAGGAAGGGGGAATGCCACCACAGGGGAAAAGTTAAAAAGGATCCTAAGTTACATGACTTCACAGCAGCTCTGGAATGGGAAATGCCCTTGTAAGAATCATCCCAGTTGCATTTCTAAAGCGTGGAGGGAAAGGAACATCCCAGGCAGGGTGGCATGGTAGAAAGGGCATTGGCTCTGGGGCCAGGCAAGCCTGGGCTTTCCTGCCAGCTGCTGAGGTCTGCGTGACCTTGGTCTTGTTTCACAATCTTGCTAAGCTTTAATTTCCCCCATCTGATATCTAAGAAGAAAAAAAAATAATAGTAATTTCCCCATCTATAACAAGGCAACTAACGGTATCATACCACATGGTAGGGTTATTGGGTAGATGAGCTGGTGAGTGAAAAGCAGCTTACACAGTGCCTGATATATAGTAGGTACTCAAGAAAGCCTGCTTTCCCTCCTAACTGAATGAATGTGCATGGGGTGACCAGATGACGAAGAAACCATCCCAGAGCCTAGGGATTTGGGAACTGAGCTGGTGTTGGTGTGAACAGTGTAGACCACAGGCCCACACTCATATTTGTCAAAAGAACTTAGTGCCCAAGATAGGTCATGTTGCCCAGCAGTGGGTAGGAGGTGAAGAGGGGTAAAGAAGACCTAGCATAACCTTTGCTTAAGGAACGCCTCCTCGGCTCCTCAGCCCTGCCATCTTTTAAAGAGGTACTGCAGTCTGAGAAGGGAATGGGCACTCCAGAAAAGCTCACAAGCACTCCTGGCATGGAAACTGCTTGGCACAGCTCTGCCTGCATTCGCAGCCTGTCCTATCACCTGACTTTCCTGTGTCTTCATTTCCTCCTCTGCTGAGCAAGGCTGATTCAATATCCCCCCTTACACCATGGCAGTAAGTTTAGTATCTAACTACGATGGTGACAAATGAGACAACAGGCCCAGGTTCTAGCCCAAGCTCCTCCACTTAATAGTCTTATGACTTTGGGCAAGTTTCTCAAATGCAGTCTGTCTCCATTTCCACAGCTGGGGGGAATCGTTACCTCACCAAGCGGCTGTAAGTACAGCTGGCCTGGCTCCTGGCACGGCTCCCAGTGCCAAGGTGCCAGCCCTGCCTCTCTCTCCAACTCCAGTTTACTTTTGGAAGAAGGCCCCTTGGAAATCAGGGTGTTTATAGGCAGCATCCTGACTGCAGCTACAAAAGCAGATTGAACCCACTGATAAGATAGAAACCGGCTAATGACTTGCCAAGCACCTGCCCTCAAAAGTGGGGGCTGAAGGAGACTCCATGCTGTCAAGTGAGTAAGCCAGGTGCTGGCCTAAGCCCAAGTGTGCTTACACAACCATGGCAGGCCACAAGCGACTGTGGTGCTCAAAGTCTATTGGGAGGGGGTTAGTCCCTTAAAAGCCATATTGGAAAATTCTCAACAAGTTCTTTCTAAAAATGGTGCAGGGAGCCACCTTGAGTATTTGCAGCCGGCTCAGCCATTCATGAGGCATCTGTGCTAAGGTTTTAAATACAGGACACTGATGCTGCAAGTATGAAAATATCTCCATGAATAAGCGTATGGGGAAGGGAACACTGAATTTTTACTGAAATGGGATTGCCTGAGAACCTGATGGATTTTATCTTCAGAGAGTGAGGGGAGCAAACTGGAGACACCAGGGTTCCCCGCGCCTATCAGATTTTTGGGATGCTGACAGCTGGTGTCTGCAAGCTCCCTGCTTGGCTGATCTCCAGGACTGCCCCTGGAGTTGCACCTGGATGTTTAAGGAGGCTGTGGGGAAGCAGGTGGTCTTGAAACAGTCAGCTGCTGAGGCCTTGGCCTGGACTTCCTGTGGTGGAAATGCACAAAAGTAAAAGGATTTGGCTTTTCATTTCTTTGGTACTGGGGCCCCCCAACTCTTTGTGATTGAGGTCTTAGGCAATGGTATGAGCTGCTGACTGGTACCTGCCAGCTGCCTAACACCTAAAAAGTGTTTCTTCCTCTCCCTAGGGGAGTCAGGTGCCCTGCTGAAATGCCCACAGACAGTGGGAAAGGAGAGGTCCCGCTGGCTCTTTCAGATTCCTCCTATCTGTAGCAGAATCTTCCAGGATTCCAAGGTGGTAGAGCCCAGAGTTAAGACAGGGGCTCTGAAAACATCCCCAGATCTGATGTTTTCTAGCTCTGTGACCTTAAGCAACTCATTGTATCTCTGAGCCTCAGGAATTATACCTCAAGGAAATAATTCTAAATCACTTTTTAAATCAGTTTTTTAAAAGACAAATAGTAGGTCGACAGTACGAGAATAGCTAAATAATCTACAGCACATTAATGATTGAATATTACCTAACAGTTTAAAATGGCAAGTATGTGGGAATTTGATATGTATATGCAGAATAATGTTAGTTGACAAGGAATAGTCCAAAATATCCATTGATTACAGCTTTGTTAATCAAACTTACCTGTAGAAAAGAGAAACTAGTAGTGCCTCTCTTTTTTGGGGGGGGCAGGGGACGGAGTCTCACTCTGTCGCCGAGACTGGAGTGCAGTGGCATGATCTCGGCTCACTGCAGCCTCCGCTTCCAGGGTTCAAGTGATTCTCCTGCCTCAGCCTCCCGAGTACCTGGGATTACAAGCGCCTGCCATCACACCCAGCTAATTTCTGTATTTTTAGTAGAGACCGGGTTTTACCATGTTGGTCAGGCTAGTCTCGAACTCCTGACCTCGTGTTCCACCCACCTGGGCCTCCCAAAGTGCTGGAATTACAAGCGTGAGCCACCACGCCCGGCCGTGCCTCTCTTAAGGTATTGTAAGAATGAAATGCTATAAGGTAAATCAAAGTGTTTAGAAGAGTGCCTGGCACATAAGAAAAAAAAATTCTTTTTTTTTTTTTTTTTTTTTTTTTTGAGACAGGGTCTCACTCTGTCATTCAGGCTGGAGTGCAGTGGAACAATCTCAGCTCACTGCAGCCTTGACCTCCCAGGCTCAAGCAATCCTCCCACCTCAGCCTCCTAAGTAGCTGGGACTAAAGGCACACACCTGGCTGATTGTTTTTAATTTTTTGTAGAAGCAGGGTTTCACCATGTTACCCAGCTAGTTTTGAACTCCTGAGCTCCAGCAATCCACCCGCCTCAGCCTCCCAAAGTGCGGGAATTACAGGCATGAGCCACTGTACCCACCTGAAAAATCTTAAAACTATTATTACTATTGATCAAAGGACAGAACGGGTGAGAGCAGAGGTTGCTGGCTGAAGATCATTCACTGAGGTTGTTATTGATGTATTGAATACTTAATTCTGCACGGGTGTTCTGATAGTGATTTTCTGTTTTTCCTAAAGTAGGTGAGTGGTGCTTATATTCAATATTAGCACAGTAGATTGGTTTGGTCTTTCTGTTACACGGTCTGGAAAGAAATGTGTAGCAAGAGCTATAAAGCTGCAGCCTTTCACTTTGGGAATTATACCTCAAGGAAATAATTCTGAATCACTTTTTAAATAAATTTTTTTTTTTTTTTTGAGACGGAGTCTCACTCTGTTGTCAGGCTGGAGTGCAGTGGTGTAATCCAGGCTCACTGCAACCTCCGCCTCCCGGGTTCAAGTGATTCTCCTGCCGCAGCCTCCTGAGTAGCTGAGATTACAGGCACCCGCCACCACACCCGGCTAATTTTTTTTTTTTTTTTTTTTTTTTTTTTTGAGACGTAGTCTCGCTGTCGCCCAGGCTGGAATGCAGTGGCGCCATCTTGGCTCACTGCAAGCTCTGCCTCCCGGGTTCACGCCATTCTCCTGCCTCAGCCTCCCGAGTAGCTGGGACTAACAGGCGCCCGCCACCTCGCCGGGCTAATTTTTTGTATTTTTAGTAGAGACAGGGTTTCACCGTGTTAGCCAGGATGGTCTCGATCTCCTGACCTCGTGATCCATCCGCCTCGGCCTCCCAAAGTGCTGGGATTACAGGCGTGAGCCACCGCGCCCGGCTACACCCGGCTAATTTTTGTATTTTTAGTAGAGATGGGGTTTCACCATGTTGGCTAGGGTGGTCTCAATCTCTTGACCTTGTGATCCACCCACCTTGGCCTCCCAAAGTGCTGGGATTACAGATGTCAGCCACCACGCCCGGCCAAATCAGTTTTTTTTTTTTTAAAGATAAATAGTAGGTAGACAGCAAGAGAGTAGCTAAATAATCTGCGCCATGTTAATGATTGAATATTACCTAACAGTTTAAAATAGCAAGTTTGTGGGAATTTGATACGTATATGTAGAATGTTAGCTGACAAAGAATAGTCCAAAATATCCATTGATTGCAGTTTTCTTAATAAAGCTATATGCATTAACGAAGACTAAGAAAATTTAGAGGAAAGTGCTCTTTTTCTCTAAAATTGCTTAAGTATTAAATATTTTAACAATGAGGGATATCATGTACTACAAATTCTTTCTGGGCAGGGCAAATGGAATTAGAATAACTATAGGGATCTACCTTAGGCAGTCCCTTAATCAAAACATAGAAAGACATGATTGAGCCTCAAGTGGGTGAAGGCTTGTATCTGAATGATTGTAATGTACAGCAGGAGAGCTTCACTCAGAGAAACCTCACCTGCACAGCAGCGTCTTTTTGCAAAAGATAAGACCCTGCCTTCTTCTATCACTAACCTAACCCGCCTCCTCACCAACGCAAAACTGTGTAAGTCCACTACAGGCAGGTCTTCATAGACTAGAGAAACAAAGATTGAATAGGTCTTTTTGTAAAATCCACTCACTCTGCCCTACCTGGGACATCAGTTCTACCCATTTTCAAAAGCCTAGCTACAGCTCACCTCCAGAGTGAATCCCTGACCACTGACTCTATTGGTCCCTCCACTTTAATTTTTTTTTTTTTTTTTTTTTGAGATGGAGTTTAGCTCTTGTTGCCCAGGCTGGAGTGCAATGGTTCGATCTCGGCTCACTACAACCTCCACTTCCTGGGTTTAAGCGGTTCTCCTGCCTCAGCCTCCCGAGTAGCTGGGATTACAGGCATGCGCCACCACGCCCAGCTAATTTTGTATTTTTAGTAGAGACAGGGTTTCCCCATGTTGGTCTGGCTGGTCTCAAACTCCCAGCCTAAGATCCACCCGCCTTGGCCTCCCAAAGTGCTGGGATTGCAGTCGTGAGCCACCGTGCTGGGCCTTTAAATTCTTATATGACCTTTCTCACCTGCACTGGTAGGGGACAAGCTTGTTCCCATAGCTCAAGGGTTGTGAGAGCCCTTCTGATTTAATTCAGTTTCACAAGTAGGACATACTGCTTTCGCCTATTTATTACAATACAAAATCACACATCAAACAACCAAAAAAAACTTATATTAAGGGCAAAGGGCTGTCTTCAGGTTTTAATTAATATTCCCTCACTGCAACTTGTTCTTTCAATTGACAATTTAAGGCAAGTTTCTGAATCTAAAATATGAAACCAGGCATGGTGGCTCACACCTGTAATCCCAGCAGGCGGATCACTTGAGGTCGGGAGTTTGAAACCAGCCTGGCTAACAAGGCGAAACCCTGTCTCTACTAAAAATACAAAAATAAGTCAGGCATGGTGGTGCGTACCTGTAATCGCAGCTACTCAGGAGGCTGAGGCAGGAGAATTGCTTGAACCTGGAGACAGAGGTTGCAGTGAGCCAAGATCACGCCGCTGGACTCTAGCCTGGACAACAGAGCGAGACTGTCTCAAAAAATAAAATATGAAACCAAGAAAAAAGCTTATCCACTGATACAGTTGTTTTGTGGGCCAGATGTGGTAGCTCACCTGTAATCCCAACATTTTGCGAGGCCAAGGCAAGAGGATCTCTTGAGCCCAGGAGTTCAAGACCAGCCTGGGAACATAGAGAGACTTTGTCTCTGCAAAAAAAAAATATATATATATGTTTTCAGAGAGAGTCTTGCTCTGTTGCCCAGGCTGGAGTGCTCTGGTACAATCACAACTTGCTGTAGCCTCTACCTCCCAGGCTCAAGCGATCCACCCACCTTGGCCAGCCAAAGTGCCAGGATTATAGGCATGAGCCACCATGCCTGGCCTTACCAAAAAAAAGTTTTAATTAGTAAGTAACCGGGGCCAGGCGCAGTGGCTCATGCCTACAATCCCAGCACTTTGGGAGGCTGAGACGGGCAAATCACTTGAGGCCAGGAGTTCAACACTAGCCTGGCCAACATGATGAAACCCTATCTCTACTAAAAATATAAAAATTATCCAGGCGTGATGGTGCATGCCTATAATCCCAGCTACTTGGGAGACTGAGATCTTGAGAATCTTCAGCCTTGATTCTCCCAGGCTCAAGAGAAACTCTTGAGGGAGGTTGCAGTGAGATGAGATCCTGCCACTGCACTCCAGCCTGGACCACAGAGCAAGACTCTGTCTCAAAAGATCATATTAATTAGCCGGGTATGGTGGCACATGCCTGTAGTCCCAGCTACTCAGAAGGCTGAGTTGGGAGGATCGCTTGAACCTGGAAGGCAGAGGTTGCAGTAAGCCATGATCGTGCCACAGCAATCTAGCCTGGGTGACAGAGTTTTTTTTCTGTCTCAAAAAAAAGGTTTTTTCTGTAAATTTAGCAGCAGAATGTGTCAGCCAGAACCACTAACGAGAATTCTTTTAGAAGGTGATTGTAGAATCACTGGCCTGGCACATTTATTTTGTCCTTCATGGCACACTTCCTTGTGATTTATCTTTGTTTACTTGCATAATTTTTAACCCTTAGTTTAGCAAAATAAACGTATCTTCATTATTCAGGTTTATCTCCCCACCTAAACCAAGAAATATTTCTGTACATCCCACACCCACCCACCACCAGCTTTGAGTAAGTAATAGCAAAGGAGTGAATGAAGACTGCAGAAAAATCTAAAGCAGTAATGGTAAAAATTGAAATCTTGTTTTCATATTGGAAGCCTCTGCCGAAAAAGAAATTGCTAAACAAGACATTTCTGAGAGGCAGAAAGTCGATAGACTTGAAGTTAGGAGACTTGGTTCTAGTCTCAGGATTGTCGCTAACTAGCTTTAACCTGAAGGCTGGCAACTGATAACCTCATCTATCAGAAAGATCATACTAGTTGACTTTTTTTTTTTTTTTTTTTTTTTTGAGACGGAGTCTCGCTCTGTCGCCCAGGCTGGAGTGCAGTGGCGGGATCTCGGCTCACCGCAAGCTCCGCCTCCCGGGTTCACGCCATTCTCCCGCCTCAGCCTCCCAAGTAGCTGGGACTACAGGCGCCCGCCACTACGCCCGGCTAATTTTTTGTATTTTTAGTAGAGACGGGGTTTCACCATTTTAGCCGGGATGGTCTCGATCTCCTGACCTCGTGATCCGCCCGCCTCGGCCTCCCAAAGTGCTGGGATTACAGGCGTGAGCCACCGCGCCCGGCCACTAGTTGACTTTTAAGATACAGTTCTAACCTTTAGTGATTCTAAGTTCTGCATTTTCTAATTTCCTGGCTTCGAATTTTATTCACCTAGTTTCCTGCCTTCCTGAGAGGCAGGTAGGCCCATGTACTCAGCACAGAGGCACCCTGATCCTTGAGTAGCCCTGACCCTGGCAATCACCTCACCTCTCTGGGTCTCCTTTGGCCAGTCAGCCATGAGGAGGGTGGAGACCCCTGGCTGCTTCCTGCCTGTGTCACAGGGGTTGTAAAAGCCAGTACAATTTTACAAAGGACGAATTCCCCCAAGGAAGATCTTGCCTGAGTAAAATTGTTCAATATTTTGGCTGTTATTACTGCTCTGACATCCAGGAATCATGAGAGATGAGAAGGGAAGGAACAGGTGTAAGTATCCCTTGTATTTATGGTGATTGAGTGGAAGGAGGCTTCGAAGCCATCTAGGGACCCACTTCATTCACAGATAAAGACACAGGAACCAAGGAAGTTTAAGTGGTAAACTGAAGGCCACGAGCCTAATACTGTGTATATGCGGTTGGAGTGGGAGCCCAGGTCTCCTGGCTCCCAGCCCTCAAAACAGAGGCCCCAGAACTAGCTCTTTGTTTTCAAAAGCTTCAACAGGATGGCTTCTGAGAACTAAGCTGTATGCAAAGGTCTACTCTGATTCAATGAGGAAAAAGCACCCTGTAAACTTATTCTTTGTAGGCAGCATATGAGCACTGGTCAAGCAAAGAAACCCAGCAATTGGATGATCCTCAAAAATCTGCTTCCTCCTAATTCCCATTGCATCAGAAGACTAAATTCAGTCTGCTTTGAGACAGCCTGGCAACCCATTGGTACAAGGGAGTACAGAGAAAAACCCCAGACTCCTGTCGCAGCTGGCCACAGGTGGGAGGCTTGCATCTCCCAGGTCAGGGTGCCTGCAAAAGCAACCAGGAAAGGTGCCCTAATGAGAGAAGCCTAGGCTCAGCTTTGGGCTGGAGAGAGAATGATCTGTCATCTTTGCCTGTCACATTTTGCATTATCAAATTCAGCCAGATTTTCAGATCTCTAGTTCAGGAGAACTGTTATAATTTCATTTATTTATTCAACACATGTTAATTAAGCACTAATTATGTGTGAGACATAAGAGAGCCAGAGAGGACTTAGGGTTTCAGGAAGCTTTGTCTTTTTTAGGGTTTGGGATTCCTTCCTGTAATCATGTACAAAGTTTTTGGGCAGGTGTAAAAGTGTGTTTTGCTGGGTTCTTAAATTTTTATCAGATCTGTTATTCTAAAACAATTTAAGAACCCCATAGCGGGTGCACACTAGAACTTTACTTCATGCATCTGCTCTCCTGGTCAGTATCCTCATCCTGCCCATTCAGTCGAAAGCACAGTGGCTAACAGAATGTGAACAAGTGAGGCATCTCTGCCCAGAGCTCTGGTATTCTCTGTAGAACCTCAGGAAGTTGTGCTCGCCGGCCCAAGTCCATGCCCCACATTGCAGATTCTGCCTCAAGCGTTGACATCCTCCTGCATGTGGCCCTCAATCTCTGTGGACCCTGAGGAGGCCATAGCAGGGGTGTGCTGACACTGTCCTCTCAGTCCCAGGACAGCTGCTGGGCCACTTCCTCGCTTGCAAAGTCCTTTCGATTCAAGCCTGCTGGTCCGTCTTACTTTAGTGCTCCTGCAGATTGTCAGGTTCAAGAGTTTCCTGTTTGTTAAGAGTCCTGCCCTGTCCACTGCCCTGATGGACCTGTGGCCTCTGTGTAGCTGTCTAGGAATTGCTTTGGCTATGTGTGGTTGTCCCACTGTTCAGATGACACCTGGTGTCCCTCTGCTACTCCTGTGGAAGTGGTTTTGCAGAAAGATGGCCTGGTAAATGCCTCCCATGAGAACCCTGATGTTAGTTGAGCATGCCATTTGATACAGAAACCCAGAACATAATTATTGCTAGCTGGTGGAATAGGAGCATATGTCAAGACAAATCGTCTCATCAGAACCTAGGCTTCAGGAATGCCAGTGCTGTAGGGAAAGCGCTTCTCTCCGCCTGTTGTGTGTTTGAGTGTATGTGAGTGTGTGGGAGCCTCACCTGCTACAGATGCTGTGCTGAGTTCTCTACTTTCTGCCCCTGTAGAGAGAAGACACGGTTCAATGTGTAGACCTTCTCCCTCTCCAGTGTCTCCAGCCTCCAATCCCAGGACATCACTAGTACAGGTGAAAACAAAAGCCTGTCTCAGCGGCCATCACTCTGCCAGCAGCACCTCAAAGCCATTCAAAACGCCCAAAGACAATCTACTTACCTCCAGCAGCAAACAGCACACAGTCTTTCCTGCGAAAGGATCAAGGGATAAACCATGGTGAGTCAGCTGGCTGGCAGCCAGCTGCTGTCTGTCCCCCCTGCTGTTCCTGTCACCATGGGGAAATAGTATTTACTCTCTGGCTTTGTTCCTAGGTGTCACATGCAGGAATTTGGGGGACTGAGGAATGAAAGGACAGAAACCCAAAATGATGGAAAGATAAACCTAAATATTAGAGGGCATGTGGGACCTTAAGAGTACCATATGGGCCACGCTCACACCTGTAATCCCAGCACTTTGGGAGGCTGAGGTGGGTAGATCACCTGAGGTCAGGAGTTTGAAACCAGCCTGGGCAACACAGTGAAACCCTGTCTCTACTAAAAATACAAAAATTAGTCAGGTGTGGTGGCACACACCTGTAATCCCAGCTACTCAGGAGGCTGAAGCAGAATTGCTTGAACCCGGGAGGCGGAGTTGTGGTGAGCCGAGATCACGCCACTGCACTCCAGCCTGGGTGACAGTGAAACTCTGTCTCAAATATATATATATACACACACATACATAATATATATATGTATATTATACATATATATATTATACATATGTATATATATATTATACATATATTATACATATATGTATACATATATTATACATATACACACATACATATATATATATATTTGAGACAGAGTAGATATATACATGTATATACCGTATGCCTGACGGGGGATTTTTTTAATTCTCTTGAGAGTTGAGCCAAGTTGTGTCTAAGAAAAGGGTAACAGGGAAATATTTCTCAGTTCTGCTGCCACCTCTCAATTTTCCACCCCAGTGAAGAGAAGCTCTGGTGTAAAATCAAAAGCACTGACAGTGTGCCTGGTGTGGAGCAAGACCACGGCCCTACCCGCAACACTGGGTCCCAGGTCCTGTGGAATAGTGGAATAGCCACCAGCAGAGGCAACTAATTGGGAGCTGACCATGGGAGAAAGAGAAGAAAGCCAAGTAGAAGGTCACCCCTTTGGGGGAGTGGGCTGTGAAAATTCAGAGGCTTTTGGCCAGGCGTGGTGGCTCATGCCTGTAATCCCAGCACTTTGGGAGGCTGAGGTGGGCAGATCACTTGAGGTCAGGAGTTCAAGACCGGCCTGACCAACGTGGCGAAACCCCATCTCTACTAAAAATATAAAAATTAGCTGGGCATAGTGTTACACACCTGTAATCCCAGCTACTGGGGAGGCTGAGGCAAGCAGGAGAGTTGCTTCAACCCGGGAGGCAGAGGTTGCAGCGAGCCGAGATTGTGCCACTGCGCTCCAGCCTGGATGACGAAGTGAGACTCCTGTCTCAAAAAAAAGAAAAAAAAAATCTGAGGCTTTTAATTCATTTTGTTATCTCAGCCCTTACTAAAAAGTCAGAAAAGGTTGCCTGTGGAAAAGACAGCTAGGAAACCAAACTTAAAACAAGGAAGATGAGTATCTTCAAATGCTGTTGGCACCCACCTTGGAGTACTTAAGGAACTGGCTTCTGACAGCACCTCTATGCTTATCTTTCAAGCCTTGAGAAGACAGAGAAGGGATAAGTGTGGAGTCCATCTAATTTATGTATTTAAAGAAAAAAAGTGTTCCATTAATTGATGACAGTTAATTGCACTTAAGTTCGTACCTAGGCAAGCTGTAGAGTAAAATCATCCATCAATGGGTTTGTCACTGCACACTGGAAATTATGATAACTTAGTAAAGAGCTAATTATGTCAGATCAATTACAGAGCCTCTTGTGATGGAGTGGAAAGGTGTAGGCATGGCTGTGGAGGAGTTACCTGCCACACAGCTGGGCCTCGTGGGCAAGCTTTGTTCTCCTTGGGTTGTTGGGATTGCGGGTCCATCCTGCAGGAGGCTGTAGCTGGTTAGGGAAGACTCAGCCGGAGAGTGGTGTTTGCCCACCCACCGGCGATGTGAGTCTCCCAGTCACTAACCTGCAATCCGTCTTATCTGTGACCTGAGAATGTGCCTGAGAGTTTATTTACTGGGGCTGCATGGTGTCCCGATGTAACCACAAGCTCTGGAGTCACTGGCCTGGGCACAAATTTCAGCTGGGTGACCTTGGGCAAGTTATTTGATCTTATTGTGCTTCCATTTCCTCATCTGTAAAGTGGGGCCAATAATAGCTCTATTCCATGGGATTGTTGTGAGGATTAAGTGAGCTAGTTTTTATAAAGCAGCAGGCACAGTATCTGGATCATAGTATATGTTCAATAAATAATTTAGCATAACGTCATGGTTATTATTACTATGTTATCATGTGTGCCAAAGGACAGCACTTCCATCCTGGGATAAAGATTGACAAGTCAAATCTCTCTAAAAAAAATTAGAGAAATGGCTCTTCAGACTCAGAGTGAAGATAAAAATGATCAAATAATTTATTCAGAGTCTAGAAATGAGCTACAGAGAAACAAAATAAGGAAAGCCAGGGAAGGAGCACATAAGCCAGGAGGAGACCCAGGGAGCTCGGGGAAGATCATCAATGAACTCTCCTTGTAAAAGAGCAAATGAGAGGTCTCATGTAGCCCCATGGCACCAAAAAGCACTCGCCCAAAAGGCAAACCTTCAGGGAGACCATTGGTTCAAATCATTGTCCACACTCAATCCAGTCCAACTCAACACACACTTCTTAAGACCTGCCACAGTCAAGTCCCCTTCAGCTAGGGGCAAAAAGGGGCAGAAAGAATCTGACTGGGCGCAGTGGCTCACATCTGTAATCCCAGCACTTTGGGAGGCCGAGATGGGCAGATCACAAGGTCAGGAGTTCAAGACCAGCCTGGCCAACATGGTGAAACCTCATCTCTACTAAAGATACAAAAAATTAGCCAGGCGTGGTGGCACACACCTGTAATCCCAGCTACTCAGGAGGCTGAGGCAGGAGAATTTCTTGAACCTGGGAGTTGGAGGTTGCAGTGAGCCAAGATCGCTCCATTGCACTCCAGGCTGGGCAACAGGGCAAGACTCTGGCTTAAAAAAAAAAAAAAGAAAAGAAAAGAAAAGAAAAGAAAGAAGGAAGGAAGGAAGGAAGGAAGGAAGGAAGGAAGGAAGGAAGGAAGGAAGGAAAGAAAGAAAGAAAGAAAAGAAAGAATCTAAAGAAACTAGCCCAGGTCCAGAGATGAGCAACCAAGAGATTTGTAAGGAGAGAGATAGCTCGTAGTGAAAAGACTCGAATGTTCACCTGTGGGAAGAAGAGAAAGGCACGGGCAATTTGCCATGCCTGCAAGTCGGTAAATATTCTGAGGACAGAACCAGTGGTGCACCATGAATGAGGCTGAACCATGGACTGCAGCGGTCTCCTAACTGTCCTCACCTCCCATCTGCCTGGCTGTCATCCATTTACCCAACACGTCCAGGAACATGTGTCAGGGAAGAGATAGAGTCACCAAGGCTGGGATGATTTGGTTTTGAGCCTTAGAGGGCTCAGCCTCAGTTCTGAGCTATCCCAGAGTGCAGCTCCCCAGAGTGCAGTTCCCCAGACCTGTACTGAGCTAGGAGTAAGAAAATCAAATTCAAGTCTGGGCCCTGCCTCTAACTTTCTGTGTGTCCTTGAAAAAGTCACTTTACTTCTCTGAGTCTCATTTTCAAGCCTGAATATTTTGAAATTCTATATCACAGTCCTATCAAAAATTCACAAAGTTCCTCACTGCCTCCTGAATTAAAGAGTTAGTCCCTCAGCCCAACATAACGGACCCTCTACAAACTAGCTGCAACCACCCTAAGTCAATACTGAGTATCCAATACCACCCTATTAGGCCAGATTTCCCCCCATCTCTACCCCTGGTACCTTTGCCTAGAACATCCGTCCATCTTTACTCAACATTTAATGAGCACCTATTGTAATACTGTGTGCCAACTCTATAACAAGCACAGGGGATACACAGGGCCCACTGGTGTCACACAAGCACCTTTGTGCAAATTAGAAAACAGTCTGGATACAGGCCTGTACCAGGTGCACAGTTGACTAATGGCCTTCATCCACTGCTTATTTCCTTAGCCAGGCATCCTCTCACAGTGCATAACCTATACAACTGTACACTGCAGCCCTGGGGATACAAAGTTAAGACACAGACATTGTCTTAGGGAGTCTGTAAATAGAAACATAAGCTAACACAGTACAAAGTGATAAGGACTATGAGGTTGGTAGCAAAGGAGAAGGGTACCTAACCCAGGCTGAGGACTCAGAAAGGGTTTTTCAAAAGAGGTCACTTCTGGCCAGGCATGGTGGCTCACACCTGTAATCCCAGCACTTTGGGAAGCCAAGGCAGGTGGATCACGAGGTCAGGAGTTCAAGACCAGCCTGACCAACATGGTGAAACCCTGTCTCTACTAAAAATTCAAAAATTAGCTGGGTGTGGTGGTGCGCACCTGTAATCCCAGCTACTTGGGAGGATGAGGCAGGAGAATCGCTTGAACCCTGGAGGCGGAGGTTGCAGTGAGCCAACATTGCGCCACTGCACTCCAGCCTGGGCGACAGAGCAAGACTCTGTCTCAAAAAAAAAAAAAAAAAAAAAAAAGGTCACTTCCGCTAAATTAGAAGGACAAGTAGTAGGAAGGAGGTAGACAAAGAGAATGGAATTAGAATGGTAAATTTTTAATGTTATGTCTATTTTACCACCAAAAAAAAAAAAAATTCTATCTAAGAGAGTTGGAAGGGTGTCCTAGGCAAAGGGAACAGAATGTGCAAAAGTATTTGCATGTGGGGAGAGGCAGGATGTGAAACTGGGTAGGGGAGTGAGGCCCAGATTATGAAGTTCTGCTGTATGTGTTAAGTTCAGGAATTTGGACTTCACCCTGGAAATTTCAAAGCGGTGTTAAAGGAGCAGTTTTCTCATGTAGTCTGGTCACCTTGACAGCCACGTAGAATGATGGCTCGGGGGGTCACACAGGAAGCAGCAAGAACGGTGAGGATGTTGTGTCACCCAGGCGAGGCGTGGTGACAGCCTGGATCCAGGCAGTGGTGTGTACGGAGGGGCTGGGTGAGATAAATATTAAGGAGGGAAAACTCCGCAGGACTTTGGGGCTGGTCATATGTAGGGCTGGAGTACAAGGGAAGGCATTACGACAGCAGAGTTGTGGTCCTGCCGCTTCCTCAAGGGAAGGACAGTAAGGGCCAGAGTTGAGGGAGGGAAAGGAAGGATGAGTTCAGCTGGGAAGTCAGTGGATTTTGAAGTATCTAAGAAATATCTACACGTCTCAAAAAAAAAAAGAAAGAGAAAAGAAATGTGAGTGGGCATTGAATGTTTGGAACCAGGGGTCAAGAGATAGGTATGGGCCAGGACTAGAGAGTCATCAGTGTAGACGTGGGCATGGAAGCTGTGGGTACAGATGGGCCTGCCAGGGAGGTATATGGTGTGAGAAGAAGAAGAACAGAGGCCAAGGGTGGTGCCATGGAGGATTGGGACAGGGAAAGAGGAGTCTGAGGGCACTGGGTCTGCTAAGCCCGGTGTCTCCACAGCATTCAGTCCCCTTCTCTCCTGGCCATAATCCTTACCATTCTTATTGCCCGTTTCACTGGCTACCTTCTCTCAATGCCCTTTCCTCATTCACTTCCTCCTTGCCAACAACCTGATATGCTATCGCCTTTCTTTTAATCCCCGGAGCACTTAATTTTTACCTCACATGTGACACTTTCTCTGGTCGGCCATAGACTCCACTTCCTGTCTTCCTCCTGCCCAGTAGTTACTGCAGGGCCTCCTGTATGGAAACCTCTCACCAACTCAACAAGCGTGGTACTCGTGTCAGTAAATATTTGTCGAATTGAATGAAATGGATGTGACCATTGAAAGGGATTCTGAGATTTCCATTCCTGGAGATGGCTGACCTTTTGTCTAGAATTGTTTAGACTAGCACTATCCAATAGAAATGTAATGTGTGACACACATGTTAATTTTACATTTTCAACAGCCACATTGGAAAAAAGTACAAAAGAAACAGGTGAAATTAATTTTTTTTTTGAGTCGGAGTCCTGCTGTGTCACCCAGATTGGAGTACAGTGGCGTGATCTCAGCTCACTGCAACCTCTATCACACAGGTTCAAGCTATTCTCCTGGCTCATCCTCCTGAGTAGCTGGGATTACAGGTGCCCACCACCATACCCAGCTAATTTTTGTGTTTTCAGTAGAGACGGGGTTTCACCATCTTAGCCAGCCTGGTCTTGAACTCCTCATGATCCGTCTGCCTTGGCCTCCCAAAATGCTGGGATTACAGGCGTGAGCCACCATGCCCAGTCATGAAATTAATTTTTAATAGTAGTCATTGGCCAGGCATGGTGGCTCATGCCTGTAATCCCAACACTTTGGGAAGCCGAAGCGGATGGATCATTTGAGGTCAAGAGTTCGAGACCAGCCTAGCCAACATGGTGGAACCCCGTATCTACTAAAAATACAAAAAAAAATAACCAGGCATGGTGGCGCATGCCTGTAATCTCAGCTACTCGGGAGGCTGAGGCAGGAGACTTGCTTGAACCTGGGAGGCAGAGGTTGCGGCGAGCCAAGATCCTGGCACTGCACTCCAGCCTGGGCAACAAAGCAAGTGAGACTCCACCTCAAAAAAAAAAAAAAAAAAAAAGTTATGTGCCACATAACAGCGTTTTAGTCAACAGCAGTCCCATAAGATGATTATACCCTATTTTTACTATAGCTTTTCTATATTTAGATATGTTTAGACACACAAATACTTACACTTATATTACAATTGCCTACAGTATTCAGTACAGTCACATGCTGTACAGGTTTGTAATCTAGGAACAAGTGGCTATACCATACAGCTTAGGTTCAAGCACCTTTTATACTTGACAGGACAGAATCCTGCCCAGACCGGCAAGAAGAGGGTAATCCATTGGAAAAGTGGAACTGGTCACTTTTTTTTTTTTTTTGAGATGGGGTATAGCTCTGTCGCCCAGGCCAGTGTGCAGGGGTTTGTGTTAGTTCACTCTACAATGTTAGCATGACGAAATGACCTCTCATTGCATTTCTTAGAACATAGCCCCATCATGAAGTGACACATGACTATTTTCTTTAACCTAATATATTCAAAATACTATCATTTCAACATATAACCAATGAGATAGATTACATTATTTTCTTTTCATAAGTCTTCAAAATCCTGCATGTGTTTTATTACACTTACAGCACATCTCAATTTGGACACTAAATTTTCATTAGAAATATTTGACCCATTTTTAGGTTTCATAAAAACTAAAGGTTATAAAATAGATTGACACCCAAGTTGTTCTAAACAGACTTAAACATTTTCTAATAACTGAATCAAGTATCCGTTCTTAAATTTCAACAAACTCAGCTTAAATGAAATTTAAAATCCCGTTCAGCCACAGCCACAGTAGCCACTTTTTTTCTTATCTTTTTTTTTTTTTTTTTTTTTTTTTTTTTGAGACAGGGTCTCACTCTGTCACCCAGGCTGCGGCTGGAGTACAGTGGTGCAATCTCAGCTTACTGCAGCCTCAACCTCCTGGGCTCAAGTGATCCTCCCACCTCAACCTCCCAGGTAGCTGGGACGACAGGCACACACTACTGTGCCTGGCTAATTTTTGTGTTTTTGTAGAGTTAGAGTTTCACCATCTCGAATTCCTGAGCTCAAGGGATCCACCCAACTCAGCCTCCCGAAGTGCTGGGATTACAGGTGTGAGCCACAGTGCCTGGCCCCCACAGTAGCCACATTTTAAATGCTTAGTAGCCTGAAGTGGTTAGTGGCTGCTGGATCTAGACACATAGGCCACTGACCCTGGGTGGGACCCTCTGGTTTTTTCAATTCAATGGTGTGTCAATTGGGCTCCTCTAATCTCTTTAAATGTTACGCTCCCATCAGGAGTTGCTAAATTCCAACTCCTTTCTCCCCTTGGCCTGGTGCTGCTGGGTCTGTGGTGGAAACAGACCTGGAAGACCTGCATCAGGCGGTGCAGAGAACTCCCTGCCCAAGTTCGTTCCATTGCTCCAAGTGAACTCTGTATCGCCCCCTACTGGCCAAGAAAGCATAAGCAGTGCCAACCCATACTGGACCGTGGCCCTTAGATTAGATTTAACAGCAGGTTAGGGCCACCCTTTCCAAATAGCTCAAATTCACATGTACAGCAATAAAAACACTACTCTAGAGTTCAGGCTGACCTCCTGGCATTCCAGCACAAGGTTAAATGGTCTGTGGTTTTGTTATTTTCTCCTTTATGTGACTGAGTAGCTTAAAAAAATAACTGCATTACAAGAAAGGGGGAGGCCGGCGTGGTGGCTCACGCCTGTAATTCCAACACGGGAGGCCGAGGCGGGTGGACCACCTGAAGTCAGGAGTTCAAGACGATCCTGGCCAACATGGCAAAACCCTGTCCCTACTAAAAGTACAAAAATTAGCCGAGTGTAGTGGCGGGCACCTGTAATCCCAGCTACTTGGGAGGCTGAGGCAAGACAATCGCTTGAATCTGGGAGGCAGAGGTTGCAGTGAGCCAAGATCACACCACTGCACTCCAGTGTGGGTGACAGAGCGAGACTATCTCAAAAAAAAAAAAAAGGAAGAAGAAGAAAGGGGAAAACAGAGCATTGCCATGTTACCAGGTTTGTTCCCTGCAGAACTGCCTGACAGCACCCACAGGCTGCCCAGCATCCCCAGCCCTGTACTCAGCCTCTCAGAGGCCCCTTCCACTGGTTCACTGTCCTGACAGTGGGGACCACCCCTGTGGGAGCCAGAGGTCAGGGGGTACCTGGCCACCATCTCACAGTGTTGACATCTATGTAGTTGATGACAGTGGAGGGAGGTGGGCAAGAAGACTCGGTCCCCACATAAGAATCAAGAAGGAGTTATGGCTGTTTGGCCCTTTTGAGCTCCGATGAGCATTTCAGCCTTTACTTATGAGTCCCTGCTCAGCCATGGGACCAGACCCTGGCACAGTGACCGAGTCAGCCAGTCTGACTCTCTCAGCTGCTATCACTTCGGTAACCCTGGTCTGGCCTGGCGAATTGATGGGGAACTCAGACCCACAGTTGTAGGCTGAGGTGGGCAGGAGGCAGAGAGGAGGTAGGAGGAGGATTTCCTCCCCTGGATGGCTTGTTGCCTTCTCTTTGGGCCTTATCAACCCACACGTGTGTGTTGAATGCTAAATATGCTCAGCTATTAAAAATGCAGAAGATGAGCCCGCTGCTCCAGGAGGAAAATGAGCCAAAGCAAAAGAAAAATCAGCAGGCTCCCTGGCCTCCCTGTGCATGCCCTGCAGCAGGTGGGGGAGGGCTCCCTCTCCCCAGGTAGGCGGGGCTCCTCTCCAAATGCTTGGAATTACCAGGCGGGTCTTCCCGGAGCAACTGGGGCTGAGGGAGTGTAAGCACTCTGGAAGTCTTCCCAACGCTTTATGGAGAGGGAAGCGATCACTGAGAGGCCCTGGCCAGATGCCTGTGGGAGAAACTGGGCGGCTTATCTCTTCCTGCCTGGTGCTGGCGTGAACTGGGGGCAAGACCAAGGCTCAGGATTGATGGCTCCCTGAAGACACAGAGAGTCGTCTCAGGCTGTGAAATACGAGCAACCCAAGGAGCCGCAGACACTGCAAGGACCCTACCCCTGTGACTGCCCTGCATTCCTCAGCAGGATTCTTGCAGTTGCCTCTCCCTGGCCTCCTTGCCCCTCACTCTGCCCATCCTCCTGTCCACCCCACACACCCCCCCAGAGTGATGTGAGCCCGTTCTGCCCACAACTCTTTGATGGCTCCCACTTGTTTGCCTACAGAGTAGAAGTTTAATGTTTTTGTAATGGACTTCAGAGGGAAGGGGTAAGAGAGGGTGGGAAGGTAGACAGACCAGAATATTGAAGCATGTGGGGGCTGCGGCTGGGGGCAGAGTGTCCCTTCCAGGACAGGGAGGCCGTGGGAATTTAAACATCTAAGGCTGCCTGCTCACTGGGTTTTCAGATGAGCAAAGGTAAGGACAATGGACAGCTCCTTGGGTGTAAATGCAGCCAACCTTGTGAAGTCACAGAAGTGCTCAGAAATAGGGAATCCAGCTTTGGGAGGAAAAGTAAGACCAAGACAGCTGGGGAAGGAAGAAAATGGCCTGAAGTGTCCAGTCACTGTGGCTCACGCCTGTAATCCCAGCACTTTGGGAGACTGAAGCGGGCAGATCGCTTGAGGTGAGGAGTTCAAGACTAATGTGGTGAAACCCTGTCTCTACTAAAAATACAAAAAAAAAAAAAAAAATTAGCCAGGCGTAGTGGTGTGTCCCTGTAATCCCAGCTATTTGGGAGGCTGAGGCACAAGAATCTCCTGAACCTGGGAGACAGAGGTTACAGTGAGCTGAGATTGTGCCACTGCACTCCAACCTGGGCAACAGAGCAAGACTCCGTCTCAAAAAAAAAAAATGGCCTGAAGGAAAGAAGAGGGATGAGCCACAGAGATTAGTAACCATGGTCCTTCATAGCTGCATAGCTCATTATGATTTTTAGATGTTTTGATAGCCCAATCCTATTTGAGCCTAAAGACTATTTTGTGGTGAAGATAAGAAAACAGAGCCCAAAGAGATGAAGCGATGGGCTGAGATTACATACACAGTGGGACAGCAGAGGAGCTGAGACTTGACCCCTGGCCTTCTGGCTTCCAGTGCTACAGTAAAGAGCACCACCCTCGGTGTTGCCTGACGTCAAGCTCTCTCTGCCCTTCATTTTGTGGAATGACCTGGGGCAAGCCTTTCTCAGCCTCAGGCTCCACATCTATGAAATTGGGGATAGAGATTAAACACGGTATTGCACGTGAGTGCATAACTCACTGCTCATGCATGGTAGGTGTGCAGCATGTGCCGCTATGAGCGGACACTTCACCTTTGTCATTGCACAATCTCTTCTCAGAAGAGGAGAGGCAGCACAGCCTGATCCCCACCTAAAGCATTTGTTCTTACCAAGCATTGGTGGGGTGCCAGTTTGGTTTTTATTGTGTTATGTGATTTAACTTCCACTGAGAACATTAATTCATTCATCAAACATTTATCGAGCCCTTCCTAAATGCTAGATAATGTATAGGCTGCTGGGATAATTCCAGAGCGACATGTATACTGGGACAGGGTTCCCATCATCAGGCAGCTCACAGTCTGGTCAGGACACATAGATGTAGAAATAAAACCTTGCCATAGGACATGATGAGTGCAGCAGAAACACCTAGGAAGGAACAGCAGGCACTGGGAGAGAAGAGGATGTTTCCTCCGGATCTGGACAGATGGGGGAGTGTTCACCTGGAGAATGGGGGAGGGCACACCAGCAGGAGAGCCCGGCCCACAGAAAGGCACAGAGCCAGGCCGGAGCACTGGTGTTCAAGGAGAAGTGAGAAGTCCAGCGAGGCTACAGGAGAAGGTGGCTGGGGCAGGAGGGGTGGGGTGGGCCAGGCTGTGAAGGTTACACTTGGACCTCTGGGCCTTGGGCAGCCCACAAAGACTTTCATGGTCAGATTTGCGTTGGTGGCTGAGTGCAAACAGATTAGAACACACAGAGAGGCCAAGCCAGAAAGGTTGCAAGCGATGCTGAGGCCTGGACCTTTTAACAGCTGTTTAAGAGGTGGACTTTGGTCAGACTGACTTGTGAGTGACTGAATTTCAGGGAAGAGCTGGTTTCTAACTGGATGCTGATATTGTTAACATAGAGTTTTTTGGTTGTTGTTGTTTTTGTTTGTTTGAGACAGAGTCTCTCCCTGGCTTCTAGGCTGGAGTGCTGTGACACGATCTCGGCTCACTGTAGCCTCCATCCCCTGGGTTCAAGCAATTCTCCTGCCTCAGCCTCCCAAGTAGCTGGGATTACCGGCATACACCACCACGCCTGGCTAATTTTTGTATTTTTAGTAGAGACGGGGTTTCATGATGTTGGACAGCCTGGTCTCCAACTCCTGACCTCAAGTGATCCACCCACCTCAGCCTCCCAAAGTGCTGGGATGAGCCACCATGCCCGGCCTGATATTGCTAACATAGAGATTAAAAAAGAAAAAGTCTATTTAATTTGGAACAAAGAATATCCTGAGTTTGCTGTAGGTCAGTGTGAAGATAAACTTTTTTTTTTAATATGGCAAAAATGCCATTCAGAATAAACCCTTGAGGGTTTAAAAAGAAAATGTGCTTTGTTTTCTGGATGGAGGTGGTTCAGGTGCAAGGCTGCCTGCCCAGAACCGGATTCTAATACAAAAAAGGAAAAAGCAGAGTGAGTGAGTGATGCCTGGGGGAGGGAAGGTGCTCCTGAGGGCTTTTCCTCTGGCAGGAAACTGGGAGCAGCAGGTGTCAGGGTACCTGGCCAGAAGCTGGAGCACTGATAAGTAGCCTGGGATGCTTTGCCATTTCCTCATCTTTCAGCGTGCTCAGAAAAAGCTTCTTGAAGGCCAAAGGCTTAGGATGGGAGCCCAGGGTCTCTGCTCAAGGTGCCAGCTCCCAGCCTTCCTGGCAGGGGGATGGAGGGTGTTCTGTAAGGAGTTGCCCTGTCTCCCCTTGGGTCAGGGTTTCCTCCAGGACTGTTGGGAAACAGTAACTGTCTGGGCTGTACTGGCTGGAAGGCACTGCAGAGCAGCCTACAGCTCGAACAGCAGGAACCAATGACCTCTGGTGGCTGCCGAGGGGAGTGCTCCCGCTTGTTGCTCCTGAGCGGAGCCTGTTCTGGGCCAGTGCTGGGGACAGGGTGCTTGGGGCTCTGCCTCACCCTGCACCAGCGCTCCCTGCAGAATCAAATTGCCTCCTAATCTCTACGTTCTCAATTCCTGCCCTCCCAGGCTCTGATACCATTTCCTTATTGATGTGAATTTCAATGGCCATTCATTGGAATTGTGTGGCTCTTCGTTCTCATTTGCAGAGGAAAGGCACTGAGCAGGTGCAGTTGATTAGGTCTAGGGTTATCCTTAAAACGCTCCTGGACTCCCTGCCCAAGGCTACACTGCTGCAGACACAGCTGGTCCCAAAGGCAGCCTGTGCAGCATCCTATGCCCTACTGCATGAGGGCTCGATTTTTCCTTTTTTATCTTCTCCTCTTCTCTGACTTGCTGACTTGTTCACAGTCCTAGGGCACTAGGACTCCCCAGGAATGTCAGGACACTTAGCACTCCTTATTCTCCCAGCAGGTTTGGAGACCACCTTCTGAGCTCCATGCCCTGGGAAGCCATGAATAACAGAAGTACAAGAGAGACTAACAGACCAGCAGGGAGACATGCGCTGGGGCCTCCTGCTTCCAGAAAATTGGAGCAGCCTAGAGGGGGGCTTATAGAGTTATTTCTCTGGGAGGCATCTTAGAACCAGCAGAGAGCCCCAATGCCTAACATACTTCAGGATTGCAGGAGACAACATGTTTGTGCATGAGGAGGCTGGAGTTCCTCCTTACTCCTCTTCCAGAATGTCCTATACAGATGGGACCTTTAACCACTAGTCCAGGCTTAAGCAGTGCCTAGAATACTAGAGATGGAGAAGCAGGTGGGCTTGTGAAGTAGGGCTGACAGGTCCTGGAAAAGGGCCATTGAATCTGGCCCCACCTCGTTCTGCTTTTCTTCCTCACTGCCTCACCCAGAAGGAGTCCTCTACTCTGCATGAATGTGGAAGGCTGCTGCTCCCACCCTCTGCTGGTGCTTCTGCCTCCACCCTGTCCACCCCTCCTTCCACGGTGGGACCAGAAGGGACTAAGGAAGCAGAAGTTTTCTGATGGTGACCATGATTTGCACCCCACATATATACCTTTCAAGTATCGGTGGATGAGAGCAGATGCTGGGATCCTCTGTGCCCTTTTGGTTTAGTTAGAGTTTATTGAGAGTCTGCTATGTGCCTGGCACTATGCTAAGCACTTGGTATCTACTACCTCATTTAATCACTTCAAATATCTCTTATTATCTTCATTTGACTGATAAGGAAACTGAGGCATGGAGCCAGGAAGGCCTGAGATAAGTTAGGCAGGGCAGCCACATATGTTTGTGTGGGCTTTGCACTGCATGAGACCACCCCACCAAGGCAGGACTGAAACCAGCACTCACTCCTTGCCAGGCCAGGTGTCCTCTTTCTCATTCTTAGAGTCCTGATAAGCTCACTGAGGCTCTGAAACCGGGTAGCCAGAAGGCTGTGATACCGTAATGCATCCAGCAACAGAAAAGGCAGGATTTGAGTCTAGGTTGGTCTGATTTGAAAGCCTATATTTCTAAGCCTTATCTAAGCCTTATAAACTATCTTCCAACACTCCACATTCTATAAATTTGCCAGAATATTGACAAGGCACAGACCTTCAATTCAGTCATACTTGTTCTCCCTGATTTTATTTGATTTGCTTCTGGCCATTTTTACAATTCTTCCAAGTCAGCTTGTTCATTTTTCCTCCCACCTAACTGACTCAGGAGGAAATCTCACATCATTGTTCTCAGCAGCTAATCATCTCTTAACCCAATTGAGGAGCAAAGTCTTGGCCCATCATCCAAGTCACTGATGAAGACACTATGACCTTCTTGGCCGGCAGTGGGTCCCTGTCGAGCTCTGCATGGTATCACTCTAGGCTGAAATTGAGCCCTGCTAACCCATTTTTCTTTTGTCTCTGCTGCCAGGACCACTCACCTGGTAACTGTGTGGTCTGACCACATTTCCCCAGTTTACTGAAGGTGTGTTATGTGGGAGAGAATCCAAAACTGTGCAAAGGCCAGGAGAGATTAGACACTATGCTTCCTCTCTAACCACCAGGCCTGACACTCAGCCACAGAATAATGTTAGATTTATCTGGCAGATATTCTTATTTACCATGCTCTGTGGTTGAATACCTGTTTTCTGTTTGCTAAAGGTGTTTACAGACAGGCTTTCTGAAAGTTTTCCCAATATTTTTCCAGACACACCGCAAAAATACCATTTATTCACTTGTCAGGATTTATGCAGTATCAACTGTATCTGTCATACCACGGTAGTAGGACTTTGTGTCTCTGTTATTTACCCTGATTCTTAGTGATTGCCTGCCCCTCAGACTTCTAGAATCTCCCAAGTACTTCTTCAACTTAAAGAATTTAGATTGGATATAAATAATTTCCTCATAGTAGCTGCCAAAATACATCCAAGAGAGCCAAATTGAATTCCTTCTCCAAGGGCATTTTAAAAGAGGGTAAATTCCTTTTTATTGGGGATGACTTAATGCTATCACTGCTTGGAAGCCAAGAGGCTGGGTGATATGGCCCTTCTAAGGCTCTGCCAGTGAGTCAGAGATTCTCAAAATTCTGCCAGGCCAGCAGCATAAGCACATAGGCTTTTGTCGAAGGAATTGGTGGAGGAAATCAGACAGCTGAGAACTCTCATCACACACAAAACCCACAGCACAAATACCATATGTCTTCAGGCTCCTGCCTGTCAAATTCATCTTTACCGTGCTCTGGTAAGTGAAGAAGGGCTGGCAATAATTTCTGCAGACCTAGAGACATTCAGAACCATTCTCTTAAGGCATTTCTGTTGATAATCAAAGAATATAGATCATGATCACCAGGAAAGCGTAGCTGGCAGGTGGGCAGCTGGCCCTGCGGCACATTGGTGGCTCTTGCAATGGCACCGTCATGAGTCTCCACCTCTGTTCTTTTGCAGACATCACTGGGCAGGGAGGGGAATCTACTTGATGCCAAGAGAACCATGTTTCTTAAAGCCAGAGGACCCGCCTTGATCTAGAAAGATAAATTCAGACAGGCCAAGCACAAAGGAAGAAGACGTGGGCAACTAAAGCAGCACAAAAGAAACAGAGGTAGATATCGCCCCCACGTAGCAAGGGGGATGAGGGAGGGTGTTCTCGGCATTGGGTTTCTTTCCCAGGACCGAGACAGAGGTACAGAGATGATGAGGAGAGAACTACTCCCAGCATATTAGACACAGCAGGGGAACAGGCTGCAGCCCTGAGCTCTCTGAAAGAGTTCATCCCAAGTGAACAAAACAGGCATTATGAAAGCAGCAGGGGAAGAGTGGAGACTCATCTTTCCCTTTCAAACACTGCTCCACAAAGAAAGGACAATCGTGAGTTGATAAATGCAACTAATTGTGCGACTTTGGGAAGTGTGCACATGCATCCTTTAGACTGAAGGGAAAGGAACTTTGAAGGGCTTTGGCTAAGCTCGGGGGTAACTGCCAGGCTTGTTTGTCACCTAAGCAAACAGTGTAATAAATTGCTGAGTCACCCATCAGGCTATTGCCAACTCACCACCCCCTCCCAGGTCTCACCACCTGCACATGGAGGTGTTTGCGTTACTGTGATTAGACACAAAGAAGATGGGAGATGCCCATACTGTGAAAGCAGGGGTTAGAACCTTTTGGATTCTTTCCAAATGGAAAAAAAAGTCCAACCTGTCATTCAGGGTCCACAGCCATCTGGAAGGGGCGTGCCCAAGGCTGGGACACTTTCCTGGCTGGGGAAGGTGACAGCAGAGGAAGTGAGGGGGATGCACACGGGGCCAGTGAGAGGAAGCAGAGGACAATTCCGAGACACTGGCTTCCCTGTGACTGCACTGTGGCTGCAGCATAGGCACACGCGGGATCTGTGTGTATGGGAGGTGGGGGGTGGGGCTCTTAATAGGCTCTTATGTCAGCTGAATGTTTTTGCTCAAAAAGCATCATCTCTGGGATTGGCTTTCCAGATTCTGTGGCACTATCCTGTGACCGTTTCCTCCTTTGCTTTCTCAGTTCAGGACTTTGGGGCTGTTGCCAGCTGTAGTAAAGAAAGGCTGGCCCGATGGCTAGCGTGTATACTGGGGAAGAGGATGGCAAGGTCAAATGCCTTTCCCACCATCACTCAGCTGCCTGCTTCTGTGTCTTCTCAGTCCAGGCCAAGGCAGGTTCCCTTAGAGAGAAAGCCCAAAGCTTTTGAGGGAGAGAAGGGACACCAAAGAAAAAAGTATCAGGGACAGCTCTAGGTTCTTCTCCTTCACTCTTCTAAGCCCTTCTCCATTAGCTAATGAACACCCTTAGAACACACCCAAAAGAGCGCAGTCTCCCTTCTCTCCTTCTGCCAAGTCCTTTTACCTCACATCAGAGGTGTTCACTCAGTGGCCCAGCCCCTTACCAACTCACCTGGTCTTTGAAATCTTTGAAACATTCTTGATCAGACTTTTTTCCCCAATGCTTCCCATTCTTCAATCCAGAGGACTGCACGTGAGGCTGTCTTTCCTGTTTCTGATGGGCTCCAATTTCGCATCCAGCTGAGTTCTGGAATCATTGACAGTAGAGTATGATTGGGCCACACTCATTATAAAGCAGAAAAAATTCCAAATTAGGAGACAGTCACAGACATTAGCTGGCCTGGCCCAAGCTCAGTTACACACAGTTGGGAAGAAGTGTCACCAAAGAGATGAGTCAACTGGCACGGTTCCAAATGTTGGGACCTGGTGCACCTGTGCTCGTGGGGCTGCCTTAAGGAGCACATTCAGAGCCTGACGTTGACTTTAGAGGAGTAATGCAGACTGTGCTATGAGCATTTGAGGGCTGCTTGGCTTGTTTTTGCTGTTTGTTTGTTTTTGAGACGGAGTCTCGCTCTGTTGCCAAGCTGGAGTGCAATGGCGCCATCTCAGCTCACTGCAACCTCCGTCTCCCAGGTATAAGCGATTCTCCTGCCTCAGCCTCCCAAATAGCTGGGATTACAGGCATGTGCCACCGCGCCCGGCTAATTTTGTATTTTTAGTAGAGACGGGGTATCACCATGTTGGTCAGGCTGGTCTTGAACTCCTGACCTCAGGTGATCCACTCGCCTCAGCCTCCCAAAGTGCTGGGATTACTGGCGTGAGTCACCGTACCCAGCCGGTTTTTTAAATGTATTTCCATTTGTACAATTGCTCTGGATTATTCTATCCCAGGCATCATATCTTTGTCTGCTGAAGGCCTGAGGACCTAACATCTACATAGGGCATTTTTCACAGAAACTAGAGGCGTTATGTTAACTCGTACCAGCTCATGCAACAAGAACTAGATCTGGAACTTGCAAGTTCTAATTTCCTTTCCTGAACTAACTTGGCTTCACAAAGAAATATTAATACATCAGAGAAGGCTGCCCAGGTACTAGAGCACCTTCTCTTCTTGCTAGCTGTCCATGTGTTCATATCAACACTTGAAGTTTGATTTTTTTCCCTAAAGAAATAAAAGTCAACAGATCAGAACAAGGGTGAGAAATTAAATCAATAAATCTTTTTGAACAGAACAGATTCTTCTAATTTTTTTTTTTTCCAAGACAGGGTCTCACTGTGTCACCCAAGCTGGAGTACAGTGGCACAATCCTAGCTCTCTGCAGCCCCAAACTCCTGGGTTCAAGTGACTCTCCTACCTCAGCCTCTCATGTAGCTGGTACTGTGTGTGTCCACCAACGTGCCCAGCTTATTTATAATTTTTTTTTTTTTTTTTGTAGAGACATGGTCTCACGGTGTTGTCCAGGCTGGTCTCAAATACCTGGCCTCGGCTGGGAGCAGTGGCTCATGCCTGTAATCCCAGCACTTTTAGAGGCTGAGGCAGGCAGATCACCTGAGGTCACGAGTTTGAGACCAGCCTGGCCAACATGGTGAAACCCCATCTCTACTAAAAGTACAAAAATTAGCCAAGTGTGGTGGCGGGTGCCTATAATCCCAGTTACTTGGGAGGCTGAGACAGGAGAATCACTTGAACCCAAGAGGCCGAGGTTGCAGTGAGCCGAGATTGTGCCACTGCACTCCAACCTGGGTGACAGAGACACTGTCTCAAAAACAAAACAAAACAAAAAAACACCTGGCCTCAAGCAATCCTCTCACCCTGGCCCCCCAAAATCCTAGGACTACAGACATGAGCCACCATACCTGGCCAATATGTTTGGGTTTGGGGGGTGCCAGTGGGGTCAGGGGGGAGTTGAGACAGGGTCTTGCTCTGTGCAATAGCATGATCCTAGCTCACTGTAACCTCAAACTCTTGAGCTCAAGCGATCCACCTGCAGCCTCCCAAGTAACTAGGACTACAGGCACATGCCACCATGCCTGGCTAATTTTTATTTCTATTTTGTAGAGAATGGTCTCGCTATGTTGCCCGGGCTGGTCTCAAACTCCTAGGCTCAAGCAATCCTCCCACCTCAGCCTCCCAAAGAGCTAGGATTATAGGCATGAGCCACCACAACTGGCCACTGACACTTTTTTTTTTTTTTTGAGACAGAGACTCGCTCTGTCGCCCGGGTGGGAGTACAGTGGCATGATCTCAGTGCACTGCAACCTCTGCCTCCTGGGTTCAAGTGATTCTCCCACCTTAGCCTCCTGAGTAGCTGGGATTACAGGCATGCACCACCACCCCTGGCTAATTTCTGTTTGTTTGTTTGTTTGTTTGTTTGTTTGTTTGTTTGTTTGTGGTGGCGTCTCACTCTGTCTCCCAGGCTGGAGTGCAGTGGCACTATCTCGGCTCACTGTAAGCTCTGCCTCCTGGGTTCACGCCATTCTCCTGCCTCAGCCTCTGGAGTAGCTGGGACTACAGGCGCCCGCTGCCACGCCTGGCTAATTTTTCTTTTTTTTTTTTTTTTTGGATTTTTAGCAGAGACAGGGTTTCACCATGTTAGCCAGGATGGTCTTGATCTCCTGACCTGGTGATCCACCTGCCTCGGCCTCCCAAAGTGCTGGGATTACAGGCGTGAGCCACCACGTGTGGCCAATTTCTGTATTTTTAGTAGAGACGGGGTTTCACCATGTTGGCCAGGCTGCTCTTGAACTCCTGACCTCAGGTGATCCACCCGCCTCAGCCTCCCAAAGTGCTGGGATTACAGGTGTGAGCCACTGAGCCCAGCCTCTGATCTGTATTTTTAAAGTCAGGTTTATTGAAGTATAATTTAGGTTGTAAGAGTTTTGTAATTTGCATTTTTTTTTAGTTTGTACATGTAAAACATTTTTAATTGTGGTAAAATAAGCATAACATAAAATTTACCATATTAACCGTTTTTAATGTACATTTCAGTAGTATTAAGTACATTCACACTGTTGTGCAACCAATCTCCAGAACTTTTTTTTCCATCTTGCAAAACTGAAACTCTATACAGTTGTTCAACGGGCATTAAAAAAAACTGCCCATTCTCCCTTCCCCATCCCCTGGCAACCACTGCTCTGCTTTCTGTCTCTATGAATTTGACTACTCCAGGTACCTCATATAAGTGGAATTATACAGTATTTGTCTTTTGTGACAGGCTTATTTCACTTAACATAATGTCTTCAAGGCTCCTGCCCGTGTCAGAATTTCCTTCCTTTTTAAAGCTGAATGATGCTACATTTTGCTTATCCATTCATCCATTGATGGACACTTGGGCTGCCTCCACCTTTGGCTATTGTGAATAACGCTGCTATGAACATGGGTGTACAGATCTCTCTTCAGGACCCTGATTTCTTAACTTGTGGCTTTTTAAATGTGTCAAGGAATAAGCCTAGAAGAATTCTGTATCACATTGCTTTGCATCTTTTTATCATTTGGGAAAAATCAGGAATGCAGCACTAATTTCACCAGGTAATACCTGTCTAGCATCTTGGTGTGCTCACTCTCAAAGGGTTTCTTGTGCCATTCTTCAGTGATATGGGAGTGCTTTGAGAATTGCCATTAAATAGAAAGGAGCAGCAGTTCAGCTCTATCTCAGACATTGAGACACTCTGATCAGGGACGGAATTGGCAGTGGCAGGGTTTGTTACAAAAAACTGTCATTCTAGTTTCCCCTCACATGGGACTTGAAGCCCCAGGTCACCCTTCCCCAGGCCAAGAAGCTACGTGGTCCAAGGGAGAAGTCGGTAATGTCCAGCCACAATCTGTTCCGCTGCTCTGTGCCCTTCTCGCTGGCAAAGATCTGTAACAAACAGCTGGGATCCTATTTCAGAGTCATAAAAGGGGCAGGGGCTGAGAGGGGGCTAAAATAATTTCATGAACAAGTTGATCAAAGAAATAATCTGTGAATGAATCTTAGAGAAAGGAGAGCCAGCCAGCCAGCCATGTGGACAGATAAGATTCTTTTCCTGCCAAAAACAGCCCCTCTTTCCTGCCCTACATTGTCTGCAGGAATGTAAAAGCCATATTCTAGATCATTTGGCATTCAAATAGCTAAGTAGGCTTCACTCTCAGCTCAGAGATGACTGGGGAGCCCATGTTAGCATTCTTCCCTCCTGCCAGGAGGAAAGGGAATCTAGCTCAGGGACCAAAGCAAAGCTTATTCATCTCATCTTTTAAGACCCAGAGATGGAGTTCTCCACAGCCCCCCAGACGCAGGTCCTTCAGCATTAAAGAAGAAGAGAAATCAAATGCACATCCCATACAGGAGAAATAGCAGGGAAGGGGGCTAAGGTGACAGATTCTGAAGAGTGAAGCACACCTTTGTGCTCTGCCTTCTTAAAATTCATCCTTTCACCTGCCAGCCTTGAGAATTGCCTATTTACATAACTAGCTGCCTAAAATGGAATATTGGATAATGCTACATGGCGGCTCACTCAATTTGAGCCCATCCCCAGGATGTGAGAGTGATCCAGAAGCCGTCCGACAGCACGCCGTGCAGCACGCTGGCCTGAAGCCATGCCTCCTTGTGGTGTGATCCTGTCAGCACTCCGGAGCTAAGCAGATGTCAGGCCCGATCCGGGCCGGGCTGGGGGACTAGCTGAGCAGCGGGGGGAGGGGGCGTGATTCAGCAGTGGCACATTGTCTTCAGGGGACAAACGGTATCTCTTCCTGAGCTTCACAACAGGCGCCTTGTTCTGCCCAAGGTGCTGTGTTGGAAATGGCCAACCTATAGGGCCCGGGAAGTGGGGAGTTGCAGGATCTATGGGGACAGCTCAGCACGGGCGGTAATCAGTCAGCCCTGATGCCACCCCTGACACTGTGCCAGCCTCGCACCCCCTGTTGATCCTTTCCAGGGCACAGAACTCTCTCCCATCAAAACTGGACTCATGCTGCTTGCTTATAGAAGGAGTATAAATAAGTGATAAGGAAATGTTCTGATAATGATAAGCGGGTATGGTTCCTCAGCAGACTAGATGTATCAAAGAAGACAATTGTGTGTGTTTGTTCATTTATTTTTCAGTGTTCCAGTTCCTGTAGTCAGTTTAGAGAAAATTCCTAACCTAGTGAAGGCAGATGGTGCCAATGTCAAAATGAACTCCACAACCACTACTGCAGTTTCTGCCTCCTCCACCTCGTCCTCTGCCGTCTCCACCCCTCCTTTAATTAAGCCTGTCCTGATGTCCAAGTCAGTGCCACCTTCACCAGAGAAGATCTTAAATGGCAAAGGAATTCTGCCAACCACCATAGACAAGAAACACCAAAATGGCACCAAAAACAGCAACAAGCCTTACAGGAGACTTTCAGGTATGTGTCAGTGTCGTCAGGGTCTGACTCATGATTAGACTGAAAGGGAGTCGCAGCCATAACGAAGGAGTGATGTGCTGTTATCATTAAGCAGGTCTGTTTCATTTTAAGGGGGATGCAGAGTTTACCTGCAAACAGGAACCCCACCTAAAAATGCAAGGGAAAACCAGGTCTCTTCTTCCCCGGGCAGATGAAGTCCCTCACTCAGTTCAGTGCTTAGCGGGAGTTACCCTAGCAACCCAGGAGGCAGGGTGCTCTGCACCGACCTACTCTGTAGATTCCGAGGGTCTTGTGAGCAGGTGATTCTGTGTATCTGTATCATACAAACAGGTTGAACTAGCCCTGGCTTCCATAGAAGCTTCACTGCTGGGAAGCTGGACAACACACAGGGATCTCATGGTGCCTCAAGGCATGTGAGGGACAGCCCCGCCAACAGCTGTGCTGCACAGGGACACACAGCCTCTGTCCTTTGGCCTCGGGAGTTTCCAGGTTAATTCTGCAGTTGAGTTTACAACTGTCGATCCCCCATAATCAGGTTGGAATTCCCAAACAGGAACAGTAGGGCTGGCAGTGCCGATAGGGTGCTGGGGCGGTCTCTTGTGGGTCTACTCCTTGGTTGTCTGAGCAGACACTTGGGGTGCCAGAAGAGGCACACAGGATGATGGTTATTTGTTAGAGGCCCCTATGTGGGTAATGTTTGCTTTGGATCGATCTGCTGTAGAACTAAACGTGGCAGTTTTTACTTTCTCCAAAAGACCAGGAGAAGCTATAAACTTCATAACTTCTTCTTACATCATGGGCACTCCCTGATGGTGGCCAGAGAAAGTAAAATACAGTGACAGCCACCCTGTGACAGAGAAACTGTCCTCGGGTTAAGCTTGATTTTTAAGCACCCAAGGAATTGTGGGTAATTTTTATTGTCTACTCTGTATTTGTCTGTAGTTCTAGTTTCTCTATCTTTCATCTGTAACTCTTTTTAAAATTATGTCTGAAAAATCCCTCAAGCCCAAAGCATTCGGATAAAGCAGGCATTGTACCTTGCACATCTCTGCCTGCGCTGCTCACCCACTGTCAAGAAAGAAAGGTAGAGCCTGGTGCTCTCCCTAAGCACTGTGGGCCTCACAGTTCGGGCGGGAGCCCCCAGCACCTGGCTCTTCCTGCATGGAAAGCTTGGTTTCACTCTTCAGAGGTGGTGGCAACATCCCCAGAAAACCGGTAGGCGTGGGCACAGTGGCTGGAGGCCGAGGGCTCCTCGCCATAGCAGAAGCACGGCCGTGGCTTCCAGCCTGTAACCCCATCTGAAGTTGTCTGGGGATTTTTTTGCCGCACATTGTTTTTGCATTTTGTGGGTTGTCTTGTTTCGTCGGGTCTTTTGCTTGTTTCTGCCTCACTTTCACATTTGGCAGCCAGCTCCTACCCTCAGCCAACAGCCTGCTCAGCTCCAGGTCGACATGAGGCGCTGGTGTGGGACCAGGCACAGGCCTGACTCTGACAGACCCAAAAAAAAAACACCACACCAGGCAGCCTGGCCAGAGAGGGCTCCGAGCAAACCAGCATCTCCAGGCCTAGCAGGTTTTTTTTCTAAGTGAAGCTAAAAAAAAAAAAAAAAAAAAAAAAAAAAAAGAGAGAGAGAGAGAGAGAGAAAAGGCAGACAAAAAGCAAAAAAAGGGGGGAGGCATTTTGGTAACCAGCCAGGGAATCTGTCTTGGGTATAGAGTAGTTTTCTTGTGCATATCATCAGTAACACCATTGCAACCTCCCCATGACCCTCAAAGCTTTTGAAAATAGAATACATTCATTTATTATGGTATAATCTGAGCATTGTTATATGCTCGGAGTTTACTCCACCAATTTCAGACAGTTTTCCAGCTAGGAACCTTTTTTGAGTTTGCAGCCATTCAAGGGTCTTAAGGAGATACCACCAATTTCTGTACACCCTCTACCACCAGCAACACTGCTGCCAGTCTACCCACATGCCCAGAGGGCTGTGTCATTCCTGCTCTGCAGGACTTATGTGTTTGCTCGGTGCCTTCCAGAAACGGCACAGGCCATCCAAGAGGTGGAATTTTAAAGCCCAAAAGATCCTTAAGAGATCACCTACCCTGGGCAATATAGTGAGACCCTGTATCTACAAAAAATAACAAAATCAGGCAGGTGTGGTGGTGCATGCCTCTAGTTCCAGCTACTCAGGAGGTTGAGGCTTGAGCCCAGGAGGTCGAGGCTGCAGTGAGCCTTGTGATCCCACCACTGCACTTCAGCCTGGGTAACGGAGCGAGACCCTGTCTCAAAAAATAAAAATGAAAAAAAGAGATCACCTCACATCCCCTCATTTTTAAGGTGAGGACAGCATGATTGTCTTCCTGGCAGGGGTGAAGGACCCAAGATGGGTATAGAAAGAGCAGGCTCCTTAGAAGTAACCTCCGCACAAGCTGTCCACAGTCAACTGGAAGGCAGGAGCTGGGGAAGCCTGGCCTCTCCGCACAGACATCCTTCATCCTGGTGGGGCAGCCTGCCCCGTTTTATTCCCACGTGAAGCATCAGACCCAGGGCAGTGGGGGCGGGGAGCAGCTGTGAGATTAGCAGGCCCCTGCCCTCTCTGCACCTTCAAGTTCAGCCTTCTCCCCTGCCCCTGCCTGTAACACTGCTAGAGTGCCCCTCAATCAGGTAAATGGTGTTTGTGGTCAGCAAGGCTGTGTGCAAAGCCTGCGCCGAGAGCTTTGTCAAGCATGAGAGAGGCAGGTCACTCTGACATGTCAAGGAGTAATCTCCCATTTACATGGCTAAAACTAGCAGGAAGGCAGGAGCTGGAGTCAGGGTGTCTGTACTCTTGGAGCAGCCCAGGAAAGGGGTCGTTGGGTCTCAGGTGGCTCTCCCTGGTCTGCAGCCAGCTATGCCCAAATGCCAAGGACCTGTGGAACCATTGCAAGTAAAATAAAGCGTTAAGAGCATTAAGAGCAGCACGGCTCCTCTCCTTCCCTTCGGTGCCTGCTCCCGCCCTATTCCCCGAGCCTTGTGCTGCGTTCGGCGGTGCTGCCGAAGCTAGACTTGGGAACTCTGGGTTCAGAGGGGAGCACCATTTTCCCCGAGCGGTTCTGGAAGACTTTTAGCAGCTGGTTGAGAAAACAAAACACAAAAAAACAAAAAACAGATTGCCTGACAATGTCTCACTTGTTGGTGCAAATGTGCATTTTTTAAAAAATGTAGTCTTAATGCCAAATCCTATTTAGTCTCCTTTTTTCTTATATTTTTTGTTTGTTTCTTAAACCAGAGAGAGAATTTGACCCAAATAAACACTGTGGAGTATTGGATCCCGAGACAAAGAAACCTTGCACAAGATCCCTCACCTGCAAGGTATTTCTCTTTCCATAAAAAATACTTCCTGCTCTCGCTGGGGCCTTTGTCGAAATGTTTGCATGCCACTCTCTGCACACGGCAGGGTGTGGAACCTCGACATGACCCCCAGCTGTTCTTTGTAAGGGAAATGCTTTCTTCTCGTCCATGGTAGCAGAGTGCCTGCCTCAAGCTGGCTGGCTTTTTAAGAAGGAGAAAAAAAAAAAAAAAAAAACTAGGCTTCCCCTGTTACTTGTGAGGCCAGACAGTAAATTGTATTTATAGGCACTCACAGGCGGTTCTAAAGCCTGCTACGTTTTAATGTATGCAGGAGCAGCGGCAGCGGCGGCGGCGGCGGCGGCAGCGCCCTGAAAGGCAGCCCTGGAGGGGAGGATGATATGCCGCGCCCCTGATCCAGCCACACCGGGGTGGCCAGGGGAACAGCTGACCCAAGGCGGCCGCCATTGGGTCGCCCAAAGCCCTGTATTTCATGCTGAACTGCTAGTGCTTCTTGGGATCAAGGCGATGGCCCTCTCTGCTTGGTGGCTCTGTTTGTCTGGGCCGAATCGAGCCTCCCACCTGCACCTGGATTAACTCTAGCATTCCCTCGCAGTTGCCTTTCATCAGAGAGGTTTTCATGGGTTCTGCGCTGAAGCTCGTCATCCTATGCCATTTTTTGGAGGAAGCTTTGGCTTCTTAACACCAGGAGTGTAGGGCATGGTTGCGTTCGTGTGGTCTCTGCCTCTTCCTAGCCACAGAACAGGAGCTGTTGCCTTGAAGTTGACTTTTCAAGCACCTCTAAATTTCCATGAATTGCTATTTCTGAAATGGAGGGCCTGGGGAAGCAGGTTTATGTGCTGATCAAAGAGGCTGTGCTTTTCATTTCTCTTCTCCTTAGACACATTCGCTAAGCCATCGGAGGGCAGTCCCAGGCCGGAAAAAGCAATTTGACCTCCTCCTGGCAGAACACAAAGCAAAGTCCCGGGAAAAAGAAGTTAAAGATAAAGAGCATCTCCTGACTTCCACGAGGGAAATACTTCCAAGCCAATCCGGGCCGGCACAGGATTCTCTGCTAGGGTCTTCAGGGAGCTCTGGGCCAGAACCAAAAGTTGCATCCCCTGCAAAATCCAGACCACCCAACTCTGTACTTCCTAGGTAAGTACCACCTTGACGATAGAAGCCCTGAATGCTTGGTCAAGTGACTAGCTTGCTGGGTCTGTGGCATGTGGTCTGATTATATGTTAAATGGAAATCATAATAGTACTACTTCCTAAGGCAAGTAGTAAAGTTTAAATGAGATAATGTACATAAGAGGCCCAGCCCAGTGCTTGCCACATAGTGTTCAACAGATTTTACTGCTGTCATCATTATTATCATCACTGTCATCATCATTGTCAGCAGCAGCGGACTTCATGGCAGACAAGCAGATCTTATATCAGACAGTGTGTGTTTTTACACAGCAAGAGTAAGCTGGAAATAAATACCTGAAACTGTGACACATCAGCCGCCAGGTGACTTCCTGGCTGCCTGGGCTTTTATATTAGTTGACGATTCCTGGAGCGGAGTAGGGAAACCCAGGTGAATAGGTCGTTAGCACCTCTTAGACGCTCACTGCACCATGCTAGTCCAGTTGCCACGATATTTGTTTTGCACGCTCTCCTATCATCAGGATGAAAGGGGAAATTGGCATAGCAGAGGTTGTTTGTCCTTACATGTCTCTCCACACCAGGAAAGCTACTCTTCTGGGCCACCTGTTTGGGGTTCTATGTGGTTGTCCTGGACAGAAATGAAAAAATAGAAAACAGAATTAACACTCATTTGGATTAAAAGTAATTTAAAATCCATGCATGTCCATTTTGATGGGCAGAAGCTCAATTCCCAAATAATGCGACAGAGAACCACTTATTCAAAAATATTTATTGAGTGCTCGCTCCATAAGCAAGATTCCATGTTAGGTACTCTCAGGCAGGGGTACAGAGATTAATGAAGCTAGACCCCGCTTTTCAGGAATTTAGAGTTTAAAAGAATGAGGTACAAGTATCCATAATTTTTATAAAAAGGAAACATTAATAATACTCAGTGAGAAGTGCAGATAACGGTATTATCTGATGTTTTTTATGCATACAGTGTGAATCTCAACGGGTAGCAAATAGGCTTTAAGAGGACATAGTCGTAAAAGAAGGGGAGGGAGTTGATTTTTAAAGCAAAAACAAATATTTGATAGCAGTGGCTCCTGATCTGCCAGGCTCTCACCCTGATGCCTTCCATGTTGGTGCAAGCCTGACCTAGTTTGACAGCCAGAGTCCCTCTGTCATTATGGCCGAGCTCAGCCTCAGGCATTCAGGAGGACGCGGTCAGATGGAATTGCCATCCCCAACACTTCCATCATGCTCACCATCGTGGCGTTACTGTCACCGTTGACATGCTACTTTCCTGGCCACCCCTCACTTTGCAAGATCATTTTATAATGACTTCTCACTGTCATGTGGGGTGTTGGTTAGGGATATTACCCTTGTTTTAGAGTTGAGGCAACAATTCCGTTCCAAACTTCTGGAAGGGGCTTCAATTGTATATACAGCGACTTTTAAACTTCTTTGTAGCTATCGAACATTTTCATTCCAGCACAACCTTATTATGGGTACCTGATAGGAAAGTAGACTTGCCTCCACCTGAAGCCGGCTAAGCTCACACATGTACCCAGAGCCATTGTCCCCCACACCCTCTCAAGGATATCCTTGGGTTCCCCAAGGACTCCAGGGAACCCAGTTTGAAAGCCTTCTTTGACTATACAAATCTCCATCTATTTTTGACTGATGGAGGCACTTCTCACCAAGCAGTGGTACCTGGCCTAACAGAGAAAGAAGGGAGCAGCCATTAAAGAATAAAACAGTGGAGCCTGAAGGATCTGCTCCGACTGTTCCTTTTGGGTTTAATTTTCAGGGGAATGTTCATCTATAGAGAAATGCCAGCTGTTTGTGTTCTGTTAAGGAAGCAGGAAAGGATGGGTGAGGTTAATCAGAGAAAAGAATGTTTCTGGAAAAGAAGTGGGGGTGGGGGGGGCAGAGGAACACATTACACAGGTTGGTAACAGAATCTTTTTTTTTTTTTTTTTTGAGACAGAGTTTCATTCCGTGGCCCAGGCTGGAGTGCAATGGCGCGATCTCGGCTCACTGCAACCTCCGCCTCCCGGGTTCCACCAATTCTCCTGCCTCAGCCTCCCAAGTAGCTGGGATTACAGGCGTGTGCCGCCATGCCTGGCTAATTTTTGTATTTTTAGTACAGATGGGGTTTCACCATGTTGGCCAAGTTGGTCTCAAACTCCTAACCTCAGGTGATTCGCCCACCTCGGCCTCCCAAAGTGCTGACATTACAGGCATGAGCCACCATACCCGGCCCACAGAGTCATCTTTGAGGATGCTTTTCAAGATTGAGATAGGCACCAGAAAACTCAGGGGTGAGCTCTTTTCCAAAGTTAATCAGGAAAATGTCCTGCACTTAGTTTAGGACAAGATCCCCTGCAATTAAAGATTGAATAGGCATGATCAGAGTTGAATATTGTAATCACACAAAACTTACAAAAACGTTGCTTTACTCATATTGATGTATATATAATAGATGTTTCATCTACACAGATTATCTGTACTTGGCAAAAAAAAAAAAAAACTATCGCACATGAATGGAATTTATTGTCATCCCCTCCCACTTGTGAATTCCCTTTGTGGGAAATGCTAACGTGTGTGAATTTATTTCATACGTATCTTTTCGTTAACCTTGAAAATATTTTAGTTCTCATATTCTTACATTGCAACCCATTCTTGTCAGGGATTGCTAAAAAAGGAACTTGAGTCTAGAATTAGAAAAGTTAAAGTTAGATAACAAGGGTTGGAATGGGATTTGAAGTGGAAATCTCAACTCCGTGCCTACCAACTAGGTAAGCTTGGTCATGGTTCTTAGCCTGTCTCACCTCAGATTGCTCATCTGTACAACAGAGCTAATCAGAGTGAAGTGAGAAAGTACCAAGCACATAAGAAGCAGTCCATGGATGGTAGCTGTTAGTGAGTGGGAGGGGCACTCCACAGGAAGGCAAAGGCAGTGAATGCCGGCCTTGACACTGCCTGGTTTCCATATGCCTGCCCTCCGTGCTTCTGCCCCCAGCCCGAGGGGCCTGGAATAACACACTCATATGTTCAGTTTATTCGCCTCCAACTCTAAAGGAACACATTGCTTGCTCCAAAAAGCCCGAGGGTTGTGGATGACTAGCCCAGCCAAACCCACCAGGACTGTTGGAAAGGGCAAAGAGGGCTGGGATCTGACAAGCCAGGCTGAGAGCCCGCAGGAAGCTGGTGCCACAAAATCTGGGCACAGTCCCCTCTGTCTCATAGATGCTTACACATGCAGTCTAAAGTATAAAAGGGCAAACTTAGCTAATCTTAGACTGACGAGGGCAGTGTGGAGACAGGCAGAAGGTCTTAGATTCCTGACAAAGGGCAGGGATGAGTCTGGGGTAAAAGCAACTTCTGTTCCGTTCTGTATGTCATTAGGATAGTGATATTGCCACACTGCAAGCCAATTCTCTTTTTTTTTTTTTCCTGTAGAGACAGAGTCTCACTATGTTGCCCAGGCTGGTCTTGAACTCCTGGGCTCAAGCAATCCTCTTGCCTTGGCCTCTCCAAATGCTGGGATTACAGGCATGAGCTGCTGCACCCCGCCTTATTCTCTCCCTGATTTCTTATATATTTGTCCCTGTGCTGTTTCTACATCTGTTTCTCAGTCTGGGGGGCTTTGAGGTTGTACAGACAGGCACAAAACCCCTCCATTTCTTATTAGCTTTATAATAGTTTTTTTCATCTGAGGCCAGGCGCAGTGGCTCACGTATGTAATCCCAATATTTAGGAAGGCAGAAGTGGGAAAGTAGCTTGAGCCCAGGAATTCAACAGCAGCCTTGGCAACATAGCGAGACCCCATTTTCCACCAAAAGGGAAAAAAAAATTCTCATCTAAGAAAGGCAGATACTAGTTTACTCACCTAAGGTGGCTGGAATAAGAAATGTACTTTCATGCCTGGCACATAGTAAGGACTGAATTAAGGTCAAATGGTAAGGACTGAATCAAGGTCAATTGCCTTCTGCTCTCTTCCCTAATGCGCTCAGACAAACTGATGCTCTGCTTCCTCAAAGTGGTAAGGTGGGATTTTCTCTGCATTTCCCTGAGTTGAACTGGACAAGACCCATCATCCTATGCTTTGACGTTAGACCAGACTGGCGGGCAGACAGGGGACGGGTGATGTAGTACGGAGGGGGAAACAGTGAACGGCAACTAAACAAACTTGCGTGACTGTGTCAACACCTTCCTGTGGCTCATTGCCCCATTCCCTATCACTCCTCAGCTTTTCCGAGACCCAAGCTGGTTCCAGTGAACTCCTTCCCACCAGGTATCACCCTGGAGTGCAGCAATCAGAGCTAAAAGGTCCTGAAAGCATCCACCACTATATCACCTCCAGGAGGCTGCATGCACCCTGAGGGAAATGAGCCCAAAAAGGAAATGATGCGGAACTCCCTCCTCCTGGTGTGTGTGCACACACGAGCACACCGTCATGTGTCCCTGTTTCTCCCTTTGCTCCCACAGCCAGTTTTGTGGGCTAGAGCACAGCTTCCACACTCAGCATACTCCCCAGGAATCTTCCACTCATCTCCTCCTCTCTTTTATCTGGCAACTGGAACTTATTATAGAGTGTTTCAGCCACTTTTCTTCTTAATTACACTGCTTTTTTTGTTGTTATTGTTGTTTTGAGACAGAGTCTCCCCCCTGTCACCCAGGCTGGAGAGCAGTGTCTTGATCTCGGCTCATGGCAACCTCCACCTCACGGATTCAAGCGATTTTCCTGCCTCAGCCTCCCGAGTAGCTGGGATTACAAGCGCCCACCACCATAGGCTGGCTAATTTTTGTATTTTTAGTAGAGATGGGGGTTTCACCGTGTTGGCCAGGCTGGTCTCAAACTCCTGACCTCAGGTGATCCACCCACCTCAGCCTCCCAAAGTGCTAGGATTACAGGCGTGAGCCACCGCACCCAGCCTGCATTTTTAAAAATCAGAGTAAGATAGGCACATAGTTCAAAAATTAAACTGTGCTTAAATAATTAGAATGAAAACAGTTCCTGTCATCCTGGAACATGTCTTTGCTCTTTCTGTGTTCAAGCGCCTGTTTCCTGGATCCAAGTGACTGCCTCCTTCTTAGTTTGTGCCTTTAAATTTTGATGAAGTACCTCTTTCATTAGCTTCCTGTGAAAAGATTTGTGGGAGGTCAATATTTAGAATCCTTGCACACTTGAAAATATTTTTATTCTACTCTCACACTTAAATTGATAATCTATTTGAGTATATAACTGGATTGAAAATCATTTCCCTACAGAATTTTGAAGACATTTTTTCATTGACTTGTAACATTGAAAATTTTATCAAGAAGTTTAATATTTTTCTGATTATCATTTCTTTGCACACGTCCAGTTTTTTTTCTCTGAAGACTGGGGACTCTGAAAGTTCACACAATAGTCACTCTTCTTCTTTTTTTTTTTTTTTTTTTTTTTTTTTAAAGACAAGATTACATTCTGTAACCCAGGCTGGAGTGCAGTGGTACAATCATAGCTTATCTCAGCTTCAAACTCCTGGGTTCAAATGATCCTCCCACCTCAGTCTCCCAAGTACCTGGGACTACAGGTGCAAGCCACTGCCCCTGGCTAATTTTTTTATTTTTTTACAGAGGCAGGGTCTTGCTGTGTTGCCCAGGCTGATCTTGAACATCTGGGCTCAAGCAACCTGCCCTCAGCCTCCCAAAGTGCTGGGATTACAGATGTGAACCACTGCACTCAGCTGATCACTCTTGATGTAGCTCATTTTCATTCATCATACTGGGTACTCAGTAGCTCATTCAATCTGGAGATACTTATCCTCTTCTGGGATGTTTTCCTGTGTTACATCTTGGATAATTTTCTCCCCACTATTGTCTTTATTCTTTCTTTCTTGACTTTTTATTAATTGGATGTTGGACCTTTAGCTCTCTTACCTCTTTTTGTCTCTTACTCTCCTTGTTCTACTTTCTGAAATATTTTCTTTGACTGTATCTTCAAAAATGGTATTTTAAATCATTTATGATGCTTTCCTATTTTTTAGGATCTGGTTCTCTTTATCTGGTTGTTTACCACAAGATACTATCGTTTTTCAGAGGTAATAACATCCTAATATCTTTGAAGATAAGTTTTTTAGTTTTTTCTCTTTCCATCATCGTCTTAGTTTTTTCCAGGTTTGTTTCCTTCCTCTGTTCATGTCTTTGATGTTTGGTTGGGCAGTCTCACACTGGGGATGCTCCAGCAGTGTTGGGCCATCCCTAACCATGCACATTTGGAAGAGAGGCTCTAACAGCCTAATTGGAAGTCTGTGTGTGAGGTTGTCGACCAAAATTTGTCTGATCACCACTCAGCCTTTTGTTTGAGGATTCCCAAAGGCAAGATCTGGAAGCCTTCTCTGGGGCCATTCAGTTTCTCAAAGATAGAAACCTGATTGGTGATGTGCCTGGCAATAGGCAATCTGGAAGCCCTGACTAGAAATGGCCCGCAGTTCCACTGTGTCCAGCCCTGTGCCTCACTCCTACTCTGCGCTGAGCCTGATGGCCCCGTGTCTAGAATCTCTCCAGTTCAACTTCTCTGGCAAGTAAACCTTTGCTCTCTTGTTAGCAA